>NC_000007.14:141881779-142506779 GCF_000001405.40 Homo sapiens
GGGTTGCATGTCTCAATAGTAATCTTTACTCTAGGTAACTGTAGGATTATAGTTGTTCTTATAATGCTCTTGAGCAATACCTGCCACTTTTCATCATGAGTGAGTTCTGCTATGTTGGGTGAACAAGGTGAGGACCTTGTGTGAGTCCTTCAGGTAGCCCCAGACCTATTTGAATAGACATACACAGTACTTTCTGATTAAGGTTTGTTCTGCTCCCTCTGGAAGCGGAGTCCCAAGTTCCATACTGGAGATGCAGACTTCTGCTGAGCTGGAGATAGTGTAGGCACAGGTAAATAAAAACATGATAAAGTTTTCCTAACATTTTTTTTTTTGTTTTGTTTTGTTTTTTGTTTTTTTTTTTGTTTTTTTTTTTTTAATTTTTTTTTTTTTTTATTATACTCTAAGTTTTAGGGTACATGTGCACATTGTGCAGGTTAGTTACATATGTATACATGTGCCATGCTGGTGCGCTGCACCCACTAACGTGTCATCTAGCATTAGGTATATCTCCCAATGCTATCCCTCCCCCCTCCCCCCACCCCACAACAGTCCCCAGAGTGTGATATTCCCCTTCCTGTGTCCATGTGATCTCATTGTTCAATTCCCACCTATGAGTGAGAATATGCGGTGTTTGGTTTTTTGTTCTTGCGAAAGTTTACTGAGAATGATGGTTTCCAATTTCATCCATGTCCCTACAAAGGACATGAACTCATCATTTTTTATGGCTGCATAGTATTCCATGGTGTATATGTGCCACATTTTCTTAATCCAGTCTATCATTGTTGGACATTTGGGTTGGTTCCAAGTCTTTGCTATTGTGAATAGTGCTGCAATAAACATACGTGTGCATGTGTCTTTATAGCAGCATGATTTATAGTCCTTTGGGTATATACCCAGTAATGGGATGGCTGGGTCAAATGGTATTTCTAGTTCTAGATCCCTGAGGAATTGCCACACTGACTTCCACAATGGTTGAACTAGTTTACAGTCCCACCAACAGTGTAAAAGTGTTCCTATTTCTCCACATCCTCTCCAGCACCTGTTGTTTCCTGACTTTTTAATGATTGCCATTCTAACTGGTGTGAGATGATATCTCATAGTGGTTTTGATTTGCATTTCTCTGATGGCCAGTGATGACCAAGGTAATTTACAGATTCAATGCCATCCCCATCAAGCTACCAATGACTTTCTTCACAGAATTGGAAAAAACTACTTTAAAGTTCATATGGAACCAAAAAAGAGCCCGCATCGCCAAGTCAATCCTAAGCCAAAAGAACAAAGCTGGAGGCATCACACTACCTGACTTCAAACTATACTACAAGGCTACAGTAACCAAAACAGCATGGTACTGGTACCAAAACAGAGATATAGATCAATGGAACAGAACAGAGCCCTCAGAAATAATGCCGCATATCTACAACTATCTGATCTTTGACAAACCTGAGAAAAACAAGCAATGGGGAAAGGATTCCCTATTTAATAAATGGTGCTGGGAAATCTGGCTAGCCATATGTAGAAAGCTGAAACTGGATCCCTTCCTTACACCTTATACAAAAATCAATTCAAGATGGATTAAAGATTTAAACGTTAGACCTAAAACCATAAAAACCCTAGAAGAAAACCTAGGCATTACCATTCAGGACATAGGCGTGGGCAAGGACTTCATGTCCAAAACACCAAAAGCAATGGCAACAAAAGCCAAAATTGACAAATGGGATCTAATTAAACTAAAGAGCTTCTGCACAGCAAAAGAAACTACCATCAGAGTGAACAGGCAACCTACAACATGGGAGAAAATTTTCACAACCTACTCATCTGACAAAGGGCTAATATCCAGAATCTACAATGAACTGAAACAAATTTACAAGAAAAAAACAAACAACCCCATCAAAAAGTGGGCGAAGGACATGAACAGACACTTCTCGAAAGAAGACATTTATGCAGCCAAAAAACACATGAAGAAGTTTTCCTAACATTTTAAAGTTGTCTTCTTCTTGAACCAGTGTTTGCTTGGTTCCTGAAAAACTTTGAATGTTTTCCAGAGTTCTGGCGAAGTTGGTTCTGACAGTTTCTGCTGTTTTCTTTTGTTTCTCTGGAGGGAAAGGAGCTTGGAGCTTCCTAGGCTAATATTTTGCTCACATCACGCACTATTCCCTGCCCTGAGGATTTTTGATGTGTGTCTTGGAAACTTTTGTGGAGTTTTCTGCTTGCTGATAACTTGGGCTTTGTAGAGCTAAGTGGAATTAGGGAAATAAACATAAGAGCACATTGGGAGGCCGAGGCAGGCAGATCACGAGGTCAAGAGATCACGACCATCCTGGCCAACATGGTAAAACCCTGTCTGTACTAACAATACAAAAATTAGCCGGGCGTGGTGGCGTGTGCCTGTAGTCCCAGCTGCTCAGGAGGCTGAGGCAGGAGAAGCACTTGAACCGGGGAGGCGGAGGTTGTAGTGAGCCAAGACTGCACCACTGCACTCTAGCCTGGGTGACAGAGTGGGACTCTGTCTCAAAATAAATAAATAAATAAATAAATTTAGAAAAGCACAGGGGGCTGACTCGAACAGTTTGATGCTAACCTGGATTCAATGTGTAGCAAAAAGAAACCTGGATGTTGGGACACTCTTGATGAGGAAGATTTTAACTTTGCTCATTATACCAAACTTCTAGGAGTTCTAAATCTTGATTAGCCTCAGGAGGGAAGATCTGAAACTTCCTTTGTTTTCTCCTTCCCTGCATCCCTAGGGTTTTTCTGAACTAACTTTCCTCAATGAATAACATTCCTTAGAGACACGTTGAAGAAGAAAAGACAGAGGGAGAGAGAAAGAGAGAAACTGTGGGGCATTCCATGGCACTATGATTTCTGGACCTTTTCCTAAATACATATGTGAAGACAGTTTTCTCGTTCACCGAGAGGGAGGAAGTCGTAGCTTCTTCTGGGCCACAGAGCAGTCTCAGCACTAATCAGGCATGATGTAGTCTGGGTTGAGACTTAGAGTCATATGGCTTTTCACTTCAATTTCTTTGAAGGTAAGTGAATTCCAGCAGTTTCCATCTGTGTAGAAAAGAGTGAGAGAGGTTCAGGATGGAAAGTTTTAGACCTGCCAACTTTCTAGAGCAAGGGCATTCAGACCCTAATGGGTAAGCTATGAGAGAGGCAAAGGAGATTGGCTCATCTCCAAATTCCCCCTGTACAGTAGAGAGCACTTTCACTTCTTCTCTGATTCATTGCTGGATGCAGTACAACTCCTTGCTATTGTCAAAACCATCCTTGACATCATCTCTACTTTCTTTTCATCTGGTTCTGGGTAAAGAGAGATTGTGGAAATCACTCTACTGAGCTCTTCCGTCAAGTCTGTACTTGTTACCCAACTGCCATTTTATAAGGGGTCTCAGAGAGAGGACTGAATTATGACTGATCACTGTCTCAGTGAAGACAGAAGGGAGAGAAAGCAGTTTCTTTTAGCATTGGCTATAGCCTGATTTGGAGGGGCTTTGTTCACAGATTCATTCTTTAATTGATCAATTCATTGATTCACTCAAAAGTAGTACCACCTCATTCTGTATGAGATATAGTGAATAAAAATTACAATCTTTTTGCTTTCGTGGTGCTTACATTGTAAAATGAGTCAGAAAATAAAAAGTAAACATATAATTTCTCATGATGAGCGCTAAAAAGATAAATATATTCTGATGAGGTGATAGAGAGTGAAGGGTTGTGTGTGTTCTTTTAGACAGAATGAAGAGAAAATTTGAACTCAGATACTTGACCAAAAACCTGAAAGAAGTGATAAATAAAGCCCAGGAATTCTAAGTTACTCAGGATGCAGGGTCTGTTTCATGTGAGTGACAGTGGAATCTTCAATTTCTAATATGATTTTGGGAGAGGAATGTGTTCATAGAAGAAATATAGGCCCTGAGGTGACTTCCTAAATTTACTGTTAGACCGAGACCAAAGCCATCTGTATTTAGGACATGGGCTGAACCCAGATGTCACACTTGGTGGTTTTGGTCTCCTGATGGATCCAGGGCTTTGGATTATCCTGAAGCCAGAGGATGTTGAAATGGGACTAAAGTCTCCTATTTGTCAGAGCCAGCATAAGTTCAGTGTGGGACAGTTAGAGTCTGAGGATAAAAGTTTTTCCTCTGTATTTCGCCTGAATTTTCTTTCTCTAAGAACAGTGGAAAGAGTTGTCAGAGTCTTAGAGAGAGATGGTCAGGCTCAACTCAGCCCAGGTGCTGGTTGCCTGCCTTCTGTGAGAAGACACATTTACTGAGGACAGGAGCAAGGGAAGCTTTCTTCCCAAGATAGGGAGGAAGAAAGGAGTAATCCATGCAGGGAACCAGCTGACTAGTAGATTGAGAGATACTCAGTCCTTGCCCTCGAGAATTTATAGAAACTCCTCAGGAAACTTCCCTACCCTCACTCTCACCAACGCACAGCAATGATGATGAAGGTAAGGCAGAAGCTTTAAAATAAACATCCTGTAAATGGAACCTACATTCTGATGAAACAAAGAAATCAAGTAGCCAGCTCAGGGGTGTTGGCCAGGAAAACTTTTGTATAGAACATGATACTGGAGCAGGAATTTACAGGACAGAAAATACTTGGCAGACAGAGTAGTTTAGGACCTTCCAGGTGGAAGGGAGTTAGTGGTAGAAATGAATACACTGTGGTCCTGGAGGCTGACTGCTGGCTGTTCAGAGCAGAGTGGGAGGCAGGTAAACTGAGCATTGAGGGTGCAATGGTGCATGCTGGGCAGGGTATAGGCTCTCATGTCTAAGGTATGGCACTGGGGACTGGGATCATCTTCTTGGCCAACTCAATTTTCTTGGCATATTGTGCATAGTTAGAAAAATTGCCCCTAAACCAGGCGTGGCAGCTCACACCTATAATCCCAGCACTTTGGGAGGCCGAAACGGGTGGATCACCTGAGGTCACGAGTTTGAGACTAGCCTGGCCAACATGGTGAAACCCCATCTCTACTAATAATACAAAAAAATTAGCTGGGTATGGTGGCACATGCTTGTAATCTCAGCTAGCCGGGAGGCTGAGGCAGGAGAATCTCTTGAACCTAGGAGGTTACAGTGGAGGTTACAGTGAGTTGAGATCATGCTATTGCACTCCAGCCTGGGTGACAAGAGTGAAACTCCATCTCAAAAAAAAAAGAAAAGAAAAGAAAAGAAAAATCGCGCCTGACCATATACAGGGAATAGTAGAAGACAAATGCCTACCATTCTAGTCATGCTGTGCAGCCTGTGAGCAGGAGGGGGATTTCAGAACAGTTTCTACTTCTGTTGCGATGAGAAGCCATATTAACTCTTTTTTTTTTCTCTAGATTTCAGAAGGGAAAAGCACTCAGAAGTAAATGTTGGGGAATTACTCTAGCGCCACTGAATTTTTTCTCTTAGGCTTCCCTGGCTCCCAAGAAGTATGCCGTATCCTATTTGCGACCTTCTTCCTCTTGTATGCAGTGACAGTGATGGGAAACGTGGTCATCATCATCACTGTCTGTGTTGATAAATGTCTGCAGTCCCCCATTTATTTTTTCCTGGGCCACCTCTGTGTCCTGGAGATCCTGATCACATCCACCGCTGTCCCTTTTATGCTCTGGGGGTTGCTGCTTCCAAGCACCCAGATCATGTCTTTGACAGCCTGTGCTGCACAGCTATATTTATACCTTTCTTTGGGTACCTTGGAGTTGGCATTAATGGGAGTGATGGCTGTGGACCGTTATGTGGCTGTGTGTAACCCTTTGAGGTACAACATCATTATGAACAGCAGCACCTTCATTTGGGTGATAATTGTGTCATGGGTTTTGGGGTTTCTTTCTGAAATCTGGCCAGTTTATGCCACTTTTCAGCTTACTTTCTGCAAATCAAGTGTGTTAGATCATTTTTATTGTGACCGAGGACAATTGCTCAAGGTATCCTGTGAGGACACTCTTTTCAGAGAGTTTATTCTTTTTCTAATGGCTGTTTTCATTATCATTGGTTCTTTGATCCCTACGATTGTCTCCTACACCTACATCATCTCCACCAACCTCAAGATTCCGTCAGCCTCTGGCTGGAGGAAATCCTTTTCCACCTGTGCCTCCCACTTCACCTATGTTGTGATTGGCTATGGCAGCTGCTTGTTTCTCTACGTGAAACCCAAGTAAACGCAGGCAGCCGAGTATAACAGGGTAGTGTCACTGCTGGTTTTAGTGGTGACCCCTTTTCTGAACCCTTTTATCTTCACCCTGAGGAATGACAAATTCATACAGGCCTTTGGAGATGGCATGAAACACTGCTATAAACTCCTTAAAAATTAAGTCTGTCCTGAGTACAGTTCAAATCCTCATCATGGATTTGAGTAATCTGATAGTACTAATTGAAACAAAATGATCATTCTCAAAATCAAACAGCTCATGATCTACAATGGATATTTAAGCTATGACATGGCTTCATTTTGTATTAAATTCTTTTAATACATCGTTTAAAAAATAAATAGATGTATACATTTATTAGCCCTCTGTACTTATAATGCATGTTGCAAAATAAATGTGAGAAGTGTAAACATCTGAAAGATGTTCAATGTTTTGAACCCTTGGTCCTGATAATGGGAAAAACAAGAGAAGTGTGATATATTTTCTTTCTTTCTTTGTTTCTTTTCTTTTCTTTTTTTTTTTTTTGAGAGAGAGTCTCGCTCTGTCGCCCAGACTGGAGTGCAGTGGCTTGATCTTGGCTCAGTGCAAGCTCTGCCTCCTGGGTTCACACCATTCTCCTGCCTCAGCCTCCCAAGTAGCTGGGACTACAGGCGCCCTCCTCCACGCTCGGCTAATTTTTTTGTATTTTTTAGTAGAGATGGGGTTTCCCTGTGTTAGCCAAGATGGTCTCGATCTCCTGACCTTGTGATTGGCCCGCCTCGGCCTCCCAAAGTGCTGGGATTACAGGCGTGAGCCACTGCGCCCGGCCAAGTGTGATATATTTTCTTACCTCTGACATATTTGATCCTATGTGCCGAGATTATCTTCCTCTACATTGCCACGTGGTTTCAAGGTGTTGTCTTATTGTGTAAACTCACTAGCACTTCCCTGAGTAATCTCAGGGCCAGCACAAGCTTCAAACTTTCGTCGTTGATTCCTGCTTGCAGTGTCCAATAGCGATAGTGCCTTTCTTTGGGTTTTCCGATTGGCATTTGTGAGAGTGAACTCACTCCCCGACCCTAACTGCTTAGCAATCTTAAGGCTGAATGCGTGCTCCTACAGGTGCATCTCAAATTGGTGGGCCTTCTCAGGCATGGATGGAAGATCTTAGAAAGAGGCATTTTATGTAATGTCACCCACGTTATTAGGCCAGCTTCAGATGAGGGAGGGAAATGGAACTGTGTCTGGGAGGCGATGTGATAAGGGACAGCTGGGCTTTCTGTGTCTTTGGGCTGAGGGTGGAATGGAGAGAGGGCAGAGGGAGTGGTAGCCTACAGCCCCTTTTCCTGCGTCCCACACATTCTTCAATCCTGACATAGCACTTTTGTCCTCAGTGCTCCCTTCGCTTTCCCACTTCCTGCTCAGTTTCTTTCTTAATTTCTTTTTGTGTCTCTCCCTCTGTGACTACCAGACTCATTTGTTTGTTTCTTTTCCCCTTTATTTTCTCACAAAACCCAAGTTTATCAAGCTGCCTTCTAGCTCTACACTGAACTCCATTAACTCCTGTATCTTAGTTCCTGTATTGCCCCATCCTCTCCCTAGTTCCTGTCATACCCACTATTTGCAATTAATATTTCTGTATTGCATGACACATTTTTTCTGCATCATTACACAAGTGATTACACAAGTCTGGTGGCAACACAAATGGACATCAAAAGATGACTACTTATATACTTTATGGGACTTTCATTCGGTTGCTATTATATGAGGGTTGGAAACATGAGGGTTTTCTGTATCAATAAAAAGAAAGTGGGCCGGGCGCAGTGGCTCATGCCTGTAATCCCAGCACTTTGGGAGGCTGAGATGGGTGGATCACGAGGTCAGGAGTTCGACACCAGCCTGACCAACATGGTGAAACCCCGTCTCTACTAAAAATACAAAAATTAGCCAGGCGTGGTGGCGTGCACCTGTAATCCCAGCTTGAGTATCACTTTGGGAGGCTGAGGCAGGAGAATTGCTTGAACCCGGGAGGCAGAGGTAGCAGTGAGCTGAGATGGTGCCATTACACTCTAGTCTGGGCAACAGAGTGAGACTCCATCTCAAAAAAAAAAAAAAGTATATCTCCAAGATACACTGTTGAGTAAGAAAAGTGAAGAAGACAAAATGTTTGTTTCCTTTTTGTAAGAACAAAGTACAACTTAATTTATATTGATACTTGTATATAGTTGCATAAAGAAACATCTGAGAGGGAAACCAGGAAATGGGTTACCTTGGGGATGTGTTTTTGGGAATGGCATTTATGGGAATGGTCTGTGAAGGAAAACTGTTTATGGTACAGCTGTGTACATTGCTTTCACTTCTACTTCATAGTAATGTTGTACTATCTCAAAAATAAAAGACTTCATTCTGCTTCTAATTGCTAAGGAAAGTTTGCTTGTTTATCCACATAATTGATTGTAACAAAGGAGATATTTTGGCAGAAGGGTCTCTATTAACTCTGAATATTTTGTAAAGTTTCTCTGGAGCTAAGTAGGATAAATGGAAGAATAATAAGGGAGAAGAGATGGAGCTTCACATTTTTCTTATCCTGAGGCCTTCACTACTTTTATAAAAATATAGAGATATTCTTTAGAAATTGCAGGTATTACTTTACATTATCTTATGTATGTTGAAAATATCTTTTTTTAATCTGTTTTTTGACTTTTTAGTTTTTAATGAAATCTTGTCATGTAAAAGTATTAATTTTCCTTTAGTCAAATTAATAATTTCTTTTGTGATTTATATGTGCATATATTGTTAACAAATTTTTACTCAAAAGATTCAAAAATTGTCTTTTAAAATATCTAGGGTTGAGCGTGGCGGCTCACACCTGTAATCCCAGCACTTTTGGAGGCTGAGGCAGGCAGATCACTTGAGGTCAGGAGTTTGAGACCAGCGTGGCCAACATGGTGAAACCTTGTCTCTACTAAAAATTTTAAAAAATTAGCCAGGCGTGGTGTCATGTGCCTGTAATCCCAGCTACTCAGGAGGCTGAGGCATGAGAATCACTTGATCCTGGGAGGTGGAGGTTGCAGTGAGCCAAGATCATGCCACTTCACTCCAGCCTGAGTGACAGAGTTAGACTCTGTCTTAACAAAAAAAAAAATCTATGTGGTTTGACAATGTAGATGCAGGAGGACAATGTTTTTAAAAAGAGAAGAATGGGGATAGTATATGCAAATATTTTAAAAATGCTTTCATTAATTATATTGGGGGATATAGTATTAGTATTTTATAATTGTTGCATGTATAATGTCAGATAAAGCAAATGAATACTTACTGAATATTCTAATTTTAAATGTAATATAGAGGAGCTTAGGGAAAGTCGTTAGATTCTTCTGTTTAAATTATATATATGGTGGATTCATGGTTAATCTATCTACCACCCATTTACCTATTTACCTGCTGGCTTCGTCCACTCAAAATTCTAATAACATTGACCATTCCAACAAATATAATCATTCCTAGGTTCAGATTGTGGTATTACAGTAATTTTTCTTGATGTGAGAATCTAGGGCTTCTTGGAGAAATGACTGATTCCAGGTTTAGTACAGGAAACGTGTAAGAGGAACTTGAAACAGATGAATATGTTTAATTGCACCATGTGGATGAAATGAGCAAAACCCACATCATGGAAAAATCGACTGTCAAAATACCTGAGTTCTTCAACAAGTAGATTGGAAGAAAGTGAATGGGCTATACAGAGAATCTATAGATTAAAATAGACTTAAAACATATAGAATTACAAAATGTACAATACTAAGCTATAATGTGTAACAATTCAAGCTAGCATGATTAAACTAGTCAGGAAAGCAAGGCAGTAATTTCTTAAAGGTTGAGAATTGTAGTTTTTGCTGATGATGTGAGCATTGCAATTGTAATGGAACACACAAATGGATTTATGTGACTGCTATCAAAATTCTGTTTCTTGATCTTGGTAGTGATTGCAATTATTATGAAGTGGTTCACCTTGTAATAGTTACACATATTTTTATGTGGTGTTTCTGTCTCAACATTTTATATTAAAATCAAATAATTAAAATTATTTTGAGGCAGGTGAGAGGTTGCTGACAGCCTGCACTCTCTAGAAATCAGAGCCTTAGGCAAGTATTAAGTGCTAAAGATTTATTTGAGGAAGGATGCAATCCTAGTATAGCAAAAGTAAATGAAGTGAGGCAGGAAGCATGGTAAACAAGGCAATGTGATCAATTACCATGCTGACCATTGTTTCCTGATGATTAGCCAATGACATGATTGTCTCTATAGAAAGCCCCTAAAATTCTACCAAAAAAACTCCTGGAAATAATAAGAGATTTAGTAAGGCTGAAAGAGACAAGGTCAATATGCAAAAGTCAATTACTTTTCTATATACCAGTAATGAACAATTATAATTGAAGTATATAAACTAATATCATTTTTTTACAGCACCCAAATAAGTGAAGTACTTTGGTATCAATCTAAAAAAATAAGTTCAGGATATTATTAGAAACCTATAAATTACTGGTGAAATAAATCAAAGAAGCTCCAAATACTTGGAGAGATGTACCATACTCATGGATGGAAAGATACAAAATTGTTAAGATGTTAATTGTTTACAATTTTGTTCTATGGATTTAGTGCAATTTGAATCAAATCTAGCAAGATTTTATGTAGATATTGACAAAATATTTCTAAGATGTATAGCGAGGCAAAGGTAATAGAAAGGCCAAGATAATTTTGAAAAAAGAACAAAGTCAGAAGACACACCTGAAAGTCTTAATTTTAAGACTTCTTGTAATGTTACAATGATCAAGTAATGATAGACATATAAATTAATGATAGACATATAAATTAATGATAGACATATAAATTAATACAAGAGAATAGAGATCCCAGAAATAGACCTAAGCAACTATCAGCTTATTTTTGGCAGCATTGGGAAGGAAATTCAATAAAAAAGGGTTAACCTTTCTAAAAAAAATAGCCCTGGAACAGTTCAATGTTTACATGCAATAAGTGTGAATGCAAAATTGTGAAATGTCTAGGAGAAAATCTAGGTGACCTTGAGTGTGGTGGTTAGTTTTTACATAAAACACCAAAAGTACAATGAATGAAAGAAAAAAAATAGAAAAATTAATCTCTATTAAAATTGAAAACTTTTACTCTACACAAGTCACTGTGAAGGGAAATAATCTGTACAACAAACCCCCATTTCACAAGTTTACCTATGTATCAAACCTGCCCTTCTACCCTGAAATAAAAATTAAAGTTTTTTTTAAAGATAACTGAAAGAAAATATTTGAATATTTCATGTCTGATAAAAAACTTGTGTCCAGAATAAACTGGATAAAAACATCTCTGGAAACTCAATAATAAGAAAAGAAACAGCTCAATAAAAAAACCTTGGAAAAGATCTGAATGGCTACATCCTAAAGAAGATGTAAGGATGGCAAGTTGACTTTTAAAAAGATGCTGAACGTAAATTGTCATTAAGAAATTGCAAGTTAAAACAACAACGAAATACCACTCTAACCCTATTTGGACAGCTAAAATCCAAAAAAAAAAAAAAAATTCTGACAGTTCCAAATGCTGGGAAAAATGTGGAGCATGAAGCAGCTTCATTTATTGCTGTCCTAGAAAAATGTTAGGACCACTTGGGAAGGCAGTTCAGATGTTTCTTATAAAGTTAGACTTCCCATACAACCCAGCCATGTACTTGCCACCTATTAACCCAAGTGAAGTAAGAATTTAAATCCACACAAAATCCCACACATGAATGTTTATAGATTTATTTATAATTACTAGCAATTAGAAGCAATCAAAATGTCCTTCAGTAGGTAAATTGATAACAAATTGAAATCCATTGGGCTAATAATTCACATAACAAAATGCATAAACTGCAAATGCATTTTGCTAAGTGAAAGAAGCTATAGCAAAAGGCTCTATAGTGTACGATTCAATTCTAATGACATTCTGTAACAAAGGAGAAACTAATAGAGATAGAAAAGAGATAAGTGGATACTTACGTCTTTGCGATAAGTAAGAAGACAGTATTTCACTAGGACAGTACAGGGGGATTTCTGGGTGATGGAACTAATCTGTATGATATTGTCGGATCCATTATGCATTTGTCAAACTCATAGCACTTTACAGCACTAAAACTGAACTTTAATATATGCAAATTTAAAAATATCAAAAAAGAGCTTGGTGAATCCTAAGATAGAATGCAGACTTTGACAAAAAAATCTGTGTGTGATATAAGTTCACTGAAGAGGGTGGGGAGTATGAACTACCTTATGTAACTTTGGAAAACAGTGGTTTGACAGAAAACTATAAGGCTAAAAGAAAAATAACTACATAATCACTGCACTGTAATTGTTAAAATTGTTTCTCATGGAAGAAAGGGTTAACAATCCTGAAATCGCTGTACATGTATACTGGAGTTAAATAAGTAAAAAAAAGGATAGTGGATGGTGAGAGCCTGGTTTCTTACTAAGAAGAGAAGAGCTACAGAGATGCAGCGGAAGAAGGATAGAATGTATCATGTGGTACTGGATTAGGATCAAAGACATCAGCTTGAGCTCATGTTAACTTAATAAAGATGCAGACAATAGACATGGAAATTATTGTAGAGATCTGTATACATGTGCTAATACATAAACATTTACTTCCTATCTCTGTCTGCCGAGAGGGCATAGACACGGTAATTACTTGTATACCCCATGTTGGGATCTTGTTCTGCAGTAACATTGTTGAAAAAAATCAACCAGGGCTCCTTGAAGACATCAATGATTCAGGGTCTGAGCAAGAAGAACTAAGATAAGGCTGAAGCATCTTGTAATGTTAAAAAGTATAGAAATGCTCTTAAAAACAAAAAGATGGGGGCATGTCAAAGGGATACATGACCCAACCTGGAGGAGTTCCTTTCTTAGTCCCTGTGGGATGCTATGAAAGAATACCATAGACTGCGTGGCTGATAAACAGCAGAAATTTACTTCTCACAGCTCTCAAGGCTGGGAAGTTTAAGATCAAGGCACTAACAGATTTGGCGTCTGGTGATGGCAGAAGATGCAAAAGAGGTCTCTGGGGTCTTTTAAATAGGGGCGCTAATCACATTTATGTGGGCTCCCTGCCATTACCTAATCACCTTGCAAAAGTCCTGCCTCCAAATACCATTGTGTTGGGCGTTACGTTTCAACATACGAATTTTTGGAGGAATACAAGCATTCACTCTATGGCAGCTTCTAATAACCAAACCTAGAATCATTTGAGTGATAAATTTAATAATGTAGTTTGGATTATAACCTATAGTATAAAATGCTGATATTTTATAAATATATGATATAATTAAAGGATTGAATAAATAAGTAATAGAAAGAAATTATTTTGTTTCTCTTTGTCAGAACTGTTTTGGCTATTTTCTTACCATTGCCTTTCCATATAAATATTGGAATTAGTTTGTAAATCTTTATAAAACATCTTGCTGGGATTTTAACTGAGACTGTTTTGAAACATCAAAATGTCTTACAACCTCAAAGAATAGGACCCTTTCAATTCATGTATCATTTTAAATGTTTAGCTTGACCACATGGTTGAGTGGCAGTTCTTTGGTGGTAGGAGGTCAATACCTCATCTTTCATGTCTCGCTGACATGTACTCAATGTCTTATTTTTGGTTTAGGCACATTTGTCTCTCCTGTGTATCATTAGGCTTGCTTGTGTGTCTTCCATCAGTGTGCACCAGTGACTTAACTTTAACACTTTGTGTCTTTGTATTGCCATGAAACCATTGTACAAAACTCTCCAACAGGCTTTATAACTCTTCAGATGCCGCATACATTGATCAGATCATTATTTAAGAGTCTTCATTCACCTTTAGACCCCCTACATACAATCCAAAGAGCCAACATTGTTTTTGAATATCAGGTCTGTATCACTCAGCTGCACCACCAGCAGTTAGCAACTGTGACCAGCTTATTATAGACTCTGCATCAGAGGGGTCAGTACAACCTTGGGGTCTCCACATGCACAAGTGCTGCCAGAATATTTTATACTCAAATACTATATAATTTTTAATTTTAACCCTTATAATTCAAAGTAAAAGGAAACAGCTTAAATAAAAGGGACGCTAGAAGGCATGTGTATAGCTCATATATAGTGAATCTGCCTTCTGCATGGTTCACCATTAAACGAATATTTTTGGACATTTTCTTCTTCATTTTCTGTTTAGGTCATAATCTTCTATGCACCACGTCAAATGATTTTATGTAAGCTAACAAGTAGGCAAAAGTTCTCAACTTCTGTGATCCACAATGTGGACACACATGGACAGTAAATAGTCCATGTAGGCCTAACATATGTGTATCTTTTAAGTGTATGTTAATGCTAGTACAAAAATTCATGTAAAAATGACAATGAATTTGTAGTAGTTTTTGCCAAAAAATATATATTTTTCAATGGTACTTCCATCATTGACTGGGATATTTTCACTATATTTGTATTTTTAATTTAAATATTTAAAAAATTAAAGTCATACATGTGTAGTTTTGAAAATATCAAATAATTATAAGTAACTTACATAGAAAGGTGACAGACTGTTACCCTTTTCCTTTTACTTATATGGTGCTATTCTTCCGAGTATTCAACTATTTCTTCTGGTACATATTTAGTAGTAATCTGCTTGTATAAACATTTCTTAATTCTCAAATGTGTTTTTCCTATAGTTAACAGGTGCCTGTAAACATTTTTGTTTGTATTTGCAAATTTTCCCCCTAAGATGATTCTACATACATCTGAAACCCAGCGGTATTTTTCCCAAATGATCTAGCTGTGTCCTCTGTAGGCCTGGGACACAGTCCTTGTCCAGGGACATCCCTTCACAGCTCTCCTGTGTTGCATTTCTTCTTTCCAAACTATCTGTCCTTTTCTGTCTCTGTTTACTTCCAAGTTTTGATGGAGCAGATCTTCCAGCATCTTTCTAAGGGAAAACTCCTATGAGCGAAGTTTTTTGAATACTTGGATGCTTTATTTCAGCATTATACTTGTCAGTAGGCTGTATTTCAGCATTATACTTGCCAGGTTGTAAAGGCTAGAATTAACCCTTTTCCCCCATAACTTTAAAAGCAGGCTATTTGTTTCTTATTTTCCCAGGAACTTAACTGTTTTATCATGGAGAAGAGTCAGCTGTCTGTGTTTTAGGAATCTTGGGTCTCTCTGATGCGTGATCCCCTGTCTTCTGGCTCTGGACTTATTAGGGCATTTGGGAGTTACTAGGGCACTCTGAGTGAATGTGGTTTAATTTGGACCAGAGGGAGAGAATAAACTAGACCTGTATGTTGGTGGGAATAGATGGGTAAGGGATGAAGAGAGGGCAGATTTTGAAGTGCCTCCTCCGAGATTCTGTACATAGGGAGTTGTAGGCAGAGGACGCATATATGAATAGCTCAGATCACACAGCTCTAGGAAATTCGCTGTTTTCTTAGACTAGATTGAGCCTGGCAAAAGGGTCAGGGTTAGGAAAGTAGAAAAAGAATAGATACAAATAGGCCCTAAATAGTACAAGGAACCAGGTGAGTCACTTCAGAAGTCAGCGCCATTGACACTGTTACCAGAGGAGCAGCATCCCTTATAATTGCAGCATGGATATCCACAGTGCAGGGCACCCACTGGTCCAAGGCTGCTGGTGTTGGGCTGGAAAATGGAGAGGTTGGGTACATGCAGGTATTTATATGCATGCTTGCATGCATGTACACACTTGAGTCTATCACAGGAATACAAGCTATAGATATTAAACTCTAGTTAGTAGATAGCTGTTAAATCCTTAATTAAAGATCAACTCCAAATGCCACCAGAATGTAAGTGGAAATCTCTCCGTCTTTGAGTATCTGTAAATGTCAGGAAGCATCTCCAAATGAGGAAATCATTTTTTTCAACCTGAAAAGTTTCTCTGTATTGACTCACTCACAAGGGACTAATTATTTCACCACTTTGAAAACTTTGTAAGGAATTAAAGCAATTATCTCCTTCTTAGAGGGCCCACATCTTTATTAGGTTTCTACTTATATATCAGGGCAAAAAATCACTCAGATTTTTCTCTTGAGAGACTCTTCTGCAACTCTTCCAACCTCTTAATCATACCCCTCTGTCAGAAATCAAGCAAAAAAAAAAAATCTTTTCTTTTTTGCTCTCCCTTTCTTCGACTTCTTGGTTTCGGGAACTTGGTTTAAGATAAACAATTGGTCCGTTATCACTTGCATTACATAGGAACAACTCTGTCTCATATTTAGACTAATACAACATAAAATATTTTAGGGAACTAACAGGCAGACATTTTCTATTCTTAGAGCATGAAGGAGTATTTTATGAAGTATTTGCCATTAATTTTCTGAAGACCTTTTTCTTGGTCACTATTCTTACAAATCCTATTTCTGGGGATAAGGTCTAAGAATTACCCCTTAAGAATCTTAGTCTGGTTTTAGGTCTAACATTTAAGTCTTTAATCCGTCTTGAATTAATTTTTGTATAAGGTGTAAGGAAGGGATACAGTTTCAGCCTTCTACATATGGCTAGTCAGTTTTCCCAGCTCCATTTGTTAAATAGGGAATCCTTTCCCCATTTCTTGTTTTTGTCAGGTTTGTCAAAGATCAGATAGTTGTAGATGTGTGGTATTATTTCTGAGGGCTCTGTTCTGTTCCATTGGTCTATATCTCTGTTTTGGTACCAGTACCATACTGTTTTAGTTACTGTAGCCTTGTAGTATAGTTTGAAGTCGGGTAGTGTGATGCCTCCAGCTTTGTTCTTTTGGTTTAGGATTGACTTGGCAATGTGGGCTCTTTTTTGGTTCCATATGAACTTTAAAGTAGTTTTTTCCAATTCTGTGAAGAAAGTCATTGGAAGAAAACCTAGGCAATACCATTCAGGACATAGGCATGGGCAAGGACTTCACATCTAAAACACCAAAAGCAATGGAGACAAAAGCCAAAATTGACAAATGGGATCTAATTAAACTAAAGAGCTTCTGCACAGCAAAAGAAACTACCATCAGAGTGAACAGGCAACCTACAGAATGGGAGAAAATTTTTGCCATCTACTCATCTGACAAAGGGCTAATATCCAGAATCTACAATGAACTCAAACAAATTTACAAGAAAAAAACAAACACCCCATCAACAAGTGGGAGAAGGATATGAACAGACACTTCTCAAAAGAAGACATTTATGCAGCCAAAAGACACATGAAAAAATGCTCATCATCACTGGCCATCAGAGAAATGCAAATCAAAACCACAATGAGATACCATCTCACACCAGTTAGAATGGCGATCATTAAAAAGTCGGGAAACAACAGGTGCTGGAGAGGATGTGGAGAAATAGGAACACTTTTACACTGTTGGTGGGACTGTAAACTAGTTCAACCATTGTGGAAGACAGTGTGGCGATTCCTCAGGGATCTAGAACTAGAAATACCATTTGACCCAGCCATCCCATTACTGGGTATATACCCAAAGGATTATAAATCATGCTGCTATAAAGACACGTGCACACGTATGTCTATTGCGGCACTATTCACAATAGCAAAGACTTGGAACCAAGCCAAATGTCCAACAATGATAGATTGGATTAAGAAAATGTGACACATATACACCATGGAATACTATGCAGCCATAAAAAATGATGAGTTCCTGTCCTTTGTAGGGACATGGATGAAGCTGGAAACCATCATTCTGAGCAAACTATCACAAGGACAAAAAAACAACACTGCATGTTCTCACTCATAGGTGGGAATTGAACAATGAGAACACTTGGACACAGGAAGGGGAACATCACACACTGGGGCCTGTTGTGGGGTGAGGGGAGGTGGGGAGGAATAGCATTAGGAGATATACCTAATGTAAATGACGAGTTAATGGGTGCAGCACACCAACATGGCACATGTATACATATGTAACAAACCTGCATATTGTGCACATGTACCCTAGAACTTAAAGTTCTGAGCTTTATACTTAAAGTATAAAGCCTGAGCTTTAACTTGTTAGGTAAGCCAGACCAAGAGATTTAGTTTTCAGGAAGCTACTAAATCCCTGAGCAGACCAATAATAAGTTCTGAAATTGAATCAACAATAAAAACACTGGCAACCAAGAAAAAATCCCAAGACCAGATAGATTCACAGTCAAATTGTACCAGATGTATAAAGAAGGACTGGTACCATTCCTACTGAAAGTATTCCAAAAAATTGAGGAGGAGGGACTTTTTCCTAACTCATTCTATGAGACCAGCATCATCCTGATACAAATGGTTCAGATTCTATAACCTCATTAGACTTGTAAAGGAGGATATGTTAGAGGTTGTGAGAAAATCTGTCCTGGTGAGACTGATTCTTAGATTCTTTGATCCCCTTACATTTCTCTTCATTGGTCAGGGACCATGGGTGTATGTAGTCATTTGAGAAACTCTGGGATGGTGTTTGTGTAACGGGTCGAATGTGAAACCCAGCTTGCTAGATGGAATCCTTGGATTATGATATGTGGCACAATAGCATCTAGGAATCACAATCCCAAATAAGAGAGTGATGCAACTGAGTCTGAGACCCACAGTTTAGAAGGCACTGAGGAGGGCATCCAAATCCACCTGCCACTTGGTGCAGGAATCCTTCTTATAACATTATTACTTGGTGGACATTGAAACATGACTTGACCATCTCTAGGGGTGGTGAAAACACAACTTTAGGAATTCAACAGTTTAAATTTAACCAACTAATCAAACTAAATGTAACTTCCTCCCATTGTCCAATTCTGCCCTTTTGAGTTACATGGACTGGGTTTTAAGTGTCTTCCCACTTAGATCTTAAATTATCTATACAAAATATTTCAATGCCAGCAATCATGATATGGAATCTTGACCTTTTAACATCCGGACTGCCCATCTCTAGATGCCCATTAATTTTATAGTGTCTGTTTTAAAATCCAAAGATCAGGGTTGACATTAATATCTTATATAACTCATTGATGGTGAACACAGTGGGAGACCACTTACGTGGTCTGTTCACTACTCCTCTGCCAAAGTAGTCTAAGATGGCTTGCAGAGATTTAGTCTGGTGAATTACTGTCCTTCCCATGTTCTTAATTCATTTGCAACATGATTAGTAAAGGAATGACAGATATTAAGTATCTATTATATTTCTGGTACCAAGAAGACACTGCATTCTCCCATATAATAATACCATTGTCATTCCACATGAGAAAATTAACAACTTCAGTAATAAAAGGTATACTTTACATTTCAGTTTCCAAATATTTTCCCAAATAAATGTACAGTTTTTTTAAAAAAATCAAGGATTCCATCTAGGTTCATGTGCTGCATGTGAATATTTTGAGTTTTAAATGTTTTAATCTATCACATTCCCTCATAACACTTCTGCCTTTTAATTTAATTTGATTTTTTGGCTGTGTTTTTTCCTCTTTTCAATGCCATTTATTATATTTCACTCAATATAGTCCTCTTTGGGCACCTTGTAATTTACTATTTGGTTCTGAAATATTTTTAACAGATTTTTAAATTTCTTTCTCAAATTTACTTGACTATTTTTTTCATCTGTTGCTATTTTTTGTGCACTCTATTCTGAGTTTTTTTTTTTTTAATTCTGATTTCCAGTGTTGTTTCCTATTTGTAAATGCCTTTTAGTTGTGGCTAATTCATGTTGGGGATTTATTTTATAGTCTTCCTCAATTTTGTGAACATTTGGAGAATATTTTTGTCAGCTGAACATTTTATTTTTCCCTTTCATTTTGTTGTTTTAGAAGCATTATATGTATATTTATTATTATCTGTTGCTTCAGAATTTTTGGAGGTTTCCTGATCCAGCAGGAAAACTTGTTTGTCATTTTGTCTGTATGGTTTACTATATTTCTTCCTATAGTTCTCAATGCTTTCTGTTACTAGACATATTGTGCTTGTTCTTTAGTAAATGGTCCTATTTTGGGAGAGGATGAGTTGGTACTTTTTTTGATACTCATGTTTTTCTTAAGACCCTAATTTTTGCCTCTTGCTTCCCCTTCATCTCCAAGGCTCTAAGATTCACCTCCCACTTCAAATTGCTCCCACCTCTAAAAGAGTATGCTTTTCCTAGACAGATGCCTCTGTTCCCCTGCATGTTCGTATACCCTCCCACACCTCCTTTTTTTGATCTTCAATAGTCAGTGCTCTGATCCACAAGGCTCAGACCTATTCTCAGTATTTCCCATTCAGGATATGATCTTAACTTTCTAGGGATGATTTTTTCTCGGTTATCCTTTCTCTCTGATAAGACCAATGACTATATATTATGAAAGTCACCCCAATCATACTAATAGTGTGGGACTGAAGTTTATGCTCTGGAACCTTTACTAGAAATTTCACTTTATCTTACAGTGAGCCATCAGTCAGCACCTGTTTGGAGTAGTGTATACACACCAGGGGACATCTAATTAATGATACTATCATCCAGTTATTCATTTTACATCTTCTTTTAAAAAGTAAAATTGTTTTGAAATATGTCGATTAAAATTAAGTTACATTATGTTTGTGGCATTTCTTTTTGTACAGGTGAAGTAGATTACTTTACGTGTCTTTAAACTATTAATACAAAATTTACTAACATTTATTGAATGCCTACCAAGTGCTAGTTATTCCTCTTTGCAATGGAGAAAAGAAGATATAGTAAGACATAATGCCAGCCCTTGAGGAGCTCAATCTTAATTGTGAGAGGCAGATAAATATGTGAATAATTATAGTACAGTGGGTTAAGTAATTCATGATTAATAATGTACAAGTGCTATGGTGTATTAGTCAGGGTTCTCCAGAGAAATAGAATAAGATGAAGATACATAGCTACCCATATCTCTATCTATATAAATGAAAAATTGGCTTACACAATTATGAAGGCTGAGAAGTCCCAAGAGCTGCCATCTGAAAGCTGGAGACCCAGGAAAGGCAGTTGTGTAATTCAGTCCAAGTGTGAAGGCCTGAGGACCGGGGGAGCTGATGGTGTAAATCCCAGTCTAAGGTCAGAAGAAAATGAGATGTCCCAGCTCAAGCAATGAGGCTTGAAAAAAGAGGTGAATTTCTCCTTCCTCCACCTTTTGCTCTATTCTCAGTGGATTGGATGATGCTTATCCACATTAGGGAGGTCAGTCTACTGAGTCCACCAATTCAACTACTAATCTCATTTGGAAAGGCCCTCATAGACACATCCAGAAATAATGTTTACTCCATTATGGCCTACTTGAGTTGACACATAACATTAACTATCGCATTGGGTATACAAGAGCAAAAGTTTCTAACTCTATTTGAGACAGTCAAGGAAACATCCTCAAGTAGGTGGCAATTGAATGGGTCTTGATGAAAGAATATAAGTTTGAAATAAGGTGAAGGTAGAAGGGAGAGAAAATTCTTATCTAAGTCACTAGCATATGGAGAGGGATATAGCCCCAAATTATATTTTACATTTATGGAAAATCAACTTAAAAAGTTCAAGTTTTGGATAGACTTTCTGCAAAGTGATGACAGGTATCTAAAATAGATCAAAATCACACAGAAATGTTCTCTGAAATGTATCTATGACAGAGGTCAGCATGCCTAGAGGATATATATATATATATATATACACACACACAGACACACACAGACACACACACATATATAAATGTATTCCTCATATATAAATGTGTGTATATGTATACACAAAGTTTGTGTGTGTGTCTATATATGTGTGTACAAAGTTTAAGGTGTATGTCATGGGTGTTCACATTCTTTTATTATAGTACAATTTTATTATACTCGAAATAAAAATCATTTTCACCCAATTTTATTTTCACTATTGATTTTTAAATAAATGAGCTTGGGGAATGCTCGAGAATATCTCTATTAAGTGAGGATTAAGGAAGATTTGAAGCACTAGAACTGAATGTCCATCTGAATATAGGGGAAGAGGTAAGGAGAATGTATTGTGGCTAATCACAGATAAAAGATCAAAATAGGTGAGTAGCTGAAAGAAGAACCAGAGAGGGGAGGTCACTGACTCTCTTGAGAAACATTTACAACAACATACAAGAACGACATTTACATCAGAAAATTTAGTCTTGCCAAGTTGATTAATAGATATTTATTCTCCATCTAAGGCTGATTAATAAGGTAGTATCTATCTTAATTATTTTCTATTGCATAAATCTTTATTATTTCTTGGCATTCTTGAAATTCTCAGGAGTGGCATGTATCTAAGTAATATAATCTGCCACTATCTCTACCTTATTTATTTACCAATATAACAACAAAGAGTAATGGATTAAAAGGAGTAATATATAAAATAAGAGTTAAATAAATTTTGAAAAGAAACAAAGGCATCTAAGAAATAAAAAAATTACAAGTTCCTAAGAGTACATTAGACTGAAAGTAAAATAAAATCTATTGAGCAAAGAAATAGAAATAGCTGAATTATGAAATTGAAACAATTAAAGGGGTATAAAATATTAGAGAAAAATAGGCAAGATTAAAGAGATAAGGTAGGCTAAGTAGATCCATTACATACATTTGGAATTCATAAAGAACAACAGCAATACAATGAAAAAATCTAATATTTAACACTATGTTCGATAACTGTCTTGAAATGAGGATAGTTTTGAATATACATAATGAAAGGATCCACTGTGTATCTGGGAAAGTGACCTGGAACAGATACACCTGTGACAAAACTATTAGACTTTGAAGGTAAAGAAAAAATTCCAGGAATATAAAATACCACATACAAGAAATGTAAATCATGCCAGTATCAGATTTGTTAATAGAACCAATAAGCAAGAGAGCAATTTATTTTCCTAATTATTTCCTTTAATTAGGAAACAGGGAGACAAAGGATGACTGAGAAAATATTTTTCGAAAGAACTGTTGGGAAACACAACCATATTTTAATATCAAATGAGGAAGATTTCAGTACAAAAATGATAAATGTGAAAAGATTTTTAATTCTAAATGCCCAATTCTGGTAAGGTCATACATTTACGAATGTCTGTGCATCATGTAATATAACAATTACCTTCATAAAATAGAGACTACATGAGGTGAAAGGAGAAATAAAATACACACAAAACATTGAGAGACTTTAATACTATTCTCAGTCCTTAGGACAACTGGGCAAAAAGTAAGAATAAAAGGATTTAACACAGTCAGTAAAGCAGACCTTACAGATATATATGTAGATTCTCACACACCAGAAGTAAAAAATATTTTTTCTTCTCATAATTCTTTTAAGAGACATATGAATCTTTAAAGAAAATACTATAATCCCATATTCTGGGGGTTATAGCATCTATAGATTTAATTTATGTGATGATGGTGTAGTGGATAGGAGCACAAATGTAAGTGTACTTTTCCAAGGCTCTTACATTTTATGTGAAGTGTTGCAGTATCAACTCTTAATAGACTGTGAAATTTAAGGGTGCATAGTATAATCTCAATAACAAACACTATAATAATCCAAAAAGGTATGTCTAATGTGTCAATAAAGGAATTAAAATAAAAACTTAAAAGTATTTAGTTTATCTAGAAGGTGATAGGAAAGGGAAATAGAAGAAAAACTATAGATGGGACAAATTTAAAGAGACAGGAAAATGGTACACCTAAATAAAAAAATCAATAGTTAATATTCTATGTAAATAGACTAAACACTACAAATAAAAGTCAGAGATTGTCACACCAATTCTATGATGTCTACATGTGATATACTTTAAATTAAAGACAGATTGAAATTACAGTGATGAAAAAAGTTATTCAAACAGTAAGCTTAAGAAACCTGGAGGTGTTAGGCAACATTAGAAAGAGTAGACTTTAAGGCAAGAAATACTACCAGATATAGAGAGACTGTCGTCAGATTTCAGGATAATCTCCCCATATCAAAAGCCTTAATTTAATAATATTTTCAAAGTCCCTTTTTTGCCATACAAGGTAAAAATGCCTTTTGAGTGCCATATATTCAGTTTCTGAGGATTAGGATATGGATATCATTTGGTGGGAAGCATTATTCAGCCTACCGCAGCCTGTAATTAAAAGCTTCTCTACACTTCCAAGCACTTGGGAATTGTTTAAAAAAAATAAAATAAATAAGTAAGTAAGTAAGTAAGTAAATAAATAAATAAATAAAAGCTTTTCTACAAAGGCAATTACTGGCCTGGATGTTCTCACTGATGAACACTTCTTAGCAATGTAGAAATAAATAATATTAATTTTTCCATAAAATAAAAAAAGACATCCCAGTTTGTTTGATGATAACCAAAATTACCTTGATACCAAAATCTGACAAAGACCTTACAAGAAAGGAAAACTCTAGGCCAGTATCTCTCATAACCATAAACATCCTGAATAAAAAGTTAGCAAATAGAATTCGGCAGTATATACGAGGGAGAATATGTTCCACAATTTCCCCGTAATCTTTCCAAGTCAATTTTCCCCAGGAACAAAGCAATCACTGTGGGGATTTCTTTAAACGTGGATTATGATGCTTTTTGCCTATTCTAGAGCATTATGTGATGAGTCATAGTATGCATTCTTTGGTGTCTGGCTTCTCTCATTCAGTGTCATGTATATGAGATTTGTCCATCTTGTGTGTACAGTTTGTTATTTTTCATTGCTAAATATTATTTTCTCATGAATATATAGTTGGTTCTCATTATTTGTGGTAGTTATGATCCATAGTCTCTGGGAATACTAAATTAATGAATACTGAATCATTGCTCCTAGGGAATTACAGGGATAGGTTACTGCGAGCCTCTTGTTACAATATTTTTGCCAACTGATCAATACATAACCTTTTCAAAATGTATGTTTCCTCTTAAAGACACCTTATTTAATATATATTGTTGATTCATTAACACTGAGCTCATGGCTCACAGCACTATACCTTACACCAGAATGAAGCATATTTAACACATGCATTTTCTCTGTAAGGCACATCACAGCCTTCTTGAATTTAGGAACACTAGACAGAACTTTGGCATTATGCTTAGGAGCCATTTCAAAAAGCAAAATCACCAGCAAAAAGTACAAAAATGCAAAAAAAAAAATGTGGCACTGAAGACCATCAGGAGGACACTTGCTTACAGGATGAGAACAAAAAGAAGGCAGAGTGTTGTCTTATTCTGTCTCGGCTGGAAACGAGTGTAACGGGTGACTTAAAACTTTCACAGGTCTGTGCATACTTGTACATGTCAGCCAATAGCCCTAGAAGAACTACAAATAATGATTTTACAGTTACAAATAAATTTATTGAGTAGGTGAATTCACAAATACAGAGCCATGAATAATGAGGATCAGCCTACCATTCTCTTGTTGATGGGTATTCGTGTTGTGTCATAATTGGCTACAATGAATTAAACTGCTATGAACCTTCTAATACAAGTCTTTATGAGGACATGTGTTTTCATTTCTCTCAGTAAAATACTTGGGAGTGGAATTTTTCCATTATAGGGAGGTGTATACTTTCAAGAAACTGACAAAACTCTTTTCAAATGAGTTTTACTGTGTTATACTCCCCTCTACTTCTGAAATCTTTACTGGGCCAATGTGGCATTAAGCAAAACATGGAGGATATCTAAAGAAATGGAACCATGCCCTGAATGAGGTAAGTTGTTTCTGCAGTAAGGGTTCTCAGAGAAAGGTTCCATCCTTCTTGGATTTCCTCATTCACCAGGGGCCTTCCTTACTCCAGCAGTCATTACACAACCAACACTGCTGCTCCAAGGCCAAGACTCCCTGGGCAGCTGTCAGCATTGTTCCCATGGGGATGAGGACCGCTGGGTTGTGTCCTTACCTCACAATGTGATTACTGACTCCTCATCCATTAGTGTCATTTCTGAACCTGCACTGGGTTAACACTGGGAAATAAAAACTTCCCACCCACTTCTTGCAGGAGGCTGTGTGGGTAAGCTCAACATAATCTTATTTCAAGAGATCATAAATTGATTGGTACAACTTTTTGGAAGGTGATTTGATAACAGCTAGTAAAATTTAGTATAATAATTTAGCAAGATACAAGTGTAAAAATGTATGGGCTTACATGTGAAGGTATTTATTGCAGCATTATGCTGGTAAAAAATTGAAAACACAAAATATTTGTTAGCAGGGTACTCATTAAGTAAATGATAGTTTTTTCATAAGGTGAATATTTAGTAATCATTTAAAATATGAGGGATATATAAATGCTAATATGGGAAGGCTTAATAAACACACACATATACACATATAACAAAAAGAAAGTTGCAGGCCAATATTTTACTAAAATATCAAGTTTTTAAAAGACCATAAAAGATACTCATGTATATGCATAGACAATTTCTGTATGGATGTACTAGAAACTAATAGTAGTGTTTAGCTCTAGCAGATGGATCAGCAAGATCAGGCATTGGTGAGAGAGGCATTTGCATTTTTGTTTTATATTCCTTCACAAAATTTTACTTTTCACATGAACTGTGCTATTTTTATGATAAATGAAAGTCATTTTTAAAATGTAAACATAAATATTTTAAATGTTATTTTGCTATTTTACTGAGTTTGCAAGCCATCTTTGCTTTTATATAGTAGTTTTTAATTTGCGTTTCTCAAATGTCGGCTCTTCAGCCTTTACGCCTACCCTTCAAGTAGCTCAGGGAGGAACCCTGCTAGCATATGAAGACCTGGAGGAGAAATGGTTGAACAGCCACAGTTGGAATGTATGCATGCTGGAGAGACTGGAATGGGCTGTGGCATTGGTTGACTGTGAGGTTGGTTTGTGTGGCAGATCCTCTCTTTGTTTCTCTCTAAGCAGGGTTCCCTTAACTATTGGCAGAGGGTATCTAGTGGCAGGAGTTCAGAGATCATCTGGAGAAGATGGGATCTATAAGGTCTTGGAGATAAGGATAACATTTTTGGCAAAGGCTATTTGATTGCCCCTTAGTTTTTGATGTGTCTTGGAGCCATTTGTCATGTCCTCTGCTTGGGGCTGCTTAGGCTCTGTAGGGCTAAATGGAGTCAGGGAGGGGCATAGAGGAGAGCAAGGTATTGGCTATTCACAGCCTGGAGTGCTTAGTAACATCCAAGACTTAAGGCCTGGGAGGAGGGCAACCTGGGTGTTGAGAAACTTTTGTCTGGGAGATTTCAGATTTTCCCATTATACCAACTTTTTCATGTTCTAAAATGTGATTAGCCTTGGGAAGGAAAGGTGAAAAGTTTCTCTGGCTTTCTCTTCACTGTGTTGCTGGGATTGCTTTGAACCTGGAAACATTCCGTTAGTGAATAAATTCTCCAGGGGACAGATTCGGGAGGTAAAGAAGGAGAGAAAAAGAAAGAAGGAGACAATTGGGCTTTCCACAGCATTATTACTGGACCTTTTCCTAGGGGCAGTGTGGGGACAGTTTTCACTATCACTAAGAGTAAAGACAGCAGCATCTTGTTGTAGCTCATGGAGACTGCTCAGCACTAGCCAGGCAGAAGGTAGCTTGGGCTGGTCCCTGGGGAGCAGTAGAACTTTCCAAGCCTTTCCCCTTCTCTGGAGGTGAGTGTCTTCTAGAGGTTCCTCTCTGTGAAGTAGAGAGTAGGAGACCATCATGATAGGAGGGCTGAGGCTTGGCTGCCTTCTAGAACAAGGATACCTAGAGCCTGAAGAGTAGACAGGGGAGTTGCATAGAGGATGAGCTCTGAATCAAATCCTCCCTCCAGGGCAGAGGGCAGATTCATCTCTTCTCTGCCCCATGATGAAGAGAGGCACAGTGCTCTGCCACTACCTAAGTCTCTGCCCTCTCTTTTAGCCCTATTTCTTCTTCATATCTGCTTGCCATATTGTAGGGGAGCTCCACAAAGAGAGACTTATCTTTTTGACTGGGCAATACTTTAGTGAAGAGTGAATGGAGAGTCACATCTTACAACAGGAAAGAGAATCTGGTCAGGATGACTACTCTGTTTATTCATTCATTTATTTATTCATCGCATAAATATTTAAAGTGTACTCACTGGCTCAGTGTCTTATTCTGTTCTTGGAACTGAAGATGTGACAATAAAAAAAAAAAGAGGCGATCTTTTCTCAAGGTATTTTATTCTAATGTAAGATTCAGATTTCAAATGAATAAACAAGGAAAAGTTTAATATAATTTTAGAATAAGGTAGAGGATATATTGCCTCTAAACCATAGCTGTTTTCTTGTCTCCTGGACCCAGGGTGGAGGTCACATTGGGAGTTGGGAATTAAAATTCCAGCCTTTTCACTCCTTCTGGATTTCTCCTCCTCTGTATCATCTGATGACAAGAGGAATAACTCTCAGAGCCAGAGGTTGCTAATTTGGAGCTGGCCATACTCTGCCTGCTTGAAGGAGACACATTCACTTAGTTAAAAGGTGGGGTATAACTTTCATCATAAAACAGAAAGAAAGAAGTGGGCAATCTACTCCCGCAAGCCAGCACACCAGAAGTCAGGGAAAGACTCAATACTGTGTCACAAAATTGCTCTTACTTTCTGACAATGGGCAGGTTAGACCCTACCTCCAAGTCAGCCAGTTCTACCAATACAAAGAAATGATTATAAAGATAACTGAAGTGAAAACTTGAACAAGCAGAATGCAAATGTAGCCTACTGTATTAGTCTGTTCTTACACTGCTATGAAGAAATACCCAAGACTTGGTAATTTATTAAGGGAAGAGGTTTAATCAACTCAGGGTTCTGCATTGCTGGGGCGGGGGGGGGTCTCAGGAAACTTACAATCATGGTGGAAGGCAAAGGAGAAGCAAGGACCTTCTTCACAGGGTGGCAGGACAGAGTGAGTGCAAGCAGAGGGAATGCCAGATGCTTTTAAAACCATGAGATGTCATAAGACTCACTCACTATCATGAGAACAGCATGGGAGAAACCTGCCCTCATGATCCAATTACCTGCACCTAGTCCTGCCCTTGATACATGGGGATTATGGGGATTTCAATTCAAGATGAGATTTTTGGGTGGGGACAAAGCCAAACAATATCACTCACACTCAGAGGAAACAAAGGAAAGAAGTAACCACATCTAAGTAGGATTTGCTAAAAATACTTTTGTATAACTGTTGAGATGCAGTAGGTTTTTGTATGACACGGACATAATAGGTAGAGAAGACAGTTTAGTTCCATTCAGGATGGAAGACATAAATGAGCAGGTTGTGATCAAGGAAGTACTTAGGGTATCTGGTCAGAGCAGAGTTGGAGCTGAGATGTCCAGTGAATTGAGAGACAACAGTGCGTGCTGGGGTGGATGGGTTTTCATGCCTGTGGTGCAGTGTTGGTGACCAGTGCTTATCTTCTTGGACATATACATTTATCTACCATTCTACCTACCTATCTATTCTTCATAAAACATTTAACATCAACCTTGTATAGAGTCATGGTGTGGAGCCTAGAAGCCGGAGGGGAATATTTTCTCAATCTGGAAATGTCTTTAGTCCTTTTGTGATCAGAAGCAGTCTCATTTTTTTTTTTTTTTGGCTCTTTCCATTTCACAAGGAGCAAATCCTCAGGACTAAATATGTGGGAGTCACAGTGGTGTTACTGAATTTTGTCTCTTAGGCTTCCCTGGCTCCCAGTAAGTATGCCATTTGTTACCTTCTTCCTTTGTCAGTGATTGTAATAAGAAATTATGTAATCATCATAGTATGTGTTGAGAAATGCCTGCTGTTCCTCCTATATTTATTCTATGGTGACCTCTCTGTCATGGAAATCCTTATCACATATACTGCTGTTCCCTTGATGCTCAGGGGTTGTTACTTTCCATGATTCAAACAATACCTTTAATGACATGTGCTGTCCAACTCTATATGAACTTTTTTGGGGGTACACAAAATTTGCATTACTGGGAGTGATGACTGTGAACCATTATGTGGCTCTCTGTAACTCTTTGAAGTAAAACATCATTATGAGCAGACACACTGCATCTGGCTGGTAATTGTATTATTGATTGGGTTCCTTTCTGAAATCTGGTCAGTCTATGCCACATTTCAGCTCCCTTCAAATCAACTCAAAATGAATTAAAAACTTAAATGCAAGAGCTGAAAGCTGAAACTGCCTTAAAAAGAGGGATATCTTGCCATATTTGACAACAAGGATGAACCTAGAGGACATGCTAAGTGAAATAAACAGAAGGACAATATCCCACAAATGTAAGGTACCTAAAATAGTCCAACTCATAAGAGCAGAAAATAGAATGGTTTTTCCAGGGAAAAATGGGGAGTTGCTGTTCAATGGGTATAAAGTTTTAATAATACAAGAGAGTAGCTTCTAGAGATCTGATGTATAACATTGTGCCTATAGTTAACAATACTGTATTGTGCACTTAAAAATTTGTTAAGAGGGGTAGATTTCATGGTAAGTCTTCTTACCGCAATAAACAACAACAACAACAGTAACAATAAAGGGGCAGGAATAACTCCTTAAAAATGATTAATAGGGCCGGGTTCAGTGGCTCACGCCTGTAATCCCAGCACTTTGGGAGGTCGAGGCAGGCGGATCACTTGAGGCCAAGAGTTCAAGACCAGCCTGGCCAACCCTATCTCTACTAAAAATACAAAAATTAGCCAGGCATGGTGGCGTGCGCCTATAATCCCAGCTATTCCAGAGGCTGAGGCACGAGAATCACTTGAACCTGGGAGGCAGAGGTTGCAGTGAGTGGAGATCATGCCACTGCACTCCAGCCTAGGTGACAAAGAGAGACTCCATCTCAGAAAAAAAAAAAAAGTGATGAATAGGTTTATTACCTTAATTGTGGTGATGGGTTCATAGATGTACACTTATTTCCAAGTTCATCAAATTGTTTACTTTAAATGTGTGCAGTTTTCTCTATATCAACCATTCCTCAATAAAGCTGTTAAAAATTTAAAAATCTACCGTAAGCAAGACAGTATGTTTTGGGCAAAAGAATAGAGAATTAGATCAATGAAGCATAACAGAGAGCCCAGAAATAGACCCACACAAATATAGTCAACGAATCTTTAATAAAAGAAGAAAGGCAATCCAATGAGAAAGGATAATCTTTTCGACAAATGTTGCTGGAATGACTGGAAATCCAAACCAAACAGACAAACAAAATTTAGACACAGACTTTATACCTTTGGCAAAAAATTAACTCTACTTGGATCATAAACCTAAATGTGAAATGTAAAGCTTTACAACTCTAAAACAAAACATAGAAAAACCTAGGTGACCTTGGCTTTTGTAGTGACTTTTTAGCTACAATACCAAAAGCACAATATGTGAAAGAAAGACTTAAGAGAATGAGAAGAAGAGACACAGTTTGGAAGAAAATACTTGCAAAACACATACACATTACAGAACATGTATCACAAATATACAAAAACCTCAAAACTCAACAAGAAACTACTTGGTTACAAAAATGGGGAAATATCTGAATAGATCACTAAAGAACATGTATAGATGACAAATAAGCATGTGAAAAGATGTTCCACATCATATATCATCAGGGAATTGGAAATTAAAACAACAATGAGGCCAGGCATGGTGGCTCATGCCCATAATCCTAGCACTTTGGGAAGCCAAGGCAGGTTGATCACCTGAGGTCAGGAGTTCGAGACCAGCCTAGCCAACATGGCAAAACCCCACCTCTACTAAAAACATACACACACACACACACACACACACACACACACACACACACACACACACACACACCCTGGCATGGTGGTGGGTGCCTGTAATCCCAGCTACTAGGTAGCCTGAGGCAGGAGAATCGCTAGAATCCTGGGGGTGGAGGTGGAGGTTGCAGGGAGCCGAGATAATGCCACTGCACTACAGCCTGGGTAACAGGGTGAGACGCCATCTAAAATAAAATAAAATAAAATAAAATAAAATAAAATAAAATAAAATAAAATAAAATAAAATAAGATAAAATAAAAATAAAATAAAATAAAATAAAATAAAATAAAATAAAATAACAACAAGACACCACTGCACACCTAGTAAGTGGCTAAAATCCAAAACACCAGATGCTGGTGAGGATGTGGACCAACAGGAACTCTCAGTCATTGCTGGTGGGAATGCGACATGGTACAGCCACGTTGGAAGACAGTTTGGTACTTCCAAAAGTTTGGTACTTTCTTACAAATTTTAGCACACAATCCAGTAATAGTTCTCCTTGATATATACCCAAATGAGTTGAAAATTAATCTCCACACAAAAACTACTACGTGAATATTTATAGCAGCTCTATTCATAATCGTCCCAAGTCAGAGGCAATCAAGATGTCCATTATGGTCGGATTTTTGTGCCTCTAAATTCATCCCTTGTAGACTTAACCCACAGTACCTTAGAATGTGAACTTATTTGGAAATAAGGTTGTTGCAGGTGTTATTAGGTAGTATGAGGTCATAATGGAGTAGGGTGGGCTCCTAAGCATATGACTGATATTCTTATGAAAAGAATGCCACTTGAAGACATACACAGGAAAAAATGACTTGTGAACTTAAAATATAAACCAGAAAAGAAATAGAAAAAAAATCAACAAAGCCAAAGTAAAGTCTCTGAAAAAATTAATAAAATGGATAAATCCCTAGCAAGAATAATAAGGAAGCAAAAGCACACAAAGTAACAATATCAGAAATGGGAACAAGGGATATCATAACAGAGACAGTGAACCTTGAAAGCATGAAAATGAGTATGAGCAACTTTATGCCAATAAACCCAACAATTTAGATGAACTAAGCAATTCTCTTGAACACAATTCTTCAAAATGGACACAAACTGAAGTAGAAATTCTGAATAGTCACATAGCTATTAAATACATGGAACCCGTAATTAAAAACTTTCTCACAAATAAAACTCCTGGCCTAAATGTTCTCAATGATGAACTTTGCCAAACGATTTAGGAGGAAATAATGCAAATGTTTTTTTCCCATAAAATAGGAAAAGAGGGCTTATTTTTCCATTCATTTATGATAGCTCAAACCTGACAAGGACCTTACAAGAAAGGAAAACCACAGACCAATATCTCTCATTAACATAGAGGCCTAAATGAAAAGTGGACCAAATATATTGCAGCAATTTAAAAAGGGATAGTATAGCCAAGAATTATCTCATAATCCTTCCCAGTCAATTTCCTTCCAAGAATTGCCTGGGATTTCTTTTATGGATTTTGTCCATTCTAGAGCATGTTACATTAGGACCATACATTAAGCATATTTTGGTGTCAGATTATTTTATGCAGTGTAATGTATCTGAAATTTGTTTATGTTGTATACATCAGTACTTTGTTACTTTTTTCCTGACCATTATTCCCTTATATAAATACGTAGTTGACTCTCATTACTGGGGTTAGTTATGTCTTATAAAGTCGCTGGGATCACTGAATTAGCAAGTAGTGAATCATTGCTGAATAGTATTTCCTCATATGAATATCAAATTATCTTGTTGATGGGCATTTATTTTCTGTCATTAGTAGCTATAATAAATATACAATGAACATGATAACAGAAATATTTGTGAGGACATGTTTTCATTTGTATTAGGCAACTGCCTAGAAATAGAATTGGTAGGTCACAGAGTAGATGTATATTTAAGTTAATAAGAAACCAATGTTTTCCCAGGGGTTTTTATTATTTTACATTCCTTCCTACTGCTCCATTTTCTACTCTGCCACTGTATAGTTAATAACCCTGGAAACATGTCTGGAGAAACCGAACCATGCCTTGACTTAGGGAATTTGGATCTGTAATTTGCTTTCTCAGACAAAGGTTCCATCCTCCTCGGACTTCCTCATTTCTCAGCACCCTTCCTTCACAGTTCTCCACCTGTCATAACATGACTCAGCACAGCCACCTGGGCAGCTGTCAGCACAGTTCCCATGACTGAGAAGCCACAGTTGGAATGTCTGCATGTTGCAAACAGTGGAATGGGTGTAGCATGAACAGTCCATGAGGTTGAAGCAGGTGGCAGACCCTGTCTATTACTCACTTAGCAGGGTTCCCATAACTATGGGCAGAGGATTTCTGATAGGAGTGCAGAGATCATCTGGAAACACGTGCTTCATAATACTTGGAAATGAAGAGAAAATTTTTGATAAAATTCCATTTGGTGGCCTCTAGAATTTTGCTCTGTGCCTAGGAGTCACTAGTGGGGCCATCATGGCGAGCGGGGAGCTTAGGCTCCACAGGGCCACGTGGAATCAGGGAGAGGCATGGAGCAGTTCAGGGGGCTAACCATTCACAGCCTGGGTTGCATGGTGATAACTCAGAGCCTGAAGGAAGGCAACCTGGAGTGTTGAGAGGTTCCTCATGAGGGAGATTTCAAGTTTGCCCATTAGACAACTTTTCGGTGTTCTAAAACTTGATTAACCTCAGGAGGGAAGGGTGAATGTTTTTGGCAGCTTTTCCTTGACAGCATCCCTGGTGTGTCTCTGAACTTGTACAAATTGTTCCTCAGTGAATACTCATCCTTGGAGACAGATAAGGGAGTGAGAGAAGGAAGCAAAGAGAAGGAGAGAGATAGAGACAGTTGGACTCTCTCCTCAGCACTCGTATTTCTGGACTTTTGCATAAGCTTCTGTATGAGGACAGTATCCTTCACTCTGAATGGAGACAGAAGCAGCTGTTCCTGTCTCCTGAGCATAGCTCAGCACTAGGTGAGCGAGAGATAGCCTGGGCTGGTCCCTGGGGAGCAGTAGAACTTTCCAGTCCAGGCTGCTTCTCCGGAGGTGAGTGTCTTCCAGAGGGGGTTCCTTTCTGTGAAGTAGACAGTAGGAGAGCATCATGATGGGAGGGCCGGGGCTTGGCTGCCTCCTAGAACAAGGATACCTAGAGCCTGAAGACTGGACAGTGGGAGTTGCATAGAGGATGAGCTCTACAGCAAAGCCTGTCTCCAGAGCAGAGGGCAGAATCATTTCTTCTCTGCCCTATGCTGGCGAGAGGCACAATGCTCTGCCACTACCCAAGTCCCTGCTCTCTCATTTCTCCCCATTCCTTCCATATATCTGCCTGCCACATAGTAGGGGAGCTCCAGGGAGAGAGATTGCAGGTTGACTTTATGTTGCTTCAGAGAAGAATGAATGGAGAGAAGAGTCAGGCTGTATAGTCCTTGTTCATTCACTGATTTTTTTTCTTTAATCTATTCATTGATATATTCATTTAAAATACAGAGTGCATACTCTGTTCTAGTGTCAGACTCTGTTCTTGGCACTGGTAATACAAGAGAGATGAAGTGAACGAGAAAGAGAAATGACCTACCTATGAAGTATTTAATTAAATATTGGATTTTGATGATAAATTAATAAACAAGTAATAGTATAATGTGACTGGAGATATTGGTGAGGATAATTAGTATGAAAAATGTAGCCTAACACAGGTTTGAGAGGAAGGTGTGCCTGTATTGTTTTAGAGAAGCTGAGTGGGAAGGGGCCCATAAAGAGGAAACATTTGAGCAAATACCTGAATGTGGTAAGGGAAGGAGTCCAGACATTCTAAGGAGTTCAGAGTGATCCATTTTGGTGTCTTCTGACACTTTTTGTTGCCCCAGGACTCTGGAGAAAACAGGTGGTCACGGAGGAGCAGATCTGCTCTGTGGACCTTCCAAGCTGCTCTAACAGACTGAGACCATGGCAAGTTGGATGCAGGCACAGACTTCCCATTGGGAGGTCTTGTCTCTCTGCTGAAACTGGGGTGTTGAGAACTGGGAGATGCAGAGGATAAGTTACCTCCACACCACAGCTGTTTTCTTGTCTCCTGGCCCTAGGGTGGAGGCTGTGTTGGGAGTTGAGAATTAAAGTTCCAGCCTCTTCACTCCTGGACTTCTCCTCCTCCTCTTTGTCATCTCATAACAAGAGGAATCAAAATCTCAGAGCTAGAAATTGTTAACTGGGAGCTGATCAGACTCTGTCTGCGTGGGGGAGACACAGTCACTTAGATAAGAGGTGGGGATGGCTTTCATTATAAAAATAAAAGAGGAAGAAGTGGGTAATCCACTCAAGGGAGCTGGTATCCCAGAGGTCAGGGAAAAACTCAATACTTTGTCTTAAAATGGCTCTTACCTTGTGACAATGTCCTGGATAGACCTCACTTCCCGACATCACCCCCCAAAATGGTAAATATAACTGAAGTGAAAACTTTTAAATGAACATAATGCAAATGGAGCCTGTGTTTAGAGGATACAGAAGAAAAAAGTAACCATGCCTGTGTGAGATTGGCTAGGAATACTTTATTTATTTATTTTTTGAGACGGAGTCTCACTCTGTTGCCCAGGCTGGAGTGCAGTGGTGCGATCTCAGCTCAAGCAATTCTCCTGCCTCAGCCTCCTGAGTAGCTGGGATTACAGGCGCGCACCAACATGCCCAGCTAATTTTTGTATTTTTAGTAGAGACGAGGTTTCACCATGTTGGTCAAGCTGGTCTCAAACTCCTGACCTGGTGATCCGCCTGCCTTGGCCTCACAAAGTATTGGGATTACAAGCGTGAGCCACCGCACCCAGCCAGGAATACTTTCTTATAATTGTTTAGATGCATTAGGATTTGCAAGATGGAGACATAATAGGCAGAGAAGGCAATTTAGTTCCACCCAAGATGATAGAGGTGCTGGTGTAAGTGAACACATTGTGATCATGGAAGCAGACAGGGTGGCCGGTGAGAGCAGAGTTGGAGGCAGATGTCCAGTGTATTGAGAAAGAGTGCATACTAGGGTGGGTGGGTTTTCATGTTTACCATTTGGTATTCATAACTGGATTTCATCTTCTTGAACATATACATTTATCTTCAAAAGATATATATTCTTCATGAAGTATTTGACATCAACATCGTGTAGAAAATAGTAGAGTCAGGTTATGGAGTTGAGGAGCAGGAGAGGAATGTTTTTTCAACCTGAAATGTCCTTAATCTTTTTAGGATAAGCGGTTGTTCTCTCTCTTTTGCTCTCTAGATTTCACAAGGAACAAGGGCTTAGAACTAAATGTTGATGAATTACTCTAGTGCCACTGAATTTTATCTCCTTGGCTTCCCTGGCTCTGAAGAACTACATCATATCCTTTTTGCTATATTCTTCTTTTTCTACTTGGTGACATTAATGGGAAACACAGTCATCATCATGATTGTCTGTGTGGATAAACGTCTGCAGTCCCCCATGTATTTCTTCCTCGGCCACCTCTCTGCCCTGGAGATCCTGGTCACAACCATAATCGTCCCCGTGATGCTTTGGGGATTGCTGCTCCCTGGGATGCAGACAATATATTTGTCTGCCTGTGTTGTCCAGCTCTTCTTGTACCTTGCTGTGGGGACAACAGAGTTCGCATTACTTGGAGCAATGGCTGTGGACCGTTATGTGGCTGTCTGTAACCCTCTGAGGTACAACATCATTATGAACAGACACACCTGCAACTTTGTGGTTCTTGTGTCATGGGTGTTTGGGTTTCTTTTTCAAATCTGGCCGGTCTATGTCATGTTTCAGCTTACTTACTGCAAATCAAATGTGGTGAACAATTTTTTTTGTGACCGAGGGCAATTGCTCAAACTATCCTGCAATAATACTCTTTTCACGGAGTTTATCCTCTTCTTAATGGCTGTTTTTGTTCTCTTTGGTTCTTTGATCCCTACAATTGTCTCCAACGCCTACATCATCTCCACCATTCTCAAGATCCCGTCATCCTCTGGCCGGAGGAAATCCTTCTCCACTTGTGCCTCCCACTTCACCTGTGTTGTGATTGGCTACGGCAGCTGCTTGTTTCTCTACGTGAAACCCAAGCAAACGCAGGCAGCTGATTACAATTGGGTAGTTTCCCTGATGGTTTCAGTAGTAACTCCTTTCCTCAATCCTTTCATCTTCACCCTCCGGAATGATAAAGTCATAGAGGCCCTTCGGGATGGGGTGAAACGCTGCTGTCAACTATTCAGGAATTAGCCTTGCTCTGAGGACTTTTACATGGTAAAGCACTTAGTATGGATTCTAGAATAATCTGAAAAGAACTTGCTCATCTTTGAACTGCATCATAATTATTGCCATTATCAAATGATTTGCATGCAACAAAATACTTTTAAGTTACAGCTACGGTTTTTAGTATGCTTAGTTGTTACTTGAAACTCAGTCTATTATTTTTAAGACATGTCTTGCTATCTAGCTATCTATCTATCATCTGCCTTTCTTAAGATATGATGATTTCACAATTAAACTTTGAAAAATTAAATGTCAGAGATAGACTATCTATATAGTCTAGAAAATAGACTAGTGGTTGCTTAGGGCTGAGGGGAATGCAGACATAGGGTAGTGATAGCTATGGGGTACAGGCTTTCTTTTTGAAATGATGGTTGTAAATATCTATGAATATACCAAAAATCATTGAACTATACATTTTCAATGAGTCAACTTTATGGAATGTGATTTATATTTCAATAAAGCTTTTGAAAATAGTATATTAGATCATGAAGAAGTATTGTGAAGAAAAGTGAAACAGGAATGAAAGGGAATATCTCTTGCAGGAGTGTTGAAATTTCAAATAAGGTTTTCAGGGAAGGATTGAGAGAGGTAAGGTGGTGATACATTCGGAAACTTGTTAAAGAACATTCCAGGCATAGTGAGTAATAAGTGAGAGATCCTAGGGAAGGCATAACAAAGATGCTGAAATGGAGTGTGCAGAGGAGAAAGCAATGGCAGTCAGAGTGGTAACTGGAATGCAGACCATGTAGAGCCTTGTGAGCCTTTTTTTTTTTCCAGGTATGCAAAAAGATAATATTATTTTACTATTTTTTTCTTTTTTTTTTTTCTTTTTTTTTTTTTTATTATACTCTAAGTTTTAGGGTACATGTGCACATTGTGCAGGTTAGTTACATATGTATACATGTGCCATGCTGGTGCGCTGCACCCACTAATGTGTCATCTAGCATTAGGTATATCTCCCAATGCTATCCCTCCCCCCTTCCCCGACCCCACCACAGTCCCCAGAGTGTGATATTCCCCTTCCTGTGTCCATGTGATCTCATTGTTCAATTCCCACCTATGAGTGAGAATATGCGGTGTTTGGTTTTTTGTTCTTGCGATAGTTTACTGAGAATGATGGTTTCCAATTTCATCCATGTCCCTACAAAGGATATGAACTCATCATTTTTTATGGCTGCATAGTATTCCATGGTGTATATGTGCCACATTTTCTTAATCCAGTCTATCATTGTTGGACATTTGGGTTGGTTCCAAGTCTTTGCTATTGTGAATAGTGCCGCAATAAACATACGTGTGCATGTGTCTTTATAGCAGCATGATTTATACTCATTTGGGTATATACCCAGTAATGGGATGGCTGGGTCAAATGGTATTTCTAGTTCTAGATCCCTGAGGAATCGCCACACTGACTTCCACAATGGTTGAACTAGTTTACAGTCCCACCAACAGTGTAAAAGTGTTCCTATTTCTCCGCATCCTCTCCAGCACCTGTTGTTTCCTGACTTTTTAATGATTGCCATTCTAACTGGTGTGAGATGATATCTCATAGTGGTTTTGATTTGCATTTCTCTGATGGCCAGTGATGATGAGCATTTCTTCATGTGTTTTTTGGCTGCATAAATGTCTTCTTTTGAGAAGTGTCTGTTCATGTCCTTCGCCCACTTTTTGATGGGGTTGTTTGTTTTTTTCTTGTAAATTTGTTTGAGTTCATTGTAGATTCTGGATATTAGCCCTTTGTCAGATGAGTAGGTTGCAAAAATTTTCTCCCATGTTGTAGGTTGCCTGTTCACTCTGATGGTAGTTTCTTTTGCTGTGCAGAAGCTCTTTAGTTTAATTAGATCCCATTTGTCAATTTTGTCTTTTGTTGCCATTGCTTTTGGTGTTTTGGACATGAAGTCCTTGCCCACGCCTATGTCCTGAATGGTAATGCCTAGGTTTTCTTCTAGGGTTTTTATGGTTTTAGGTTTAACGTTTAAATCTTTAATCCATCTTGAATTGATTTTTGTATAAGGTGTAAGGAAGGGATCCAGTTTCAGCTTTCTACATATGGCTAGCCAGTTTTCCCAGCACCATTTATTAAATAGGGAATCCTTTCCCCATTGCTTGTTTTTCTCAGGTTTGTCAAAGATCAGATAGTTGTAGATATGCGGCATTATTTCTGAGGGCTCTGTTCTGTTCCATTGATCTATATCTCTGTTTTGGTACCAGTACCATGCTGTTTTGGTTACTGTAGCCTTGTAGTATAGTTTGAAGTCAGGTAGTGTGATGCCTCCAGCTTTGTTCTTTTGGCTTAGGATTGACTTGGCAATGCGGGCTCTTTTTTGGTTCCATATGAACTTTAAAGTAGTTTTTTCCAATTCTGTGAAGAAAGTCATTGGTAGCTTGATGGGGATGGCATTGAATCTGTAAATTACCTTGGGCAGTATGGCCATTTTCACGATATTGATTCTTCCTACCCATGAGCATGGAATGTTCTTCCATTTGTTTGTCTCCTCTTTTATTTCCTTGAGCAGTGGTTTGTAGTTCTCCTTGAAGAGGTCCTTCACATCCCTTGTAAGTTGGATTCCTAGGTATTTTATTCTCTTTGAAGCAATTGTGAATGGGAGTTCACCCATGATTTGGCTCTCTGTTTGTCTGTTGTTGGTGTATAAGAATGCTTGTGATTTTTGTACATTGATTTTGTATCCTGAGACTTTGCTGAAGTTGCTTATCAGCTTAAGGAGATTTTGGGCTGAGACGATGGGGTTTTCTAGATAAACAATCATGTCATCTGCAAACAGGGACAATTTGACTTCCTCTTTTCCTAATTGAATACCCTTTATTTCCTTCTCCTGCCTGATTGCCCTGGCCAGAACTTCCAACACTATGTTGAATAGGAGCGGTGAGAGAGGGCATCCCTGTCTTGTGCCGGTTTTCAAAGGGAATGCTTCCAGTTTTTGCCCATTCAGTATGATATTGGCTGTGGGTTTGTCATAGATAGCTCTTATTATTTTGAAATACGTCCCATCAATACCTAATTTATTGAGAGTTTTTAGCATGAAGAGTTGTTGAATTTTGTCAAAGGCTTTTTCTGCATCTATTGAGATAATCATGTGGTTTTTGTCTTTGGCTCTGTTTATATGCTGGATTACATTTATTGATTTGCGTATATTGAACCAGCCTTGCATCCCAGGGATGAAGCCCACTTGATCATGGTGGATAAGCTTTTTGATGTGCTGCTGGATTCGGTTTGCCAGTATTTTATTGAGGATTTTTGCATCAATGTTCATCAAGGATATTGGTCTAAAATTCTCTTTTTTGGTTGTGTCTCTGCCCGGCTTTGGTATCAGAATGATGCTGGCCTCATAAAATGAGTTAGGGAGGATTCCCTCTTTTTCTATTGATTGGAATAGTTTCAGAAGGAATGGTACCAGTTCCTCCTTGTACCTCTGGTAGAATTCGGCTGTGAATCCATCTGGTCCTGGACTCTTTTTGGTTGGTAAACTATTGATTATTGCCACAATTTCAGAGCCTGTTATTGGTCGATTCAGAGATTCAACTTCTTCCTGGTTTAGTCTTGGGAGAGTGTATGTGTCGAGGAATGTATCCATTTCTTCTAGATTTTCTAGTTTATTTGCGTAGAGGCGTTTGTAGTATTCTCTGATGGTAGTTTGTATTTCTGTGGGATCGGTGGTGATATCCCCTTTATCATTTTTTATTGTGTCTATTTGATTCTTCTCTCTTTTTTTCTTTATTAGTCTTGCTAGCGGTCTATCAATTTTGTTGATCCTTTCAAAAAACCAGCTCCTGGATTCATTGATTTTTTGAAGGGTTTTTTGTGTCTCTATTTCCTTCAGTTCTGCTCTGATTTTAGTTATTTCTTGCCTTCTGCTAGCTTTTGAATGTGTTTGCTCTTGCTTTTCTAGTTCTTTTAATTGTGATGTTAGGGTGTCAATTTTGGATCTTTCCTGCTTTCTCTTGTAGGCATTTAGTGCTATAAATTTCCCTCTACACACTGCTTTGAATGCGTCCCAGAGATTCTGGTATGTGGTGTCTTTGTTCTCGTTGGTTTCAAAGAACATCTTTATTTCTGCCTTCATTTCGTTATGTACCCAGTAGTCATTCAGGAGCAGGTTGTTCAGTTTCCATGTAGTTGAGCGGCTTTGAGTGAGATTCTTAATCCTGAGTTCTAGTTTGATTGCACTGTGGTCTGAGAGATAGTTTGTTATAATTTCTGTTCTTTTACATTTGCTGAGGAGAGCTTTACTTCCAACTATGTGGTCAATTTTGGAATAGGTGTGGTGTGGTGCTGAAAAAAATGTATATTCTGTTGATTTGGGGTGGAGAGTTCTGTAGATGTCTATTAGGTCTGCTTGGTGCAGAGCTGAGTTCAATTCCTGGGTATCCTTGTTGACTTTCTGTCTCGTTGATCTGTCTAATGTTGACAGTGGGGTGTTAAAGTCTCCCATTATTAATGTGTGGGAGTCTAAGTCTCTTTGTAGGTCATTGAGGACTTGCTTTATGAATCTGGGTGCTCCTGTATTGGGTGCATAAATATTTAGGATAGTTAGCTCCTCTTGTTGAATTGATCCCTTTACCATTATGTAATGGCCTTCTTTGTCTCTTTTGATCTTTGTTGGTTTAAAGTCTGTTTTATCAGAGACTAGGATTGCAACCCCTGCCTTTTTTTGTTTTCCATTTGCTTGGTAGATCTTCCTCCATCCTTTTATTTTGAGCCTATGTGTGTCTCTGCACGTGAGATGGGTTTCCTGAATACAGCACACTGATGGGTCTTGACTCTTTATCCAACTTGCCAGTCTGTGTCTTTTAATTGCAGAATTTAGTCCATTTATATTTAAAGTTAATATTGTTATGTGTGAATTTGATCCTGTCATTATGATGTTAGCTGGTGATTTTGCTCATTAGTTGATGCAGTTTCTTCCTAGTCTCGATGGTCTTTACATTTTGGCATGATTTTGCAGCGGCTGGTACCGGTTGTTCCTTTCCATGTTTAGCGCTTCCTTCAGGAGCTCTTTTAGGGCAGGCCTGGTGGTGACAAAATCTCTCAACATTTGCTTGTCTATAAAGTATTTTATTTCTCCTTCACTTATGAAGGTTAGTTTGGCTGGATATGAAATTCTGGGTTGAAAATTCTTTTCTTTAAGAATGTTGAATATTGGCCCCCACTCTCTTCTGGCTTGTAGGGTTTCTGCCGAGAGATCCGCTGTTATTCTGATGGGCTTTCCTTTGAGGGTAACCCGACCTTTCTCTCTGGCTGCCCTTAACATTTTTTCCTTCATTTCAACTTTGGTGAATCTGACAATTATGTGTCTTGGAGTTGCTCTTCTCGAGGAGTATCTTTGTGGCGTTCTCTGTATTTCCTGAATCTGAACGTTGGCCTGCCTTGCTAGATTGGGGAAGTTCTCCTGGATAATATCCTGCAGAGTGTTTTCCAACTTGGTTCCATTCTCCACATCACTTTCAGGTACACCAATCAGACGTAGATTTGGTCTTTTCACATAGTCCCATATTTCTTGGAGGCTTTGCTCATTTCTTTTTATTCTTTTTTCTCTAAACTTCCCTTCTCGCTTCATTTCATTCATTTCATCTTCCATTGCTGATACCCTTTCTTCCAGTTGATCGCATCGGCTCCTGAGGCTTCTGCATTCTTCACGTAGTTCTCGAGCCTTGGTTTTCAGCTCCATCAGCTCCTTTAAGCACTTCTCTGTATTGGTTATTCTAGTTATACATTCTTCTAAATTTTTTTCAAAGTTTTCAACTTCTTTGCCTTTGGTTTGAATGTCCTCCCGTAGCTCAGAGTAATTTGATCGTCTGAAGCCTTCTTCTCTCAGCTCGTCAAAATCATTCTCCATCCAGCTTTGTTCTGTTGCTGGTGAGGAACTGCGTTCCTTTGGAGGAGGAGAGGCGCTCTGCGTTTTAGAGTTTCCAGTTTTTCTGTTCTGTTTTTTCCCCATCTTTGTGGTTTTATCTACTTTTGGTCTTTGATGATGGTGATGTACAGATGGGTTTTCGGTGTAGATGTCCTTTCTGGTTGTTAGTTTTCCTTCTAACAGACAGGACCCTCAGCTGCAGGTCTGTTGGAATACCCTGCCGTGTGAGGTGTCAGTGTGCCCCTGCTGGGGGGTGCCTCCCAGTTAGGCTGCTCGGGGGTCAGGAGTCAGGGACCCACTTGAGGAGGCAGTCTGCCCGTTCTCAGATCTCCAGCTGCGTGCTGGGAGAACCACTGCTCTCTTCAAAGCTGTCAGACAGGGACACTTAAGTCTGCAGAGGTTACTGCTGTCTTTTTGTTTGTCTGTGCCCTGCCCCCAGAGGTGGAGCCTACAGAGGCAGGCAGGCCTCCTTGAGCTGTGGTGGGCTCCACCCAGTTCGAGCTTCCCGGCTGCTTTGTTTACCTAAGCAAGCCTGGGCAATGGCGGGCGCCCCTCCCCCAGCCTCGTTGCCGCCTTGCAGTTTGATCTCAGACTGCTGTGCTAGCAATCAGTGAGATTCCGTGGGCGTAGGACCCTCCGAGCCAGGTGTGGGATATAGTCTCGTGGTGCGCCGTTTCTTAAGCCGGTCTGAAAAGCGCAATATTCGGGTGGGAGTGACCCGATTTTCCAGGTGCGTCCGTCACCCCTTTCTTTGACTCGGAAAGGGAACTCCCTGACCCCTTGCGCTTCCCAGGTGAGGCAATGCCTCGCCCTGCTTCGGCTCGCGCACGGTGCGCACACACACTGGCCTGCGCCCACTGTCTGGCACTCCCTAGTGAGATGAACCCGGTACCTCAGATGGAAATGCAGAAATCACCGTCTTCTGCGTCGCTCACGCTGGGAGTTGTAGACCGGAGCTGTTCCTATTCGGCCATCTTGGCTCCTCCCTCTCTTTTTTTTAAAATTATACTTTAAGTCCTAGGGTACATGTGCACAATGTGCAGGTTTGTTACATATGTATACATGTGCCATGTTGGTGTGCTGCACCCACTAACTTATCATTTATATTAGGTATTTCTCCTAATGCTGTCCCTCCCCTCTCCTCACACCCCACGACAGGCCCTGGTGTGTGATGTTCCCTGCCTGGTGTCCAAGTGCTCTCATTATTCAATTCCCACCTATGAGTGAGAATATGTGGTGTTTGGTTTTCTGTCTTTGCGATAGCTTGCTCAGAATGATGGTTTCCAGCTTCATCCATGTCCCTACAAAGGACATGAACTCTCATCCTTTTTTGTGGCTGCATAGTATTCCATGGTGTATATGTGCCACATTTTCTTAATCCAGTCTATCACTGATGGACATTTGGGTTGGTTCCAAGTCTTTGCTATTGTGAATAGTGCCACAATAAACATACGTGTGCATGTGTCTTTATAGTAGCGTGATTTATAATCCTTTGGGTATATACCCAGTAATGGGATCACTGGGTCAAATGGTATTTCTAGTTCTAGATCCTTGAGGAATCGCCACACTGAGCCTTTTAAGGATGTTTGCTCTTTCCAGAAGCACATTGGAAAACCATCACAGGGGGCTGAAGAAGAGTGACAGAATCTGTTTAATGTTTTAACAAGATCATCCTGGTTGCTGGATGAACAATACACGAAAGGACAATAAAGGGAGAAGGATGAAGGCCAGATGGAGATTGCATCAGTTAGATTTTGCTATACGAGAGATAACCAGAAAACTCCAGTGGTATACAGTGATAAGTTTTTATTTTTGTGCTTAGAGTTTCAGCTGATCTAGGGTGGCTCTGCTGATCTCAGGTGGATTTGTTCGTGAGTCTAAGGGTTGGATGGGGGTTGGCTGACCTAGGCTGGGCCCACATTTGAGGTCATGAAAAGTGTGTCTTTGATCTCATGTGGCTTGGCCACAACATTTTTAAGGCACCCTTCTCTGACTTGCACAAATTTTTATTCCCATATTATAAATGAGTAAACAAGTTCTGAAAAATGAAGTGGCTTGCCTACATTAAGCTTCTAGCAAATTGAAAAGCTACTTCTTGGATGAAGATCTCAACTTCAAATCCTCCACAAAATGCTTCTCCTAATGTCTAATGCCATTGAGATACATAGAGGAATGTTATTTAATATGTGCAATAATTTTTTGAGATAGGTATTACTACCCCATTTTATCAGTAAGGAAATTAAGACCAAGAAAGGGTAAGAAAACTGTACTGATTCACACAGCATATTAGAAACAAAGTGAAAACTCAAATTCAGTGGCTTGCTAAATTTTCATTGCCTTTTTTTTTTTTAAAGCATGCCACTGCTATCTAATAAAGATCACATTTATCTAAGCTTGCAAGGATCCAGGAACTCTTCCAATGATGAACTTAAACCAAATCCCACATATTCCCTATCTACTCCCCACTCCCACCCCAGGCCATTGGGCTCCTTTTAGAACCTGCACAGAAGTGTCTCCTAATCTTGGGGGAAATTAAACTGTCTACTAAAGAAATCACTAGATGTCTACATTTCCTGATCTTAAAAGTTTGCAGTTATTCTGTCATGAAATAGGAAGTGAAGCAACTACAGTTCTCTCTTCTCAAAACAGAAGGATTAGGATTTCCTTTCTGTTGTCTGAGTTCTGGGGCTTGCCTTTGGCTAGAGTTCTGTTGATATTTTTCTCCACCTAGACTCAGCCTTTCTTCCCTTCTCAACGGTAGCACTTATCCTTTCCCAACACAGTCAGAGAACTTGTATCTCCACCGGCTACTAATATAATTCCAATTTCCACCCCATCTCAAACACAAATTACTTCTGGTAATTCCCTTCAAGCAAGTTCTGACACCTGATGTGTTATCTCATGTTAAAAAATTGTAAGTGGCCATGCTAAGGAGCCAAAAATGATGAAACCTAGGAATGCAGAAGCAGAACTTAGTGTTGTAATAAAAAATATGATTTACAACAATCTTGTTTGGTATACATACAATGACATGTACAGTCATTACTGTGCTACATTGTTATTAGACACAAAATGGTATGTGCTGTACTTTGGTGACTATTATTTCCATCAGTTTTATACATGGTCTTCCTTATGGTTTAATTATTCTTACTCAAAACACAAAAGGCATCTCTTTTCTCTTTCTTATGCACCAAGCAGAGTATATAGCTGATGTCTTGTGAGTGTGGAGAACAGCCAGGGTACTCCAAGACTTGTCTTCCTCTTTCTTGCCTTTCTTCCAGTGTGGCCAAATGAACTCCCTGTTTCCTGTCTCAGGTGATTTCCATTTGACCCTGATGTTCCCTTTTTACTATGTGCTTATTCCGTGCCCCCAGCCAATGTTTCCCTGAGCAGCCCTTCTCTTTTCCTACTCTTCGTCGGCTGGACCAGTTCTAGATCAATGTGATGCCAATCAGTGCCAGGCTCCTTGGGGTCAGTAGGCTGTGCCTGGTATCAGGCTTTCTCCAGAACTGAAGGGATGAATATATTGTGATTATTGTTGCCTAAGAGACTATCCAAAATTTTAAAAATACTCAACAAATACAGCCAGGTACTCAAAACCTTCAGAGCAAAGGAAGCCTGCTTACCTAAATTTTGGTTACAAAGGAGTTACATATGTTATAATGGAGTTTCAGAAATATGACAAGGGAATTTTTAGCTTAAGTGTCTCTTCAGGGCTTTGCTGAAGAACAGAAATCTAGTGTGTTTGGCTCCCTTGGCTGCCTGGTTTTCTTCAAAGGGGTCTCCAAGAAGGTTCCTATCCTGCCCAGACCTCTCTCCATTCCCATAAACAATGCTGCTGTCCGTGCTGCTCCAAGCTCAGCACTAGGAGCCCTCCCCAAGGCCAAGCCTTAGTTCAGACTGAGGAGAGCCTCTGCTACCCTCGCTTGTGGAGTTAGGAGGGGCATGTGAATGGGGTTCCCTTGAGAACAGAGACGAAGTCACAGGACCTATGTTTATCCCTCTTCCACCATGGTAATCCCTAAATAATGTTTATAATTTCTCACTCTACAGTTACTCCCTAGTAGTATGGTATACTCTGAGGCTAAAATAAAACAAACCCTGTCAACAGACTAGGCCTTTTTGATCAGTCAGAAATGCTCAGTACTACAGAAGCGGACCTCATCTCTATACTAACTGAGTTGTTTCCGTAAAACTGATCCTGTCTCCTGGAGATGGCTAGCATCCAGTCCCCCAGTGCAGAAGAAAGAAGCTCAGTTTCCCAAATGGGCAAGGACCGCTACTGGTAGACAGATAGGTAAGTAAAAGAATCATTGGCCAGACGACCTGTATGGATTCAAAAAGAGTTGCAAGTATAGTTCTTGTCACAGGGAACTGTGATCATTTGGCATTCTTCTCACAGATCCTGCGGTAGCTGATGTCACATGATGCAGCATCAAATGTCTTTGTTAGGCCAATGGTCGCACAGTTGAAATTCTGATTCTGATTGGTAACACTAAATGAGAAAACAAAACAAAACAAAACAAACAAACAAAAAACAAAGCATGGTGATGGCCCATCATTTTAGCCCAGCCTCTTCCTGATTCCAGAGTGAGAGTCTTGCAGGAGTTTTGCCTGGAAGGGCAGCAGACTACCGGGCCCACACACGTCTCCATCTGCGTAGCCTCCTTTTTAGCTCAGATCCTTTTCCTAATCCAGCTCCGCAAATGCAGCTCTAAACCCACCCTTTCCTGTCAGCTCTCCTGTGAGCGTGTATGGATTCACAGTCTTGGACTAACTAACTCACTCTGGCATTTGGTTAGAAGCATCTCATGGGCTGTCTCTTCTTCCAAAAGTACTGTTTAGGATAGCATGCATGTTCACAGCAAGAGGACAGGAAGGAAAAGGAGAGAGGTTGTGCATCCCTTTCCAGACCATAGTGGCCTCAGAAAAACTTGGTGGAGGTATTTGTTGGCTCTCCCACCTCTTTTTCTGTCATTCAGTCTGTTTCAGTCTGACTGAAAAGGCTCTGGTTTCGGAGAAATGTCATGTGTTTGGGACTAGCTTTATGATATTTAACACATTTCTAAGCTTTACTTGTCCTCAGTTCAACTGTCTGTGAAATGGGGAGCGATAAAAGCTTTTCATGTAGCATCATGGGGAATATTTCAGGAAACAACATATGCAAAGTGTTTAGCATAGTGCTGGCATTAGCAGACACTGAATAAATGTCAATTTCCTCCTCTCTGTAGGGAAGCCCAGTTACAGGCTGGGGGACTGACTTGACCTCTGTCTGAATCACTATTTTTGTATAAACACTGGGAAGATTATTGATGTTCTCACCAATCCTCATCTCCATGGAACAATTCACAGGAGACAGCTCTTGGGGGTCAGAAGTTCATAGCTTTAAGACATAGACAAGTTGCTTATAATAACCTTTCTTAGATAAAGAAGGCATATCTGGGGAAACTTGTATGTACTTTGTAATAAAATGTGATCTGTGGGTTAAAAGACGAAGCCCTTTTGATCAGTCAGAAACACTAGTGTTATAGAAATAGATCTCATCTCTATACCAACTGGGTTGCCTCCATAAAACTGACCCTGTCTCCTAGAGATGGCTAGCATCCAGTCTAGACTCATATCTAGTCTGTTTGAAGTCAAGAGACTGAGCTTTTTTGATCAGTCAGAAATGCTCAGTGCTATGGAAACTAGCATCTATAGAGAGCTACAAGATACATCAAATGAATGCTATGTAGGTGGATTTGTTTGGATCTTGATATGAATAAAATAATTTGCTATATGAATACTCTTCTTTCTCCTTATGAAAGTTTGATCTCTTTCATAAGAAAACATTTATTAAAATGTGTCTCAGGGAATAGATGGGTTGGAAGAAAGGAGAAGAGCAGAACAGAGTCAAGTGTCAGCGTTTGAGCTATTCCAGGGTGAACCCAGCAATCTCAGGTTTGGTCTTTTGAAGCAAACCAAGATCCCCAGGAAACTGTGGCATGTTCACGTACTTGCCATTGAACACAGAGTTGTTGATCCAACGCCACCTTTTCTCTTCACGATGGTAAATTAAGCCAATAAAATACTTCTCAGCATCAGTTATGTCCTGAAGAAACTTCTGGAAATAAAAAAAAAATTTTACCAGTGAGTCTTTTAATGATGCCTCTCTTGAGCCAATGTGCCCATGATTATATCTGATCCTGGGAATAAGGAAGGCCGGTAGAGAACTCTGGGACCAGCTATAGCTGGGACTCACAACTAACCCTAAAGAAGTCATTGTCAAGATTCAGAGGGAATTTGGAAAACCTGAGGTCTTGTTAAAACACAGACTGCTGGGCTCCTGGTTAAGTAGGTCTAGTGAAGGGAACCAATAATTTACTTTTCTACAAAATGCCCAGGTGATACTGATGTTTCTGTCCAGGGACCACACTGTGAGAATGAAGGGGAAGGGGTACTGTACAATCTAAAACAGGGTCATTTAAAAAAATATGTCATGCTTCTATCCATAGGATTGTTTTTGTTGCCAGAAATTTTGTATGCTAAGTGAGGCTGAACCAAGTGCTAATAAAATGTGTTTCTATATATTGAGTACTTAGGAAAGGAAAACGGTGAGATTTAAAAGTGTATTGCTTTTAAAAGTGTAATCCAAGAAGAAATAAGCAAGTGCTTGTCAAATATTTGCTGATTTGACACTAGTCCTAGACATCTTTGTTCTGTAATTAATTGGTGAGTTACAAATCATTTCAGCCAGAAGTGTTTCCTATACTTGTCACATACGTCCCATAATCAGTGGGTATCCAAGTCTTATTCTTTCCATCCCCATGGCTATTTCCTTAGTTTCTCACTTTTCAATGTTCTCCTTTTCTGAAATATCTTATTTCATTACTTTTTAATTAATTACTGAATGTTCTCATTCACCAAACATCTCTCGAGTGTCTATTATATGCCATGCATTGTGTTAGGCTGAGGATGTGGAAACAAATATATTTCTCCTCAAAGAAATTATGATCAAGAGGGTTGGCAAACTACAACCAGTGGGCCAAATCCAGACTTCATCCTGTTTTGGTAAATGTTTTATTGGAATGCACCCATGCCCATTGTTTACACATTATCTACGGCTGCTTTCAAGTTACAACAGCAGAGACCAATGCCCTGAAAAGCTTAAAATGTATGTTATCTGACCCTTTTTTAAAAAAGTTTTCTGACCCATGGTCTAAAACCAGAATCCTTAATGCTGAACTCTCATGCTGGAAGCCATGGATGGTTTCCCAGGAAAACTATGAAACCACTGGAATGTTATGAAAAATATTTTGCTTATGTAATGTTTCTGGGAAGGGGTACATAGATTTTATCACCATTTTAAAAAAGTCAGTGGTCCCATCATGTTTGAAGAACCACAGGTTTAATGAGGGAAGACAACCAACTTAACTAGCATAAGGAGGTATCTCAGGTGTAGTACTAGGAAATTATATACTGGATCTGGAAGAGGCAGAAAGGAGGAAGCGATCATTCTACATAGATCTGAAGTTTTTCTAGAATGATAGATGAGGTGATACCTGAGATGAATTTTAGGAGATAGCTAAGTTTGTCAGACAAACTGTCAGGGAGAGTATGGACTTCCTGGAAGAGAGCATGGATTATAGGCAGGTGGGGAAGCAGCCTGGAGCTCTTGAGGAACTACGAGATGCTCAGCGTAGTTAGTGCAGAGGTGGCAGGGAGGTGGTTTGAGAGACAAGGCTGGAGCAAAGGCAGAGGCGGCACTGTGCAAGGCCTGATATGATGTAAGGTACATGGATGTGCTTTGGTCAAGGAATAGGCTGAGGTGGACATCCAGGCCAAAGTGACTCAGCGAGTTTAGGGAGCAGGCATATATATATATATATATATATATATATATATATATATATACTTGTTATATAACCTATTTGTGTAAGCTCATGCTTAGCTCAGAGCCACTATTGTTTGAAAAAGGTATAATTGACCTGCCGATGCTGTGCACGCAACTTGGCTTGGCTCAACGTGCCTTGACATGGTACAGGCTCTGGTGCCCAGAGAAAGAGAGAGAGAACCAAGGCTGTCCATCTTGCAGACTGATAGAGGGCAGCCAGGACATGGCTCAGCATGCATTCATGCCCAGAGGGAGAAAGAGTTAAGCTGCTGACCCTGAACGCTAAGGGAGAGCCGGCTGCGCAGCTGTGAATGGGAGCGGCTGGAGCAAGCAGCTGAGACAGACAGACAGAGAGTATGAGAAAGCTGCTGATGAAAGAGCTGCTGAATAAAACTACATTTCACCTGTGTATGGCCCCCTGAGTGTTCTTTCAGCTATCTGCCACCCACCCACTCCCCTAGGACCTTAGCATGGGCTGGAACCTGACCCTGAGTGTGACATTTGGCATGGTCATGAACCTGACATATGCCATGCTAGGAGAACTGGCGTTTAACCCACTTTAATTTGGAAAATGGTACAGTTTAGAGCCTTAGAGGTATTATAATGTCAGTTCTGAGGAGGATAGCTAGAAAGAGTGCAAAACTGGAGGCAAGGAGATGGATTAGAAGAATTCTGAAGAAATCCAGGTGAGAACTGAACTATTTGTTGTTGGCATAGAGAGAAAAGGACTTGTTTAACAAATAATTGAGGAAGAAAAGAGAAGGTAAAGTCCCAGAAAACTCTTAAGCCTTCAATCTTGGGTGACATGAGTACTCACCAGTATTTGGAATGCAACAGGAAGAGTGGGGGGGTCAAATATAATTGACTCAGTTTTGAACATAGTGAGTTTGTGGGCCTCTTGAAACATCGAAGTGGAATTTGGTATACTTGTTGGGAGGAGAAGGATGAGCTGGAGATACAGACTTGCGAGTCAGCAGCAAACCATTGCCATGATGACCTTTGTCTTTTTCTTTAACGTTTTTTTTTTTTTTTTTTTTTTTTTTTTTTGAGACAGAGCCTTGCTCTGTTGCCCAGGCTGGAGTGTAGTGGCACAGTCATGGCTCACTGCAGCCTCCGCCTCCTGGATTCAAGCAATTCTTGTGCCTCAGCCACTTAAGTAGCTGGGATTTCAGGCATGCACCACCTCACCTGGCTAATTGTTAGTAGAGACATGGTTTCACCATGTTGGCCAGGTTAGTAGTGATGACCTTTTTCATCACCAAGGAAAAGGTACATGGATGTGTTTTGGTCAAGCAAATTGGGATCCACAAAACTTAATGGGTGTGGCAGACTTGTCACACTTGCTTCTTCCCGTTGCCTTCCCTCCTTTCCTCTTTTCATTCCCCTGTCTTGCTCCTGTTTTTCTATCTTAAGACATTTTCCCTTGCTACCTGGGTACTTAGCCCTAGAGGGTTTGTAGCATCCAGATCCCTTGGTCATCTATTACCAAGATTCAGAAAGGAGAAGTTCTTACAAATTCTTCTAAATCACAGGAGGACTTTCTAGAGGAGGAATAAAGGGATAGAAGCGAGAGAAGCAAGAGTATAGTGTATGTAGCACAGATTAGAGTATGGGTTTTGGAGTCAGAGAGTTCTGAATTCAATTCCACGTTCTGTTATTTGACCTTGGGCAAATTACTTTTCTGTGCCCTAGTTGCCATTTATAAAATGTGGATAATAATACATCCTCATTATTATTATCATGATCATCAACTGCAAATTCAGTATGACCTGATTCTTACTTTTTCACACTACTAATTTTGTCAGTTCACGTCTTCCTTGTTTACTATGCAGACTGGGATGGTACATTGACATCACATCTATAAGGTATTCTTTTTGTTGTTAAACAACTTTTATACACATCATCTCATTTGGTCATTTGCTTCACTTTAAATGTCTTGGCCCATCCCCAGGATATCAGCTAATTACAGTGCGCTATAGAAAAGACCACAAGGTGCGAATTTCTGTGGTTAAATGAAACTGGAAAATCATGCTGCTTCACTGCTACTAAGAAGAATCTCCTAACCTCCAGTCCAGAACAAATAGCTTCAGTTTTTCAGCCAGCCACCTCTCCATTCCTCACTCCATCCCATCCCCACTCCCCCAAGTTTCTACCCCATCCCACCCACTGAGGCTGTGTGGAGTGTGTGGCTTTACTGTACCATTCCAGTGTTCTCACCAGTTTCTCTGGCGTGTTGACAATTGCCAATGTGGATCCTTTTCCTTTGCAAAAGTCCCTGCTTTCATTCCAAGATGATTCAGAAGTGGATAAGAAAAAACATCTTGCTTGATAAAATTCCCAGTCTTTGGGGCAGACTGAAGAGGTCCAAGAAAGGAGAGTACGAGTTTACTGGTTTGGGTTATGAATCCTGCAACTAAGTCATGAAACAGTGATACATATTTTTGCTTTGTTTTAACAATTATATTGGTAAAAATTATTCTCCATCCAGGAAGAAATTCCACCCAGTCTAGTCTGGTTCCTTGACAATAATATAAGGAGAATAAGGAGAAGAGCGCAGTGGCTGAATAAAGTTTCCATTAGTCATCCCCCTACAGGAACACCAAATTTGACAACTATCTACACACAAAAAAGCACATATACATACATGAGAACAAAAAATCAGATGAACACTCAGTACCTGGATAGCTGAAAGAGGCACTGCAGAGGGTAGGAAAGATAGTCTTGAATTGCTGACACCACCCCCACCCTATCCCTGCTGCAGTGACAGCATGGCATGGTAAAGTGTATGTGCATGGGAGAGGGAGTGTGCAGGGATTGTGAGACTTTACATTGGACTCAGTGCTGCCCTGTCACAGTGGAGGGCAAAACGGACCAAACTCAGCTGATACCCACCCATGGAGGAAGCATTTAGATGAGCGCTAGCCGGAGGGGAATAACCCATCCCAGTGGTTGAAACCTGAGTTCTGGCAAGCCTCGCCACTGTGAGCTGAATTGCTTTGGGGCCCTAAATAAACTTGAAGGGTAGTCTAGGCCACAAGGACTGCAACTCCTAGGCAAGTCCTTGTGCTGAGCTGGGCTTTGAGCCAGTGGAATTAGGGGGCACCTACTGAGATACCAGCCAGGGTGGCCAAGGGAATGCTTGTGCCATTGCTCTCCCAACCCCAAGCAGCACAACTTGCAGCTCCAAAAGAGACCCTTTCTTTCTGCTTGAGGAGAGGAGAGGGAAGAGTAAAGAGTACTTTGTCTTGCATCTTGGATGCAAGCCACAGTAGAATAGGGCACTAGTCAGAGTCGTGAGGTCCCCATTCCAAACCCTAGTTCCTGAAAGACATTTGTAGAGACACCTAGACATACCCTGGGCCAAAAGTGAATCCTCTGTCTTGAAGATAAGTACACAGTCCTGACAGGATCCCTTACCTGCTGATGAAAGAATTCTTGGGCCCTGAATAACAAGCAGCAATACCTAGGTAGTATGTTATGGGCCTTGGGTGAGACTGAGATGTCTTGGGCTTCAGATGAAACCCAGCACATTCTTCTGCTTGAGAAAAGAAGAGAGAAAAGTAAAGGGGGCTTTGTCTTGCACCTTATGTAACAGACTGGCCACAGAGAAGTAAAGGTCAGCTCTTGGGGTCCAAGATTCTAGGCCTTGACTCTTGGATAGCATTTCTGGACCTGCCCTGAGCCAGATAGGAGCCCACAGACATAAAGGGTAGGTTCTAGGCCTGGCAGCATTCGTGACAAGCTGACCAAACAGCCCCTGTGCCTTAAACAAAAATCAGTGGTAGTCTGGCAGTGACCCTGTGGGCCTGTGATGGTAGTGGTCATAGGGTGAAGCTCCTCTGCCTGCAGAAAGGGGAGGGAAGAGTGGAAAGAACTATGTCTCATGAATCGAGTTTCAGCTCAGCCACAGGAGGACAGAACACCAGGTAGATTTATAAGGTTTTTGACTCCAGTCCCTGGTTCTAAGATAGCATCTCCAGACCTATTTAGGGCCTGGTGGAACTCACTGCCCTGAAGGGGAGGTCACAGGCTTGGCTGGCTTCACCATATGCTGATTATAGAGCCCCAGGACATTGACAAAACATAAGCAGTAGCCATGTAGTGGTTACAGTGGGCCTTGAGTGAGACTCAGTGCTATGCTGGCTTCAGGTCTGACCCAATGCAGTCCCAGTGGTGGTGGTCACAGGGATGCTTGTGTCACCCCACTCCCAGGTCTGGGAAGGTCAGCATAGAGAAAGAGATTCTGTTTGGGAGAAAGTAAGGAAAAAGAATAAGAGTCTCTGTCTGGTAATCCAGATAAATCTTTCAGATCTTATCCAAGACCAACCAGGTGGGTACCTCTACGAGTCTGCAAGACCCACAGCATTACTGGGCTTGGGATGTCCCCCATGCAGATAGAGCTTAGGTCACAGCACCCAAGTCCTTTTGAATACCTGGAAAGCCTTCCCAAGAAGGATGGGTATAAACCCAGACCATGAAGACTACAATAAATACCTAAATCTTCTATGCCCAGACACTGATGAACATCCACAAGTATCAAGACCATTCAGGAAAACATGACCTCACCAGTTGAGGTAAATAAGGCACCAGGGACCAATCCTGGAGAAACAGAAATATGTGACCTTTTAGACAGAGAATCCAAAATACCTGTGTTGAGGAAACTCAAAGAAATTCAAGATAACACAGAAAAGAAATTCAGAATTCTATCAGATAAACTAAGAGATAGAAATAATTAAGAAGGATCAAGCAGAAATTCTGGAGTTAAAAAATGAAATTCACATACTGAGGAATGCATCAGAGTATATTAATAACAGAATCAGAGGGGTCACAGAAGTCAGAGGATACAAAAGAAAAAAGAATAAGAAACAATGAAGCACACTTGTAAGGTCTAAAAAATAGCCTCAAAAGGGCAAATGTAAGAGTTACTGGCCTTAAAGAGGAAGTAGAGAAATAGATAGGGGTAGAAAGTTTATTCCAAGGGATAATAACAGAGAACTTCCCAAACCTAGGGAAAGATATCAATATCCAAGTACAAGAAGGTTATAGAACACCAAGTAGATTTAAGCCAAAGAAGACTACCTTAAGGCACTTAATAATCAAACCCCCAAAGTTCAAGGATAATGAAAGGATCCTAAAAGCAGCAAGAGAAAAGAAGCAAATAATATACAGTGGAGCTCCAATATGTCTGGTAGCAGACCCACAGCGTTACTGGGCTTGGGATGTTCCCCAAGTGGAAATCTTATAGGCCAGGAGAGAGTGGCATGGCATATTTAAGTTGCTGAAGCAAAAAACCCTTTACCTTAGAATAGCGTATCTGATGAAAATATCCTTCAAACATGAAGGGGAAATAAAGACTTTCCCAGACAAATAAAAGCTGAGGGATTTAATCAACAGCACATCAGTCCTATAAGAATTGCTAAAAACAGCTCTTTAATCTGAAAGTAAAGGACATTAATGAGCAATAAGAAATCATCTGAATATACAAAATTCACTGATTATAGTAGGTACATGGAAAAACACAATATCACAACAGTGCAACTGTGGTATGTAAAGTACTCTTATCTTAAGTAGAAAGACTAAAAGATGAACCAATAAAAATGATAACTACAACAACTTTTCAAGACATAGACAGTAAAAACAAAGTTATAAATAGAAACAATAAAAAGTTAAAAAGTGGGAGACAAAGTTAAAATGTAGAGTTTTTATTAGTTTTCTTTTTTTGCTTACTTGTTTGTTAATGCAAGCAGAGTTAAGTTGTTATCAGCTTACAATAATGGGCTATAAGATAGTATTTGCAAGCCTCATAGTAACCTTGAATCAAAAAATATACAGTAGATATATGAAAAACAAAAAGCAGGAAATTAAATCATACCACCAGAGAAAATCACCTTCACTAAAAGGAAGACAGGAAGGAAAGAAAGAAGGAAGAGAAGATCAAAAAACAACCAGAAAACAAATAACAAAATGGCAGAAGTAAGTGCTTACTTATTAATAATAATATTGAATGTAAATGGATTAAACTTTCCAATCAAAGTACATAGAGTGGCTGAATGGATGAAAAAACAAGACCTAATGATCTATTTCCCACAAGAAACACACTCCACCTATAAAGACACATGCAGACTAAAAATGAAGGGATAAAAAGAGACATTCCATCCCAATGGAAACCGAAAAGGAGCAACAGTAGCTATACTTATTTCAGACAAAATAGATCTTGAGACAAAAACTGTAAGAAGACACAAAGGAGGTCACTGTATAATGATAAAGGGGTCAATTCAGCAAGAGAATATAACAATATAAATATATATGCATCCAATACTGGCACACCCAGATATGTAAGGAAAATATTATTAGAGCTAAAGAAATAGATAGTCTCCAATATAATAATAGCTGGAGAGTTTAACACTCTGCTTTCAGCATTGGACCGATCTTTCAGTTGGAAAATCAACAAAGTAACATTGGACTTAATCTATACTATAGACCAAATGAACATAATAGATATTTATAGAACATTCTATTCATCAGCTACAGAATACACATTCTTTTCTTCAGCATATGGATCATTCTCAAGGATAGACCATATTTTAGGTAACAAAACAAGCCTTAAAACATTCAAAAAATTGAAATAATATTAAACATCTTCTCTGACCACAATGGAATTAAATAGAAGTCAGTAACAAGAGGAAGTTTGGAAACTGCACAAATACGTGGAAATTAAACAATATGCTCCTGGATGACCAATCAGTCAATAAAGAAATTAAGAAAGGAATTGAAAAACTTCTTTTAACAAATGATAATGAAAACACAACATACTGAAACCTGTAGGATATTAAGACGGAAGTTTATACCTATAAGTGCCTGCATCAAAAAAAACCAAGAAAAAATAAAAACTTCAAACCAAAAACCTGATGACAAATCTTAAAGAACTAAAAAAGCAAGCACAAATTAAACCCAAAATTAGTAGAACAAAAGAAATAATAAAGATCAAAGCAGAAATAAATTGAAATGAAGAAAACAATACAAAACATCAATGCAACAAAAGTCGGCTTTTTGAAAAGATAAACAAAATCAATAAACCTTTAGCCAGACCAAAAAAAAAAAAGAGAAAGAGATGACCCAAATTAATAAAATCAGAGATGAAATAGGAGACATTACAATGGATGGCACAGAAATTCAAAGAATCATTAGTGACTGCTATGAGCAACTATATGCCAATAAATTGGAAAATCTAGAAGAAATGGGCAAATTCCTAGGCACATACAACCTACCAAGATTAAACCACAAAGAAATCCAAAACCTGAACAGATCAATAACAAGTAATGAGATGAAAACCATGATAAAAACTCTCCCAATAAAGAAAAGCCCAGGATCCAATGATTTCACTGCTGAATTCTGCCAAGTATTTAAAGAAGAACTAATACCAATCCTACTCAAACTGTTCTGAAAAATAGAGAAAGAGGGAATACTTCGAAATTTATTCTATGAAGCCTACATTACCCTGATACCAAAACCAGACTAAGACACATCAAAAAATGAAACTACACGCAAATATACCAATCAATATTGATGCAAAACACCTCAACAAAATACTAGCAAGCTGAATTCAACAACATATTAAAAAGATCATTCATCACGACCAAGTGAGATTTATCCCAGGAATGCAAGGATGGTTCAACATATGCAACTTAATCAATGTAATACATTATATCAACAGAATGAAGAACAAAAACCATACGATCATTTCAATTGATGCTGATAAATTATTTGATAAAAGTCAACATCCCTTCATGATTAAAACTCTCAAAAAACAGGGTATTGAAGGAACATCCCTCAACAAAATAAAAGCCATATATGACAGACCTACAGCCAGCATATATTGAATGGGGAAAAAATGAAAGCCTTTCCTGTAAGATCTGGAATATGGCAAGGCCGCACTCGCTTTCATCACTGTTTTTCAACATAGTGCTGGGAGGCTTAGCTAGAGCAGTCAGACAAGAGAAAGAAATAAAGGGCATCCAAATTGGAAAGGATGAAGTCAATTTATCCTTGTTTTCAGATGATATGACCTTATATTTGTAAAAACCTAAAGATTCCACCAAAAAGCTATTAGAACTGATAAACAAATTCAGTAAAGCTCCAGGATACAAAATCAACAGACAAAAATTAGTAGCATTTCTATATGCCAACAGTGAACACTCTGAAAAGAAATTAAGAGACTAATCCCATTTATAATAGCTACAAATAAAATAAAATATCTAGGAATTAATTTAGCCAAAGAAGTGAAAGATCTATACAATGAAAACTATAAAACATGGACAAAAGAAATTGACAAGGACACCAAAAAATAGAAAAATATTCCATGTTTGTGGATTGGAAGAATCAATATTGTTAAAATGTCCACTCTACTCAAAGCAATCTACAGATTTAATGCAATCTTTGTCAATAACCCAATGACATTATTCACAGAAACAGAAAAAATTATCGTAAAATGTACATGGAACCACAGAAGACCCAGACTGTCCAAAGCTATCCTAAGCAAAAAAATAACAAAACTGGAGGAATCACATTACCTGATTTCAAATTATACTACAGAGCTTTAGTTACCAAAATGCCATGGTACTGTCATAACAACAGACATATAGACCAGAACAGAAGAGAGAACCCATAAATAATTCCCTACGTCTATAGTGAACTCATTGTTGACAATGGTACCACAAACATGCATTGAGGAAGGGACAGTGTCTTCAATAAATGGTTCTGGGACACTGGATATTCATATGCATAAGAATGAAAGGAGACCCTTATCTCTTGACATATACAAAAACCAAATCAAAATGGATTAAAGACTGAAATCTAAAATCTCAAGCTATGAAAATACAAGAAAACTTCGGGGAAACTCTGTAGGACATTGAAGTGAGCAAAGATTTCTTGAGTAATATCCCACAAGCACAGGCAACCAAAGGAAAAATAGATAAATGAGATCATATCAACTTAAAAAAGCTTCTGCCCAGCAAAGGAAACAATCAACAAAGTGAAGAGACAATCCACAGAATGGAAAAAAATGTTTGAAAACCACCCATTTGACAAGGTATTAATAACCAGAATATATAAGGAGCCCAAACAACTGTATAGGAAAAAAAATCTAATAATCTAGTTAAAAATGGGCAAAAGATCTGAATAGACATTTCTCCAAAGAAGTTGTACAAATGGCAAATAGAAATATAAAAAGGTGCTCAACACCATTCCTCATTATAGAATTTCAAATCAAAACTACCGTGAGATATCATCTCAACCCAGTTAAAATGGCTTTTATCCAAAAGGCAGGCAATACCAATGCTGGAAAGGATTTGGAGAAAAGAGAACCCTCATACATTGTTGGTGGGAATGTAAACTAGTACAGCTATGGAGAAGAGTTTGGAAGTTCCTCAAAAAACTGTAAATAGAACTACCACATGGCCCAGCAATTACACTCTTAAGTATAGGCCCAAAAGAAAGGAAATCAGTATATTGAAGAGACATCTGCACTCCCGTTTTTATCGCAACACTATTCACAATAGCCAAGATTTGGAAACAACCTAAGTGTCCATCAACAGATGAATGGATAAAGAAGTGTGGTACATATACACAATGGAGTACTGTTCAACCATAAAAAAATCAGATCCTGTCATTTGCAACAACATGAATGGAACTGGAGGTCATTATGTTACATGAAATAAGCCAGGCAGAGAAAGACAAACTTCACATGTTTTCACTTACTTGCAGGAGCTAAAATTTGAAACAATTGAACTCATGGAGATAGAGCATAGAAGGATGGTTACCAGGGGCTGGAAAGGGTAGTTGGTGGGGAGGTATGGGGGAGAAGTGGGGCTTGTTAATGGGTACTAAAAAATAGAAAGAATAAATAAGATCTAGTATTTGCTGGCACAACAGGGTGACTATAGTCAAACATAATTTAATTGCAGATTTAAACATAACTAACAGTATAATTGGATTGTTTGTAATACAAAAGATAAATGCTTGAGGTGATGGATACTCCATTTACCCTGATATAATTATTACATATTGCATGCCTTTATCAATATATATCATGTAACTCATGAATATATATACCTACTATGTACTGAGAAAATTAAAAAATAAAAGCCAAAATAATATGTACAAAGAGAATGAACTGGAAGGTCGTTATGGTCCCTTTGAGCAAAAAAATTCCATAAGAATAAAGACAATGGGAGAAATCTCTAAGAATTCAGTGCATGAGAACCTAGGGGATGGGGAGTAGGTTGTAATCATGCACTTTACCTGTTCCATAGCTCCTTGTGGTAATGAAGCCGTTGGGACTTGGGGAACTGCTCCCAAAAATCTGTGAGACTAAAGTGAAAAGTAAACCTAAAGGTTATGGTATGATGAATACAACACAGAAACAGAAACATCAGAGTATGGGCTGTGTGACTCTGAATCATGGAGATGACAAGAAGCTCTTGGCCACTCTGAGCTAGAACATTTCAAATAATTTCTTTCTTTGAGCCTTCCATCTAACTACTATCATTATTTGTCAACTTGACACCCAAATCCTATTTCATGTCTCCTTTTTTTGATGTAGCCATAGGCATCAAATCCTGAGAAAAAGAACAGAAGAAAGGAAAAGTAATGGAGGAATTTAGTATCAGAGAGAAACTCTCACACTCCTATCGTATATAAACCTTTGACAGTGTTTTCTCCAAAGGACTGTTTGGAGTACTTCTCGCCCAGGCTCCACACAGCATCTTTGCTGTTCTTTCTACTTCTGGTGTCCCAGATTCAGTATGAAAATTCATAATCCTGGGCAACTCTGGGACTCTTTTCTCATCAGCACTGTATTAGCTCTAAGGATTGAAGCTAATTGGAACAAAATTTCAGGGCCAAGGGGATATTATCAGACAAGGAAGCAGGTGAACTTTAGGGAGATTTTCTATAAGCAGGGAAGGGTCCATTCATTTCTAGAAATCCATATAGGGGCCTCATTTCCCTGGGAACACTGGCTGTCTGAGCAGGCAGCCGCAGTGGCTTCAGAGGCTGGTCAAACATCTAATTGGGCTGCCAGTTATTTGTCCATTGTGGTTGAAGACCACTTTACTCTGACATCAAATTAGTTACTTACATTTATCTTAATGAAACAAATTGGCATTCACTTTTTATTTCAGTACCCCGTTTATAGACTCTAAGATGTAATAGCCTGGTTTTCATCAGAAACTACTTTGAGATTATAACTTAAGGACTCAATACATATTTTATGAGTATTTTCTCCATACAGCTCACTGTATTGGGTTGCCTCTGTTGATACTAAGATAAATGAGAAACGGTCTTTCTCCTAACGATGTCAGTAGTAATAGGTGTCTTAAGAGGAAGTGAGAGGATGTTGTTGGGAAAGGCTTCAGAAGGAAGCTGGTTTAATCGGGAGAGGAGAACCATGCCCCACTCATCTCTCTATCTCCCATAGCTACTGGCTATTAAGCACTTTCACATTCTATTACAATGATTAGATATAAATCATCCCCATATCCAGGAGAAAAACTAAGGATCAGAAATTTCCCTCAGTCTGCTCTTGGTTTTCTCATATGTAAAAGAAAGGGAATTAATTAGAAGATCTTTATGGACCCTTTGTACAAAAGAATTTCTTGGGAAAGGAGGCTGTGTGGAAGGTCTCTAGGAATTCAGCATAGAAGTAGCAGGAGGATGGGGAGAAGATTTACCACCATGCAGATTACCTGTTCCATAGCTCCTGGTGGTGGTGAAACCATCGTTACTTTTGTTAAAAATCTGTGGGACTGAAAAGAAAATCAGCTGTTGGCTCAGCCCCAAATGTGACTGCATGATGAATATGACAAACAAGTATCAGCACAGGGGCTGCTAGGGTACTGTGACTATTAGTGGGAAATACTGAACTCTCTGACTCAGTGAAGATGCATAAATGTGGTTTTGTGAATACGTTCCCTTATTCATATTTCTGTCCTGCTGTCTGACATGATAGGAATTGCACCTTCAGATTGCATCATGAGGAAGACACCTCTTAGCTAACTACTGCCTCCCACTCACGTTTCCTTCCTCATTTATTTTCCCTACTGGCTTCTGGGGCTAGAGAAGATTCTAGTTTCTGATTGCAGTAAAATCCTTTCATAGGAGGCTTCTTTAACTAGGCATTTGGATGAATTAATTTATATGTATACAAAGAGAAATTTCTTTCTCAGTTAAATCCTGTTACATTATACTTCAGCTCTTACCATGGCCTTGTCATTGGGTTGAACTGGAGCTGTATTTTAGATTTTGCCAACAATAACAAGCGCTGCCAAGTACTTCAGCTGAGATCACCCAAATAATACTCTACTAGCAAAAGCTTTGCGTGGCGTTCTAACCATCAGAAACTGGTAAGTTCTATATCTCCAAGGTAGACCAAGGAGCCTGGGCCACTGTGTGTGCTGGGGAGTGAGAAAGGCATTGCCAATTGACCTCAGGTTGGGTCAGTTAGTCTCAGGTGGAAAGACTTGGATATGTAACCTTTACACACAACCATGCATTCTGAGAGAAGAGTCAATGAGCAAGACAACATGAAGTCTGGGGCAAGAGGTTGCTCAAATACTCACAATAAAGTAGAAATAAGGTCATTCCAACAACTTTAAGCACTACCACAATAAGCCCAGAGATGATCATGTGCCAGTTCATGATGAAGGAGCTGCAGGGGCCTGTGAAGATTAGAGCACAGCAGCATCAGAATTCGGGTACAAGGCTGCTTTTCACTAGGACATATCCCAGCCTCTCGCTCAGAGTACCCAAAGCAAGGCAGGCTTGGAAGACAGGCATGACATTGACAGGTACCAGGAGGTGACCCAGCGTGGGCCGCGAACACAGAAAGAATCATGTATTGATTGGAGCCTTGGAACTTGGCATACTGCCTCTCCTTCACTCATTCCCTACTCCAGGCCTCAGCCTTGCCCTATTTGTGGCCTCCTAAATTCTGTCTAATAATTAAACCCTCTCCTGTATTTTGAGAACCCTTATCCTTGAAATGACCCTTGTTCCCAAGGACCTTAGTCTGTAGCCTTCACCATACTGACTTAAGTTGTCAGAAGCCTCAGTCTTCCAAATACCAGGGGTAGGTGACAGACAGGACAGGCATCCCTGAAGGTCTTGGCATTGGTCAACAGTCCATGCAGCCAAGACAGACAGACAGACTCACCTCTTTCTCCCTGGAAGGCTAGGCTTGCTTGCAGATGGGGGTCTTCCTGGTGGCCTAATGCTTGGTGTGGCAGGCAGGGGCCCCGTCTCCTGAGAATATGCTCCTTTTGCCCAAGCAACGTTCTTCCTTCTTCACAGTCTCTGCCTTGGTAGCATCCCCAAGAAATACCTCTTCCTGTTCAGTGGGGTTCTTGGCAAAGGGAGCAGGCGGGGCAAAGAAGGGAAGAGACTCTCTAGCCCTAGTGGTGGCAAGAGCAGACTTCCTGCCAGGAGAGTTCTAATGCAGAGGAACATTTTAAGGACAATTTGGAAAACAAAATACCTCAACACAGATTCACCCTTCCTCTGTGTCTAAATCTCCTTGAAATACAGTGGGAAGAGAAATGTAGTAAAATTTTAACAAACATTGAATCTGGATAAAAGGTAGCTGGAAGTTATTTGTACTTTCCTTACAACATTTCTGCAAGTCTGAAATTATGTCAAGTTAAAAATGTTAAGAAATCCAGTTGAAGACACTAATATGAATGAGCAGGTTCTTGCTGTTCCATTTGCTCCATTTGCTGGAGCTCTGCTCATTCCCCTTTATCATGGACTCCTCTCTGGCACCACCTGCTCACCTTCCAGACCTCATGGTGGCTCTTCAGTGTTTCTTGAACATGGCACTCTGCTGGATACAGCAGTGGGCTGGGGTGAACAATACTCAAGTCCTATTGTCAAGGAGTTTTTAATTTCGTGTTAAATTTGAAAATTTGCTTTTATTTTCCCTACTATGAAAACTACTGTGCTCATGACAAAAAAATGGCTGGAAAATATTAACAAGGAAAATTGAGAAAACAAAACCATTTATAACCTTGTACATTTAGTTATAGTCATTGCTAGCACCTCAGGGTGTATCCTTTCGAGATGAGTAGGTAGATAGAAAGATAGATGGATAGATAGATAGATAGACAGAAAAACACTGGTTCACAAAGAACAATGGGAACATATTGTACATATTGTTTTGCAATCTATCTGCTCAAGATTAAGCTAACACTATGTTATATATATCTTTTCATGTCAAAATATAGATTTTGATAATGTATTATTTAATATGTGCATAGCATTCAGGTGTAAAACTATATGATTTATTTATTCAGGTGTAAAAGTATATTATTTCTTTAACAATTGCATAACCACAAATCTTCTAGTAAAGTGTGGTGGACAAGAACAAAGTTTTAAAAATCAGTCCTGCTTTTGATTCCTGGAGCTGACCTTCACTAGCTGAACATCCTTGATTAAGTTACTGAGTCTCTTTACCTTCCATTTCTTTATCTATAAATAGGAGTAATTATAGTAAATACCACATAGGATTGTTCCGAGAAATGAGCAAGATAATGCTTGTAATTTCAATAGCGTGATACTCAGCATCTTAAACATAAATCCTTAGTATTCTAACTATTTTCTAAAACTCTTCTAACTATCTTCCCAATGCACAGTGAACAGCTAAGTGCATGCATCCTTTTACATGTCCTTAATAACTTTCTTGGGCTAAGTTATCAGAAATATAAATGCTGGATCAAAAGACATGTACATTTGGAGGGCTTTGGAACATTAAAGTTGTGTTTTGTTCTACTTGGATAGTCCTCTGTGTTTTTGAAAAATCTCATTGAACCTGATTTATCTGGTCACAAGGTAATTACTTCTAGACCCTAGATTGCTGTCCAGAAGGATCCATATATTTATTGGACAATAAATATGGCCAATTATGCCAGCTATGTTAGGAAGTATGGGAATCAGGAGACTTGGTTATTATTATTTAGAAAGTTTTTAACAGAGACTTTCTGAATAACTTAATAAAATCTATACACTTGGATAGCAAGTGAATCTTTTATAACAAAGAGGTATAAGAGATCTTTCAAATATCATCAAAAGAGAAGAAAATGTCATAGTATAAAAGGATGTCCACAGAAGTTTTGGGGGTAGTACTCTGACTGATGCATTGTGGGACACCTCTGCTCTGCTAGAAAATCTAAAGAAAAATCTAAATTCTTGTTCAAGGCTTCGCACTGCAATGCTTCTCTTAAACTCGACATTATCAGAAACCTTGCTAAAAAAAAGCCAATATCTGCAATGGCAAATGCAACTGAGGGGTTACTAGAGATGAAGTCAATAGCATTGGGGGCCCATGCCCATTGCTTTGGGAAAATAATAAGAAAGGGGCTTCTAGTCACACAATTGTAAGGAAATACCCACACATTGTTTTTTGGGGAAAAAACCATGAGATCACTAATTTTTAATCAGTTATTGCAGACTGGGATAACAAATTCTCTGCTTAGTGAGTCAAATTAGATTTTTTTCACTAGGCTGAGTCCTAAAAATAAAGAAAAAAGTTTTATTGAAGAGTAAAACTGAAATTTAACTTTGGCAATCTTCATGTGACATCAAGTTGGAAATGCTAAGTCTTTAGGGACTGTATTATGCAATATTATAATTGCCTGAGCAGACAACGGAGTCACCTCTACATTGTAATTACCAAAGAGTTAAGAAGACCATGCCCACAATTGTAGGTAATTTGGAAGGGACACAGTGTATGGCTAAACAAGACTTCTGGGTTATCGTGTGTGTTTTGTGGGGGAAAATGGCAGTGTGCAGTGTGTGTGTGTGTGTGTGTGTGTGTGTGTGTGTATTGACATGGATAGTCATTAAAAGCTTTCCTATCCTAACGAGCAAAAAAAGAGGATCTATAACGTTTTCTTAATCCAGCTCCCAGGATCAGCTGTTGATGCTGATAGGCTATGGCACCACACAGCTGGACTGCTATTTTCAGAATGTTTACCCTATGGTGACAGTGGCAGCAACAATACCAACTTGGTGGACTGATCAGACTTTGTCAAAGTAGGAACTGTAACTGCCACATTTGGATTAGGTGTCCATGGGGTATCAAGAAAGGAAACCAAAAGAAGAAAGGACATCCTATGATTCATTAATTGGAGTTTCAAGTGGTATCAACATGAATATTTACAGACATAACTTTATTTTGTATCTCAAGATGATAAAGACTAGTACTGTCTCTTGAGCCTTATTAGTAGCATATATATATATTTATATACATATGTACATACGTAAGTATATGTATATTTCCTTAAATGTATATTGCTGGAATTCTCTCAGGCAGTTTAGTGAGAAAACCTGAAAATTTGAAAGAGACCTGATGTTTCCCCTTATCTTCACAGTCAGAATTTTTGAATGGATTGCCAGTTTTCACAGCCCCCTCTTCCCCACCTCCTGCTTTCTCCTCAGCTCACGCCAGTCTGAGTTCCACTATGACCACATCACTAAGTGCTGACTCCCACTCGATGAATTAAATGGGCTCCTTTCAGTCTTTACGCCACTTGTGGCAGAGGCCCACATTGGCCTACATTGTATAATCTTTTTCTTGGTCTCCATAATTTTACATTCTCCTGACTTTCTTCCCTTCTCCCTGGCCTCTCCATTTATTATTTTTCTCCTCTGCCTATTCCTCAGATTTTGTAGTTATCCCTCCTCTCTTCATCTCACGGTTTTAATCACCATGTTCATGAAGTTGATTCCTAAATCTTTATCAGAGAGCTTCAGATCTATATATCTCTGACTAGCTACATTTTTCATTGAGGTGCTTCGCAGACACCCCAGAGTCACCATTTCCCAAAATGTATTAATTGCTATACCATGGCCAAAACAAGTTCATTCTCTTATGTTCCATGTCTCTGAATGTAAAGACCATTTGTTTAGTTGCCTGAATCATGAAGTGTGGGTATTATCCTTGGCTTCTCTAATTCCATCCCATCTATGATGGTTAATATTGAGTGTCAACTTGATTGGATTGAAGGATGCAAACTATCGTTCCTGGGTGTGTCTGTAAGGGTGTTGCCAAAGGAGATTAACATTTGAGTCAGTGGACTGTGAGAGGCAGACCCACCCTCAATTTGGGTGGGCACCATCTAATCAGCTGCCAGCACGGCTAGGATAAAAGCAGGCAGAGGAACATGGAAGGGCTGGCTGAGTCTTCTGGACTTCATCTTTCTCCTGTGCTGGAGGCTTCCTGCCCTCAAACATCGGACTCCAAGTCCTTCAGCTTTTGGACTCTTGGACTTAAACCAGTGGTTTGCCAGGGTCCCTCAGACCTTCAACCACAGATGAAGGCTGCACTGTCAGCTTCCCTACTTTTGAGGTTTTGGGACTCTGACTGGCTTCCTTCTTCCTCAGCTTGCAGACAGCCTACTGTGGGACTTCACCTTGTGATAGTATGAGTCAATACTTCTTAATGAACTCCCCTTCATATATACATCTATCCTATTAGTTCTGTCCCTCTAGAGAACCCTAATACACCATCTAATAAAACTCCAAGTCATGGTGACTTTACCTCCTCAAAGTCTATCAAATCTATCCTCTTTACTATTTTCTCTCTGCTACCCCTTGGCCCTCTCCTTGACTCCTTCAGTAACCTCCAAAGAAACATTTCTGCCATAATCTTGCCTTTAATAGTTCTCCACTCTTTAGTCAGAATGATCTAAATGCAAACTTGATTATATAATTTCCATGATTAAACATTTTAGTAACTTTCTATTGCATTTAGGACAAGGCTTTGGCCCCTTAACATGGTCTTTAAGTCTTTGCATGTTCATTCTTTTAGCAAACGTTGCTGAGTGCTGCCATGAACCAGATACTCTTCTGGGCAATGAGGACCATGTGCTGGTTCTTCTGTACCTCTCATGACACCACATCTACCCTACCATTGTCTGCTAGTGACATTAAACTTCTAGTTTTTTATGCACTCTCTCCTGGATCCAACTCTTCAAATATTTATCTGACACATGTTTATTGAGCACATAATATGTGCAAAGCACTAACGGCACCACTTGCTGTCTTCCAAACACACACGTATACTCCTATATCCTCTTTGACTAAATAATTCTGACTCATCTTTCAGGTCTGAGCTCACCCTTCAGGTCTCATCTTTTCAGAAAAACTTTCTTGCCGATTCTCTTTCCCTGGCCCAGTTGAGTTTAGTGACTGTTATCTTTGGTGTCGCATAATATCATGTATTTTTTCCTTGGGAGCACTTATTGCATGATAATGCACTTGTTTGCTTCCCCTATTAGACTCTATAAAGTCAGGAAGGCAGGGCTGAGTCTGTCTTCTTCACTGTTGAAGCTCCAGCATATCCACAGTGCTCAGAACACTGCACCATGGAGTTAGGCTTTTAGACTTGTAATCTAAATCTTTATTTGTGAGAGCATGGTAAGGCCTAAAAAATATTTCTAACCAATCAAAAATTTGTGCAATAGTCTTTATACTAGTTGACAAATTTGCTGTCATAGTGTTCAAGAATGATCATTTAAGTGCCAGACCATCTCCAAAAGTATTCATTCCTGATTAAATCTTTCTATCTCAAATAACCACCTTGGAGAATGCATTGTGATTATAGTACTTTAAATAATAACAAACCATCCCCTAGTTTGTAAATAGAGTTAACTTATATTCACCCTTACCATATTAATAAAACTATATATTTTAAAGGAAATTGCTGCTCAGATAATATAACACACCAGAACTCATACAAACCACAGAAAAAGGCTGCTTTGGGAATAATTAGAAGGAACATCTAGTAGAACTCTATTATATATACCTGAACCTGATGTGTCAGAGCTTTGAGGTGAGGGGAGGCTGTGGGGCCTGGAGACAGGCTGATTTAGAGCTTGCAGGAAGGCTGTATGGTTCTGGAGCCTACCAGCAGCAGAGATGCACTTGGCTTCTATTTCGTACAGTGACTCCTTAAATGAATTGGGAATCCCATTGCAGAGAACAGTCATTCCAGTTGGATGATGATGACATTACCCCATTAATATAAGGCTGTCCCAGCACCAAGCCAAAGAAACACTATGCTCAGTGGTCATACTTCCTGCTCAGTTGGTCTCTAGCCTGGCAACACAGAACTAGAGTAAATATAAAACTTCCCCCATTTTCCTTGATCAAATCCTCTAAGATGTGGTATTTGCAATATCTATCAGAACCCATCACTAGGCTTCAGGACTTTGAATATGGGCAAAACTCATTTCTCACTTCAAAGTTTAACATGTGGAAAAAACAATGGGTATGCGAGAATACAGTAACTCAAAATAAGATGAGCATTATGAAGAAAGAGATCCAATGTCCATCTGTGAAACAAAATCATTACAAGACATAGGAAATGTTAGAAAACACCTCATATGTTTTTATTAAGATTTTAGAAAACACTAACTCTATGAAAGAGATATGACTTAATATAATGAAATGGACCAACAAACACTTTGAGATTTAATTGCTGGCTTAAAAAAACAATGAAGTGAAGGGCTCTGAATAGCTGATTGGATACAATAGAAAGAAAATAAGTAAATCAGAAGATATTGAAATATTAATTTGGAATTCAGAGAAAAAGTGAAAAAGAAATACAAGTAGAGGAGAAAGAAAGATATTAATATTAGATCCAACTGATCCTTATACATTCTGTGGCTTGCAAAAGAGAAAGCATGAAAAAATAACATATAAGAACAGCAATAATCAAAGTAATTGTGAAAGAAAATATAAGTGAAAAAGCTGAAAATTAGGCAAAATCAATGAAAGGAAATCTAAACCTAGACATCATTTCGGATTTCTTTAAAAAAGAAATATTCTGGAAGCCTCTAAGTAGAAAAATCTGTGAAGGAAACAAAATATTAAGTGTCTTTAAAATATTTGTTGAAATATTCTAAATCCTAGATGATCATAGATAAACATCTAGGGTTTTGATAGTGAAATGTTGTGACTCAGGAACCAATAATAAAAGTAAAGTACAATCCAGATTCAACTTAAAATTGCTCAGGGATGTGGCTGTCAGAATTCGTGATTTATAGCCCAACTTCCACTCCCTCTAATGCAGAGTGCTCAGAGCCCTGTGGTCTAATGGGATGCCTGGTAAGAGGAAAGGGTCTATCCTCTCTAGTCTAGACGTTTGACTTTCTTCAGAAGAATTCCACAGAAAAATGACACCAGAATACAATAATCTATCACTATATTCTGGGTTACTCAACCTAAATAGCATTGTTTTTATTTATTCATTTAGTTTTTTGAGACAGTCTCACTCTGTCATCCAGGCTGGAGTGCAGTGGCGCAATCTTGGCTCACTGCAACCTCTGCGTCCTGGGTTCAAGTGATTCTCTGCCTCAGCCATCTGAGTAGCTGGGATTATAGGCATGCACTACCACATCCAGCTAATTTTTGTATTTTTAGTAGAGGCAGGGTTTTACCATGTTGGCCAGGCTGGTCTCAAACTCCTGACCTTGGGTGATCCGCCTGCCTTGGCCTTCCAAAGTGCTGGGATTACAGGCGTGAGCCACCACACCCAGCCAAAATACCATCTTTTAAAGAGTTTATTTCACAGTTCTCTGTCTCAGTTCCTTATCCCTTGTAAGCAAGTGCTTGAATGCAGAAACACACTCTCACACCCCATTGGAGAGAGGTTGCAAACTGGTGGCCCATAGATTGCACTCAGTATGCAGCTGTATTTAGTTTGACCTGTTCAGTGTTTTAAAAAATTTGGATCAACATATTGAAATTTAGATTTCAACCGATATCCTAGTACTTAGGAGATCTCACACTATGGAGAACACATGTGCATAGGCCAGTGGTCAGCTGGAGCAGGAGTCAGGCCTCATCAAGTCTGTCTCCAGTCTCACCACCTCTGTGGAAGGAATCCAGTTGCCAGCCATTGTCATGCATGCAAAGCTGTTTTTTTCTTAGAGGAGAGTGAGAATGGTTTACAGTCATACATCTATTGAAAGAGGGAAAACAAAAGATAGAATGAGGAGACCACAGGCTTCCAGAACAATGAAAAACATGTATATACACATATAAACATAAAAGATACACACACACACACACACACACACACACACACACACACACACACGCAGAGAAAGTTTAAGAGTTTTTAGTATTTGGGGACTCTGGAGGCTACATGGCATACCTGGAGGTCAGGGAGCAAGGGCAGGGAAAGAGAGAAAGGGACCTGTGGGCCGAACTTTATTGGGGTCAAGGAATCATCTAAACAGATTTTCCACATGGAGTTTTAATTGGTGCGTTTAAAGCAAGCAGGCATAAGTTCCAGGGGCACACAGAGGTGGTCACTGCAGCATGTCTGCACACTCCATGTTGGGTGTGGGGGTCAGGATGGCAAGTAGAGCAGGCTGCAGCCAGCTGACCTATAATGAGCTGGTCACCAGGAGGCAGTTGTATAAGGCAGCTATCTGACTTGGCCACACAGGAGAACCTGGAAGTGTAGAATTGGAAACCATATCAAGGGTGACTGAGCCCTGAGGGAACGTATTTCTTTGTGAAAATTAGACTATATATATATATATATGTATGTATAAATATGTGTATATGTATATATGTATATATGTGTGTATATGTGTGTGTGTATGTATGCATATACATATATATGTACGTATATGCATACATACACACATATACACACATATATACATATATACACACATATTTATACATACATATGTATGTATATGCATATATACACACACATATATACACACATATTATATACACATGTATGTATATATATATATATATATTTTTTTTTTTTTTTTTTTTTTTTTTTTGAGACGAAGTCTCTCTCTGTCACCCAGACTGGAGTGCAGTGGCGCAATCTCTGCTCACTGCAAGCTCTGCCTTCTGGGTTCATGCCGTTCTCCTCCCTCAGCCTCCCGAGTAGCTGAGACCACAGGCACCCACCACCATGCCCAGCTAATTTTTTTGTATTTTTAGTAGAGACGGGGTTTCACCATGTTAACCAGGATGGTCTCGATCTCCTGACCTCGTGATCCGCCTGCCTTGGCCTCCCGAAATGTGACTTTGCCAAAAAATACAACAAAAGATACCATTATGAAACAAAGAACAACTGTTATCTAGAAAACCTACATGATTAAAACTTAATTAACTAAAAGAAAGAACTAGAATTTACACAGGATGAATTTCTGAATGCAAATAAGTGATGCTATTGTGAAAAAGTGGCCATAAATATTTTACAGATGATGAGTTTCTCAAAGAGTGAAACTACGGAGTGAATGAGAAATACTGTTGCTGAGAATAGTGACCATACCTGGGGACTTGTTGGAGAAAAATGAAATATTCTGTGGTGTTTTATATTGCAGCTGATGAAAACAAAGATATAAATAATTCTAAGCAGCTAGCTATATTTACTTGTGGTACTGATGAAAAATTTTATGCAACCAATGAATTCATTAAAAGGATACCCATGATACATAAAATATCAAGGAATGACATTTTTGTGTGCCAAGAAAAGCCTTGATATTCTACTGTAGAGAAGTCAAATTAGTAAGCATGACTATAGAGAAATTCTGTGATGATACATCTAAAAGACAGACTTATTCATGAATTTAAAACCACTGTGGCAACATTTTGCAATGGCAAGGAAGTGAAGTCTGTTTATTGCATCGTTCATCAGGAAACACATTGTACTAATGTATTTATAGATGTGGTAGTTAACGTAGTATACCAGACATGCTTGAATGTCTAGGACCATAAAATATTCAGTGCTTTGTATGATGAATTGGATGCATAACACGATAATCTGTTGTATTCCACATGTGTACTAAAAAGCATAAATGAACAAAAGAAATATAGGTACACAGGGATTTAAAAGAGTACTACATTTCACTGACTTTGTACATTATTTTTAATACCATCTCTGAATTTGGGATGTATCTTAGTCAATGATAAGAAGGCACTGTGCAGTATTTTAATAGGCAGATTTTAATTTTTCTTTCTTAGTGATATATAAAATTATGGTGCATCTTACGATTGACGTTATCTGAGATTCTGTGAAATATGATTATAAGAGAATGCCACAAATTTAAGCCATTATAATTTAAAACTTATAAAAAATAGATAAATAGCTATATAAATAGAACTTAACAAAATTGACTTGAGAAATAGAAGTTTTGAAGTGCCCTAGCTAAAAGATGGCCCTATGATTTTGGAATAATTGTAAAGCATAAGCTGCCAGAAAATATCATTTGAAAGCAGCAATTTCTGTGATAAGATTAAATTTGAAATCACTTTTGAGGATCAATAGTCTTTGAATTCAGGAAATATTTTGAATTACACAGATACACAATTATAAAGGTAAGACTTACAAATTTTGTGATTGTGGCTGGGGCTGGTCGTAGTAGTCTGTTCTCACGCTGCTGATAAAAACATACCTGGCTGGGCACAGTGGCTCATGCCTGTAATCCCAGCACTTTGGGAGGCCAAGGCAGGTGGATCACCTGAGGTCAGGAGTTCAAGACCAGCCTGACCAACATGGTGAAACCCAGTCTCTACTAAAAATACAAAAATTAGCTGGACATGGTGGCGGGCATCTGTAATCCCAGCTACTCAGGAGGCTGAGGCAGGGGAATCGCTAGAACCCGGGAGGCAGAGGTGGCAGTGAGCAGAGATCGCGCCATAGTACTCCAGCCTGGGTGACAGAGCAAGGCAAAACTCCCTCAAAACAACAACAACAACAACAAAAAACCCCACATACCCAAGATTGGGTAATTTATAAAGGAAAGATGTTTAATGGAATCAGTTTCACAGTTCCACATGGCTAGGGAAGCCTCACAATCATGGCGGAAGGCAAAGGAGAAGCAAAAGCATGGCTTACATGGTGACAGGCAAAAGAGATTGTGTAGGGGAACTCATTTATAAAACCATCAGATCTCATGAGACTTACTCACTACCGGAATAGTATGGGGGAAACTGCTCTGTGATTCAATTATCTCCACCTGGCCCCGCCCTTGAGACGTGGGGATTATTACAATTCAAGGTGAGATTTGGGTGGGGACACAGCCAAACCATAAATGGTGAATTGGTATAAATGGTGAATTGACTATTATACAGGTGCATCGAGCAAAAGGTTCATTATTTTGTTTGGTGATGGATAGTGCATATAATTCTGCCAAAGCAAGATCTCTTTATCTGTTTTTATAGTGTTGTGGCCTATAAACCAATGGTTTATAAACTCAAATACCTATAAGGGCCTGAAAATTAGTATAATGTGTGAAATCAACCAGGGATAAGAAAAACATCTCTCAGAACTATAAAACTTTATTTTACTGAATGAAGCACATAACACAAACATGCATAATATTGGAGAAAATATATTAAATTCATTGAAAAAACACAAACTGGGGTGGACATGGCCACTCATCCCTGTAATCCCACACTTTGGGAGGCTGAAGCAGATGGATCACTTAAGATCAGGAGTTTGAGACCAGCCTGGCCTCATGGAATGACATGTAAATGTCCTATCAGAGAAATATTTAAAGTGCTTACATAGTGTGTAATGTTAACAAAAACAGCCAAATCTATGATGTAATCTTTAAAAAATATTTTACAGGGCCAGACGCGGTGGCTCACGCCTGTAATCCCAACACTTTGGGAGGCCGAGGTGGGCAGATCATGAGGTCAGGAGCTTGAGACCAGCCTGGCCAGCATGGTAAAACCTCGTTTCTCCTAAAAATACAAAAATTAGCCAGACATGGTGGCAGGCGCCTGTAATCCCAGCTACTCAGGAGGCTGAGGCAGGAAATCGCTTGTAGTGAGCTGAGATCGCACCACTGCACTCCAACCTGGGCGAAAGAGCAAAACTCCATCTCAAAAAATTAAAAAAAAATATATATATATAACGTAATATTTCAGGTATACATAAAAGTATAAATGATAATATAATAATAATAAACACCTATCTCCTAACCTAAGAGCTGAACCATTACAAAATAATGGAATCTCTTTTTATACTACTCTTCCATCAGCAGTAACCACGTTCCTGAATGAGGTGTTTATAATTCTCACACATTTCTTCCTGTTTTCTCACACACTTATGGAACCCTGTATAATATGTGGTGGTGTTTTGTAGATATTTAAGAACTGCAATAATGGTATCCTAGTATATAAATTGCCCTAAAACTTTCCTTGTTCATTCAACAATATGTTTGTGAGGTCATCCATGTTCAGTTGCACTGCTGTGTAGCACACCATTGCATGAATATATCACAATGTGTTTATCCATTTATCTATTAATAGGTATTTTGATGTTTCTAATTTGGTCCATGTTGGAGCTGAGATTTGCAATTATCAGCCGTTATGACTCCAGAACCTCCAGGCTAAACAACTGACTACACTACTTTCAATTGGAGTCTCTCTGAAACTTCATATCCTAGAAACAAAAAGTAGTGGAAAAACCTCTGTTCATGATATTCAAACTTGTTGCTCAAAGATCTAAATGGAAAATAAAAGACACAAAATAGTGCAGTAGGAATCCCCAGGTTTATACCAAACTAAACCGTGTGTAAAATCAATTACTTAATTCCATCAGGTGTTTAAACAAGTCGAAAGGCACTCAAATATCACCTTCCCCAGGCTCTTACTAATTATTTCCATAATTAATCTGAGGTTGGAATGTCTAGGGCTAACTCTGGAAATCCTTAAAGTTCATAGATGGGTGATTAGGTTTTTCATGTTTCCCTCAGGCTATGGATATCTGTGTTCACACTTCCACATATGAAGGGCTCGGCTACCTCTCTCCTCCAACTAGGCGATGCCTGAGGACCTGAACTGTGTCTGCAACTTGGGAGATGCTAGTCCTCAGCAAAACAGTGAAGTCCATACACTTTGTCTTCACCAATTCTTCTTCAGTTTCCCCTACTTCTACTATAGGCATGGATGACCCTCAAGTGCACACAGCATATTTGCTGAATGATTAGGAGAAGAGATGATCTGGAATGAGAGGGACTTGGAGCATTCTCCCAATATAATTACAAACTATTAAATAGTTGTGTATATTTAGGGCCTTTTTTTGCACAGAAAAGCTTGGGGTTAACGCCTGTGTCGTCATTTCATCTCCCAACCTTATTTAAAAGCACGACACCTGCTCAGGCAGTATTTAAGTGAATAACACCATTAAATAAATCAACCTTTATTTAAATTTAATCATAAACCTGTCAAGTTAAATATACCTTGCAAACAAAGTGGATCAAGTAGAATAAAACAAACTATGTAAGAGGCTCTAGCAATAACCCATTCTTTAGATCTTCTCTGACAGTTCATCTTTTTTTTTTTTTTTTCGGTACTGAAATTTAATCTTCTATTTAAATTTCCCATTGAGTCTGAGCCAGGCCATTCTAAGAATGATGCTTTTTTTTTTCCTGGTCCACAACTAACTTATGTGTTTATCCCTTCTCTACATGTCTGCTCATGGACTTAATTGTTCCATTTATGTGATTTTGTACCACTCAGCGCAGCATAAATCTTTTGGTTACAAGGGCCAGAAATTCAATTCAAACAGATTTAGGCAAAAGTGGTATGTATTGGTTCATGGAATATGATAAAAGGTTGTTCAATGAAACCAAAACAGGGCAAGGATATAGCTGGGCCTCTGGAACATCAGGAACTGAATAAAAGCAGGTTTTAGCCATATTCACTTCTTGTCTCTGTTCCTTTCTGCGTGTAATAGGCTATATGGTAGAGAATATAGCTATGAGAAACTGCTGGATTTCATGTCTTACCAATGTTTTCTTTGATCAAGTTAGAAAATTCCCAAAAACAGACTTTGATGGGCTTGCAATGGATCCATCAAATATGGTAAAGGGCGGGATCATGGAGAACTCTTGGCGACAGCACGAGGAGGAGCAGTTGTCTCTAGGTGGAGGTGGTTGTTCTCTGAAGAAAGGAGGGACTGAGAAGGCAGAAAAAAAAAAAGGCCTTTTCCAACTATCCTCACTACCTCTTGCCCACTTGCTCCTCCCAGAATTTTACAGCCTCTAATCTTCCCAACATTTTCCTTCTACCTTTATAACCCAAATCAAATCTTATATTTTTCAGGGTAGCCTCTCTTTTGATGACTACAAGTCTATTTCTAGTTCCAACCTCTAATCTGAGTTTCACTTCTTCATTTTCAAAGGTCTGCTGGTGTTTTCTAAGTGGAAAACATGATGTCTACCCAGTTGTAATACACTCCAAGTTTTACTATTTCTTCCAAATTCAAACCAACTTCCTCTCTCAACTTCTTTAATTTTTCTTAAGTGATTACATCATATTAGAATCCCACAATGAAATCCTCCCTGATTCTTCCTTCCCTATCAACCACCATATTAAGACACTAGTTGATGATGTTTTTCCAAAGGTCTCTCAGTCTATTCCTTCTTCATTATTCCTACCACCTCATCCCAGACCAAATTTCCTTTTATTGTAACTGAAGTGTACATGGTTCAAATCCTCTGTCTCCTCCTCGTCAAATAAATCCTGCACATAAAATAACTGCTGTGATTGTGTCACTTCCTTACTTAAGATTCTGTTATAACCGCTAACATGAAAAAGCCCCAACTCTTGAGCTTAGCTCCATAATCTGACCTCTACCTGCTATAGAGAACTTGCTATGCTCATTCCCCCCTCTAAACCTTTGTCTATGACATTCACTTGCATTCCGATCCAAAGCCTGGTTACACAGTTTGTTTATGCCAATAATTTTGACACCTAATTAGATGCAGCCTCTTATTGCTATTTAAATGTTTCCTATATGTTTGTGTGTAACCCTCAACTAAATTGAAGGTTCTATGCTAAACAGACCATATTTTATTACTCTGCATCACCCTTCGAGCCTAAATGCAGGGTACTAGAAATGGTTAGTATGTGGGCAAATACAAACAACTATTATTTTCTCTTCTCTTAGTTTCTTGAAAATATAACAATTTCAAGAAAAAATCCAATGTGGAATCCAAAAAAGTTGAAATCATAGAAGTACTGTACAACATTGTGACTATAGTTAATAACCATGTATTATATTACTGAAAATTGCTAACAGAATAGGTTTTAAGTGTTTTCACCACAAAAATATGGTATGTATGTGAGGTAATGCTTATGTTAATTAGCTCGATTTAGCCATTCCACAACATGTGCCTATTTCAAAACAACATATTGTATATGATAAATATATACAATTTTTATTTTTCAATCAAAAAATAAAGCAAAAATGATTACATTGCATTGTGGGATTTACAATAGATGTGTATGTAAAATATATGACAAAAAGGGCACAAAGGATGAGGATTGGTAGCCAATGAAACTACTTTTGCAAGATAATTGTATATAATATTAACTCTAAGTAGTTATCACAGGATAAGAATTGATTCTGTAATCCTTACAGCAACCACCAAACTTTTATAAAAATAGGTATATCTAAAGTGCAATAGAAGATTTAAAAAATTTTTTTCTAAAAGAAGTCAGGAAAGAAGGAACAGAAAACAAAAACAGATGGAACACATAAAAGACAAAATACCAACATTGTACACCTAAATCCAACCATATCGAAATTACCTTGAATGTAAATGAGCTATAATCAAAGGACAGCAATTAAAAGACTGGATAAAAATAATATCCAACAACGTTCTTCCCTTAACAAACATTTTTTTTTTAATTTTCTGAGATGGCTGACTGTAGGGAGACCTGCTGAAACTATTGCTATGGAATAAAAGATGAAATGCTCCTGATTATTGTAAATACAAAATTGCATGCAGGATTGTGTAAAGACAATGCCAGGTTGGACTGCCAGAATGAGCCAACAGCGTGTGATGTGCTTCCCCCTGCAGAGAGCCTATGAATGGACGTGCAGTCAGGAAGGTTTCACATCACCAAGATTCCTATCCTAGAAAAGCAGATGTTCATAGCTCTGGGAATGGAATGCGACCCTTGTGGAGAGCCTATAAATGGACGCATGGGCAGGGGCGCCTGTCCATATGGATAAGATAGGGCTATAAACGCCCTCATCTTGCCACGGCTCTTCTAAGCCTTTTTAGGGTTAAGGCATACTCTCTTCTGAGAATTTCTGGTCTAACCAGCTGTCTAGCTTCATGTCCTGTTTCCATGGATTGTTTGTAACCAGCTTTTGTTGCAATTGTTACTGCTGATTAATATCTTGCTAATCATAGGTTATGGAAAGATTGTGTTTCTGTTTTAAGGCTCTGTTAGAAATTACTGACACACACACTATATTGTAAATTCTTATCTCTGTATACTGTACTTCTACAAACAAATGTACTGTACTTCTACATACAAATGTTATGTTAAAGAATTACTTCATCCCCATGTGACTATCTCACCTCATAATCAAATGACCCTAAATCCCTCACTAACCTACCCCTGCTGTCACTAAACTTAAGAATAAATGCTAGTATATCCAGTGCATTGCTGGCACCGCGGGAGCAGAAAGCGGTGACCCCCCTGGACCCAGCTTTCACTATCTTGTGTGTGTCTATTATTTCTCGACCTGCCGGTCCGCCTGGGAACAAAGAGAGAGCCCCGCTGCATTGCAGGCTGCTGGCCAGATACCACAATATCTGACACTTTTATTTTCAGGGGGGGTTGACTCTTTGTAGTCCAGAGTGCTGTGGGCCTGTCTGGAGTGACATGGTTTCTAAGGTCAAAATGCAAAGTAAACACAGGTCACTATGAGCTATACTTTCTCCAATGTGCTGGTCTACTTGTTTTACTTTTCTTTTTGTAAAATACTTGTTCTTCATTTTTTTCTATTGTGGTAAAATACGAAAAACAAAATTTACCAACTTAACCATTTTTAAGGGTACAACTCAGTGGTGTTAAATACATTCATAATATGCAACCATCATCATTGTGCATCTCTATGATTCTTTTCATCTTATGAAACCAAAACTCTATACCTATTAAACAATAACTCCTAATTCCCCCCTTGCTCAGGCACCTGGCAGCCACCATTGTATTTTCTGCCTCCATGATTTTAATTACCCTATTATCTCATATAAGTGGAATCATATAATATTTCTTTTTGTGACTGACTTGTTGCAGTTAGTGTAATGTTCTCAAGGTTTAACCATGTTTTAGCATAATGCAGACTCTTTTTAAGGCTGAATAAAATTCCATTATATGAATAGACCACATTTTTCTTATCCATTCATTGTTGATGGACACTTTGGTTGCTTCCATATTTTAGTTATTGTTAATAATGCTACTATAAACACAGGTGTACAAATAATCTTTTTGAGATCCTGCTTTCAATTCTTTTGGGTATATACACAGAAGTGGAATTACTGGATTATATGGTAATTTTATTTTTAACTCTTTGGGGAACTGCCATACTGTTTTCCACGGTATGGGAAGTCTTTGCTTAAGCCAATGTCTAGAAGGATTTTTTCCGATGTTATTAATATCTTCTAGAGTCTTTATGGTTTCAGGTCTTAGACTTAAGTCTGATCCATCTTGAGTTGGTTTTTGTATGAGATGAGAGAGGAGGATCCAGTTTCATTTGTTGATGTCATTTCCCTACTTCATGTTTTTGTTCACTTTGTCAAAGATCAGTTTGTTGTATTTGGCTTTATTTCTGGGTTCTCTATTCTGTTCCATTGGCCTATGTGCCTATTTTTCTACCAGTACCATGCTGTTTTGGTGACTATGGCCTTATAGTATAGTTGAAGTTGTGTAATGTGATGCCTCCAGATTTGTTATTTTTGCTTAGTCTTGCTTTGGCTATGTGGACTCCATTGTTTTTTCTAGTTCTGTGAAGAATGGTGGTGGCATTTTGGTGGGAATTGCATTGAATTTGTAGATTGCTTTGGCAGTATGGTCATTTTCACAATATTGATTCTACCCATCCATGAGCATGAGATATGTTTCCATTTGTTTGTGTCATCTATGATTTCTTTCAGCAGTGTTTTGTAGTTTTCCTTGTAGAGGTCTTTCACATCCTTGGTTAGGTATACAGGTATATTCCTAAGGTTTTTTTTTTTTTCTTTTTTTTTTTTTTGTAGCTATTGTGAAAAGGGTTGAGTTCATGATTTGATTCTTAGATTGGTCACTGTTAGCATATAGCAGAGCTACTGATTTGTGTACATTAATTTTGCATCCGGAAACTTTTCTGAATTCATTTACCAGTTCTAGGAGCTTTTTGGATAAGTCTTTAGGGTTTTCTAGGTATACGATCATATCATCAGCAAACAGTGACAGTTTGACTTCCTCTTTGCCAATTTGGATGCCCCTTATTTCTTGCTCTTTTCTGATTGTTCTGGCTTGAACTTCCAATACCATGTTGAATAGAAGTGGTGAAAGTGGGCATCCTTGTCTTGTTACAGTTCTCAGGGGAAATCCTTTCAACTTTTCCCCGTTTAGTAGAATGTTGGCTGTGGGTTTGTCATAGATGGCTTTTATTACCTTAAGGTAGTCCCTTCTATGCTGATTTTGCTGAGAGTTTTAATCATAATTTTGATTTGCATTTTCCCAATGATTAATGATGTCGAACATCTTTTCATGTGTTTATTGGCCATTTGTGTGTCTTCTTTGGAGAAATGTCCATTCAAGTCCTTTGCCCCCCTACCCCCACCCTTTTCTTTTGAATGAAGCAACAAAAGCAAAGATTTATTGAAAATGAAAGTATACTCCACAGTGCGGGAGCAGGCCCAAGCAGCGGGCTCAAGGGCCCAATACACAATCTTTTCAGGTCTAAATACCCCCTAGAGGTTGGTGTTCCCCCCTTCAGAGTGGTGAGTTACCCCAGGCCCTGGGTGGGTCCACAGATGATATCTGGGAGCCAGGGATTAAAGTAAAAAACCCTAGAAATTTACCTGGTATCCCATTCTACTGAAGCTAAGCTGGCACTCAAACCACAAGACAAAGTTTTTCCCATTCTTCTCTGCCCTTTCCCCAGGCAGAGGAGCCTCTCTTGTGGCCATGACCACCATGGTTCCACAGGGAGTTCTGCCAGGCCTCCACTGATGTTCACTTAAAGATTAAGAGCTCTTCAGTCAGCTTGTGATGAATGCTGCCAGACCTAGAACTCATTCTTCAAGGCAGTGGATTTCCCTCCAGCCCAGGACAGGCTCAGAAATACTGACCAAGAGCCTAGGCCTGGATTCAGGGACTCCAAGATCCTGCTTGGTGCTCTAACCTACTGTGGCTAAATTGGGACCTAAGGTGGAAGACAAAGCCCCATTTACTTTTCCTCTTGCTTTTCTCAAACCATAACCACCACAGCTGGAGATGTGCTGGATCACACCTGAAGCCAACATGTCTCAGAGCCCAAACTGCAGCATATTACCTGGATATCACTGTTGGTTATTCAGGGCCCGGGGGCTCTTTAGTCAGTAGGTGATGCATCCTGTCAGGTCTCCACTTTTACAGAGCAGCACTGAGTTCAATGTAAAGTCCCTCAATCACTGCACTCTCCTTCTCTCAAAGAAATTGATTTCTCCACAATGTGTGGCTGCTTTCAGGGGGTGTGGGCAGGGTGGCACAAACACTCTCTTAGCCACTCTGACATAGGTCATGTGCCCCCCAAGTCCACTGGCTCTGAGCCTAGCTTAGCACTAAGATTTGACCAGGAATTGCAGTCCTTGTGGCCCAATCTGCCCCTCAAGCTTACTTAGAGACCTAGATCACTCCGTCTTGCAGTGGCAAGGCTGGCCAGAAGTTCTGGCCTCTGGGATAGGCAATTCCCTTCTGGCTAGGGCCAATTCAAATGCTCCCTCCATGGACAGATGTCAGCTGAATTTCACCTGGTTCTGCTTTCTGCTGTGACAGGGCAGCACGGAGTTCAATGCAAAGCTTCACACCTGCTGTGCCCTCCCTCAAGCACACAGATACTCTATGCCATGTGGCTGTTGCCAAGGCATGGGGAGGGGTATAGGCTTCTATTCAGCCACGTTGCTCCATCCCTTCCCCTTCCCTTTTCTAAGCTAATAAGTCATTACATAAATTAGTCTTTTTTTTTTTTTTTGATGGAGTCTCGCTCTGTCACCCAGGCTGGAGTTCAGTAGTGCCATCTTGGCTCACTGCAGCCTCCGCCTCCCAGGTTCAAGCAATTCTCTTGCCTCAGCCTCCTGAGTAGCTGGGATTACAGGTGCATGCCACAATGCCCAGCTAATTTTTGTATTTTTAGTAGAGACAGGATTCCACCATGTTGGCCAGGCTGGTCTCCAACTCCTGACCTCAAGTGATCCACCCGCCTTGGCCTCCCAAAGTGCTAGTATTACAGGCTCTCAAAAATGAGCTACCATGCCCAGCCTAAATTAGTGTTTTTAAATTATGTACAAAACAAAACGTGGAGTTACAAACTAAAGTTACAATAATACTAGCTTTTAGACTCATAATTTTTTAAGTGTATTAATCCCTTTAATCATGTAGAGAACAAAAAGTGGAGTTACAAACTGTTGTTACTAACTTACACTAGCTTTTATTAACTGCCCATGTAGCTTTATTAAGGTCTTTTTTTTTTCATACAGCTTTGAATTCCTATCTAGTGTTCTTTTGTTTCACCTTGCAGGGCTCCCTTAAGCATTTCTTGCAGAGCAGATCTGGTGGTAATGAACTCTATCAGATTTTCTTTGTCTGAAAATGTCTTAATTTCTTCATCACATTTGAAGGACAGTTTATTGAATGAATATAGGATGGTTGACAGTATTGTTTTTAGCACTTTGAATATATCGGTCCAGTGCCTTTCTCTTAACAGACATATTTGAAAAATAAAGAGATATTTGAAAGTAATAGGATAGAAAAATTAACCAAGTGATGTAGTTTGGATGTTGTTCTCTCTAAATCTCATGTTGAAATGTAATCCTTAATGTTGGAGGTGGGGCCTGGTGGCATGTGTTTAAACTATGAGGGCAGATCTCTTGTGGCTTTGTGCTTTCCTTACGATAGTGAGTGAGCTCTCATGAGACCTGGATGTTTAAAAGTGTAGTGCATCTCTCCTCCCCTCTCTCTCTTGCTCCGGCTCTTGCCATGTGAGTTGCCTGATCCCCCTTCACTTCCCATCATGACTGTAAACTTCCTGAGGTCTCACCAGAAGCAGATGCTGTCGCCATGCTTCCTGTATAGCTTGCAAAACCATGAGCCAATTAAACCTCTTTTCTTATAAATTATCCAGCCTCAGATATTTGTTTATAGCAATGCAAGAACGACCTAACACACCAAGAAAACGAAAAGCATATGAATGCTAGAGTGACTATTTTAATATCAAAGTGAACTTCAAGGCAAGTATTATAAGATATAAAGTATTATGAGAGATAAAGTTAATTTTAAAGTATTTTATAATTCTAAAATTATAAAAGGGTAAATTCATCAAATACACATAACAATTATAAACATGTAAGAATTTAATATCAGAGCTTCAAAAAGGATGAAGCAAACACTGACAGGACTACAGAGAGAAGTAGACACATCCATAATTGTGGCAAAAGATTTTTACACTTCTTTCTTATTATTTGAGATTAAAATGAGACAAAAAGTCAGTAAGAATGTAGAAGATCTAAGTAACACTATCAAGCACCTTGACCTAATTGATAGTTATGGGGCACTACATTCAACAACAGCATATCTTTTTCAAATACACATGAATTATTCACAAAGATAGACAATATGCTGGGCCATAAAGTAAGTCTCGATAAATTTCAAAAGATTGAAATATTACAGAATATGTTTTCTGATGGCAATGGAATTAAATTAGAAATTCAATAAGATATCTAGTGAAGTCTAAAATTCTTGGAAATTAAACAGTGCAATTCTACATAAAACATTGGTTAAACCACAAATATAAAGTATAATTAGATAAAAGTTCAAGTTGAATAAAAATGAAAATGTAACATATCAAAATTTGTGTGATGCAGCAAAGAAGTGTTGAGCAGGAAACTTAAAGCTTAAATGTTTATATTAGAACAAAAAAAGGTTAAAATATTGATCAAATTCTCTGCCTTAAGAAGCTAAAACAGGAAGAGAAATTAAACCAAAGAAAGAAGAAAAGAAATAATAAATAATAAAACATAAATAGGAAATAAAAGAGAAAATCAGATGAAACCAAATGATGATTCCTTGTAAACATCAATAAGTTGATGAATCACTAGCTAGAACAATAAATAAAAAGAGACAACAAAGTAATCAAAACTGAGAATGAGGGAATAGAAAGCCAGATACTACAGACATTAAAATGTTAATAAAGGGACATTCTGATCAAATTTATGGCAAAAAGTTAAAAACTTAGATAAAATGGACAAACTCCTTAAAAAATGAAACCAAATTAGACACAAGAAGAAATAGAAAATCTTAATAGTACTATATCTATTAAATAGGTTGTAATTATTTTAAAAAAAGCAAACCTTCATGAATTAAAAACTTCAGGTCCAAATGGTTTCTCTCATGAATCATATCAAATATTTAGAGAAGAAATAATACCAATCTTACACAAAGTTTTAAGATAATAAAGATGGCGGAAATGTTTTCTAACTCATTTCATTAGGCCAGAATAACCTTGTCACCAAATCTTGACAAAGATATGTAATTAAAAAAAAATAAAAATAGAGGTTGGTATTCCACATAAACATATATACAAAGATCCTTGACAATATATTAGCAAATAAAGTAGTGCAACATATAAAGAGAATAATACACTATGACTAAGTGGGGCTTATACCAGGAATGCAGAATTTATTTAACATTCAAAGATTAATCAGTGTAATTTACCATGTTAATGAAATGGAGAAGAAAAACTGTAGGATCATCTCAATAAATACAAAAAAATTTTAAAATAAAATTCAATACTCATTAATGGTAAAAATTGTTAGCAAAGTAGGAATTAAAATGGGCTTTTTACAGCTGATAAAGGGAATCTAAAAATGATCTACAGTTAACTATACCCAGGGATGAAATAGTGAATATTTTCTTCCTAAAAACAGGAACAAGGCCGGAATGTGTACTCACATTAAATCTAATCAGCACTACACTGGAGATCCTAGCCAGTGAAATAAATTTTAAAAAAATAAATAAAGGGCATACATATGGAGAAAGAAGAAATAAAATTGTCTTTATTTGCTGATGACTAAGTATAAAATTTCAAAGAATCTTCAAACAGCTACTAGAACCAATATATTAATTCGGTATATTTGTAAGATAATGGTTAACATACAAAAATCAATTGTATTTTTATATGCTGGTAGCAAATAAAAATGTAAACAACTCTATATACAATAACATTATTAAATATTAAATACATAAGAATAATTTTACCAAAAGACCTTTACACTAAAAATTACAAAACATTGTTGAGATAAATTAAGGACAAAAAATAAAGAGATATGTTTATAGATTTTCAGATGGAATATTTTTGAATATTTAAAAACTTGCTAGTAGTCTACCATAATCAAAAAGTGAGGTATTGGTTAAAGGCTGGACAAATAGATCACTGGAATGCAATATAGAAACCAGAAAAAGATTCATGCATATATAGTCGTATGATTTTCAACAAGAGTTCAAGTCAATTTGAAAATAAAAATCTTCAGTGAATGATATTGGAATACTTAGATAGACATATAAAAACAGTGAAGTTCAGCCCTACTTAATACTACAAAAAAAATTAATTCAAGATCAATTATAGTCCCAAACATCAAAGTAAAAACTATGAAAATTCTAGAGAAAATCATAGAAACTGTTTTTGCATGTCAGAGGCAGGCAGATATTTTTTATAGCAGACACAAAAAGCACAAACATTGTAGAAAAAAATGACATTAGATTTTATTAAAAGTCATCATTTCTGCTTATCAGCGCACTATTAAAAAATAAAAAGGAAAACCACAGTCTGGGTCAAAATATTCACAATGCATATATCAGACAAAGGACTTGTATCCAGAGTGTATATGTTATATATATATATATTTTTCACATACATATATACATATATGTATGTATATATACATGCACATAAATCAATAAATTTCTACAAATCAATAATAAAAAGACAATATAAAACAGTTGTGTATATATAGGAGTTGGATAAGAATACATATATGTATATTATCACACATACACAAATGCTACAAATCAATAAACTCTTATAAATCAATAATAAAAAGATAACTCAATATTAAAATGGGCAAACAAATAGTTACTTTATAATAGAAAAAATACAAATAGCCAAGAAGCACACAAAATTGTTCTCCATATCATCAGTTAGAAGACAAATGCAAATGGAAACCACAATGAGATACCATTTCATCCCCACTAGAATGGCCAAAATCAAAAAGACTGACAACACCAAATGTTGGTGGGAATGTGGAACAGCTCTCCTACATTATTGAGGGGAGCATAAAATGTCAGAATCACTCTGGAAAACTCTTTAACAGTTTTTATAAAGTTAAATGAATATAAATTTTTTAACACAGTAATTTCACTCCTAGGTATTTACCTGAGAAATGAACCTATGCCTACAAAGAAATGGATTCAAGAATGTGTATAGAAACTTTATTCATAGTAGCCCCACACTGTAGGCAATGGAAAATGTTCAGCAATAGTGAGTAGGTAAGCAAGCAGTGACTCATATAATATTATGGGTGAATCTCAGAAACATAATGTTAAAAATAAAGCCATACAAATAAACATATGAAAAGATGCTCCACCTCTACACCAACAGGGCATCTAGAAGAGTGGATCTCAACATTGGCTGCACCCCGAAATCACCTGAGGAGCATTAAAGAATAAAAGCCTCATTTCATCTCAAGAGATTTGATTTGATTGGTTGTATTTGGCCTGGACATTGAGATTTTTAAAAAGCCCCTTAGATAATTTCAATGTGCAGCCAAGAGCGAGGACCTAGGTCTTTAAGGGAATCCTGGGACAACTTCAGTGTCCACCAAGGAAAGGAAGCCAGATGAAGTTGCAAATTTTGTAGCCACTGCAGGTGAAGAAATGGCTAATTTTTGGAGGAAAACTGAGGTGAAGATCTGGATCTATTAAGACCAAGTGCCTGAGAGGAGGAAACAGTTCTCTGGCCCCACAGCTGGCAGAACTAAGAGCCTTGGTGGTGAGCTGCTACAACTGTGAAGCCTGTGAACCACGAAGCCTATCAAGATTTAAATGTCTGGTATACCTTGTTTTCTCCTGAGTCTTTCAGTACCTGATTTGAGGAAAGCCTTCCTGGCTGGGTTCCTGTGCAGGAATACAGACAATGCCAAATCTCTACAAATTTACCTTTCAGCTAGGTGATTTTGGTAGGGTCTCCAACCAGAGAGACCAATACTTGGTACCAGGCAAAGCACCATCTTCAAAGGCAAATTGGGCATAGCCAGAAAGCCCACACAGGGCACCTACTGGCATCCAGGTCACCTACTGAGCAAATATCTGCTTCTCTTCCATCATTATAGAGTAGGTAAAAGTGCATTTCTGGATCAGTGTATTTTCAGACAAAACGACCCCTATCCTCTCGTGCCTCTTGAAGTTGAAGTTATGTGGTACCTCTTGAAGCTGGAATTATGACATAATTATCATTCCAAGTTTGTCTTTGTTTCCATGAAAATTGCGAAGTTTGAAGAGGATTATATCCTTATTGTAGTAGTGAATATTTCCAAAAATGATGCTAGCACAAGTTCCGAGAAAGAGGTTTAACAGTCATGTTAAAAGCCAAACATATTATCTTGGGATTTAGATATTATTTCAGAAGAGATGATTTCTCATGGTTTGATTTATACCAATAATAAGCTATAGTATATAAAGGATTTACACCAAATACTTAATTATTTTGTTCATTTTATCAAAACAAACCTAGGGTACCAACATTATTCTTGCCTAGGCCATGTATAGTGCTTAATTATTTTATTCATCTATAAGTGAGTTCATTGATACAAAGTGGAGAGACTTTCAATTGTGTTTTATAGAAGAAATTGGAAGGCTTTGTGAGGAATCAGAGTTGTATTCCTGAAGAATCAGAGGCATATTTATGAAGACTCACAGGCGTATTAATGAAGAGCTCATTTCATGTCCATTCTCAGCACAGTGTCCGGGAATCTGCCTTGTGGTCGGCTCTTACCTTCAGGCTGCTCTGAGCCCAGAGCAGAATGGTCATCACAGCTCTCCTCAACTTGGCATTGCCTGAGATCAGGATGGCTGCATGCCCAGAGGGACAAGCTGCCATTATCCCAACACAAACCATCACCCCTATTTTGTCGCGCCACAGAATCAGTAGGGGCACAGAGATGAAGGCAGCACAGGATGATATCACAAAGAAGCAGAAAAAGGAGACAAGAGACTTGAGGGCTTTAATGTGGGCCTCCAGGCTGGGGTCACGAGAGTTTCTGGTATAGACCTTCATTGTCCTCATGTGCCTTCCCAGGGAGACAGTCAGCATCCCAGAAGAAACCAGAAACAATAGGAAAGGAGGCACAGACCACAGATAGCAGAAGAGAAAGGAATAAAATAAATTGAGATCTTTAATCTGCCAGTTGAGCCTTGTATTGTTATTCATGAATAGCACAGTTGTGACTGTGAAGTGAGGTCTGCTAAAAAAGCACCAAACACAGAGGACAGTGCAGATGCAGGAGCAAAGAATAATACCCAGGAGCATCTGGGAGATCTTCCTGGAGACCCAGCTTGCCAAGCAGATCAGGAAGGTGTGAGAGAAACGGATGAGCTTGGAGCAGTAAAGCAGGCTGAGGCAGGCAGCAAGCCAGAGGTTGGCTTGGTTTGCAATCATCCATAGCATGATGATGGCTTGGTAGCTGTGGTTCAGTGGTTCACTCAACTTCTGGAAGTGGGTAAGCTGGATAGCACTCAGGAACAGCAGTCCATGCAGGAAAAGCCGGCTGATGCTGAGACACAGCAGCACACAATCACTGTTGCTCAGTGCCTGCCTCTTCACTACATCCCAAAAATTCACCAAGAAAACGAAGGCATTGGTCAGAAACCCCACTGCAAACTCCAGGACTGAAATGAACAGAAATGTACTCCTGACTTCATAGGACACAGTGCGGATGCGAGTTAGAGTCAACATGATGTCACTTCTCTAATTGGCTATTCTACTTCTCTTCTCTAGTTGGCTAATCTAAAGACCTGGTTGCCACCCAGTGCAGAAAGGTAAATGTACGTTCCAAGCCAGGACCTTTCCTTCACAAAGCATCCAGCTCTTTGCCTAGATCTATCCCAAAGCGAGCGCATAAAAAGTTCTGGCAGGAAACTTAGAGGGATGTTGTTTCTCTAGAACATCTCTTGGATACACGTAAGAGCTTATCATAGGGTGGAAGACTGATGGTTCTACCTCTTGGGTGATGCAAGATTAATAAATCCAGGTGTTCCTGTACAACCGCCTTCCCAGAAGGCCATAGCACAGCATCACGGATGCAAACAAAACAGGGCCTCAATTTCCCCAATCCAGTTTTGCATGCCCATCTGGACCTGTGGGGGTGGCGAAGAGAACAGGATTTGCTTATGGGTTTTGAGGCACCCTGCAGCAGGCAAAGCAGATATTCTTGGTGATCTAAGGTTTGAAATAGAGTCTCTTTTCATTTGCATTCCTTCTCTCATCTGTGAAGTAATGACTCTTATCACAGACTGTGTTTTTAATATAGATAAATGCATGGTTCCTTTCCATGTGTCAGTGTATGATTGCAGTTTTATTTGCTGTTGCCAAAGGTTTCATGCAATCATCATTATTATGCCAGGCACTGTGCCTGGCAAGGAGAATATTAACATGAACAAGACTAGCACGCTGTCATGAAGGGAGAGGAAAGGGGGCATAGCTGGTTTGGATTATTATTATGTTTATTTTTTAATTAGTATAAGTTCTGGGGTACATGTGCAGAACATGCAGGCTTGTTACATAGGCATACACCTGCCATGGTGGTTCGCTGCACCCATCAACCCGTTATCTATATTAGGTATTTCTCCTAATGGTCTCCTTCCCCTTGCCCCCTACCCCCTGACAGGCCCTGGTGTTTGATGTTCCCCTCCCTGTGTCCATGTGTTCTCATTGTTCAACTGCCACTTATGAGTGAATTTCCCCCGATAAATCCTTTAAGAGTTATTGGTGCTGCCCCATTGGTGTTTTTCGATACTTTCTCTTTGTATTTTTTATGTTTTCTTTTGACTAAAGCTCCTTTTTTATTATTAGTAGTGACATAAGTCAGTGATTACTAAAGATGTTCACTTTTGTTTTATTCTGAACTGTTCATACGCAGATATTTATGTAGTCCTTATTTGTGCATCATGATGTAGCAGTTGTATTTAATTAATTGTGTTTGTGACCACTTCATTTGGGTCATTCATGCTTACAGAGTGTCAAACACAGAATTCTGCACTTTCAACTTAAGCTAATTTTCTCCTTGTCTTCACCACACCAGGTGGCGGTGTTGCACTAAAGGTGTTTAGAAAAGATGTTTGCCTCCCTAAAAAGTCTAGGTAGAAACTTGCTCTACTGCACAAGCAGAGATATATAACTATACAGTTAGAACCATTTATATCAAGATTATAATCTTTTATTAAAAAATAAAGTTCTTTATGTTATTTCTTGGAACACCAGATCCAATCTTAATTTTTCAATAATCAAGGGCTCTTTCAGAGAAAGGTAACACAAACCTTCATTGATACACCCCCTCCATTTGACTTATGTACACACAGTGTTTGGGATTATCTAAGTAATCTCCTTTGCAGATAGTCCTTAGCTATTGGCTATTTTTTGAAAAATGGTTTACTCAGGAAGCTAAAAACAGTAAAGTCAACTGCAATGCCAGTAAGAGCAGTGGTAGGAACACAAAAGCTCCTTATTTGTTATTAGTAGTGATATAAGTCAGTGACTACATCTTTATCAGATGTAATTAAAAAAATCTTAGTCCCTGGATTTTGCAACTAAACAGATGTTAAAAATTCTTAACCTATATAAATTGGTGTTTCGACTTTTGCTGCCATTTATTTTTGGAGATTGGAATTACATTCTTTGGATTGATTTTTAAAAATTGGTCTTTGTTAGCTTGACAGAAGAACACTATTATTAGTAATATCAAACCTCATTCCCTTAAAATACCTTGCTTAGATGTTTCCAATGACTAGAGAAATGGACATACCAATATATGTTTATTAAGAGCAAAATATATTCCACCTGTTGTAATGGGCATTGAGGACACACTGGTAAACAAAGGCGTATTAGAGGAACTGAAAGAGCACAGCCTTAAAGCCATAAAGCTTAAAGTAAGCCATACCTTACTTTAGAGGAAAAACACCACTAGATGACTTCAGATAGCGGAGTGAACTGAAAGAAACAATGTTGGGGGAGAGACAACGGACAGGAAACATACAATTGGGGTAGTGTCAATAGGAAACACTGGCAGTGGCCATCATCAACAGCACTCAAAACAGATGAAATGGCACCCAGGAAGTCGATGAGGCAGGAAGGAGCTCGGTGCTTTCACGGGGAGAGGGGAGGCCCGCGTGGCTGGCTTGTAGCCACAGGTGAGGCTGGAGGGCGACTTCTTCCACTACCGTGTGATTACAATATAAAGTAACTAGTGATTGGCTATCTCCCATTCTTCCCCCGTGATTGGCTATCTCCTGTTCTCCCCCTGCCGGAATTCCTAGGACAGCGAGACAGGTGGGAAACAACAGACCTAGGAGGAGTCTCTGCACCTCCAATCTCCCCAAATAATCGGGCAAAGCAATGGACTCCAGCTTTTCCAGGAAGCTCCAGCTCCCCAGCAACCGAGTCCTCCCCCATCGCTATTTAACAGCTCCCACCAGGTGGCGCCAGAACACTGCGAGGCCTGGAATTCCTGGCAGGCTCGCAGTGCATCCTCACCTCAGCCGTTTAAATCTAGCAATAATGGGGTTCCGTATCTCACGCAACTGAAATTTTAGACTCCACTTACTGCGTTATGATAGGCTGAATTTCCTTGAATCTCACAGTTGCCCTGCGAAGAATGTAGTGATATTTCCATTGTACTGATGAGAAAGTGGTTTCAGGAAAGTTAAATAGTTAAATATCTTGGCCAAGGTAAGTAACCTAGTGAGCAGCTGGGATTCCAACCGCAGGTATTCTGATTTCACCTTTGGCGTTTCTTCCTCTGAGCCTAACTCCCAATCTAGAGTACGGGCTGGAGGAGATACCCTTGCTTTGATAAGACACCTGGTAACATTTTTTTTTTTCCCCAACCTCAGCCCTATCTGAGCTTTTTTCTTACTCTTTTTTTCTTTTTTTTTTGCGTGGGCAGGGGGAGTGCAGTTGCCCTTGTGGACTCCCTCAAGATGATAGCTCATTCCATTCCCAGGAGATAGAGAAAAATTGAGTCTGGATAGGTTTATATCTCAGGAGGCCACTGTTCTGGTAAGGGAAAGGAATGGGGAAAATTTCGCTAGGCTCGTTGAAAGAACGTGTCGATGTATGCAACAGGTTAACATAGCTATTCATAAGTTAGAGCCCTAGAGCATAAAAGGAAATTCTTCAGAATTTTTCAGGTGGATCTGGGATGATGTCTTCCTTTACTCCCTTCCTACAGGCTTCCTATATCTTCTTTGCTTCCATTATACTTTGTTCACAGCACTATTGTAGCACTTACCATATGTATTAAAATATGTATTTGTGGCTGGGCGCGGTGGCTCACGCCTGTAATCCCAGCATTTTGGGAGGCCGAGGTGGGCGAATCACGAGGTCAGGAGATTGAGACCATCCTGGCTAACATGGTGAAACCCTGTCTCTACTAAAAATACAAAAAAATTAGCCGGGCGTGGTGGTGGGCACCTGTAGTCCCAGCTACTTGGGAGGCTGAGGCAGGAGAATGGTGTGAACCCGGGAGGAAGAGCTTGCAGTAAGCCAAGATTGCCCCCCTGCACTGCAGCCTGGGAGACAGAGTGAGACTCCGCCTCAAAAAAAAAGTATTTGTTTACATGGGTATCCTCAATTATATTGAGTTCTTCAAGAGTAGGGATTATGTATTGTTCTTTTTTTTTACTCCTTATTGTATATGACAAGTAATTAGATTTTTGTTGGTTTATTTGGCCATTCACTTTAAATCCAAAGTAATGGTTTGACCAACCTTGCTTTCTTATGAATATAGGTATATTGGCCCTGCTTCAATCTAGGTGAATTCACTCTTCGGATTCTTTTTATATTTATTTCCTTTTATGAGACAGGGTCTCACTCTGTTGCCCAGGCTGGAGTGCAGTGGTGTGATCTCAGCTCACTACAATTTCTGCCTCACGGGCTCAAGCCATCCTCCCACCTCAGCCTCCAGAATATCTGGGACTACAGGTGCATGCCTCTATGCCCAGCTAATTTTTGTATTTTTTTTGTAGAGACAGGGTTTCACCATGTTGCCCAGGCTGGTCTCAAACCCCTGAGCTCAAGCGATCTGCCCGACTCAGCCTCCCAAAGTGCTGGGATAACAGGCGTGAGCCACCGAGTCTGGCCTCCTGGGATTCTAACATGTTTTCTGCACTGAAGATCAAAGGCTGAATGTCTTTGTAACCCATTATGTAGCCATTCAGGACAGCACTCATCCTAAGAGAAGAAAAAATTAGGTAGTGAAATCATTCATTAACAAAACTGTAGGCACCAAAGTGTAGGCAGGCTCTTGTTCGGGGGACATGGTGTTTGCTATGAGGGCTTGTCCTCTGTTCCAGTCTGATGGATTTCAGTCTGAATCCAAAGAACAGTTTATTAAGTAAGCCCTTTTGGCTGCAAGCAGTAAAGATTCATTCAGGTGAGCTCCAGTAATATGGATTTTTATAGGCTATATCAATAGTTCTCAAGGCTTAAGGTGCCCCACACTAGGGAGATCAGGATCACCAGGGGACTTGCTAGAAATGCAAGACTGCTGACCTATGGAATAAAAACCTCTGAAGGTGTTCATGACTGTGTTCTAACAAGTCATTCAGGTGATTCTGACGCACACTCATGTTTGACAACTACTGGGGCATAAGAGAGAAAGATTTTCCAGGACTTCAGCAATGAGCCATACTTCACAGAGATTAAACATCACTTGGGTGCTGAAACTTTATTCAGAATCCATGTTGGGGTGTTTTTTTAGCAGTAGGAGTTAATTGCCATTCACTTGAATGCTCCACTGTAAGTGATATTCAGACTCTTGTTAGAAAAGAAGGCCTTTGATGGTTTAGATGGTATAGTGCCAAGAGTCCCAGGAATTCCCAAATCCAGCTCTGCCATTTATTCCTGTTACCTGAGAAGAACAGTGAAAGGGGGTATAATGTGGGTATTACTCTTTTAAATGTGACAGCAGCACCCAACAGCTCTCGCTGCAGAGCCCTGGTACCAGTTGGGTTTAAGCAAGCAGCAGGCCTAGGTAGAATCCACACACCCAATTTGCCATTCTTTCCAGGGTAGTTACTACCAATCGCCTATGTGGTATTCTCGCCATTATCAGCGGAACTTCTGTGTTTGTTAGGCATGTCAGTATTCCCAATTTAAAAGAACTACAAATCTCATCCTTCTTTCAGATAGGAATGTCCAAATGACACAAGAAAAAGTAATTGGATGGAATTTCTTAGAAAGCCCTTGTTGCATTTCCCTTTTTCTGTGCCTGAACTTGAGTGTTATTGTTGGACTCTAACCATGGGGCAAAAGCCAAGAGAATCTCAAAGGCTTCACTCTGAAATCTTGATGGCTGAAACCACACCAGCAACTACTCTTTTCCAGCCTTCTCATTATGTGATAATGGGAAATTCTTATGTCCTTAAGCCACAATGCTTGGAACATTATTATTGGAAGCCGAATGCAATTACTAACTTATCCAATATGAAACTTACACCTTGGGACCAGAATGCGCAAGAGTGGAGAGAGGGAGAGAAGAAATGGGAGCGGGAGAGACACACACACACATACACACACACAGAGAGAGAGAGAGAGAGAGAGAGAGAGAGAGAGAGAGATTACTTACCCACTTATTTGGAGAAAGAGAGAAAGAGGAGATAACTTGCCTGCATGAAGGATCTTGGATCTAATTGCCCATCTAAGCATGAGAAGCCAAGGGTGAAATGGAGAGAAGGGCAGCCTGCTTCCTGTCTAGGTTTGCTTGTCAAGAAGAGGCAGGAAACAAGAAGTACAATAGAGGAAACCAAAGAAAAGATGTCTTTACTTCCTACATTTTAAGGCATATTGTTTTTGCCCACACGTATTTGTTAAAGGGAGGTTGGCAGAGTGGTACCGGTGTGAGGACATGTGGTTAAAGATTCTCTCACACAGTTTTTATTTCAGTTTCTCTATTTTTTCATTTTGTTCTTGCTACTAATTGATCTTGCTAGCAATTCTTTCTGTGTCTTACACTGAGAAAGAGAATCTGAGTGGTTGAGTGGTGACAGAGTGGGATGCTTCCTGAGCTGTAGGCCAATTTAAGGATTGGCTGTCTTTGGGTTAGGTGCCCATCCCTGGTCCCAGCATCTTTTTTTTTTTTTCTTTTATTATTATACTTTAAGTTTTAGGGTACATGTGCACATTGTGCAGGTTAGTTACATATGTATACATGTGCCATGCTGGTGCGCTGCACCCACTAACTCATCATCTAGCATTAGGCATATCTCCCAATGCTATCCCTCTCCCCTCCCCCCACCCCACAACAGTCCCCAGAGTGTGATGTTCCCCTTCCTGTGTCCATGTGATCTCACTGTTCAATTCCCACCTATGAGTGAGAATATGTGGTGTTTGGTTTTTTGTTGTGATAGTTTACTGAGAATGATGATTTCCAATTTCATCCATGTCCCTACAAAGGACATGAACTCATCATTTTTTATAGCTGCATAGCATTCCATGCTGTATATGTGCCACATTTTCTTAATCCAGTCTATCATTGTTGGACATTTGGGTTGGTTCCAAGTCTTTGCTATTGTGAATAGTGCCGCAATAAATATACGTGTGCACGTGTCTTTATAGCAGCATGATTTATAATCCTTTGGGTATATACCCAGTAATGGGATGGCTGGGTCAAATGGTATTTCTAGTTCTAGATCCCTGAGGAATCGCCACACTGTCTTCCACAATGGTTGAACTAGTTTACAGTCCCACCAACAGTGTAAAAGTGTTCCTATTTCTCCACATCCTCTCCAGCACCTGTTGTTTCCTGACTTTTTAATGATTGCCATTCTAATTGGTGTGAGATGGTATCTCATTGTGGTTTTGATTTGCATTTCTCTGATGGCCAGTGATGATGAGCATTTTTTCATGTGTTTTTTGGCTGCATAAATGTCTTCTTTCGAGAAGTGTCTGTTCATATCCTTTTCCCACTTTTTGATGGGGTTGTTTGCTTTTTTCTTGTAAATTTGTTTGAGTTCATTGTAGATTCTGGATATTAGCCCTTTGTCAGATGACTAGGTTGCAAAAATTTTCTCCCATTTTGTAGGTTGCCTGTTCACTCTGATGGTAGTTTCTTTTGCTGTGCAGAAGCTCTTTAGTTTAATTAGATCCCATTTGTCAATTTTGGCTTTTGTTGCCATTGCTTTTGGTGTTTTAGACATGAAGTCCTTGCCCATGCCTATGTCCTGAATGGTATTGCCTAGGTTTTCTTCTAGGGTTTTTATGGTTTTAGGTCTAACGTTTAAGTCTTTAATCCATCTTGAATTGATTTTTGTATAAGGTGTAAGGAAGGGATCCAGTTTCAGCTTTCTACATATGGCTAGCCAGTTTTCCCAGCACCATTTATTAAATAGGGAATCCTTTCCCCATTGCTTGTTTTTCTCAGGTTTGTCAAAGATCAGATAGTTGTAGATATGTGGCGTTATTTCTGAGGGCTCTGTTCTGTTCCATTGATCTATATCTCTGTTTTGGTACCAGTACCATGCTGTTTTGGTTACTGTAGCCTTGTAGTATAGTTTGAAGTCAGGTAGTGTGATGCCTCCGGCTTTGTTCTTTTGGCTTAGGATTTACTTGGTGATGCGGGCTCTTTTTTGGTTCCATATGAACTTTAAAGTAGTTTTTTCCAATTCTGTGAAGAAAGGCATTGGTAGCTTGATGGGGATGGCAATGAATCTGTAAATTACCTTGGGCAGTATGGCCATTTTCATGATATTGATTCTTCCTACCATGAGGATGGAAGGTTCTTCCATTTGTTTGTATCCTCTTTTATTTCATTGAGCAGTGGTTTGTAGTTCTCCTTGAAGAGGTCCTTCACATCCCTTGTAAGTTGGATTCCTAGGTATTTTATTCTCTTTGTAGTAATTGTGAATGGGAGTTCACTCATGATTTGGCAATCTGTTTGTCTGTTGTTGGTGTATAAGAATGCTTGTGATTTTTGTACAGTGATTTTGTATCCTGAGACTTTGCTGAAGTTGCTTATCAGCTTAAGGAGATTTTGGGCTAGGACAATGGGGTTTTCTAGATATACAATCATGTCATCTGCAAACAGGGACAATTTGACTTCCTCCTTTCCTAATTGAATACCCTTTATTTCCTTCTCCTGCCTAATTGCCCTGGCCAGAACTTCCAACACTATGTTGAATAGGAGTGGTGAGAGAGGGCATCCCTGTCTTGTGCCAGTTTTCGAAGGGAATGCTTCCAGTTTTTGCCCATTCAGTATGATATTGGCTGTGGGTTTGTCATAGATAGCTCTTATTATTTTGAAATATGTCCCATCAATACCTAATTTATTGAGAGTTTTTAGCATGAAGGGTTGTTGAATTTTGTCAAAGGCCTTTTCTGCATCTATTGAGATAATCATGTGGTTTTTGTCTTTGGCTCTGTTTATAAGCTGGATTACATTTATTGATTTGTGTATATTGAACCAGCCTTGCATCCCAGGGATGAAGCCCACTTGATCATGGTGGATAAGCTTTTTGATGTGCTGCTGGATTCGTTTTGCCAGTATTTTACTGAGGATTTTTGCATCAATGTTCATCAAGGATATTGGTCTAAAATTCTCTTTTTTGGTTGTGTCTCTGCCAGGCTTTGGTATCAGAATGATGCTGGCCTCATAAAATGAGTTAGGGAGGATTCCGTCTTTTTCTATTGATTGGAATAGTTTCAGAAGGAATGGTACCAGTTCCTCCTTGTACCTCTGGTAGAATTCAGCTGTGAATCCATCTGGTCCTGGACGCTTTTTGGTTGGTAAACTATTGATTATTGCCACAATTTCAGATCCTGTTATTGGTCTATTCAGAGATTCAACTTCTTCCTGGTTTAGTCTTGGGAGAGTGTATGTGTCAAGGAATTTATCCATTTCTTCTAGATTTTCTAGTTTATTTGCGTAGAGGTGTTTGTAGTATTCTCTGATGGTAGTTTGTATTTCTGTGGGATCAGTGGTGATATCCCCTTTATCATTTTTTATTGTGTCTATTTGATTCTTCTCTCTTTTTTTCTTTATTAGTCTTGCTAGTGGTCTATCTATTGTGTTGATCCTTTCAAAAAACCAGCTCCTGGATTCATTAATTTTTTGAAGGGTTTTTTGTGTCTCTATTTCCTTCAGTTCTGCTCTGATTTTAGTTATTTCTTGCCTTCTGCTAGCTTTTGAATGTGTTTGCTCTTGCTTTTCTAGTTCTTTTAATTGTGATGTTAGGGTGTCAATTTTGGATCTTTCCTGCTTTCTCTTGTGGGCATTTAGTGCTATAAATTTCCCTCTACACACTGCTTTGAATGCGTCCCAGAGATTCTCGTATGTTGTGTCTTTGTTCTTGTTGGTTTCAAAGAACATCTTTATTTCTGCCTTCATTTCGTTATGTACCCAGTAGTCATTCAGGAGCAGGTTGTTCAGTTTCCATGTAGTTGAGTGGTTTTGAGTGAGATTCTTAATCCTGAGCTCTAGTTTGATTGCACTGTGGTCTGAGAGATAGTTTGTTATAATTTCTGTTCTTTTACATTTGCTGAGGAGAGCTTTACTTCCAAGTATGTGGTCAATTTTGGAATAGGTGTGGTGTGGTGCTGAAAAAAATGTATATTCTGTTGATTTGGGGTGGAGAGTTCTGTAGATGTCTATTAGGTCCGCTTGGTGCAGAGCTGAGTTCAATTCCTGGGTATCCTTGTTGACTTTCTGTCTTGTTGATCTGTCTAATGTTGACAGTGGGGTGTTAAAGTCTCCCATTATTAATGTGTGGGAGTCTAAGTCTCTTTGTAGGTCACTCAGGACTTGCTTTATGAATCTGGGTGCTCCTGTATTGGGTGCATATATATTTAGGATAGTTAGCTCTTCTTGTTGAATTGATCCCTTTACCATTATGTAATGGCCTTCTTTGTCTCTTTTGATCTTTATTGGTTTAAAGTCTGTTTTATCAGAGACTAGGATTGCAACCCCTGCCTTTTTTTGTTTTCCATTGGCTTGGTAGATCTTCCTCCATCCTTTTATTTTGAGCCTATGTGTGTCTCTGCACATGAGATGGGTTTCCTGAATACAGCACACTGATGGGTCTTGACTCTTTATCCAATTTGCCAGTCTGTGTCTTTTAATTAGAGCATTTAGTCCATTTACATTTAAAGTTAATATTGTTATGTGTGAATTTGATCCTGTCATGATGATGTTAGCTGGTTATTTTGCTCGTTAGTTGATGCAGTTTCTTCCTAGTCTTGATGGTCTTTACATTTTGGCATGATTTTGCAGCGGCTGGTACCGGTTGTTCCTTTCCATGTTTAGCGCTTCCTTCAGGAGCTCTTTTAGGGCAGGCCTGGTGGTGACAAAATCTCTCAGCATTTGCTTGTCTGTAAAGTATTTTATTTCTCCTTCACTTATGAAGCTTAGTTTGGCTGGAGATGAAATTCTGGGTTGAAAATTCTTTTCTTTAAGAATGTTGAATATTGGCCCCCACTCTCTTCTGGCTTGTAGGGTTTCTGCCGAGAGATCCGGGCTTAGTCTGATGGGCTTCCCTTTGAGGGTAACCCGACCTTTCTCTCTGGCTGCCCTTAACATTTTTTCCTTCATTTCAACTTTGGTGAATCTGACAATTATGTGTCTTGGAGTTGCTCTTCTCGAGGAGTATCTTTGTGGTGTTCTCTGTATTTCCTGAATCTGAACGTTGGCCTGCCTTGCTAGATTGGGGAAGTTCTCCTGGATAATATCCTGCAGAATGTTTTCCAACTTGGTTCCATTCTCCCCGTCACTTTCAGGTACACCAATCAGATGTAGATTTGGTCTTTTCACATAGTCCCATATTTCTTGGAGGCTTTGCTCATTTCTCTTTATTCTTTTTTCTCTAAACTTCCCTTCTCACTTCATTTCATTCATTTCATCTTCCATCGCTGATACCCTTTCTTCCAGTTGATCACATCAGCTCCTGAGGCTTCTGCATTCTTCACATAGTTCTTGAGCCTTGGTTTTCAGGTCCATCAGCTCCTTTAAGCACTTCTCTGTATTGGTTATTCTAGTTATACATTCTTCTAAAATTTTTTCAAAGTTTTCAACTTCTTTGCCTTTGGTTTGAATGTCCTCCCGTAGCTCAGAGTAATTTGATCGTCTGAAGCCTTCTTCTCTCAGCTCGTCAAAGTCGTTCTCTGTCCAGCTTTGTTCCATTGCTGGTGAGGAACTGCGTTCCTTTGGAGGAGGAGAGGCGCTCTGCTTTTTAGAGTTTCCAATTTTTCTGTTCTGTTTTTTCCCCATCTTTGTGGTTTTATCTACTTTTGGTCTTTGATGATGATGATGTACAGATGGGTTTTTGGTGTGGATGTCCTTTCTGTTTGTTAGTTTTCCTTCTAACAGACAGGACCCTCAGCTGCAGGTCTGTTGGAGTACCCTGCCGCGTGAGGTGTCAGTGTGCCCCTGCTGGGGGGTGCCTCCCAGTTAGGCTGCTCGGGGGTCAGGGGTCAGGGACCCACTTGAGGAGGCAGTCTGCCTGTTCTCAGATCTACAGCTGTGTACTGGGAGAACCACTGCTCTCTTCAAAGCTGTCAGACAGGGACATTTAAGTCTGCAGAGGTTACTGCTGTCTTTTTGTTTGTCTGTGCCCTGCCCCCAGAGGTGGAGCCTACAGAGGCAGGCAGGCCTCCTTGAGCTGTGGTGGGCTCCACCCAGTTCCAGCTTCCTGGCTGCTTTGTTTACCTAAGCAAGCCTGGGCAATGGCGGGCGCCCCTCCCCCAGCCTCGCTGCCGCCTTGCAGTTTGATCTCAGACTGCTGTGCTAGCAATCAGCGAGACTCCGTGGGCGTAGGACCCTCTAAGCCAGGTGGTGGATATAATCTCGTGGTGCCCTGTTTTTTAAGCCTGTCGGAAAAGCGCCGTATTCGGGTGGGAGTTACCCGATTTTCCAGGTGCCGTCCGTCACCCCTTTCTTTGACTAGGAAAGGGAACTCCCTGACCCCTTGCGCTTCCCGAGTGAGGCAATGCCTCGCCCTGCTTCGGCTCACACACGGTGCGCGCACCCACTGACCTGCGCCCACTGTCTGGCACTCCCTAGTGAGATGAACCCGGTACCTCAGATGGAGATGCAGAAATCACCCGTCTTCTGCGTTGCTCACGCTGGGAGCTGTAGACCGGAGCTGTTCCTATTCGGCCATCTTGGCTCCTCCCCCCAGCATCTTTAATGGCAGCATGGAACCTTGTGATTAGGGACATAAGATCAGTTTTCTCAGCAGGGACCCATGGGTGGGGATTCCTTTTGAGGGATCTCTGGACCCCTCTTAAAGTTTTATTTTGTTCACAAACATGAGCTAAGGGTGAGGAGGTTTTAAGTAAAAGCTGATAGAGCTGTAAGCCATTGGATGACAGCCCTTTCGTGCTTCTTCGTAGCAGATTTCACATAAGAGAACACTGTGTAGCTCTGGCACTTGGAGGGTTCTTTCTCTGTCTGCAGACACGGGAGCTCAAGCCATACCCAGAGACAGTGTGGACATGGCAATTCCCGGAGAGCAGACCAGGAGGAGAGGGAGGTACCTGGAGGAAGGATGCCAAGCCAGAGAAGACAGCAAACATGACAGAGACCGTACATGGCTGTAAGACATTGTTTGTGAATTTAAGACATTTCCTATGGCATTCTTTTCACATTTTTCCCTTGGGGTAGGGGACTGAGGGGAAATATACCTACCAGTGGCTCATTATAGGGGAAAATTTCTGCAGAATTTAGTGTTTGATGTTGAAAAACAATTGTGTACATTTGCATACTATTATATTATACTGCCACAATTTTAGCAATTCAAAATATTGATTGAAATTACTTACTCTTCTCCAATAATCTTGAACTAAAATGGTATTTCCAAGAAAATGCATTATGACCCTCTCAATATGCCACCACATACCTCCTAGGGTATGTGTACCCTCATCTAAAAAAATAGAACTCAATGGGGATGCCAAACAATTGGGAGGGACTTTGTGGAGATTTGGAGGTCCTACACTTGCAGGTGGTGGTAAAAGCCAGAAAAATGCAGATAACAGGAGGACAACTTTTTGCTCATAGGGTAGACTATGATTAGACATTTTTGGTGGAGATATTTATTTATACTGGACAATGGAGACGAAACACGAGCCTGTCATAGCAGGGCTAGCAGGGACCATTTTGTCACATGGCACAGAAACAGAAACTGGAAGTTAGGATAGTGGTGGTGCTGGTAGTGGTGGTGGTAGTCATAGGCATAGTAAAGGTAGTGTTTTGATGAAGAAATAGGAGAATTACATGAAATTAACTTGTACCTTGGCCTTCACAGAAATGAAAAGAATACTGGCAGTTAATCTCTCTGCTTTTCCTTCTGTGGGTTTGAATGTTTTCTTTCTGCTACTCTCTACATGTGTATCCCATTCTCTTTTGGACAAACAAGCATTTTCAGTAAAACTAATCTCTGTATCTTAATAACATGCCGTAATCCCACAGACATAGTGCTCACTCAGTGCAGTATGATTCAGGCACTGTGTCTCAAATCTAAATTTTTGGGAGGGCGAATCCATCTGGACGAAGTCGGATCATCTGTCCAGCTGGTTCACTCAGCTGAGATCAGAGTGTTAGGGTTATGTTGAGCTTCCCACACAGAAGTGGACCATGCAGGTGTCAGCGAGGCACAGGGGAGGGGGGCATGGAGGAAATAATGGGGGTTTCTAGAACAAGATTTGAGCTTAAAGAGAAATAGCCATCTCTGAGGTGAGGATGCTAGAATTTGACAACTGATAGGATTGGAGGGATTCCCGTTTGGGAGACTTGGTGGCAAATCCACTTTGAATTTGTTGAATGAATGAACAAACATTTAGTTTGAAAAAGCCATTTTCTGTATTTACTGCTTTCAAACCCTATGAACATTGGATTCCTGGATTGAAATTAAATTAGTATGACTTTAACCCCACCACTATATGAGTGACCTTTAGCAACTCATTTCTCTTAGTTTCTGTTTCCTCATTTATACATGGGCATTAAAAATACCTGCCTTATCTTAAAGGATTGTTGTGATCAATGAAATAGTACAGATTAAAGTACTCCGAGGCTGGGCGTGGTGGCTCATGCCTTTAATTTCAGCACTTTGGGAGGCCAAGGTGGGTGGATCACCTGAGGTCAGGAGTTCAAGACCAGCCTGGCCAACATGGTGAAACACCATAGCTACTAAAAATACAAAGATTAGCCGGGCGTGGTGGTGCATGCCTGTAATCCCAGCTACTCAGGAGGCTGAGGTGGAAGAATTGGTTGAACCCAGGAGGAGGAGGTTGCAGTGAGCCGAGATTGCGCCACTGCACTTCAGCACTTTAGCCTGTGCAACACAGCAAGACTCTGTCTTAAAAAAAAACAAAAATATTTAAAAGGTACTCTGAAAACTGCAAAGTGTCACACAATGCAAAGTTGTTGTCGTTTTTTGTTTTGTTTTGAGACAGAGTCTCACTCTGTCACCCAGGCTGGAGTGCAGTGGCGCAATCTGGGCTCACTGCAGTCTCTGTTTCCCAAGTTCAAGCGATTCTCTTACCTCAGCCTCCCGAGTAGCTGAGATAACAGGCGCCCGCCACCATGCCTGACTCATTTTTATATCTTTAGTAGAGACGGGGTTTCACCATGTTGACCAGGCTGGTCTCGAACTCCTGACCTCAGGTGATCCACCTGCTTCGGCCTCCCAAAGTGCTGGGATTACAGGCGTGAGCCACCATGCATGGCCAAATGTAAAGTTTTATGTGAATACTAGGTGATGTGTTATTCCTAAAATTCTCTCTGTACTCATACTTGTGTGTGCATGTGTTCTTATCTGTGGTGGTGAAGAGGAAAGGAGTAGAAGACGGTGTAAAGCTGCTAAATAATAGACATTTCACAAGACAAGGAAATGCTGTAATGTCCTGTGTACATTGTTTCCACTCTCACCTTCCTCTGAACATTTCTGGGCAGAGAAATTACTCCTACTCCAACTAACTCCTTTTTGCCCTTTGCAGGTGGCATGAGATGTTAAGGTCTTTTATATGGGACAAAAGAAGGAAAACAACTTGGCTGCAATAAAAACAGAGGTAAAAATTAATGTTTGTAGGCTATGAAGACTGTGAGAAATCATTTTGATAGGTGGGGGTGTAGATGCCATGTGCTTGTGAGTGTGTGTGTGTGTGTGTGTGTGTATGAGTATGTGAGAGAAAGAGGGAGAGAGAGAGAGAGAGAGAGAAAGAGAGTCTTGTAGTAGTGGTTTTTCTCCATTGGCCTGTGGAATCAGTTCAGTGTGGGATGTGTTGACTGTTTACTGTGGCTATTCCTAAGGGTTGAGGAACTGGAGGAATAGTTCTTAACAGAATTTAAGCTAATGATACTGCTTGTTGGATATTATTTCATTTTCAGAAAGGACTGGCTGAGGAGGGGTTGGGAAACTGACATTGGATGTCAGGTACTTATGTCAGCTTAGGCTCAAAGTAACATCATGAAGTACTCATGATCATCCCTGATTTCCAGATAAGGCAACTGAGCTTCAGAAAATTGAAATGGTTGTCCAAGTTCTGCAGAAAGTAAGTAGAGGACCTCATATTTAAGCCCAGGCTAGTTTGATTTGAAACTCCATGTTCTTCTTTCTTTTTTTTTTTTTCGATTATTAGAGACAGGGTCTTGCTGTGTTGCCCAGGATGGAGTGCAGTGGTGCTATCATAGCTCCCTGCAGCCTCAAACTCCTGGGCTCAAGTGATCCTCTTGCTGCTGTATGGAGGCTGAGAATCCCTAAAGTGCATTCTCCAAATTTTCCAAAATTCCTCAATTTTTATGGAAAATTCCCCAGATTTTCAGTTGAAATCATCTGAAAATTTAACATGAAAATACTCTCCAAAAAAAGATTTATCTTGAATGAAATACTATGTTTGACAATTTCATACTAAAGGGATATTTTAGGGACACCTAATCCACCCATAGTTAATTACTGGTAAAATCCACACAGATAAAATTATTATTTTCTACAAGGATTTTATTCCAGGAAGGGAGAACACATGAAGTCATGTTCCATGTAGGAGGAGGAAGGATGCACACTGGGCCTCATCTGTCACTTCTGGGCTCAGCATTCAGAATGGGCTCTTCATGTGGGTCTGGCTTTGACAGAGAGTTTGAGGAGGCTCTGTGGGCAGCATCTTAAGGAGTGGCTAGCACTCCTCTGAGCACTTTGGGGAATGCACACCTATAAAACAGAGCAATATATTCTTGAATGCACTATTACCCCAGTGGCTTGGGAAAGGGGAAATGTCAGAACGACAATTACAACACACATAGAATGCTTACTATGGCCTATGTATCATGCCAAATGATTCACATGCATTATTTCATTCCCTCCTCATATCTACACAACTTCACTCCAAAGAACATGCACCTGTGCAGCTTCCAGAGTCCCCTGTGGATACTTAGTCTGCTTGGAGGTGTGGGGAGAAGTAATATTCTTCTGGACTAAAAACTGAAAGAAGCAGATAATCCAGTGTTTTGAATCTGTGTAGAAATCTATCTCGTGCTTATGACAGCTCTGGGCAGTTTCTTACCTGCAGTGGTTCCCTATTGCTTGCAAAATCTTCTTGCTGAGATGAGATGCTAGAATCTCTGCATTGTGGCTCCAGTGTACTTTCCCAGAAGTGTCCCTGATTGTCTCACAACTGTCTTCTCTGTGTCTTTTTACTGCAGTTTCTAAAACAGGTTCTGTTATTTCTTTTTTTTTATGTTTTTTTATTTTTTATTTTTTTATTATTATACTTTAAGTTTTAGGGTACATGTGCACAATGTGCAGGTTAGTTACATATGTATACATGTGCCATGCTGGTGCGCTGCACCGGTTCTGTTATTTCTTACCTGTGGGTCTGGCTAATGCTGCTCCCTTCGCCCAAAATATCTTTCCTTTTCGCCTTCCCTTCCCACTTCCACCCAGCTATGGCTTTGATTTCTTTCCTGTCCCTCCCAGCATGTGTATTCTCTGTCCAGTAGCATTTGCTGGTGCTGTCTTCTCTTTAGCATCGTAGCCATTTGACTTCTCTCTGCTATGAGGTCATGGAGGAATCACGCTCATCTATATTTCAGTGCAGGCTTGACCAGACTGCCTGGCTTTGCATTCTGGGTTTGCCTCTCATTAGTTACATGACCTGGGGCAAGTCGCCTTTGTGCCTCAGGTTTCTCATCTGTAAAACTGGGATAATAACAGTACCGACTGCATAGCGTAGTTACCAGGAGGAAGTGAAATAATGCATGGAAATCATTTAGCATAGAACATAGGCCACAGTACGCACTCTGTAGATGTTGTTACTGTTATTCTCATAGTGCCTTGTTTGTAGTACACACATAATGACTGTATATTGATGGAATTGTGTGGAGGAAGTGGTTATTGCTATATTTTCTGTGGCCGGAAGTGAGGAGGCAGCCCCAGGGCTAATGCTTGATCCAGAGGTGGGGTCACAATGGTTAGGGTAAGGGTGGTGGCTGGGGATGGAGAAAAGGATTTTTTTTTTTTTTTGAGACAGAATCTCACTCTGTTGCCCAGGCTGGAGTAGTACAATGGCACAATCTCGGCTCACTGCACCCTCCGCCTCCCAGGTTCAAGCAATTCTCCTGCCTCAGCCTCCTGAGTAGCTGGGATTATAGGCACGCGCTACCATGCCCAGCTAATTTTTGTATTTTTAGTAGAGACGGGGTTTCACTATGTTGGTCAGGCTGATCTCAAACTCCTGACCTCATGATCCGCCTGCCTCAGCCTCCCAAAGTGTTGGGATTACAGGCGTGAGCCACCACACCTGGCCGAGAAAAGGAGATATTTTAATCACATTCCAATCCTCACGTTTGCATAGTCTTCGAGGCTCCCAAGTAGACATGCTTTTCTAATATCTCCAAGCCTAGATAAGGCCATGTCACCAGACAGCAAGCCACTCCAGGCACCACAATGATTATACCTTGGTCTGGCCTGAACCATGTTTTTAAATCCAGGGACTTGGAGCTAAGCCTTTAAACTGCTACAGTCAGGCAACATCATAGATGTTGTGCAGGGTAGGTGTTCAATAATTTTTCCTTTGTAAACATGAATGACTGCCTGCTATGTTCGGAATTCTGATTTGGGGTCGAATGAGAGATTGGCATATTTGAATGGGCCTTGGATTGGGGATTCAGGGTCTGAGCTCTTGTCACAACTGTGGCAGATGCAAACTGATCATATTAATTGTAACTGACACTTACTGAGTATTTACTAAGTAACATCAAGTCTTTTACTCACATTATTTTGTCTAGTTTATAAATTTATTGATAGGTAGTATTTTAATCTTCATTTAAGTTACAGAATCAGAGACTTAGTTGCTTAAGCTCCCCCAGTTAATAAGCAGACCTGGGCTTTGCAATTCAGGCCTGCCCTGTTCGGATCTGGAACTCTGAGTCACCACCCACACAAACCTCCTATTCCTGGGTCTCAATTTCCTCTTCTGTAAAATAAGGAGGCTATGCTTAGTGATTTTTAAAGTTCTTTAAGGGCGATACCAAACAACTCAAGTCACATGTCTTAGGAGCTTGATGGATGTGCATTTGGGTGGCAGTTTAGACATTTGCTGCCTTGGGGCCATTGTGAACATCAGTGAGATCATGTAGGTGAAGGTCTTGTTTTTATTTATTTATTTTTATTGAGGCAGGCTCTCACTCTGTTACCCAAGCTGGGCTGCAGTGACATGATCATAGCTCACTGCAGCCTTGACCCCCAGGCTCAGGTGATACTCCCACTTCAGCTTCCCAAGTAGCTGGGACTACAGGTGTGGACCACCACACTCAGCTGATTTTTTTTATTTTTTGTAGAGACATGTTCTCCTTATGTTGCCCAGGCTGGCCTTGAACTCCTGGGCTCAAGTGATCTTCTCGTCTTGGCCTCCCAAAGTGCTAGGATTACATGTATGAGCCACTGCTTCAGACCCAAGGTCTTGGCACTCGGCCAGCCTCCATGCATGCCAGTTTTCCTTTCTTTCCTCTTTTAGCTGTAAATTCTTTGATTCTATGATGCCAAAGAAACACGGTAAGTCAGTGTTACCACGGTGGTTGTTGTTCACTGATGGTTCATGAAATCAGAAAAGTAAGGATAAGGAAGTAAACTTTCAAAGAGATAAATTGATTCAATTTTGATTATCTGTCTATGTCTACTGTGAAACGACTGTGATAAGAGATAGTGATTTTTGTTTGTATTTTCCAGATGATATACATGGTTTATAAATTTAGGTCTCTTGGCCCAGATTTTTTTCTGAATTTTCACTAGCCCATAAAGACAAATGCCTAGAAATAGCAGTAGCTGAGCAGGACTTTTTAAACTATGTGTGGTAAAACAGCAATTGTTTTAAAATTGTCCAATATATCACAGACTGTGGCTTTTGTAAAATTAAAACTAAATTACTTGAAAAATAAATTTTAAAAAAGCATATACAGATACAAGCTCCATTTTTTAATTATCAAGATCAATGACATGAAATGATTCTGTCAAATTGTAATGCAAGTCTCTCAACACTTACCTTCAATTTCTGTGCTTATTTTTCTGGAAGCTGGCAACCACAGGTTCACAGATAACTCTTGGAGTATCACAGAGCGGGGAACTCTGCCCCACTTGGAGGAAGGTCCACTTAGTAACAGAGCAAAGTTCTTAACCTGGGGTTTGTAGATATAATTCTGAAAGCCTGTGAACTTGGAGGGGGAAAATATTTACATATCTTTTCTTTGCTAAATTCTAATTGAAATTTAGAGTTAGGCTGCAAACTACAGTGGTGTTAGTAGTACCTATGAATTTGGTTTCAAGAGAGGTCACAGTTACTTTCACATCATATATTTAAAACAATCTCAAGATATTGTTTACGCTTATCATGTTTTTGAAATTGCAATCGCTATTAGACATATCGCTTTATTGTTAGTATGTCATTAAAGAGGCACAAACTATAATTTAAAAAATATTATAGTAACTGTGTTTCAATGTAATTGATTTTCTTTGTATCTCAGCTCACTACAACCTCCGCCTCCTGGGTTCAAGTGATTCTCTTGCCGCAGCCTCATGAGTAGCTGGGATTACAGGCACGCACCGCCATGCCCGGCTAATTTTCGTACTTTTAGTAGAGACGCGGTTTCACCATGTTGGCCAGGCTGGTCTTGAACTCCTGGCCTCAGGTGATCTGTCCACCTCAGCCTCCCAAAGTGCTGGGATTACAGGCGTGAGCCACTGCACCTGGCCTAAGAATTAATTCTAAGAGGGGTTTATAAGCATGTCTCAGCTCCATAAGTTCTTCTTGCCCACTGCCCTCCAAAAAGATCAATGAGAACAGCAGGCATTGCAGTAAATAAAGAGTTGAATAATCACAGTGTTGGCCAAACAAGAGCAGGCAAAAACTTCTCAATCCCCTCTCCCTCAGGATTCAAAGGCTAAGGTTTGTAAAGGGTACTTTGGTGGGCATGGGGCTGGGGAACTTGTATAATTGATTGGCAGGGAATGAAATCACAGGAGCACCTAAAACTGTCTTTGTGCAACTGAGTCAGTTCCCAGGAGGGGTGTGTGTGTTGGCCTCAAGACTAGGTGGTGTCTGTTGGTCTACTGAAATGCTAACAAATATCTAAAAGACCAGTTATTTAGGTTTCACAATAGTGATTGATATGGTTAGGCTTTGTGTCAGAACCCAAATCTTATCTTGAATTGTAATCCCCATAATCCCCATGTGTCAAGGGAGGGACCAGGTGGGATGTGATTGGATCATGGGGGCGGATCCCCCTATGCTGTTCTCATGATAGTGGGTGAGTTCTCATGAGATCTGATGGTTTTGCAAAGCAGTTTTCCCTGCTCTTGCTCACTCTCTCTGGCCTGCCGCCATGTTAAGAAGTCCCTGCTTCCCCTTCCACCATGATTGTTTCCTGAGGCCTTCCCACCCTTGCGGAACTGAGTCAACGAAACCTCTTTTCTTTATAAATTACCCAGTCTCAGGCATGTCTTTATAGAAGTGTGAAAACAGACCAATACAGTGATGTTATCTTTGGTAGTTGGGGAAGTTATGAATTTTGTGACACTGGTTGTGTGACTGGGGCAGTAAGCAACTTATAGAAAAACAAACTAAGCCATGGCAGGACATTGTTTATGCCTATTCTTTAGCAAAGTCTAAGCCCCTACCATAATTCCAACCTTGCCTTATGAATGCGCCTTTAAGCTCCAGGCAAGGAGGGGGATCATTTTCCCTTGACTCCAAGTTTAACTATAAACTAAATCCCTCTCATAGGTTTCTTGGCCTTTGTACTAGAATAAGCAAAAAGCCAACCAAAAAAAAAAAAAATCCCCTAGAAAACATAATTTAGCCTGGGAGGTTAGAAGCAAGATGGAGTCAGTCTTGTTAGATTTCTCTTATTTATAGTTCTGCAAAGGCAGTTCAAGAGTCACCAGACTGTTAAAGGATTTCCATACTGCAAACAAGCTTAAGGACACCTTAAAGAAGAAAGAAGAAAACTATTTTTAAAACATTTTTAAAACAACTTCCTTCCATCACAATCATCAGATTGTGCTACTAAACGTCAGTGAGTTCCTGAGAGATTCGGAGTCAGTGCAAGAGACCAGGGCTCTTTTGGAATACTGGGGTCATTTATTTTTTGCTCTTTATCATCTACAAATTGTGTCTGTGTTCTCTTACCAGACATACAGGGTGTCCTCACCACCGATTAAACATTCAGTGCCTGGAGGGGATGGAGTGGGTCATGGGAGCTGGCTTTTCCTTCCAAAAGTCTTAAGGATGTCCTTCTTAGAGCAAGACCACGATTACTAATTAACTAAAAATTCTGATCCTGGAAATAAAAGCTGGCCATTCATTTGCATTTGAAAGCCATTAACATTTTCTTGATAGGTCGGTAAATAGTTACCAGATCTTTGGTTGCTTTGGTGGACTGTGCTCCTCTGCTTTTATTGCTAAGCCATCCTTCAGACAGAGAGGGAGCGGCTGCAAGAGGTAATGAGGTATGTTTGTGAACCTTGTATTCTTTTACGGTTACAGATGTGTGTCTACAAGTGTGTGTGAATTTGAGTTGATCTCTTTTAGTCAAAATGCCCTTGTTGGCCGGGTGCAGTGGCTCACACTTGTAATCCCAGCACTTTGGGAGGCCGAGGCGGGTGGATCACGAGATCAGGAGATCGAGACCATGGTGAAACCCCATCTCTACTAAAAAAATACAAAAAATTAGCCGGGCATGGTGGCGGGCGCCTGTAGTCCCAGCTACTCGGAGAGGCTAAGGCAGGAGAATGGCGTGAACCTGGGAGGTAGAGCTTGCAGTGAGCCGAGATCACGCCACTGCACTCCAGCCTGGGTCGTAGAGCGATACTCCGTCTCAAAAAAAAAAAAAAAGCCCTTGTTAATTTGTTAAACACAAAGATAAACAACACCAATAATAAATCAAAAATTATGCACATGCATACACATGGAACAAAATTCTCATTTATCTTTTTTTCTTAGTGTGTGTATATTTTTCTGAACTAAGGCTGGATCTATAAGCCTGATTGTAGTGAAACCTGTGTGTTTGTGTGTGTTTCTGTGTGAGGTGTGATGAATTATTTAATACTTAGGTTGAGGTAGCAGGCAGAAATTCTTTCAGATTCTGGAAATGAAGTGAGAGAAATGAATAAAAGGAGTTAGAATTTGGGAGTGAGATTAGAGCATTTTCCCTCTGAAAGGATTTGGAGTTGTGATTGAGAAAATGTAACTGAAGAACCAATTATAATCAGAAAATTGAGAAATATATCACTATGCTTATGGGTTTGGTGCCTCTGTTGATTAAATACAGAATAATTTTAGGGGATAGTCTGAGGATGTGTGTAAAATATTGGGATGCATTTATGAGTTGGTGTGCATTGGTGGGTAGGAGAGGTTTCCTGTGGAATGTGGGAGGAGGTCATAAAGAGAAAGGTAGGGTATCTGTCCTGGCAGTCATGTGTGGAGTAGAATGGGAGTGCTCGTGGGAAGAGGAGAAGGTGATAAATTGTTGTTGGCCCTTAAACTTAAAAACTTAAAATAAAATACTTAAAATAAACTTAAAATAAAACTTAAAATAAAACTTAAAAAAAGTTGGATCCTTACTAGTTGCCAGTCTAGCTAGACACACGCAGGCATTTCTTTTCTGACTGGTTACAGAGGTGGGAAGGGAGAGTTACTCTTGGGGAAAGAGAGAGAAATTGAGACTAATCCCCATGGGTCTCCCTGAAAAAGGATACCACTAGGTTCTTCATGCAGGATCTGATCAGTGGCTTTGCTGGGCGAGGAAGACCTCCCAATGTCCAAACTGTCTACAGTCTGTGTCCTGGTGTGGGACAGTAAGTGTATGTCTGTAGGTGTGCAAAGAGGGGGTGAGATGGAGGGGGTCTTTGGTTTGTTGTGCTGGTAGGTCCCTGTGCTACCAGGGACCAAATGAAGTGGGACACTAAATTTAAGACAGCTTGTTGCTATTTCAGTCACACTCTCACAAGATGCCAATGATTATTTTTTATTATCAGGCATTCCCTCACAAATACATTTTAATGAGCTAATAAAATTACTATAAAAATTGTTCTATAAGCATGGAATGGAACTAGAAAAGAAATTTTCCATTTAAAATTTGTTCAGGTGGCAGCTGTGGAATGTGATGAGAAATATAAGCCTTTGCACACCCTGTTGCTGGGCTCAAGGAGGAGTTAGCTGTCTCCTAGAGATGATCCTTTTGCAGTTCAGATGGGGAAACTGAGACCCAGAGGGGTTAAGTGGATTTTTCCAAGGTCATACAGCTGGCTAGGGTCAGAGCTGACTCTTAAATCTCTCACCTTGGGTGTGACCAGACTTGGAAGAAAAAAGCCATTCATTAGCTACCTTATCCCTTCCCATTCACCAAGCAGCTGGGAAAGGATGGCCCAACCTACTAATATCGCCCAGCATTTTTGATGAATAGCTATGGCTCACTGGGGTCCTCTTTGCAAGTTGTTCTTAGTCTATCTATCCACAATGAATCCTCTTTTCCACTAGATCTCATGTCTTGTGTTAGCAAAGGATTTTAAAAGAATGGCTTAGACCTCCATATACACATCAAACGCTGGCTATAATGCCGGAAAGAGGACAAATATCCAGTTTTTCCAAATTAATTTAGATAGCCATTTTAATAATTTGGGCCCCCATGTGGTTTGTCTACTTTGCCTAAAGAACTATAATGGTACCAGGACAATGAGCTTTGACAATTATTCATATACTAAATAATTCAAGAAGAAAAAAATTCTATTGCTTTTGCGTAATGTATATATAGTAATAATTCTTTTTTTAAATTTTACTTTAAGTTCTGGAATACATGTGCAGAATGTGCAGGTTCGTTACATGGGTATACATGCGCCATGGTGGTTTGCTGCACCTGTCAACCCATCATCTAGGTTTTAAGCCCCACATGCATTAGGTATTTGTCATAATTCTCTCCCTCCCCTAGCCCGCCATCCCCTGACAGGCCCTAATGTGTGATGTTCCCCTCCCCATGTCCATGTGTTCTCATTGTTCAACTTCCACTTATGAGTGAAAACATGTAGTGTTTGGTTTTCTGTTCCTGTGTTAGTTTGCTGAGAATGATGGCTTCCAGTTTCATCCATGTCCCTGCAAAGGACATGAACTCATCCTTTTTTATGACTGCATAGTATTTCATGGTGTATATGTGCCACATTTTGTTTATTCAGTCTATCATTGATGGGCATTTGGGTTGGTTCCAAGTCTTTGCTATTGTAAATAGTGCTGCAGTAAACATACGTGTGCGTGTGTCTTTATAGTAGAATGATTTATAATCCTTCGGGTACATACCCTGTAATGGGATTGCTGGGTCAAATGGTATTTCTAGTTCTAGATCCTTAAGGAATTGCCACGCTGTCTTCCACAATGCTTGAACTAATTTACACTCCCAACAGTGTAAAAGCGTTCATATGTATATAGTAATAATTCTTATATTTCAGTAAGATTATTTTCTGACCAACCTAATTAAAATTGCCACCCTTACCCCAACATTCCTCATTTACCCCCCACTTTTTCTCCATATACTTACACAGTATAACCCAGTGTATATTTATTTATTTTGTTTATTGTCTCTTTTTTCTATTCATGGGAACATAAGTCTCATGACGGCAGGGATTTTTATCTGTTTTGTTCATTGTTGTGTAGTCAGTTTTTGAAAGAATGCTTGGCACATTGTAGGAACTTAATAAATAATTCATGAATGAATAAATAAACTGCAAGCAGATTTCTTTCTTCCAGAGATGTAGTTTAGATAATGATGAATGATCTTGGCAAATGAGGCACATCAGTAGCTTCTTCTAGGTCTCCCAGATAATTTAAAACGTGCTATGGGCCATAAACTTAATGTGTTTTTATTTGATAAAACTATAATCTCACAGAAAGCCCAAGCTGGTGTACACTGTGGGGCATTATAGCATAGAATACAGAGTGATGGTTAAAAGCCATGGCTGTGGAGTCCAAAGGGCAGGTGTTCAAATTGTGGCTTTGCTCCTTATCAGCTGTATGATGACATCAGGCAGTTTATTTGACGTTTCTGAAGCTTAGTTTTTTCATCTGAAAGTGAGGATAGTAGCCATGATTAACTTGCAGTCGTTATAAAAATGGCATGTGACAAATTATGGAAACCTCTTAGGATATCTGCTCAATCACTGTTAACCATTATTATCATTAGCATTAAAATTGCATAGTTATATATTTGTCCTATAAAAAAATAGTCAAAGATTAAGGACAGATTGCCAAGTAGCAGTTTTTTAAAAAACATTTTTAAAAGCCCTTAACCCTATTTAAATTATTTCCTTTTTTATTTGCGTCTTGCCATTTTTCCTGATCTTAGTTTTTCTTCAATTGCATTTCTAATTGAGATAGGAAGCTTCACCATCAAGAGTTCTATAATGCAGGAAGTAAGGTCAATCAGATAATGCTGGAGTTTTTTTTAAGGTTTAAGGAAATCTTTCTCTTGTATAGCTAGAAAATAGATATTATTGTTCCATAGAGCAAGTAACCATATTTGAAAATATGGAGCAAAAGGACTATTAATAAACAGCAAACATGTTTTTAAAAATATGCTAATGATATTTTATTAAAAAGTCATATTTACCTATGCATATTGGTTATCTATTGCAGGGTAACAAATTACCTTACAATTTTGTAGTTTAAAACAACAAACATTTATTATCTCCCAATTTATGTAGGTCAGAAATATGGGGGTGAGTTAGCCGAGTGGTGCTGATTTAGGGTCTCTCATGAATCCAGCCAATATGTCAGCCAGGACTGTAGTCATGTGAAGGCTTGAATAGGGGTAGAGGCTTGCTTTCAAGGGACCTCACTCAGATGGCTCTTAGCAGAAGACCTCAGTTCTTTGCTAGAAATTTCCATAGTCCTGCTTGAATGTTATGATGGCATGGTAACTGGTTTCTTCAGGAAATGATCCAAGAGAAAGAGCAAGGAGGAAGCTGTAATGCCTAGTCTTGGAAGTTAGATGCCATCCCTTCTCCACATCCTATCTGTTGAAAGTGAGTCACTAAGTCCAGCTCATCCTCAGAGGGTGAGGTGGTGGGGACTCGCCCTACCTCTTGAAGAGAGGAGTATCAAATAATTTGTTAAATTAAAAACACCTGCCGTGTGATGATTTTAAATAACATTGAATTATATTTTACTTCACGTATTTACTGATTGCTGTCTCTATGGATATTTACACTTTTTTGCTATTACGTGTAATACTGTGATGAAAAACCTTTATTTGTATATACATTGATTCCCAAGTGTGTAAGTGTATTTAAGGGATGAATTTCTATAAATGCAATTGCTGGGTAATGGGCATGAGTAATTTTAATAGTTTTTACCAAGTCTTCATTGAGCATAGGGTGTTTATAGTTTGACCAGCAGTCGGTGGGTGTTTCTTCATAGTGTCTAACATAGTGTGTTAATAAACACTTGGAAAAAAATTAAATATTTTTATAAAAAGCAATCTCACATCTTACAACTATTAGCATCTACCAAAGAGGAGGCATGGTCACTTGGATAGACATTCTAACTCCTCTTCTTATCAGTGAACATAAGATTACTCTTTGCTTTATTAGTTAATTTAATTATACCAGGCATGAGAGATTATTAATCTTTATGGAATTTAACAAGCAAGTTTAATTTTATAGGATTTCTTATGAAGCTCTTTGGAATGTGAGATAGTGGTGACAGTCATGGTAAGAAAGACTAGAATTGGAGTAATTTATTCTAGAAAACACAAGGCAATCCTTGCTGTAGAGAAAGGTTGCTTTCACAGCTCCATTTCCTTTTGCATAGTAAGAGGGCATTACGTTGACTAACAGCAGTTTCTTATCAGTGTATGAGAAGTAAGTCCTCTTATTCAACCAATCCTTGGATAAATGACTAAGGATGGCTGCTTCCTACTGAAGAGAATGTGGGAGGAAACATTGATTGGGTGGAGAATGAGACCGCAAGGAAATATCAAACAATTCCTAAATTAGGGAGTCATGAATTAAGACCTCACAGGAGAAGAAGGGTGATGTTCTTTTTGAGTAAAGAGAGTATGATTTACAAGGCAGCCTGGGAAAGCAAGCATTGGTGGGTTGGTGGAGAAAGTAGGCCTTGTATAGGCAAGACTGTAGCTATGGCTCCTCTTCCTGGCTTTCTGCACCTATGTCCCAGGCAATGCATGAGTCATCCAACACACGGGGCCATAAAGCACTTAATGAAGGTCATACCAGAGCAAGCCAACCAGGACAGCAATCAGCATTGTTCATCAGCTGCTCCACCAGAACACCAAGTCGGGTGTGGTGACACACTCAGGGAAAGTGGGACTGACATATTTTGTAGGAACATTCTGTTTCTTACCCAGGACCCATTACCTGTCTTCTCTTTGGTAAATAATGAGACCTGTGCTTTATGACTTAGAATATTTTTATTTGATTTCCACAATAAGAAGGTGGCAATAGATAATAATAACAAAAGAAATTGTAGTTTCATTTTACAGATAAGAAAATTGAGACTCAAGAGTATTACATAAATTGTTTCAGCTACCACAGCAAAAAATGGTATGGTTGGGAATCAAGCTCAGGGATTCTCATGCTCTATTTAGCACCACCTTCTCTTCTGAGAAGAACTTGGGGATAGAATAAAAAAATAAGACACTAATGAAATGTTTAGCACATGTGTCTTTTGTGAAAGGGAGAAATAGAGTAGTGTGAGATTTCTGTGACTCACTTGAAAATGACTTTTAAAAACTAATATAGAAGCCAACATCACCCTGATACCAAAGACAAAGACACAACAAAAGAATAAAACTACAGACCAATATCCCTTATTAACATAGATTCAAAAATTCTTGACAAAATACTAACAAACTGAATCCAACAGCATGTGGAAAAGATAATAACACCATGATTAGTGAGTTTTATTACAGATATGCAAGGATGATTCAACATGCACAATTCCATAAATGTGATTCATCACACAAACAGAATTAAAAACAAAACCCATATGATCATATCAATAGATGCACAAAAAGTATTTGATAAAATCCAGCATTCCTTCATAAAAAAAAACCCTTAAAAACCTTGGCGTAGGGAGACCATACCTCAAAATAATGAAAGCCATATATGAAAAACCCATAGCCAAAATCATACTGAACAGGGAAAAGTTCAGTACGATTGAAAGCATTCCCCCTAAATGGAGAAAAGACAAGGATGCCCATTGTCACCACTCATATTCAATATAGTACTGGGAGTCCTAGCTGCAGCAGTCAGGCAATAGAAGAAAATAACAGGCATCCAAACTGGAAAAAAGGAAGTCAAATTACCTCTGTTCACTGATGGTATAATCTTATACCTAGGAAACTCTAAACCCTTCAAAAGACTCCTAGATTTAATAAATGACTTCAGTAAAGTTTCAGGACACAAAATTAATGTACAAAAATTAGTAGCATTTCCATACACCAGTAACAATCAGGCTGAGAACCAAATCAAGAACTCAATCCCATTTACAATAAAATAAAATAAAATACCTAGTAATACATTTGACCAAGGAGGTCAAGGATCTCTACAGACAACTATAAAACACTGATGAAAGAAATTGTAGATGACACAAATTGGAAAACATCCCATGTTCAAGGATTGGAGGAATCAGTATCATCAAAATGACCATACTGCCCAAAGCAATCTACAGATTCAGTGCAATTGTTATCAAATTACCAATATTATTCTTCACAGGTTTAGAAAAAACAATCCTAAAATTCATATGGAACCCTGAAAGAGTGTAAGTAGCCCAAGTAATCCAAAGCAAAAAGAATAAAGCTGGAGGTATCACATTACCTGACTTCAAATTACTCTAAAAGACTATAGTAATGCAAACAGCACAGTACTGGTATAGAAATAGACATATAAATCGGTAGAAAAGAATAGAGAACTCAGAAACATAGCCAAATACCTACAATCAACTGATTCTTGACAAAAATATGCACTGGTGAAAGGACTCCCTATTCAATAAATGGTACTGGGAAAACTGGGATGTCATATGCAGAAGAATGAAATCTCTCACCATGTACAAAAATTAACTCAAGATGGATTTAAGGCTTAAATGTAAGACCTGAAACTATAAAATTACTAGAAGAAAAATCTAGGAAACACTCTCTGGACATTGGCCTAGGCAAAGAATTTATGACCAAGTCCTCAAAAGAAACCACAACAGAAACAAAATCAGACAAAAGGGGACTTAATTAAACTAAAAAGCTTCTGCACAGTAAAAAAATAAAATAGAGTAAACAGACAACCAACAGAATGGGTTAAAATATTTGCAAACAGTGTATCTGACAAAGGGCTAAGATCCAGAATCTATAAGGAACTCAACAGGAAAAAAAACACATAACCCCATTAAAAAGTGGGCAAAGGACATGAACAGGTATTTTTCCAAAAAAAAGGCATACAAGTGGCCAAAAAACATGAAAAAATGCTCAACATCACTAATCATCAGAGAAATGCAAATTAAAACCACAAATGAGATGATATCTTACACTGGTCAGAATGGCTATTATTGAAAAGTCAAAAAACAACACATATTGGGGAGGATGCAGAAAAAAGGAAATGCTGATACAGTTTTAGTGAGGATGTAAATTAGTACAATCTCTATAGAAAATGGTATGGAGATTTCTCAAGGAACTAAAATTAGAACTACCCTTCAATCCAGCAATTCCACTACTGAGTATCTACACATAAAAAAATAAATTGTTTTATCAAGAAGACACCTGCAATTGTATTTTTATTGCAGCAGTGTTCACAATAGTAAAGTCATGAAATCAATCCAAGTGTTCATCAACAGATGATTGGATTAAAAATGTAGTGTACCTATATGCCATGGAATACTACTCATCCATAAAAAACAATGAAATCATATTTTTTAGCAACATGGATAGACCTGGAGGCTATTTTTTCTGCGTGAAATGACCCAGAAACAGAAAGTAAAAAACTGCATGTTCTCACTTATACACGAGAGATAAACAGTGAGTATATATGGACATACAGAGTCATAGACACTAGAGACTCCAAAAGGAGAAAGGGTTAGGGGGGAGGTGAAATACTACCTATTGGGTACAATGTACACTATTTGGGTGATTGGTACACTAAAAGCCCAGTCTTCACCACTATGCATATACATCCATGTAACATAATTGCATTTGTACTCCTAAATCTATAAAAATTAAAATCAGTACAAAATATTTTTAAAAAGTGAAAAAAATGCTGGTAGGAATATCATAGATCTTCTAGTTCAATTTATTTCCTTTGTAAATGAGAAAACTGAGAATGAGAAAGCTTAAGTAAATTTTCCAAGGTAGTCTAGCTGGTTATTTTCAGAATGAAGATTGCAAAAAAGAGAATTAACTAGATTTAAAGTCTCCTGGAAGATGCTATATCATCTATGTACCATTCTTGCTAAAAAATCAAACTTAAATCTGATAAAAACTCTAAAGCTAATAATTAATTTACAGGAACTATAAGGGTAGAGAAACATGTTAGCATGCATAGAGATGTAATCAACAAAATTCAGATTGCAGGAAAAATCTACAGAACAAATTCTGTTTATTAAAAAATACATAACAGATATAAACCAATTACAAGAGATAAATCTTACTTGCATCCTCAGGAGAGCAGAACAAATTATAAAAGTTTATCAGACAATGAAAGAAATTTTAAAATTCACTAGATATTTGATGACAGTAAATTATTATAAACATATATTAGGTATGATAATATTTTGCCTTTTGCAAAATTTCTTATCTTTTAAAGAAACATACTATTTTTAGATTAAAAGACATGAGACCTGAGATTTGTTTCAAAGTAATTCAGGGGTAGGGAGAAAAGTGGACCAGAATAAGGACAGAATGAATTGGCCATGAGCTGATAATTTTTTAATTTAGATAATGGATGCTTGGGAGGCTTGTTATAGTATTCATTGCATACATTTGAGCTTTTCCATTAAAAATCTTACTAGTTATATAGTAAATCAAATTCAAATCTAAAATTGTTTTCTCTTACATTTTAGAGATGGCAAGAAAGAAGCTGAAAAAATTTACTACTTTGGAGATTGTGCTCAGTGTTCTTCTGCTTGTGTTGTTTATCATCAGTATTGTTCTAATTGTGCTTTTAGCCAAAGAGTCACTGAAATCAACAGGTAAGAAGTAACTCTGGGGCTCTCTCCATATGTTGTTTTTATTAGAGCAAACCTTCAACAATGTCAGGAAAGTAATGCTTTCATGCTCATGTGTGTATGTGTTTGTTGCGGGGGCTGTTATATGTGTGTGTTCTATGTGTTTTGGACAGCTCAGTAGATATTCATTGTAGGTTTAAGTTCTGATACTTTGATTTATCAATTAATGCATTGCAGAATTCCATAATTGACTTTTTAAAAATATTTGCCAAATTTCCTTAAATAAGTCTAATTCTGCTAAGAATGATAATTAACAATACCCTTATGTGAAAGGCAAGCGAGTATATGAGAGACTTCAAGCAGTTTGTGGAAAAATAGAAATATAGAAATAAAAAGAAAGCTAGAAAGATAAAAATAAAAAAAACTTTATTTCTCAGTGTAAACTCCATCAAGTTCAAGACACTTTTGTAAAAGATGATACCAGCCATTTAGTCCATCCATAAGAACTGAGGGTCCTGGGAATTTAACCTTTGTAATGCAGTCTTTTTTACATTATTAACTGAAAAAAATGAATGCCCTTTATAGATTTTTTTTTAAGATTAGGAAACTAAAAGAAGTCAAAAGGAGCCAAATAGGAACCATAAGGTGGATTTCCCATCAAAACTCTTGCAAAATTGCCCTTGTTTGATGATGAAATTAGCAGGAGCTTTGTGGTGGTGGAGAAGGACTCTCCGTGAAGCTTTCCCGGGCATTTTTCTGCTAAAGCTTTGGCAAACTTTCTCAAAGCACTCTCATGATGAGCAGATGTTACTGCTCTTTGGCCCTCCAGAAAGTCAACAAGGAAAATGCCTTGAGTATCCCAAAAAACCGTTATGTGACCTTTGCTCTTGACTGGTCTGCTTTTGCTGTGACTGGGCCACTTTCCCCTCTTGGGAGCCATTGCTTTGTGCTTTGTCTTAAGGCTCATACTGGTAAAGCCATGTTCCATCACCTGCTACAACTCTTGGAAGAAATATTTCAGAATCTTGATCCCCACTTGTTTAAAATTTCTGTTTAAGGTTCTGCTCTTGTTTGCAGCTGATGTGGGTGCAACAATTTTGGTACCCGTAGAGCAGAAAGTGTGCTCAACTTTCATTTTTCAGTCAGAACTATATAAGCTGAACCAATTGAGACATCTGTGGTTTTGACTATTGTTTCTGGTGTTATTTGTCAGTCCTCTTCATTAGGGCATGAAAAAATTAATTTTTATCTTCACAAATGGATGTGGATGGTCTGCTGCTGTGCGCTTCATCTTCAATATTGTATTGGCCCTTCTTAAAATAAGTTATTCCTTTGTAAACTGCTGATTTCTTTGGGGCATTGTCCCCATAAACTTTTTGTGAGTATCAGTGATTTCACCATTTTTCCACCCAAGCTTCACCGTGAGTTTGATGTTTGTTCTTGTTTCAATTTTAGCAGAATTTATGTTGCTCTGATAGGTGCTCTTTTCAAATTGATGTCTTATCTTTCCTAGTGCCTCAAGCTAAGTCCTGTTCAGACATGTTGTAACAATCTACTTTGAGTTTATTTTAGTACCAAAAATATTTGAAATTTATACATAGTTTTTTCATAATACATATTTTTCATGGACTTTCTGAAGACCCTCATCTAATCAAACTTTTTTTGTTTATTGAATTTTTATATCCTCAAAAGGAGCTGGATTATGCTGAATTATCCATGGTTTCTTATCTGATTCATCTAGGATCAACTTCCTAGGAGAACCAGGCAATCAAGTGTTAACCTGTGGCTTCTCTGCCCCTCCTACCCCATCCCTTGTTACAACAATATCTACTTTTTGTAGAAAAAAGTCCCAAAGATTGCTCAACTCTTAAAATTATGTGATTCTAAAGATGTAACTAAAACCATTATGCAGACATTGGCACAATTTGAATTTGAAACCCCCAATGAAAAGAAAACCAATCAAAAGACACTGTTTTGTCTTAATGTCATTATTAATTTATTGCAGAATACCTTCAAGAAAGCTCACCTCCTTATTTTAGGATACAATAAAAATACCTTTTCTAATTTACTGATTTTTAAATCTGAATTCAAAGTTCACTAGCCCTTAGGTAAGTCCTAGCTGTCAGTTTTTAGAGTGGTGGCCTCCCTTTACATCTTTTGTCATATAGGACTTTGTATTTACAGAAGAATGGCATTGCTCAGAAGCATTCTTTGACTTGGGGATTGGCTGTTGACTGAGCAAGCAAAGCTGAGGTTACTATAATTAGGATGACACTTGTACTGCACATGTTCTGTGTGCCCTTGCTGCTGGGGTTGGAAGTAAAGAATCAGATCAGAGGTCTTCAGACTTTACTGTAAAGGACCAGATAGTAAATATTTTAGATTTTGTGGGCCATACAGACTCTGCCATAATGACTTAATTTTGCCCTAGTAGCACAAAGCAGCTAAAAACAAACGAGTTTGTAATGTGTATAATATGTAATGTGCATGTGTGTAATGTTCCAGTAATACTTTGTTTGTAAAACAGGCTTTGACTTAATTTGGCCTGAAGGCCATAGTTACTGACCCCTAGACTAAAGGAAGGGTGGTCCCCACCTTCATGAGCTTCTAGTCTAAAGGCGGAGTCCTTGCTCTTATACATACTATCTTGTAGGGGAGGGAGTTGGGAGTAGAAGGAGATGATATAGAGATACACAAAGGTAAATACAGTCAGCAGGAACAAAGTGACATTTTATAAAGTGAATGCATAAATTTTGAGGTCATCAGAGTGAAGCCTACTCAGTAGTGGAGTTAATTGGAGGTGTTGAGAACTATTGAATGTCTGTGAAATTAAATTTGTCTAATGGTCTTTTTATGTTTGCTTTTGGTATAGCCCCAGATCCTGGGACAACTGGTACCCCAGATCCTGGGACAACTGGTACCCCAGATCCTGGAACAACTGGTACCACACATGCTAGGACAACGGGTCCCCCAGATCCTGGAACAACTGGTACCACTCCTGTTTCTGCTGAATGTCCAGTGGTAAATGAATTGGAACGAATTAATTGCATCCCTGACCAGCCGCCAACAAAGGTTTGAGTTATGAATTTTGTTTCCATTTTAGAATTTATGCAACTTGATAGTTTATTTTTTTTTGTTGTTTTGTTTTGGTTTTCTTTATTAGTGACTCTCAAGAGAGGTGTTTATGTTGCAGCCATTAGTGGCTCAGGCAAATTAACCTGTGTCCATGCTTGTATGACAGTGCAGCTTCAGGAAAGGAAGACCTGGAAAATTCCCTTGGGTTGCCAGATTCAGCAAATAAAAGTGCGGTTGCCCAGCCAAATTCAAATTTCAGAAAAACAATGAATAAGCTTTTAGTATAAGTGTGTCCCGTGAAAGATTTTGGGCTTACTTACTAAAAACGTATTTGTCTTTTATATGGCAACACTACATGATTACTAGTTCTTTCTGACTCTGTTCATGCCCTGTATGTCTCTCCTCCTTTCAGAATTTCCAAAGCTCATCTAGAATCTGCAGTAAAAATTCACAAAACATTATTTAAAATAAGGGCAAAGTTTCAAGAGCTCTGTTTTGGAAGGAAGAAGGTAATGAATACCAGATTAAAGACAGTGCAGACATCTGGGCATTTACCTTAGCCCAGTGTTTCTAGATTATCGGCTGAAGTCCACCTGATTATGATGATTATAAAGTACTTGCCCACACCCTATGTTTGATGTGCCAAATTTACAGAAAGTTGATGCACATGCATTTACTTTCCCTGTCATATTGTGCAAGTTACTCAATAGCTCAATTGAGCTGTACTCAATAGCTCACTCAAGCTGTACTCAATAGCTCACTCATTACTTGGAAGCTCACCTAGATTATCACATTCTCAGTATGTCACACTACTGCAACACTCCATCTTGTCACTGGGTATTGGTGCACTTCAGATACAGCCATAGTAATGTTTCTTTGGTGCTTTATTGTAAGATCTTTTGATAAATACTGTGGTATCAAGATTGAAGTTCAATAAATGAACTTTGGCTTTTCTACATGTCATATCTAACTGAATTACTCCACGGCCTTGGCGTTTATTAATTGGCATTCTCCTTTTTTGCTCAGCCAGAGAGAAATACTGGCACTTTCAATGATTCATTTTCTTGTAGAAGATACATCTTAGAACTTTTGTTGTATGTTTTCTGAATCCTGAGAGCGGTATGCTGATCCAGATTGTTGTTGAGAGCTGAGGCTATGGATAATGATGTGTTTGTATGGTGTTCACATTAAAGGGAATGTAGCTGAAAGAGGATGGTGGGAAGAAGTTATGAACACAACAGATAGGCTAGGCAGAATGTTCTGGTGTCGAAACCATTGCTATATAATTTTATCATTCTTATCATCTGTCCTCCAAGATTATATGTAAAAGAACTAAAAGAATAACTTTCTCTGCAGATGATTCTTGGTTGTAAATACCATTGTTTGATTCTCCCAGTTATGAGAGGGAATCCTTTTCCAGTACAGGAGGAAGTACTGTATCAAGCCACCCTGACACCCTGAGTACTCTTGGGAGACTCTTCTTTGGAGAGAATGGACTCTAGGAGTCCCCTTCATGGATCTTAGAAAAAAAGATCACTCGATTATCTAACTCTAGTTCGGATCTTTAGTTCTGGGCTTGAAGCTGGTTGGAGGGCATCTTCACTGAATTCCTTCCTATCATATCAGCTGAACTCGTTACCTCCTCACCAAATCTGCTTTTCCTTCTCAGCTACCAGATTTCTGCTAGTAGTTCTATTAAGCTTCTAGTTCTTGAGACAGAAACAGCAGAACTTCTGCTTGGCTCATCCCTTCTATCCCTTTGGCCAGTATTCCATGTATTTTAAAATATTTTCCTTAACAATAATTTCCAGAAGAGGCATTTCATTTCCATTCTTGCAGCCATCCCTAGATCATCATTTCCTCATGCTTGGGTTGCTCCAGGTGCCCCTTGGCATCCCTTCTGAATTCCATTTCTCCTATCCATTCCGTTACATGTGGGATTAGAATTTCTCTTTTTTACATCCAACTTTTGTTATTATTTCTACCCAACTTCAGTACATATAGTGGTTTATTACTGTACGTTGAGCCAAGTTCAAACACTGTCTTCTATCATCTAAGACCCTACCTCTGTGCCTCTATAGGTTCACTTAGGCTATACTTCTATGCAGATTTTAAAGACAACTGTCTACACTTATTCCAAACCTTTGAATTCTAAAATCCTTTCCACTTTCTTGATGAAGTCTTTTATCCCCAATTCCAGAACGCAGAGTTGAAAGATCCCATTGATGGCAGGGAGCAGGAATATTTCATCAAATTCCAGATATCCAGCTTAGGAAAGAAATGATAGTTAATACTTTTAAATCCTTTGATTTTTCAGGGCTATAAAGCACTGTGTAAACATGGGAGGGCAGGTTACGTGCTTAAAGATAAACCCGCATGCCCTAAGTAAATGTTGCAGAGTAATTAAGCTGAGAGAAATTCACAGTTGATTTCCAAGGATAACAATAACATAAGTGGTAATCTCAATAATTTGAGAGGTTACCATATTTCTTAAACAGAAGCTTTGTCATCTTTTACAGCGAACACACTTGGTAATTGTCTATGTATTACTCATTTATTTGGCTTATGATATCCTTTTCCAAATTCCAGTTTATTATCAATATGTTGGGGATCATGTTTTATGATATAGCAGCAAGGGTATTGCATTTTGCCAAGATCATTGTGAGTCTTCACCTTTAAATTACTCTGTGTTTACACAACATCAGTTAATAGCCATTATATGGTGCTAGGAAGAGCAGTGAGCCCAGATAAAAACTTAAAGTCTTAAAAGACTTAAGTTTATGTTTGGCACCTTGAAATGATAATGTAGCCATTGGTCAAGTGAAAGGATGTAAGGGGAGCCAGGTTATTGAGTTACTCAGTCCTGGCTTTGCTTCTGGAAAGCTCTTTGACTTGATCAGTAAGTCACATTTTCTTATAAACTGTGAAATCCTTCTAAGTAAAATGAGACAGTATGTGTTCAGCTAAACATACTCATTAAACGTTCGATTAAATGACTATTGAACACTATACTAACCTCAAAATATTTTAGAATAGTGATCTCTAAGGTTCTGGCAAATGTTTCTCTGAATATTCACCACAGTCTGATTTGGGGGACTAGAAAGACTGGATTATGGGAATGGCAGAGGTGGCAACTTTGTTTTAAAAAGTCTTTGCTGTTAGACTTCACTTTGAGGTTAAATGAAGTGGCCAGCCTAACAAGCTAAATTTCAAAACCTGACTCAAGATGCACATATTATAAAATAGCCTACATTTAAGATATTTCACAGAGTCGAGACTAATTTTATTCATTCGTTAGTTCAAACTTGCTGCACATAAAAACAGCTAGAGAACATTTTGATGAATAGAGGGTGATTTGAAATTCCTTTATCATCAAGTGCTTTCAACTTCTAAAATTCCTGCTCTATTTGAAGATGGGATACTTTGTCTCATTCTACTCATTTTCTTCATGTGGAGACTTTCTGGTTCCACCTTTTTTGTTCACAACATCAGGTTCTTTTGTGCTGCTATAACATAATGCCCAAGACTGAGTAATTTATCAAACACAGAAATTTACTTATCATAGTTATGGATGGAGACTAGAAAGAACAAGACCAAGGTGCTGGCATCTTGTGAGGACCTTCTTGCTGCATCCTCACATGGCAGCACGTAGACAGCAAGAGACAGCCCACTGTCTCCTTTATAAGGGCACCTAATTCCCTTTGTCTGGGAGGAGGCTTCATGGCCTAATCACCTCTTAAAGGCCCCACTGTTAATACTAACATACTGGCAACACGTGAATTTTGGAGGGGGCACATTCCAGCCAAAGCACCAGTCTAACTGAAATTGCTCTAAGTCTTCTATTTTCTTAGACTTCTGTTTTCTTAGGGCAAGCTTCTCCATTTGTCTACTGAATTACAAACTATCCAAACTTAGTGGTTTGCAGCAACAATTGTTTTATTATATGTAGTGATTTTGTAAGTCAGAGATTCTGCCAGGGTTTGGCTGAATGGTTCTGTTCCACATAGCATTTACTGGGATTACATGATATGGTGGTATTTAGTTGGTGGCTGATCTTGTCTGGAGGTTTCAAGATGACTTTACTCACATACCTGGTACCTTGGTGAAAATGGTGGTAAGACTGACTGCACCCTCTTCCCCTCCATGTAGTCACGGAGTCTCTCTTGGTACTCTCTCCAGCAGGGTAGCTGAACTTCTTACATGGTGGCTCAGTGCTGCAAGAGACAGAGGCAAAAGCTTCCAGTTCTCTTAAATACCACACCTAAACCAGCATAGTATCACTTTTGATGCATTTTGTTGATCAGATCAGTCTCAGGGCGGCCCAGCTTCAACAGGAACAGCGACAGACTCCACCTCTTGACACAAAGTGTGTTAAGAGAACTTGATGGCCATTTTAAACAACTGCAGAGGAATGCTTATTTTTTTTTTCAGAGTAGCATAAAGGCTGCTGTTAATGGTGAAGGCTGTGGTGACCTGGACAATACAGATCAGAGCAGGATGGGGTGGCACAGGTTAGAGGAGTCAGCACTGGGAATAGGGTGGGTGGCAGAGTTGAGTGACTGAGGTCTAATGCGAATTGTGAGGAGCTCCTCCTGTTCCCTCCAGTGGCAGGAAATGGTTGATGCCACTGACTCACTCAAGCTGACTCTGCCTCAGTCTGGGATCATGTCCTTTTAACCAGCTTGCATTTGTCCTTGCAACTTTGCCCTCTTTCTTTCCTGAATGCTGTAGTTGCTGAAGTTTTGATTTTCTTTTTTTTTAAATCTTAGATCTGCTGTTTCCTAATGCCCTAATGGTTTATGCATTTCAAGGCGCCTGTAATCTTATCAGTAAATTATTTTCACCCCATATTGTGGAAAGACATAGGGAATTACTTTCGAGAAAGTTTCTAGTTGATAATTGATTTCACCTTTAGAATAGGCTTTTGAGAATAGGGTGGCAATTTCTCTTTTTTATACAAAAATATGTGAGAAAGTATTTTTAAAACTAAAAGGCCCACATGCTTACTACAGAAAATGTGTTAGGAGAGAAAGTCTGTGACAGATTCCTTTAGGTTTTTTCTGGTTCTTCTCTCTACCCATTACACTGGTCAGCCCACAAGCACCTGGGGCTTCTCTGTTTTCCTGTAACAGTAGGAATCATGGATTATCATTTAGTGGTTTTCATTTTACTACTTTCTGTTTGCTTCTCTTTTTCTCTATTTCCTAGGCTCTGTCCCAGAAATTCTGATTTAATTCTTAAGGAGTGGATCCCAGGCCTGCTTATTTTTGTAATTTGCCAGGTGATCCAAATGTGCAGCTAAGATTAATAACCATTGGTCTAGAGCAGCAGTTTTCCAACATTGTTCTGTATTAGCATCACGTAGAGAGCTAATAAAATCCTTAGCACTCCAGCTTCAGTGAAGGAGGATAAGGCCTGAGCTTTTATACTTTTCCTGAATTTTCCAGGTGATTCTGACAGGGACCATAGTTTGAGAATATAGTAAAATGTGTTTGACACAATGTGCAAAGTTGTACATTTTTCAGCAGTTCTGTAGGTCGTTATGTTGGAAGGGACTTTGGCAAAATATGGAATGTTTTCAGTCTCTGTTTTTATATTGTTAGGCATGATTATTATAGTCTTCTTGGTAATCCAGTATATGAAAGCTTGAAAAATAATGACACGTTTGGGACTTGATAAAAGATAGGGAGTTGAGAAAATAGGCAGTTCTATATTATTTTCTATTATTTATTTTCACAATGGTTTTGATTTTTTCTATATAGCGTTAACTTCTTTGAAATAATTATTCATAAATATTTAAGATATACAAAAATATATAACCATTATCCAGCTTAAGAAATAAAATATTATCAGCAGAGATGAAGTCCCCCACGCATATCCCTTCTGTATTATTACCTTTTCCTCCATCCTCTTTAGAAGTAACCACACTTTTGAAATTGATATTTACCATGCATTCCTTTCAACCTTTACTACCTCTATATATACTTGTAAATAATAGATATATACAGCCTATAAACAAAATGCATTTTTGTTTATGCGCTTAACATTGTGAGATTTAACTATGTTGATAGATATCTCTAGTTCATTTATTTTGCTATAAAACTGGTACACAATTGTATAAAATTATGTCAATTTTATGGCAAAAATAAATCAAAATCATTCTACAGTAAAAAAAGTTTTTCTTCAATATATTGAAGTTACATCAGTCCCATTCTGAATATTTTTGTAAGTTTTTTTTTACTTGCATCTGTGTGATTTTAGATATATATCTTAAGTTTACTAGACATTATCAAATTGATCTCCAAAGTGGCTGTGCCGATTTACCATCTCACTGTCATTTTCTGTATCTTCTTTGGAATTGACAGTCTTTTAAAGTTTTGCCATTTGAGGATTATAAAATAGTGTTCTGTTGTGGTTTCAGTGCTAATTTTTCTGAATACTAATATTGGTGAACATCTCTCATTTAGTTCTTTTCTGTGAATTTTTCTGTCTTGCCCGATTTTATATTGAGATGTTTATCTTCTTGATGTGTACAGTCTTCCCGTTTGTTCATTCATGTGATTCTGGATTCTTATTCTTATCATATATGTTGCAAATATTTACTGTTAAGAGGCTTTGCTCATCTATTTTATACTGTCTTGATGAACAAAAGTTTTACATTTTAATAGAGTCAAGCCTATCAACAATTGTGACTTATGTTTTGATAACTATGTATTCCCATATTACATTGTATCTCAAAAACAATTCCAGGAAGACTAAAAGCCTAAAGGCAAAAAACAAAAAGTTATAGATTTAAGAAGAGAAAAAAAGAATCTAATATAATAATAATTGAGTTATTCATTCTATTTTTTCTATAAATTTTCTTGAATTTCTACCGAGACAATATTTTGTCTGGAAGTAATGGATGATTTGGCTTCATTGTTTTCAGTCTTGTACATTTTTCTTTCTTGTCCTCTTGAATTGTTAGAACCTCCAATATATTTTTAAATTATAAGCAATCATAGTGATGGATCACTTAGGTTTTTTTTTCTGATTTTAAAAGGAATCCTTTTAATATGTTACCATTTAGTAAGATACTTGTTGTACAGTTTTGGTGGATATCCATGATCAAACTAAGGAAGTTGCTTTTCATTCCAAGTTTGCTAAAAATTTTATTATGATAGCTGATGAATTCAAATGATTATATGGTATACTTTTTAAAATGAGTTTTTTTTAATGAATCACACAAGTAGATTTTCTATTATTAAAGGATCTCCTTATTTCTGGAGGAAACACCACTTGGTTATTATTCGTTTAATATGTACTGATTTCTGTTATTAATCCTTTGTGTGCTTTTTCTTTTAGGCTTTTGCATTTATGTTCATGGATAAGACTCGGCTGTAGTTATCCTTTATGTTTCATGTTTGCTTTTGACATAAAGTACTTTCTTTGTTTCTTCCCTTCTCTCTCTTTTAAGTGTTAAGAAGCATTGGGAATTGGAGGAGGAGAGGATTGGGGTAGAGCAGAGCTTGATTGACTCTTAAGCAGTGTCTTCAGTATCTGGCTTGTCTCTATCTCTGAATTCTATTCACTACTCCTCTTCGTGTTGGCGAAAGAGCCTGTATAGCTATTATATAAAAAGTAACATATCTTTCCATCCTTTATGTACATTATCCATCAATTACTCTGGGTGTTCTTAAAATATTCTGTTATGTACTATCTCCCTTAATTTTACCTTGTGATTCTTTAAACTTTTCTTGTATATATTTTGAGTCTTTATTATTAGGTATATATCCAGTTTTAGCTGTAATATCTTGAAACTTTAATCATCATGTACTGACTCTATGTCTCTCTAATAATGAATTTTTACTTAAAGTCTATTTGCCTGATATTAGTATGGCTTTTATTTTATTTTATTGTTTTGAGATGGAGTGCCACTCTGTCACCCAGGCTGGAGTGCAGTGGCACAATCTCGGCTCGCTGCAACCTCTGCCTCCTGGGTTCAAGTGAGTCTCCTGCTTCAGCCTCCTGAGTAGCTGGGACTACAGCCATGAACCACCACAGCCAGCTAATTTTTGTATTTTTAGTAGAGACGGGGTTTCACCATGTTGGCCAGGCTGGTCTCAAACTCCTGACCTCGAGTGATCTGCCTGCCTCCCAAAGTGCTGGGATTACAGGCGAGAGCCACTGCACCCAGCTGGCATTCTTTTTACATATTTGTTTTCCCCTTTACTTTCAGGGCTTTTGTGAGCTTTAGTTTAGGATGTGTAAACTATAAGAAACATTTAGTTGGACTTACTTCTTTAAATGTAATCTGACTATCTTTGTCTTTTAAATATTTAAACCATGTGATAGTTGACATGACACATTCTTTCTAAGGTCTCATTTTGTGCCTTCTCTTCATCCTGTTTATGTGCTAGTCCCCACCCCTACTCCTTCATAAACATGTCTTTTTTCTTAATTTTTTGGATCGAGGATTTCCACACTCCCCACAACTCTAACAATTTTCCTTCAGTACTGTTTTGGTAGTTACACATTCTATATTATTTTGGCAGTTTCTCTTAAATTTTTAATTCTCATATCCAACTTAAAGGGGCATTTTGTGTCCTGGGCCTAATTCTTTTTGTGTGCCCTAATTCTATTCATGCCATCATTTTCTGTAGTTTCTTTCTAAATCTATTTTCCTAGGTTTTACATAGTTTGCTTTGTCTTATTATGTGGGTCTTGCACCATGTCTCTTCCCACTTCTTGCAATGGCTCAGCTCTACTGTAGAAGCTGGCATTTTTGAGTTGGCCAACAAAGACTGTTTGCATTCCTTGCTCTTTTGGCCACTCTGATCTTTGTCCTTTCCAGTTTAATGGAAAAATTATTAAACTCTGGGCTGTATACAAAAACCATCATGCTTAACACCCTTTTCAACACTTTTTTTTCTTTTTATGCTGAGGTTTCCTCTGAGTGGGTTTTACAAGAACAAAGACAAAACCGTGGATTGAGGTTGAGTTCACAGTGACACCTGATCTTACGGCAGTATAAACCACATATGGACATCGTTGTTTATCCCTCATATTGGCTATTAGTGTAAAAAATAGCATTTAATTAAATTTCATTATTTGTATAACTAAGCAAAACATTTTTCTGACCATTTGCAAGGCTGTATTCTCCTGAAAATGTGCTTAGAGATACTCAACCCAGAGTATAGAAAAAAAAGAAATGGATAGTAAGAGAACCAAGTTTTGTTCTTGCCTTCTCAATAGCTGAGTAACCTTTGGCAGGTCACTTTACCTCGGAGAAGCTTTACCACCATGGGCCAAAGGTAATTCATCTGTAAAATGATCTGGTAGGATGTATTAGTTATCTATTGCTGTGTAATAAATTATTCCAAAATTTAATGGCCTAATATGACAAATATTTTCTCACAGCTTCTGTAGTCAGACATCTGACCTTGGCTTAGCTAGGTGCCTCTGGCTCAGTGTCTCTTGGAAGGCTGCAGTCAAAGTGTCTTCCAGGACTATGGGATGATCGTTTTCAAGCTCACTCATGCAATTGTTGGTAGGATTCAGCTCTTCAGGTGTTGTTGGATTGAGAGCCTCAGTTCATTGCTGGCTGCTAGCTGGAGACCTCCCTCAGTTCCTTACCATGTGAGCCCCTCCACAGTGTGACAACTTGCCTCTCCCAGAATGAGGACTCCAACAGAGAAGGTGAAAGAGAGCAAGCAAGACAGAAACTTCAATCTTTCTGTGATCTAATCTTGAAAGCAGCGTCTCATTGTTTTCTCTTGTTTCTATTACTTGCAAATCACTTGATTCAGCATGCACTCAAGAGGAGAGAGTTCTTTGTCCTTTTTTGTATTTAACTTGGTTGCTTCTCCCAAATTAGTTGGTGTGAGAAAGAAACTATCTTCATTTTGGCTTCTACTTGATTCAGTCATTAATTATGTTAGAAGGCACACACCTTTCTTAAGTAAGAATCTATTTGGGTGTCAAGAAAGACTACTTTCTGCCTCTGGAGGAGTTGAGAGACTGTAAACATGTCATATATCTCACATATGTATAATCCATATAAATGTAAGGCATATATTTAAAAGTCAAAACAACATTAGTTTGATTTGAAAGCTTCAGAATACAGATGATTGCAAAGTCTTATTTTCATTTTTAAAAGTCAAAGCCGATATAAATGAAGCTCCATTTGTAATTTTGGATTACTGGTGATATAGCTATATTATTGTTTAGACTATTTAAATATATTTATGAGTTTTTTTTTTTGTGATAAAAGTTATAGAATGCATTTTGCTTCCCATACTGTTACATAAGAAGGACACTGGTCAGAAAAATTGGTTGTGGGTAGAAACTCTGCCATTGCTTGGTATATGGCACAATTTATCTAAATGTCAGTTTCCTTATTTGTAAAATGAAATTATTCATACCAGAGTCTCAAATTAGATGTTTCGTGCTTTATAAATGATCATGTTCTACAACTAAATGGAGCTTCTTTGACTAACCTCTTGTTTCAGGCCACATGTGACCAACGTGGCTGTTGCTGGAATCCCCAGGGAGCTGTAAGTGTTCCCTGGTGCTACTATTCCAAGAATCATAGCTACCATGTAGAGGGCAACCTTGTCAACACAAATGCAGGTAAGCCAGAGTCTGCCATGATGCAGGAGGTCCAGACCCTCTGGAGGTTGACTCTGTATCCCCCAGGGGCAGCCTGCAGAGTTCTGCTCTGTGGGGCCATATAACCACATGTGACAGAAGGTGGGCATTGCTCTTAATCGAGGACTAGAATCTATGTGGGCACCAAGGAAAAATTATTCTCTGCCTTGGGAGTTGAGAGACCATGTCCTCTTTCCAACTTCCCCATTTATGGACCTTCATGACTGCAATAATCATTGATCATTTTTGTTTTCAAGTTTATCCCTTTTAAAGTGGGGGATTTGAAATTGGTAACCTCTCAGACTACTTCCAACTGTAATTTTATGTTATTTTTATGAAATGGAAGTAATTCCAATTTTATAAACATGTTATGAAAGTTACTAGTCAATATAAGTGTTCATGGAGTGAATAGCCCCTCTTCTTCCTCCTACTCTAAAATGCAAAGCATAGGCCAGGCACAGTGGCTCATGCCTGTAATCACAGCACTTTGGGAGGCCGAGGTGGATAGATCACCTGAGCTCAGGAGTTTGAGACTAGCTTGGCCAACATGGCGAAACCCCATCTCTACTAAAAATATAAAAATTAGCCAGGTGTAGTGGCATGTGCCTGTAGTCCCAGCTACTCAGGAGGCTGAGCCAGGAGAATCGCCTGAACCCAGGAGGCAGAGGTTGCAGTGAGCTGAGATTGTGCCACTTCGCTCCAGCCTGGGTGACAGAGCGAGACTCCGTCTCAAAAAAAAAAAAAAAAATGCAGAGTATAATGATGACAATGATGACCATTCTAGGGGATAGCAGAAGGTGACACTTTAGGGAGGCTCTCGGTATAAAGGAGGAGGCATGTTCCCCTTTCAGATGCTCTTGGCCTGATGGACTGTTGCAATGAGGTCTCAACTCTCACCTGGTTTACCATTTAATTAGGGAGATGGCATCAATGGATATAATCACCTGTAATGCAATATGAAAATAACTGAGAAGGAATTATGTATATGTATGTCAGGTCTGAGAATGTAAAGGGTATCTAATTAATACCGAATGACTGATGGGCCTGTGGAATGAGTGTTAGGCTTATTGGGGGAGGTTTTCAATCAGATTTTGTAGAAGAGAGACATAGATTTTTATAAAATGTAATGATGATATCTAGCTCCAGAATCTGCCATAGATAGTATGTGCGTATGATGGGGTATATATCTGTCTTTTCCCTTCTTTTGAGAAATAAAGATTTTTCATCAATCCCTTTGACATGTATCCTAATATATATATATATATATTTTTTTTTTTTTTTTGAGAAGGAGCCTCACTCTGTCATGCAGGCTGGAGCTGTGGTGCGATCTCAGCTCACTGCAACCTCCACCTCTGGGGTTGAAGCAATTCTCCTGCCTACAAAGTAGCTGGGATTACAGGCATGCACCACCATACCCGGCTAATTTTTGTATTTTTAGTAGAGATGGGGTTTCACCACGTTGGTCAGGCTGGTCTCGAATTCCTGACCTTGTGATCCACCTGCCTTGGCCTCCCAAAGTGCTGGGATTACAGGTGTGAACCACTGCACCCAGCCCCGTGTATCATAATTTTTATGTAGCTATTATTTGAGAATTTGCAGAGTCAACTATGAAAACCTTTTTTTTCTCCTATGTTAGGATTCACAGCCCGGTTGAAAAATCTGCCTTCTTCACCAGTGTTTGGAAGCAATGTTGACAATGTTCTTCTCACAGCAGAATATCAGACATCTAATCGTTTCCACTTTAAGGTTGTAATTTGTTTATTTTTTTTTAAGTTTTTTTGAGAGACTTTTATTCCCTATCGGATGAGTGCAGTTACTACAAAATAGAAAATTTTGCTACTGGATGTATTTTTCTATATTGCTATTATTAATTAGCACCTGTATGTTAAAGACATATACAGAATAGCTTCCTTTACTGTAATAACTTCCTGAATATGTATTACAGTTTACTAGTGAGTTTGGCTTTCATTCATTTACTCTAGATAACATGTGGAATATGGTAGGAAGATAAAATAAGGAAGTATCACAGCTTTCAATCCATCTCTGCAGATGTGCTCTGTATGTCTCTACCTAAAGACTAACTTATGCCCAAAGGTGAACCATTTGAGTTTGGTAACATAATGAGTACATCTACCTAAGATATGAGGTCAGTTTGATCAGTGCCTGATTCCAGTATCCTAAGTAGGGATATTGGGAAGCTCTGACAAGTTTTTATTTTGGCTTTCCTTCTATTTCTATCTCTGCACAGTTGACTGACCAAACCAATAACAGGTTTGAAGTGCCCCACGAACACGTGCAGTCCTTCAGTGGAAATGCTGCTGCTTCTTTGACCTACCAAGTTGAAATCTCCAGACAGCCATTTAGCATCAAAGTGACCAGAAGAAGCAACAATCGTGTTTTGTAAGTTTTGGAAACCTATCTAAGGATCAGAGTAGGAAGGTTACAGGGAGGTCTGTAAGCATGAAGAAGGGGGTGTTTCAACAATATTCCTGAAGGTTGTGGGCCCATTATTGGTGACCAGAACCTTTACCTTCTAAAGTATACATTTTTTTCTGGCTTTCTTTCTCTTTCCTCTGTTTGCACAATCATTTTTTTCTCTTTATTTTTCCCTTTATTTCCCTCCGTCTATAATATATAACCAGCTGTCCACCAGTAAATATTTACTGAACATCTCCTATCGTAAGTATAGTGTTCTGGTCATGTAGTAGGCTGTCTGGTCTGGGAGACTAATGCAAGAAATTTGCACATGGTCCCTTTCTTCAAGGAGTCCTTATCTCTTGTTTTCCATAGAAAAATGTCACAGGAGGGCAAATGGGACTGAATGAATGGGGGCTATTGAGTCACTGAGATATAAAGGACGCTTTTCTAAGCACTTACGTTCTCTCCACCCTGCTTGCTCACCCATCCTTGTGTTCTCCACCTGTGTCTAGGTTTGACTCGAGCATTGGGCCCCTACTGTTTGCTGACCAGTTCTTGCAGCTCTCCACTCGACTGCCTAGCACTAACGTGTATGGCCTGGGAGAGCATGTGCACCAGCAGTATCGGCATGATATGAATTGGAAGACCTGGCCCATATTTAACAGAGACACAACTCCCAATGGAGTAAGCTTTCAAATGGGCCCCTTTCCACTGAATATCATAGTCTCATTCTTAAAGGTCACCTCTAGTATTACAGTGTAGTGTTTAAGAGTTAGAGTCTAGAGTGAGACTACCTGGCTTTGAATTCTAGTCTTGCTATTCACCAGTTACGTGGTTCTGGGTGTTACCTACCTCTCTGTCTTCAGTTTCTTATCTATAAAATGGAAGTAATATCTCAATAGGGTTGTGGTGAGGATGAAATGAACAGATACATGTAATGTATCTAGAAGAATGGCTGCCAGAAAGAAGGTACTCAATAAATGCCAACTCCTTCATATTTTCCTAACCAGATATGGAGAAGATATTATTAATATCTGTACTCTCAACAACAGTTGATTGTGATCTCCATATTTTTAGGTTCACCTTTAATCACTGACTCACCAGGTTTATCATCACAATAGGATAAAGTCTCAGCTAAAACAATCATTTTTTGTATAAAGAATGATTGTGGTAGTGAAAGAATAGACAGAGTTTTGTTGTTATTGTTTTATTTTATTTCCACTTTGTTTTGACTGCTAAAATTTGAAGTAACATTGTTTTCTGGATTTGGCAATACTCTGTTGTTCAGGGCCTTTCTTTTTCTTTTCTTCTTCTCTCTTTGTTTGAGATGGGGTCTCACTGTCACCCAGGCTGAAGTACAGTGGCACAACCATGACTCACTTTAGCCTCAACCTCTCTGGGCTCAGGTAACCCTCGTACCTCAGTGTCTGGAGTAGCTGAGACTAAAGGTGCGTGTCACCATGCCTGGCCAAATTTTTGTATTTTTTTTGTAGAGACTGTGTTTCGCCATGTTGTTCAGGCTGATCTCAAACTCCTGGACTCAAGCAATCCTCTGGCCTTGGTCTCCCGTAAGTGCTGGGATTACAAATGTGAGCCACTGTGCCCAGCTGGGCTTTCTTGACTAAGCAGAATTAATGGATGGAAGAAAGGAGATTACAGCAATAATTTATTAGTCATATATATATATATATACACACACACACACATACATGTTTGTGTATATATATCTATTTAGCCATAGAGTCTAGAAAATATAATAATTTCTTGTTAGAAAAAACCAAGGCCCAGCGAAGCCAAATTAATAGCTCAAGGCAAAAGGGTTTGTAAGAACAAGAATGGCCTGAACCCGGGAGGTGGACCTTGCAATGAGCCGAGATCGCGCCACTGCACTCCAGCCTGGGTGACAGAGCGAGACTCTGTCTCAAAAAAAAAGAGGTTGTAAGAACAGAGGAAGAATCTAATCCCTACTCTGTGTAATTTTTAAGCCCAGGCTCTGTACTGTACATATGCCTATCAGAAAAGCAGAAAAGCTGTTAAGTCAGAGCAGCTTACCTAGGAATAGTTGGTGACAGTTGTTTCATTAAGGAGCCTCAGATCCTTGCTTCTCAAAGTGTGTATGTGGCAGGGGAACCACCCTCTGAGAGAGGTGGGCTTTCAGTCCCTTCTTCCATCTATTGAATTAAAATCTGCATTTAGGGCTGGGAGCAGTGGCTCACGTCTGTAATCCCAACAGTTTGGGAGGCCAAGGCGTGTGGATCATTTGAGGTCAGGAGTTCAAGATCAACCTGGTGAAACCCTGTCTCTACTAAAAATACAAAAAATTAGCTGGGCATGGTGGTGGCGGGTGCCTGTAGTCCCAGCTACTTGGGAGGCTGAGGCAGGAGAATGGCATGAACCCAGGAGGCAGAGCTTGCAGTGAACCGAGATTGAGCCGCTGCACTCCAGCCTGGGTGACAGAGTGAGACTCCATCTCAAAAAAATAAAATAAAATAAAAACCGAAACAAAAATTAGCCAGGCGGTAGTGGCACACGCCTGTAATCCTAGCTACTCAGGAGGCTGAGGCAGGAGAATTGCTTGAGCCTGGGAGGTGGAGGTTACCGTGAGCCAAGATCACACTACTGCACTCCAGTCTGGGCGACAGAGTGAGACCCTGTCTGGAAAAAAAAAAAAAAAAATCTGCATTTAACTAAAATGCCCATGTAGTTTGCAGATACACCAAATTTTGAGAAACACTTTTCCAGAGCAATAGTTATCAAATGTGACTACATGTTGAAGTTACCTGGGGAAGTTAAAAAATAACAGCCATGTCTGCTTCTACCTCTAGGGATTCTGTTTTAATTGGTCTGGGGTGCAGTCTAGGTTGAGAACTCCTGTTCTGGAGTCTCAAAGACAAGCCTAGACTAGAGCTCCATCTAGTTACCTGATTCATATTAAAGCATATTGATGGAGCTTTTGCTGATGAGGTTAAGTCAGGTTAAGACAGGCCTCTTTGAGAGGGCAGTTTTTCTGAATTACATTTTAAAAATTCCTATCCTCTTACCTTCTAAAAAATATCACAGCCTTCACATTCCTTCTAGATGAATGATAATAGCTGGCTCATTCTGTAAGAAAACATGAGTTCACTTGGTTAACATCAACTAGATATAGACCCCATCTTTTAAAAATGTGTCTTTATGACCCTGAATGTCCTGTCAATTAGTTGCATGATTAAGACTGATTTCCTAAACCAACCCCACAGTGTGATGCTGAGACTTCTTAGTTGTAAATTTTGGTTTTTAATTCTCTTTCTGCAGAACGGAACTAATTTGTATGGTGCGCAGACATTCTTCTTGTGCCTTGAAGATGCTAGTGGATTGTCCTTTGGGGTGTTTCTGATGAACAGCAATGCCATGGGTAAAGGAATATTCATGGAAAAAACAAGCACAAGAGTGATTTTCAGTCCCTTTCTTACAGCACTATGATAAAAGGAATGGATCCCTTTAAGAGTGACTGAGCCATAGTGTAGGGAGGGCCTTATAGATTCTCTAATTGTGCTATCCCTACTTCATTACCTATTGATCCATGGTAGCCATGAGTAGGGGATTTTCTCCAACTTATGATTTTCCTGAATCTGGTGGCCTCTGTTGGAATATTTTCTATTATCAAGTTAAGGAGCTCACCCTTCCCTATAATTTACTCTGAGATAGTTTCCACCAATGTGTTCTTCTCCGTCTTCAGCCCTGTAGTCAGTAGATCCCAGTGGCAATGAATTGCCATAGGGGAAGAGAAGATGTATCAGAATCTCCCAGGATTGATGGTGGGCATAGGGTATTGATCCATACCTTTTCTTAATTGAGAGTCATCGATTCAATCAGTGCTCCTCAAAGTGTGGTCCCTGAATGGGTCACAGACTGTTTCAGGTCTATAGTAAGATGAGTATAGAAATGGCGAGTAAGCAATGCTGTAGCCTCCACACGCACACATGAACCTTTTTCTAGTAATTAATTTTCATATTATTTTATGAAAATATCAGCTTGCAGTGAAATGGAAATTAAACAAAATAAAGATCTGATTCTCCACCACAGATATCCGAGAAGCACTCTAAATGATCTAACATGATTCTAGGACATCTAAGAGATGAATCTAAGACGATTCTAATAGAATCTTAGATGGTCCTAAGGTACTTAAAATACCAAATAACCTAAGAATAGACTGAGATAATATAATAGAAAGACTGTACAGTTTTAGATAGGTGAAAGGAACCAGAAAATAAGATGAGTCAGACTTAGTGGGAAAGGCCACAAGATCCTAGATACTCTGTATGAGTTGTTCCTATGACCAAAGAGTACATTGCAATATTTCTTGAGGCATTTTATTCCTAGATACGAATCAAGGTAATGACACAACTTTTAAGAATGGTGATTGGCACATAGAAGGGTTTTGAATTTATGATACAATTTCTGACTTTTTTTTTTTAGTTTGGCTTTTGTTTGAGGTGAGATTCACTGAGGTTAGTTACCTCCATGTCTAGTTGAATTATATTCTCACAATAATGACGGGGTATGTGGTGGGACATGTTCTGTGGTTATGAAAGTCAGAGAGGAGAAACTTTTCCTCTAACCTCTTAGGGTTAATTCTTGGGAGGCTGCAAATTAAACTGGCAAAAAGGTAGATTAGCAATAGAAAAGACAGAATTTATTTACACATACAATGCACATACACACAGCAATTCTCAGTGATGAGTAACTCAAAGCAGAGATTAGAACTTGGGGCTTCTATACCATCTTAATTAATAGGTGAAAGGGAATGGGGAAAGACACTTAGGAGAGAACAAATGACATTTTGGAAAGATAAATGGGCCCTTAGGAGAGTAGGTGGGAGGATGTGATAGTCTTGTAACACTGTTTATCTGGGAATGGTGCCTGTTGTCTCAGAGAAGACTAGAGGTACTCCTTGGAGCAGATTTATGACAATTGCTTTTTATTGAGTTCTTTTGGGAGGCTCTGATTTTAGCACATCAGGGATTTCAGTAACTTAAATGCCTTTGGTCCAAAATAATTTTTTTATGTCACAGTGGCTTATTCTGGACCCCTTCATAAGCCTGGCTGCTTTTTCCCCAGAACCTGGGGCCTGGCACAAGACACTAAGACACTCCAGTCAGTATTATTAAAATCTGTCACAGAAAAAATGCCTTGGCTGCCATGTGCTGTGAGGGTGGACTTGGATGGTCAGGGTTTTCACTTGGTATTCAAAATGTGAGGCACTAGGGTCACCTTGTTAATGTTCACATGGTTAGTGATCCTGTGTTATTTTAAAACTTGTAGTTACTATTCAAGAATCAATTCTGATTTTTATTTTCTTCATTTTTAACCTTTCAAGAGGTTGTCCTTCAGCCTGCGCCAGCCATCACTTACCGCACCATTGGGGGCATTCTCGACTTCTATGTGTTCTTGGGAAACACTCCAGAGCAAGTTGTTCAAGAATATCTAGAGGTAAACTTAGGATGTCAAGATTATGACTCAGGAAATCCTAAACAGCAAATATTTTAAAAAAGTAAAATTCATGTGCAAGTGTGACCCACAAAATCTGCTGTTACAAATTTGAGATATTAAAGAACAGATTTCATATATGCAATGGAAACTTGCTGTATAGCATTTTTATGTTATAAGAAGGTGAGAGAATATAAAGGTGCCCCAAACATGGCCCTACCCTCAAACATTTATGAAGGGGCTGGAAAAATAGACTAACATTCTAACATTAATGAATCAGTGCATTGGGAAATGGACTATGTTTGGTGCTCTGAAAGCAATGCTTCGAAAAATTTTTATTAAAAACAGAGTATTTGCTAATTTTCACTTCACATATTTCTTTCAGCTCATTGGGCGGCCAGCCCTTCCCTCCTACTGGGCGCTTGGATTTCACCTCAGTCGTTACGAATATGGAACCTTAGACAACATGAGGGAAGTCGTGGAGAGAAATCGCGCAGCACAGCTCCCTTATGTAAGCAAGGTTTTCAACAGTTCTCCAAAAGTAAAGAAATTCCCTTGAAGAAAAAGAAAAACTGTTTATATTTTCTCTCCCTGAGTTTAATTGATTTATTTATTTGGTAATGAAAGGAGTTTTAGATATTCAGAATACTAGACATTTTTTTTTTTGTTGGACCAGTAATTTTTTCAAGGAACCATTGTTCTTTATAGTATGAAATAGATTGGGAGACCATAATTATGTGTTGGGAGGCAATCTGTTTTTGTCTCTATTTTTCTTATTATGTATTTTATTAGTAAACTTTTTTTGTGCTTACTGTATTGACTACATTTTACAGGTGTTTTTATTTGAGTTTTCAAGGCATTTGTCTCTTTAGCTTGAATTGTAGCATTTTAATGCTTCTCAGTATGGATTTTCTTGCCTTACACATGTTCTTGGTTTGCTTTGACTCAAAAGTGTCATGGCAGGGACTTACCATAAAAGTTGTATCATATTTTCAGAAATTCCTCTAAGATTCTGGCATAAGATTTCATGTCTAAATTCTTAGGTTCTTAGGTTTAGTGTCAGGTCAAGAATGATGCAGATCCCCAGGCTCCCTACCTATGTTTTAACAGATATTTTAAAGAGGAATTGAGGAAGTGGAGTAGTTCTAGACCCCATGAATTTAGTTCAAACTAATTATATTGCTAGAACAACCATGAGCCATCTGGGTTAGCATCATTTTTTTTCACAGATAGTAAATTGAGGCTGTCAGGGGAAATACTATGACCAAGACCACATAGGTAATTGATGACAGAACAAATACTGCATGTGACTACATGGATGTGAAAAATAATACAAGTTTCAGGTCCATGTGTTTTTACATTGATATTTTGATTACTATTAAATTGGGAATAAGCAAAATTTGCCTTTCTCTTTAGAGTGGTCATTTTGCCATTGAAGCTGAGCTTCAGTAGACATTTTGTAATTTGACGGAAAGATAGTCCATAAATATGATGTGTAAAAGAAAGTGCTTAATGGAATTGAGATTCAAAAAGCCTAGGAACACTGAGGAGATGGGGGAAGCAGAAAGTCAGGGCAGATAAAGACGTTTGGGTGGATGAATTCACTCTCAATTTGGCTGCGAGTCCCACTACTCATTCTCCAGCATGACGTGTCTTTATGCATGTGGGGGTGGGTTGGGGGAGGGATAACAGAAAAAGTGGTAAAAGCAGGACTGAGCCAAAGGACAATTAACACAGCCACCATAATAATGAGTGCTACAACGTGGTGAACTCTCGTGGCAGGCAGTGTGCTACATGCCTTCTTTAGTTATCTCAGCAACTCCATTTTACTATTAGAATTCCATTGGCTGGGCACAGTGGCTCACACTTGTAATCCCAGCACTTGGGAAGCCAAGGCAGGCAGATCACGAGGTCAGGAGTTCGAGACCAGCCTGGCCAACACAGTGAAACCCCGTCTCTACTAAAAATACAACAACAACAAAAAAATTAGCTGGGCATGGTGGCAGGTGCCTGTAATCCCAGCTATTCGGGAAGCTGAGACATGAGAATCACTTGAACCCTGGAGGTGGAGGTTGCAGTGAGCTGAGATCGTGCCACTGTATTCCAGCCTGGGCAACAGAGCTAGACTCAGTCTTGAGGGAAAAAAAAGGACTCCATTTAAGATTAGAAATCCCATTTAATATTAGAAAACTAGGGGAACTAGTTTTCAAGCCCAGATCTCTAACATCATAGAGGTCATCTCTTTTTTTATGCCATTTTCCTTACTTATAGATAGACATTTCCTTTTTAAGTGATCCAGGAAATGAAAGAATTGGACTGTTACTGCTGCCTAGTGGTGTGAGATGTGAGAGGGAGTGTTTAGACAGGGAATTGAACACTATTACCTGAGTTCAGTATACATGTCAAAATCTGTCACATTTAAGTGAATGAAAGGATATAGTATGGACATGTAATAAAACATTTTTGTACTTTGAATGGCTAAGTTTGAATGTACCTATGATATTGGATACTATTGGGAGTGAAATTTAACAAGAGATGCAAAGGGAAAAGCTCAGTAGTCTTCTAGAATAATCCTCTTCTCTCCCCCACTCTATTCCATTGGAGACAAACCTAGGTTGTAGAGAAGGGTACATTTTATTCTGGGCTTCACTGTTTATACAGGTAAAATTGGGATAGCATAAACAACAAAGATGTGGGGTAGAAGCGAAGTAACAAAATAAAATGTGGGGTAGTAAAATGAGGGAGATGTGGGAGAGAGACAGTCTCTTCCCTTCTTTATCTTGTGAATAGGGTGAAATTTAGGTCATTTCTTAGGTGGATATGTCTGATTGTCTTAGGGGTTTGTCATAATTGGTGTTGCTTGCTTGATTGGTTTTTAATGCCAGAGTGCCAGGCAAGGATTGGATGATGCAGTTAACCTGATGGCAGGGAGGGGGCCAAGCCCTAGGGAACCAACCAGTCGTGTGTTTTTGAAATCAACATTGGAAAAGAAGTACTCAGATGCCAGGAACTGATTAAGAACTCTATTTAGAGCCCAGAACAGAGTTGTTTATCCTGAATAATAACAGTGAAAATTTGATTTCATTTTACTATGGAAATTCCTAGGTGCTAATTGTGGACTTTGTATATTCTTTCAGGATGTTCAGCATGCTGATATTGATTATATGGATGAGAGAAGGGACTTCACTTATGATTCAGTGGATTTTAAAGGCTTCCCTGAATTTGTCAACGAGTTACACAATAATGGACAGAAGCTTGTCATCATTGTGGTATGTACTGCCCTCTTTCCACCAAATTAGGTATTTGCTCCTCCGTATCATACACCCATCTCTCCTGCTTTCTCCCCCAGTTCCCAGTCTCCTTTCAGTGCCTCCGGTTTCCAGCTAGTTTGTTCATTGTATTCTTCCTATTTTTAGGATCCAGCCATCTCCAACAACTCTTCCTCAAGTAAACCCTATGGCCCATATGACAGGGGTTCAGATATGAAGATATGGGTGAATAGTTCAGATGGAGTGACTCCACTCATTGGGGAGGTAACTTAATGGGAAGGCTGGAGGCTGGTGGAGGGGCTGCATAGGGGTGTTTGAATGTGTCTGTGTGTGTGTGTGTGTGTGTGCATGTAATTGTTTTATTGTACATTTTCAGTATATTTATATATGCTGGGGATAAATTCTCCTCTGCCCTTTCATGCCCAAGTGCAAGCCGGCCATCGTAGCTTTTTGATTCCCTTCACAGCCAAGTAAGTCCCTTTAAACAACAGCTCACACACTGAGTGTCCACTTTCTCACCTCCCACACACTCTGCAGCTGACTGTGGTCTCCTTCCTTCCCCCCTCACTTCCCTGATACCGCTCTGGCAAAAAGCACCCGTTACTTTCTCACTGGTAAGTCCAGCGGAACTGTTTCATACCTCTTCTTACTCAATTTTCCTGCATTATTTGACAAGTGTACCCACTTCTTTCTCAAATGTTTGTTTGTCCTTGTTTTTTCAGGAAGGTGTTATCTGCTTGTTCACTTCTAAGGCCTCTGATGACCTTTTCAGAGTATAGTGTCTGGGGGAAATTGGATAGGAAAGAAAGAGAGAAAAGTAAATGATGTTAGAATCCACAGCTTATAGTGGACTAGCTGAAATTTACACAATGCTCTTCCCCCATTTACTATTCCCAGAATTAAGAACAAAGAAGTGTAGAGAGTTAAAGATGACTAAGTTAGACAATGCCTTTATCCACGAATTTATTCATTAAGGACTTAAACATTTTTTTAAATGCATATTTCTTCGAGTGACCCTGGCATTTATTTTAAGTATTGTGAGCACCGCACCTTCTTAACTAAAAAGGATATGTTCCTGGGTACCTCGGTTGCTGTGATCATATTAGGAATTTCTTTGCAAAGTACTTTCCTTTAGTCTATATTTGTTTAATTTACTCTTACCAGTGTTTTTCTTTTTCTCCTGAAGGTCTGGCCTGGACAAACTGTGTTTCCTGATTATACCAATCCCAACTGTGCTGTTTGGTGGACAAAGGAATTTGAGCTTTTTCACAATCAAGTAGAGTTTGATGGAATCTGGATTGTGAGTTGTTTACACTTGGATTATTAGGTGACAAATATTCAAATTGTGTATATCTGTATCTGTATCTTTGAGTCACAGAGCATAGGGAGAGGAGGAGGAGAAGAAAGGAAGTATAACAATCACTCTCAATATTCACTCTCTTACTATTTAAATAATCTTGCTAAAACACATAGCTTAGAATAAAAATCAAAATGTTAGAGCTGAAAGGAAACTCAGAATTTTTTTTCCCAAGTCTAGCTCTTTTTTTTTTTTTTTTTTTTTACGAAGGAATGAGCTGAAGTCAGAATAGGTCATGTACTCCTTACATTGTTGCAAAGTATACAAATTGTTCAATTGCTAGTTGAAGACTCTTCCTTTTGGACATGTTGAACAAATTGATCAGAGCCAAAGTACTCAGGTGCATGAACAAACTATGCCTGTGGTAAAGAAAAATGTCTCATATGATGTCAGATGAAAGAAAGTAACCTAACTGAGGGTTAGCAAAATTTAGGGAGCTCCAGAGTTGAAACTTTTTCTTTTTCTAAGAGAACTGTAGAAAATTCAAACAATACAGAGAGTTAAAAAGATAAAAGCAAAAATCCTCTTAAATTATAGCAACTAAAGACATTTATTATCGATACGTTGGAATGCATCTTTCTAGACCTTTATGTGCTCTCTCTCTCCTTTTCTCTCCACATATATGTTTATATGTATTTATATGTATATGTATTTACAGTTATATTTCGATATATGGAAAAATGTATAAGTTGAAACATGTCATCATATAAATTGAAACTTTTTTCACCTGATATGTTTGGGAATTGTTCATTTTCAGCGATTATAGACATATTATTTGAAGAGAGGTTAAGAACCTTCTTCATGAAGCCTTCAGTGGGTAGACAAGACAAGAACACCTACTCTATTCCATTTATACAAATACCCCTTTAAAATATCTGGAATAATTTATCTGATTAATTAAAAAAAGACACCATCACGACATCATAAGATAACATGTTACTTTTTCTTAATAGTTTTTGCTCTTTGTCTTGTAGGATATGAATGAAGTCTCCAACTTTGTTGATGGTTCGGTCTCAGGATGTTCCACAAACAACCTAAATAATCCCCCATTCACTCCCAGTAAGTCTTGGTGGTCAGCAGATTAAAGTAGCCATATGTATTTCATATTATAAATTCATAAGGACAGATCTGAAAAATCTGGCAAGGGAATTTGTTCATAATTGTGCATAGAAAAAGAAATATGTGGGTAATATATAAGGAAAACTAGGAAGGAAAATAAAAACACACTATGCTTTCCTAAAACATGCACAAATTCAAAAGGGGCAATCTAGTACTTCTACTTATACTCAAAGCTATTTCTAGGGAAGATCTAGAGAGGATAAAGTGTAGAGGCCAGAGGCTAGTGGTAAGTTTATGTCATTCTCAGGTATGCACCCACAGGCCAGGGTTTACCAGAGAGACACCAGGTAACCAGCCTTGGTCATCAGGTAAGGGTTATGTCTGATGTGTCCACAGTGTGAAGAACTGAGTTACAGGATGAAAAGACAGAACTCATGACCTGGGAGGTCAAAGTCAGTGAACGTGATGATACTCAGCTTTGATTGAACTTTGGACAACACTATCTCTCAGGGTGTGGCCTTGGCATCATAGCATCGGCCATAGTTTGAAGAATGCTAGAGGTTCAAGGACAGATTATATCTTGATTGAGAAAGGAAAAAACTGCTAAGATGATAATAACTTATGAAGGCTTCAATATGGTGGGAAGACAGGAAATTGGGGCAGGAAGGTTAGAATCAAATGCTGAGGGGCTTGGATGAGAGGCTAAACAGTTCATATTTTACTCTTTTGGTGTTAGAAGCTACTTATCTTTTAGTAATAGAGAAGCATGGTAGTCAGATGATTTTGGAAATATGAACCTGACATTAATATATAGTGTGAACTAGAAATAGATACATAGGAGGTAAATAAGACATGACGAAGCTACTGCAATAGTTAAGATCCACAGATAATGTGGATCTCAAACAGAGTGGTGCAATGGGAGCAGAGAGGAATAGATGAATACAGGAGAGACTGGAAATCATTCTCTACAATATATGATCAGGGGAGAGAAGGAGTCAGAAATTAATTTACACTTTCATTCAGTATTTCCATTCTTGGACCACTTAACTTAGCTCAGTTTGGAGAATTCAGATTGAACCTCAGGCCTGAATGAATCTTCTTACTTCCAAGTGTCTGCCTCTAATCACGTGAGAGCTCCAGTGGGAGGATGTGTGTGGGTCAGCAGAATTCATTTATATATCAGAGAAACTACTCCAAGTGGATAGCATTCTAATAGTAAGGGAGCAGTGTGACTGTTTACAGGATGCCCACAAAAGTGCCTGCCCAGGGGGCTGTCATTTCGGATTGTGATAGTCAAGGAGCAGAAAATGTGCAACTTAGGCTCTCACTGATTGATCCTGCTTTTGTTTCAGGAATCCTGGATGGGTACCTGTTCTGCAAGACTCTCTGTATGGATGCAGTGCAGCACTGGGGCAAGCAGTATGACATTCACAATCTGTATGGCTACTCCATGGCGGTCGCCACAGCAGAGTAAGGCCACTATGGCTATGACCTGCTAATTATTGAATATAAAGAATATATATATGTTTTTAATTCTTGGAGATTATGGGGCTAATGCATAAAATTTCTTAAGACAAAACAAAGCAAAACAAAACATTTAATGATACAGAATGCTCCCAACAGGGACTCTAATTGTACCGAAAGAGAGTTGGAAGAGAATGGGTTATTCACTTTTAATGTCTTTTGTATTGTTGCTGTATCCCCTTGGCTGAGACAAGCTAAGATCCCACATTGACTCCTTAAATCTCTCTCCCTTGCAGAGCTGCCAAGACTGTGTTCCCTAATAAGAGAAGCTTCATTCTGACCCGTTCTACCTTTGCGGGCTCTGGCAAGTTTGCAGCACATTGGTTAGGAGACAACACTGCCACCTGGGATGACCTGAGATGGTCCATCCCTGGCGTGCTTGAGTTCAACCTTTTTGGCATCCCAATGGTGAGCTGCTACCTCAAGCTCTCTTATGAACCTGAATTCCCAGGCAACCTCATTCTAGAAAGTTTTCAAACCACAAAGCTCCCCTCTCCTGCCTGCCATGGCTGGGGATTTAATATCTTGAGAGCATGTGCTTCATCCACATCAGCAGGGCTTTGATACCATGACATTCTTTCCTGTACTGCCTTATGAAGACAGAACGTGCAACTTTGATATGTGCTGGAATATATCTTTCTATTAAAGTGTAACATACTTTATACAGAAAAGTGTATGTATCCTTAAGAACACAGCTGATGAATTTCACCACCTGAACACATCTGTGTATCTAGTACCAAGATGAAGAACTATAACATTGCCAGCACCCTACAGTCTTTGGCATTTTTTAGTTAAATCCAACATATTTATGAATTGAACTCCTAGAGTGTTCAAGGTCTTGAGCAGAGTAGGCATGGTGAGAGGGAAGGAAAGCATAAATATAGTAAAGATGTACCTTCTCTTTGCCCCAAGGGTTTACAGTTTAGTAAGAGGAGACAGATGTGTAAACAAATAATTGTGACAAACTAGGGTAAAAAGACCAACAGGGACGTATGAGTTAAATGTTATGGGAGATCCCGAGAAAGGGATTTATCTGACAAAATTATGAGGGACAAAAGGAATCAAGGCAGGGAGTCAAGGACACTTCATGGAAAAGATGACATTTGAGATTAACCTTGAAAAGTGAGTATTTTTTCATCTGACTAATCAGGGGGGAAGTTCATTTTAACACTGAGAAATAAAAATGAGCACAAACAGTATAAGGGGGATTATTTGATGTATCTATAAGGATTGGTGTGTGGGACTGGAATGAGAAATGATGCTAAAAAGATGGGTTGGAACCAGGTTTTAAAGATCTAAAAGGTTGAACAGCAAGGAAGTCCCGGAGATTTTTTAATAGGTGAGTGACATGGTCAGACTTAGGCTTTAGAAAAATAATGCTGATAGTGGTGAGGTCAAAATAATAATATCAGCAGTATTACTAGGTACTATGCATCCAAAAGCTCTTTATGTAAAGTGTATTACTTTTATTACCTCATTCATTTACGAAATACCTGTGTAGTAATTTAGTACTCACTGACAAAATGAGGAAATTGAGGCACAGAAGGGTTAGGTAACTTACTCAAAGTCATCCAGCATTCAAGAGTGGACACAGGCTATGACCAAATTTTGACCACCCTCCTAGCCTTCTCGGTAGGAGGTTTAAGCAAGGTTCAGTTGGGAGGTCCCTGGTGGAAAGCAAAGGAGGGTGGTTAGAAGGAAGTGAGGTATACCTGTTGTCTGTGTGTCCTTCCAGGTGGGTCCTGACATATGTGGCTTTGCTTTGGACACCCCTGAGGAGCTCTGTAGGCGGTGGATGCAGTTGGGTGCATTTTATCCGTTTTCTAGAAATCACAATGGCCAAGGCTACAAGGTAAGGCTCCTAGGACATAGAGTCAGAATAAATTTGGCATACATTAGGACTAGATCTGTCTGCATCCTTGCCAAGAGATCTGCTGAACCAACCTCTTACCTGGTCTTCACTTACTCTAATTTGCACTATCATGTGCAATTAACCAGAATCTGTGCTGTATCATCGAAATGCCCAACGGCCTCAGCCTGTTATTTACTGTTGCATTCAAGGAAATGGTGTGTCTGTAAAGGTCTTTCATCAAACTTCTGTACGCTTTATCTACATTGTTTGCTTTTAAATAAGAAGCAAACAAGGAAATACTTCAAAATTATTTAAATTGCAGCCTCCCAAGAGAGGAATCTTAAAGAATGAGGAAGGCAGGTTGAATCGAAAACTCAAGGAGAGACACTTGGTACTACTCAGAAGCGAGGTTTGCAACCTTGGCCTCTGTCATTCAGGAGGGAAATTCTTGGTTGTAATGAATGAGGTCTGGAATTCTGCAGGTGCTTCTGCTATCCTGCAGCCAAACCACAACTGCAAACTCCTATTTCCTCCCAGGACCAGGATCCTGCCTCCTTTGGAGCTGACTCCCTGCTGTTGAATTCCTCCAGGCACTACCTTAACATCCGCTATACTCTATTGCCCTACCTATACACCCTCTTCTTCCGTGCTCACAGCCGAGGGGACACGGTGGCCAGGCCCCTTTTGCATGAGTAAGTTCACCTAACCTCCTTAAATTTTATTAATGCATCTGGAATGACATTGACTATATCATCAAATATCAGAGTGAAAACTGAAACAATTCAGGCAGTTATTCATATCTATCTGTATCTATATCTGTAATCTAGCTATCTATATTCATTAATCTATCTATCTATCTATCTAACTGGAATACCTAGTTGGTATTTGTAAGCATCGCCTGTTCCCTTTTGGTGAGAGAATTAGACTAAAAGTCATGGGACTACAGGTCTTTTCTTTGTTCTGCCATTCACTAACTCTGTATCTTAGACAAATCATTTTTTCCTTAGTTTCTTCAGTCTTAATTCAAAGGATTTGAAATCTTGACTGTGATGGTCTCATCTGTAATGCACTATAATGCCAGAACTATGTTCAAGCTGTAGGAATGAGCCTATAATACAAATACAAATGAGGATATTATAAAGGATTTGTAGAATTTCAGAATTCTTATTTCTCAGGCAATGAACATCTCTAATTTAATTCTAAAACAAGGCACTTAAGAGCATTTTCTTGTCAAAATACAGTCAACTCCCTTATGTGGGTGACATATGAGGCCCTCAGGCACGTATCAGGCTATTATATATTCATTATTTTGGGAAGTTTTTGTCTGCTCATGAAATTTCTTGTTAAAAGGCAGATATTCTGAAAGAGAAAAAAGTAAAATGTTAAATTATCTGATATTTTGTATGATCAGATCCAGTTTCTTGATAGTCAGCTGAAGTTATGAAATGTATTGATTATTTAAGTTTTTAATTTTAAATTTTTGTTGGTACATAGTAGTTGCATATATTTATGGGGTATATGAGATGTTTTGATATAAGTGTGCGATGTGAAATAAGAACATTATGGGAATGAGGTATCCATCCCCTCGAGCATTTATCCTTTGAGTTATAAAGAATCCAAGCACACTCTTTAAGTTACTTTTAAATGTACGATTAAGTTATTATTGACTATAGTCACCCTATTTTGCTATCAAAAGGTAGGTTTTATTCATTCTTTCTAACTATTTTTTTTTGTATCTGTTAACCATCTTGACCTCCCTCCCAGCCCCTCACTACCCTTCCCAGCCTCTGGTAACCGTCCTTCTACTCTCTGTGTCCATAAGTTCTTGGCTTTTAGATCCCACAAATAGGTGAAAACATGTGATGTTTGTCTTTATATGCCTGACTTATTTCATGTAACGTAATGATCTCCAGTTCCATCCGTGTTGATGCGAATGTCCGGATCTCAACTTACTTTTTTTAAAAAGGAGGGCTATGGAAAATAGAATTACAGCCTGGGACCTGCCTAGCATACATACTGGAATAGAAACATCTGTTTATCCTGAGGGAAGAATAGGAGACATGAGCTGGGGAAGGGGAATCTGTCTAGGGGTGCAGAGGGGCTTGAGTAGGTGTCACAGAATAATTTGGGGGGTTTGCCTGGGCAGACGGCCTGCATGCTTTCAACAGGTTGTGTGTGAGTAGAGCTGCTACAAATCTCATTGGCAGTGGCTCAAATCTCAGTGAACTGTCTCTCTGGTTTTCAGGTTCTACGAGGACAACAGCACTTGGGATGTGCACCAACAGTTCTTATGGGGGCCCGGCCTCCTCATCACTCCAGTTCTGGATGAAGTAAGTGTTCCCACAGAGATACACTAGAGATCTCTGCATCTGTATCTGCTGCCCTGCAAACTCCTCTCTGCTTCTTATTCCAAACTCACTTCTGACATCTGTGACTGAGTCAGCCTTGAAGAGAGTGTGCTAGGTTTTGAGAAGCTAGACATCTGGTAACTACACATTTTTCTTTCTAGAATTTCTTTTTTCTCTTGATCAAGTTCCCAACCAGTTTAGAAGCATCTACTGGAAACTCTAGAGTTACAAGTTATGTTAGGTTGTTCTTGCATTGCTATACAGAAATTCCTGACACTGAGTGATTTACAAAGAAAAGAGATTTCATTGGCTCACAGTTCTGAAAGCTTTACAAGAAGCATGATGCTGGTATCTGTGCAGCTTCTAGGGAGGCCTCAGGAAGCTTACAGTCATGGAGGAAGGTGAAGAGGAGCAGCGATGTCATATAGCAAAAGCAGGAACAAGACGGGGTGGGGGGAGTTGCCACACACTTTTTTTTTTTTTTTTTTTTGAGATGGAGTCTCACTCTGTCACCCAGGCTGGAGTGCAGTGGCACAATCCCAGCTCACTGCAACCTCCAACTCCTGGGTTCACATGATTCTCCTGCCTCAGCCTCCTGAGTAGCTGGGGTTACAGGCACCTGCCACCAAGCTCGGCTAATTTTGTATTTTTTGTAGAGACGGGGTTTCATGTTAGCCAGGCTGGTCTCAAACTGCTGACCTCAGATGATCCACCTGCCTCAGCCTCCAAAGTGCTGAGATTACAGGTGTGAGTCACCGCGCTTGGCCGCCACACACTTTTAAACAACCAAATCTTACAAGAATTCACTCACTATCACCAGGACAGAACCAAGGGAATGGTGTAAACCATTCATGAGAAATCTGCCCTCATCATCCAGTCAGCTCCCTCCAGGCCCCACCTCCAACACTGGGGATTACATTTCAACATGAGATTTGGGCAGACAAACATCCAAACTATATCAAGAGTGGTCCTATTTGTTGTTGGATTCTCATAGCAGATCCTGACTTGCTCCATGACGTAGAAACAGGATGGAGCAGTGACCCAACACTCACTCTAAAGTCAGGCTGATCGGGATGTGATTGTTGTCTCTGCCACTTTGAGCCTGTGTGATCAGGGGTGACTATTGTGCTGGCTTCTCATCTGCAGAGGGGTAATACTACTACTACTAAAAATAATGGTACCCACCATTTGGGAATGTTGGGAAAATTAAATGAGGTAATCATGTAAAGCTGGAATGTTTGTCACCACACATGTTTTATTATTATTTTATGATTATTATTATTCCTAATGTGGCTACGTTTGGGATTTCTCTCTGGGTTGCCAAGTTACAGTTTCTATTATTTGTATTAGAGGAGAAGCAGAAGAAAGGCATAATAGCAGGGCATTCCTGCCCTCTCTGTGTATGATTAAGAAATTCCCTAGAGAATAAAAAGAAATCCATTTTATTTCCCTCAGGGGACACTACATTTTTTTAATTTCAGGGTGCAGAGAAAGTGATGGCATATGTGCCTGATGCTGTCTGGTATGACTACGAGACTGTAAGTAGCTTTGACTTTTCTTCTACTCCTTAAGACTGTAGCTGCAGCTGCATAGACAAGCTACCTTTCTGGAGAGAGAAACATCCATCTACATGCTGAGGAGTAGTTTTTAGTGTTTTCTGTAATTTCATAGCAGAACCTGGGTAAAGTTAACCTAAACCGTTAACATCAGTCATGATGAAATGTGAAAAAATACCTTCATATACTTTATTTAGCAATAAGATAGGCTGACATAGTATCTCATAAATTAATATTGGAGGAACTGATGGACAATGTGAGCTTGGTCAGGAATCAGACTATCTGTTTAAAACTATCAGTTTATATAATATATCAAATAGCCTCAGCATGGCATAAATTTTTTCACAAACCCCCAACTGGTAGCAGAACATGTTATTCTTGATTTTTTTCCTTCTGTTGTTTGATTGCCTGGCTAGACCATAATTCAGCTAATTGGAAAAGGGAGAGAGCTGTGTATCACCAGGCATGTAGATAATCAGTGAAGGGCAATATGCTGTCATGCCAATGTGTTTGATTTATCTGCATGCATCAGGGGAGCCAAGTGAGATGGAGGAAGCAAAAAGTCGAGATGGAACTTCCTGGAGACAAAATTGGACTTCACCTTCGAGGAGGCTACATCTTCCCCACACAGCAGCCAAATACAACCACTCTGGCCAGGTATAGCATGGCTGGAGTGTCCTTTCAGAATTCATGTCCTTGCTTAAACCCTTTGAATTTCTTTTCGAAACACACTAACAGCCAGGTGGTCAGCCTCTTTGGTTTGGCCACGACTGTTGCAGTTTTAGCACCAAAAGTCTCTTCCCTTGGGAGGCTTTTCAATTCTGGGCAAACCAGGTCAGTTGATCCCTCTGTCTGCCTTGGCCACACTGCATCCATGTTTCTTTACCCTTGACTCACTTGTTCTCATTTCTAGAGAACCTTGACTCTCCTCCCTCCTAGAATTTCAACTTCCTATTTCTTTTCTCCCACTAAGATTTCTTTCTTGTGATTCAAAAATTACCTTATGCAAACCTCAAATCTCCAAGTCACTGAATTTTCCTTTATATGTAATTGATTCCAAAAAAATAGATTCCATCTGTACTAAAGAGGTGCACATTTATATCTTCATGGCTTTGAGAGTATTAGCCTACTTGTCTTTAATAGACCAGGAGCTCTTTGGAAGCCAGAAACCTGTCTTTTCTTTTGAACCTCTCTTACTGCTTTAATTTTCCAAGTTGTAGACTTTTTATGATACTAATGGAAAATATCCCTGAATCCAATGCCAGTTGGCTTCCTTTTTCTAACTGTTCACCTTCAAGCTGTTCTGCACACTGATACCAAATTAATTTTTCCAAAATGAAAATCTCAACTGGTTGCTCCCAGGCTTGAAGTCCAAAGTCTTTCATTAATAGGGTATTCAAAACCAATCACAACCTGGTTTCACGTTACTTTAACAACTCTATCTCCTGCCACACCTTCATGTACATACAGACCAGTCATGCCAAAAGCTTTCTCTTTCCCAGACATACGTATGTATTTTACAACATTTGGGCTTTTGCACTTATCCTTTCCAACATTCTTTGCCTGGTGTATTCTTAATGATCCAAATGAAACTTTACATTTCAGCAGCAAGAAATCTTTCCTTAATCTTCCAGCAGAGGAAGCACTGCCACTTTCAAGTTTCTGGTCATTTTATATATATATTATATATATACGTATAATATATAATATATATATTATATATATACGTATAATATATAATATATATATTATATATATACATATATATAATATATATATATTATATATATATAATATAATATATATATATTATATATATAATATAATATATATATATTATATTATATACATATAATATATAATATATATACATATAATATATAACATACAATATATAACATATAATATATACATATAATATATAATATATAATATATATACATATAATATATAACATATAATATATATACATATAATATATAATATATAACATATTATATATACATATAATATATAACATATTATATATACATATAATATATAACATATATTATATATACATATAATATATAACATATATTATATATACATATAATATATAACATATATTATATATACATATAATATATAACATATATTATATATACATATAATATATAACATATATTATATATACATATAATATATAACATATATTATATATACATATAATATATAACATATATTATATATACATATAATATATAACATATAATATATAATATAACATATAATATATAATATATAATATATATTATATACATATATATAATATATAATATATATTATATATACATATTATATATATAATATATATTATATATACATATTATATATAATATATAATATATATTATATATACATATTATATATAATATATAATATATATTATATATACATATTATATATAATATATAATATATATTATATATACATATTATATATAATATATAATATATATTATGTATAATATTATATATAATATATTACATATATTATATATACATATAATATCTGAATATAATATATATATTATATATACATATATCTAAATATAATATATATACATATAATATCTAAATATAATATCTAAATATAATATCTATATTATATATACATATAATATCTAAATATAATATCTACATTATATATACATATAATATCTAAATATAATATCTATATTATATATACATATAATATCTAAATATAATATATATATTATATATACATATAATATCTAAATATAATATATATATTATATATACATATAATATCTAAATATAATATATATAAAATATAAACATAATATCTAAATATAATATCTATATTATATATACATATAATATCTAAATATAATATATATATTATATATACATATAATATCTAAATATAATATATATATTATATATACATATAATATCTAAATATAATATCTATATTATATATACATATAATATCTAAATATAATATATATATTATATATACATATAATATCTAAATATAATATATATATTATATATACATATAATATCTAAATATAATATATATATTATATATACATATAATATCTAAATATAATATATATATTATATATACATATAATATCTAAATATAATATCTATATTATATATACATATAATATCTAAATATAATATCTATATTATATATACATATAATATCTAAATATAATATCTATATTATATATACATATAATATCTAAATATAATATATATATTATATATACATATAATATCTAAATATAATATATATATTATATATACATATAATATCTAAATATAATATGAATTATATAGATATATCTAAATATATATATTATATATACATATGATATCTAAATATATAATATATACATATAATATCTAATATATAATACATATATTATATATACATATACTATCTAATATATAATACATATATTATATATACATATACTATCTAATATATAATACATATATTATATATCATGTAATATGTAATATATAATATATACATTATATACACATACGACATATAATATATACATTATATACACATACGACATATAATATATACATTATATACACATACGACGTATAATATATACATTATATACACATACGACGTATAATATATACATTATATACACATACGACGTATAATATATACATTATATACACATACGACGTATAATATATACATTATATACACATACGACGTTTAATATATACATTATATACACATACGACGTATAATATATACATTATATACACATACGACGTATAATATATACATTATATACACATACGACGTATAATATATACATTATATACACATACGACGTATAATACATTATATACACATACGACGTATAATATATACATTATATACACATACGACGTATAATATGTACATTATATACACATACGACGTATAATATATACATTATATACACATACGACATATAATATATAATATATACATTATATACACATACGACATATAATATATACATTATATACACATACGACATATAATATATACATTATATACACATACGACATATAATATATACTATATATAATATACACATACGATATATAATATATAATATATATATAATATACACATACGATATATGATATATAATGAATATTATATACACATACGATATATGATATATAATGAATATTATATACACATACGATATATATAATGAATATTATATACACATACGATATATGATATATAATGTATATTATATACACTTACGATATATGATATATAATGTATATTATACACTTACGATATATGATATATAATGTATATTATATACACGTGTAATATATGATATATAATGTATATTATATACACGTGTAATATATGATATATAATGTATATTATATACACGTGTAATATATGATATATAATGTATATTATATACACGTGTAATATATGATGTATAATGAATATTATATACACGTGTAATATATGATGTATAATGAATATTATATACACGTGTAATATATGATATATAATGTATATTATATACACGTGTAATATATGATATATAATGTATATTATATACACGTGTAATATATGATATATAATGTATATTACATACACGTGTAATATATGATATATAATGTATATTACATACACGTGTAATATATGATATATAATGTATATTATATACACGTGTAATATATGATATATAATGTATATTATATACACGTGTAATATATGATATATAATGTATATTATATACACGTGTAATATATGATATATAATATGTATATTGTATACACGTGTAATATATGATATATAATATGTATATTATATATACGTGTAATATATGATATATAATATGTATATTATATATACGTGCAATATATGATATATAATATGTATATTATATATCATATATGTGATATATAATATATATATTATATAACATATATGATATATAATATATATTATATAACATATATGTATATAATATATATTATATATCATATAATATATGATATATAATATATATTATATATACCTATAATATATGATATATAATATATATTATATGTACCTATAATATATGATATATAATATATATTATATGTCCCTATAATACATGATATATAATATATATTATATATCCCTATAATACATGATATATTATATATATTATATATACCTATAATACATGATATATTATATATACCTATAATACATGATATATTATATATATTATATATACATACAATATATGATATTATATATTACATATACATATAATATATGATATAATATATATTATATATACATACAATATATGAATATATAATATATATTATATATACATACAATATATGAATATATAATATATATTATATACATACAATATATGAATATATAATATATATTATATACATACAATATATGAATATATAATATATATTATATACATACAATATATGAATATATAATATATAATATATACATACAATGTATGAATATATAATATATATCATATATACATACAATGTATGAATATATAATATACATATCGTATATACATACAATGTATGAATATATGATATATATTATATATACATACAATATGTAATATATATATTATATATACATACAATATGTAATATATATATTATGTATACATACAATATGTAATATATATATTATGTATACATACAATATGTAATATATATTATGTATACATACAATATGTAATATATATTATGTATACATACAATATGTAATATATATTATGTATACATACAATATGTAATATATATTATATATACATACAATATGTAATATAATATATAATATAGAAATTTATATGTGTAATTATATATTTATTTTTATATTTATATATTTATTATATATTTATATATTATATATATATTTATATTATATTTTTGTTTTGTTTTGTTTTTTGCTCCTTAGATGATTTTGTCTTTCTTCTTTAATACTGTTAGTATTTCAAGAACAGTTGTATACTCTGTGCTTGAAAATTTTATTATCTGAAATGTTTAGGGGAGTCTAAGTCTATTGTTAGTTAACTTTGTTGACTTTCTTTCATGTTGACTTATTACCTTGTGTGCTTGGTGATCTTATTTTTTTTAAGCTGTGATAATCTTATAACTGTGGGTCTCATTCCTCCAGAGATGATTTGCCTTCTCCTCTGTGTGCAAGCCAAGAATTGCTTCCAACTGGCATTATGTTAGCTTCCTTCAAGGATCTCAGCTTCATGTGGGAATCAGAGGTTCACATTCTCTACCTTGGATCACTAGGCTTAGTAGCCCAATTTTAACCTTGCTATGGGAATTTGCCACACGGAGATTCTAGGTTTTGCTTACTAAGCCCCCTTTTGGTTTTAGCTCAGTGTTTTGTTATCCTGTTATTGTTTTCATCTCTTGGATATATTTCTTACTTTCTTGCAAATCCAACAATATTTTAACAGGAATATGTGTTGTAATTTAACTAGGATCAGGGAATATTTTACTGGGTAAGTCTCCAGAAGAATATCCGGTCCACCATATTTCTGGAACTGTGGTTCTGGACTCCTAGAATATCCTAACTTTTGTGTTGTTTTCATTGTTCGCCTTCATTTTTTAATGAATGTGCCTATTTTTTCCTATAATATTTAAGGTCGTTCAGATCAGGGGTTGTGATTTATTTATTTTTGTATCTCATTGACTTCTTAGAAACGACTGCTACTCAGTACATGAATATTTAATGAAAGCAGATGTTTTTGCTGATAATAAAAACTAACTTTCTTGCATAGTGAAAGGCTGAACTGTGAAAGAATACAATGGAGAATATGAGACCAGTGACAGAGGAGAAACAAGAAGAGCAGGAAACTGGGAGGTTGCTTAGAGCAGTGATAGAATGAGGAGAGACTCCAAATAAAAATTTCTCTCTTCTCCCCCTCTTCCTCTCTGTCCATCTACTTTACCATGTATTTGAGTAATGTTTTGTGTTTCTTATTCTAAATTATAGAGTAGATTAGAATGATTTGTTTTTCTTTCAAAACAAACTAATAACCAATAATCAGATAAGTTACTACTAAATAGATGGACCTTATTATATGTTGTTGCTTTCTGAGTATAAATGGTCCTTAGGCAGGCGAAAATGTGTCTTCCTCACAGCACTGGACACTTCTACTGAGGGCATCATTGCTAAAGTGATATAACTGAACCAGTTATTGCCCAAGATTTATTTCTCTTCTCATACTCTGTATTCTAAGTAGTAGTTGCAGAAGCAGCTTTTATTTGAGTTATTGCAGTGCCTCTGGTGCTTAAGTTCTTGCCTCTAACATAGATGTTATTGTTAATGTTTGGGGTATTTCTATCTCTTGTGACACTGTTGATATTAAAGATAGGGGCGCCTGTCAATTTTGTGTTTGTGCCTGAAGAAAAGCAGAACCATCTGCTGCTAGTAACTTTTCCAATTTGAAATTTGATGGAAATATTCTCAGCTCGGCTGGCAAAATTCTCTGACTCCTGTCTTTGTGTCTTGAATCTTGTTCCCCACAGTCGAAAGAACCCTCTTGGTCTTATCATTGCCCTAGATGAGAACAAAGAAGCAAAAGGAGAACTTTTCTGGGATAATGGGGAAACGAAGGGTGAGCACTTATACGATAATGTTGCTGTTTCCCAACCTGCACCTGTGACTTATGGTCCTTCACTCCTGCTGGTCATTCAGCTGTGGGAGAAATCTCAGTAGGCACAGTAGCAAGAGTCACTTAAGTATTTTGTTTCTGGTTGCACCATTCAGAGGTAGTGGTAGATGACCTACAAAGGAAAGAAAAATACATTTCTATCTCTGGCAATTCTCCTATTGGACAGTGATATCTATAATAGGCTTTTTATTTATTTATTTATTTATTTATTTATTTATTTATTTATTTATTTATTTATTGAGGTGGAGTTTTGCTCTTGTTGCCCAGGCTGGAGTGCAGTGGCGCGATCTCGGCTCACTGCAACCTCTGCCTCCCAGGCTCAAGTGATTCTTCTGTCTCAGCCTCCCGCGTAGGACTACAGGTGCCTACCACCATGCCTGGCTAATTTTTTGTATGTTTAGTAGAGATGAGGTTTCACCGTGTTAGCCAGGATGATCTCGATCTCCTAAATTCGTAATCTGCCCGGCTCGGCCCCCCAAAGTGCTGGGATTACAGGCATGAGCCACCATGCTTGGCCAATAGGCTCTCTTTTTATTGTCAATGGGTGCTTAGAAGAGATGGTTTCAAGACTGTTCCCGTAACCCAATGTTAATGTCTTCCTCCTGAAATTCTTATGAGCAAATGTTGATGATATAGAAATCATGCCCCTGCCAGTGAGGCAGTGAGAATATACTTTTTAGCATATTTGTGGATCCAGTATACTAACAATTCCTGTGCTTCAAGTTTAGGAAATAGATTCCCTTGAGGCATATGCCTTGGAAGCCCTTGGAAGGGAAACTTTGCAATGTTCCAGTAGGAAAGAGAAGGAAAAACAATGGCTTGGCCTTGGAGACTCTTGTCCATCTAATCCAATGTGTAGATTTAAATATTTATTTTTTAATTGCAAAATATTTAATTGGCAAATAAAGATGAAATATATTCAAAGTGGACAATGTGAGGATTTAATATATATATAGGCATAGTATAATGATTACCACAGCTATTTTAAGGAACAGATCCATCACCACCCATACTGTAGACTGGATCCCCAGAACCTATTCATCTAATAACTAAAAATTTGTACCCTTGACCATCATCTCCCCAGTTTCCACACCTGCAGGCTCTAAGAACAACAGTTATACTGTCTGCTTCTAGGAGCTCAACTTTTTTAGGTTTCACATGTAAGTGAGACCATGCAGTACTTGACTTTCTGTCTCTGGCTTATTTCACTTAGTATAACGTCCTCTAGATTCATCCATGCTGTTGCAAATGGCAGAATTTTCTTCTTTTTATGTCTGAATAATATTCTATTGTATATATATACCACAATTTCTTTATTCATTCATCCATTGATGGACACTTAGGTTATTTTCATATCTTTGCTACTGTGCAGAAGTAAAATTAAAAACTTAAATGTAAGGGTTGAAATTGTAAAGCTCCTAGAAGAACACAGGAAACAACCTCCTTGACATTAGTCTTGGCAATGACTTTTTGGATATGATACCAAAAGCAAAGGCAAAATAGCAAATAATAAACAAGCATGACTACATCAAACTAAAAGGCTTCTGCACAGGAAAATAAATAATCAACAAAGTGAAAAGGCAAACTACAGAATGGATAAAAATGTTTGCAAACCATGTATCTCAGAAGAGATTAATATAAAAAAATAAGGAACTCATGCAACTCAGTAGCAAAAGATCAAATGACCCAATTAAAAAGTGGGTGAAGGACCTGAACAGATGTTTTTCCAAGGAAGACATACAAGTGGCTAACTGGCATGTGAAAAGATGCTCAACATCAGTAAGTGACACAGGTATGCAAATAAAAAATTACAGTGAGCTACCACCTCACACCTGTTAGCATGGAAATAATAAAAAAGATAAGAGATAAGTGCTGGCGAGGATGTGGAGAAAATGGAATTTTTGTAGACTGTTGGTGAGAATGTAAATTGTTACAACCGTTATGGAAAATAGTATGCATGTTCCTCAAAAAATTAACAGAACTTCCATACAATCCCATGAAATCCCACTTCTGGGTGTATATCCAGAGGACATGAAACCAGTATCTTTAAGAGATACAGTCACTCCCACGTTCATTACAGCATTATGTGCAACAACCAAGATATAGAAACAATCTAATTATACATTGATGAATGAATGAATAAAGAAATGTGATACACATATACAATTGAAAATTATTCATCCATAAGGAAAAGGAAAACTGCTATGTGTGACCTCAAGGCATAGCTGAAAGGAGTGGTAGGGTGAAATCTGTTCTTCTGAGGTGGGCAGGCCAGAATCTGACTTGTCTTTCTCTCACTTTCAGATACTGTGGCCAATAAAGTGTATCTTTTATGTGAGTTTTCTGTCACTCAAGTGAGTAGCATATTTTTATGAATCTTAGGTGTGGGCTTTGGACTGACCATTAGCACATCTGTGCTTGTGTATATTGTATATGTGTGATTATATTTGTAACTTTATATGCATTATTGGCTATAGGTGAGTACATTTCTATTTATGATTTCATCGATGTTTTCAAAAGGAGGCATTAATATAGCAGCTAGTGTTTCTGAACACAGTTTTTAAATGCCTGTGTGTTTTTATGATCGTTTTAAATTAGAGGATTATCCAAATAATGTTGTACTTCTTCAGCACACACTAGTAGAGAAAGCAGAGAGGCATTTATGGCAGTGGGGGGTATCCGGTCTGGAATGGAATATTTGAGTGACTTGAGAATCTGTGTATACTCATATACCTTTATGCATACTTGGACTTAATTGTTTTGCAGAACCGCTTGGAGGTGAATATTTCACAATCAACCTACAAGGACCCCAATAATTTAGCATTTAATGAGATTAAAATTCTTGGGACGGAGGAACCTAGCAATGTTACAGTGAAACACAATGGTGTCCCAAGTCAGACTTCTCCTACAGTCACTTATGATTCTAACCTGAAGGTAAAAACCCATTTTGTTGAGATGGTACATTGAGAATTCTCCATAGCATCGTGATGTTCCTTCTTGCCAAGTTTGCATGGGTCCCTGAAGGACCAGGGCACCTTTGAGGCCTGTTTTGGGGAAGTGAGAGGGCTGGGGAAAAAAATGAGGTGGCCAGAGCTAGAATGAGTTGGGTATTTTTCTTCTTATTCCCTTCTCTGCCTATCAGTGTTCCCGTCTTTCTAGCTGGTTTCACTTGCTTTTCCCAAAAATAGAATAATTATGATGAGACCCAGGAACAGCAAAGTTGGAAAGTGGGGAATAGCCTGACATTATTAGACTGTGAATTTTGTATGACTAGCACAAATAAGAATTGGTATTTGAAAAAGGCCAGTTTGGATAGGAAACTTGTGGTCAGGTTTTGGAGGTCTTAGTTACCAACTTGATTTAATTCTCAAGCAGTCTCATATTGATCCTTGAATGAAGGCTGTGCTACTGTGTGTGAGCATTGTTGGGAGTGGGAGTGGGGGCTGGGGACTAGTAGAACAGGGAAGTACAAGATGGTTTAGATTGGGAGGAGACTAGGAGAAGGATGATAATCTTTAGAATGTGATTTTTGTACTCCAGACAAGTGAGAACTTTAACTTGGGAAGTGTTGTTTAAAGAAGTGTCAAGATAAGAAAACTATATAGAAAAATATTAAATATTTGAACTAATGGTATTCAAGGAAGGTTTCAGAATTGGAGTCTTTGGGCTTAGAGAAATGAACATGCTGGGATGTTAGAAATAGAAAGAAATATAATGTTTTTTTCAACTTTTCAAATTTGCCGTTGCTAAAATTGAAACCCAAAGAAATGAAACAGAATACCTGACTTACCCTGATGTGATTATTATGCCCTGTATGCCTGAATCAACATATTTCATATAACCCATAAATATGCATACCTACTATATACCCATTAAAATTAAAAATTAAAAAAAGAAATCATTTGTCCAACATTCTACAGAAATGTGGGCATGATAACCAGGTCATATGATTCTTATTGCTGTGCTCTTTCTACCACTCCACGCCAATGGGTGATACTGGTTTGGGCATTGGAGAGCAAGAGGATCAACTCACTTTAGGATGACATCATGTGTCATCTCACAGCGAGCTAAGAGGAGTCAGGGTAGAAAAGAATAAGGGGTGATCACAACAGGTTTTATTTGACCTAACTGTTTTCATTATGCTAAGTACAAGATTGTGCTAGAGGGGAGACATTTGACCTGTTGCTGCTAAATAGATTCTCCCAATGTGCAGTTCTCTTCTTATAAGCTAAAGTCATATGTTGCTTGGATGTTTGAAAGTCTGGTCTAATTTCTATTTTTTTTTTATCGAAAAAAAAACCTCAGGTCTTGCAAAGCCTGTCTCCTAAAGATGAATTTCCTTATGATTTCCACATTCCTACAGGTTGCCATTATCACAGATATTGATCTTCTCCTGGGAGAAGCATACACAGTGGAATGGAGCATAAAGATAAGGGATGAAGAAAAAATAGACTGTTACCCTGATGAGAATGGTGCTTCTGCCGAAAACTGCACTGCCCGTGGCTGTATCTGGGAGGTAACCATGCTGATGGGGTTTGTGTGCATGAGAATCTCCACACCTAATCTGTAGTTTCTTAAGCATAGCAGTGGTACTTACATAACTACTTAAAATCCATAGAAAGAACTTCCTAAGGGACAGGATCTAGATGTGACAAGTAGGTGGGGACATGTGCGAAACTTCTTAAGATGAATATTTTGCTTGGAGACAAGGAATTGAAATTTATGTTATTGCCAAGTGATAAGTGATGGGCTAGTTTTATCGTCATATAAAATGACTTTACTAACCCTGTTTAGGTTAGAGAACTTTAAGACCACATGCTGTGCTGATCTATGACTTTGGCCTTACTTTTCAGGCATCCAATTCTTCTGGAGTCCCTTTTTGCTATTTTGTCAACGACCTATACTCTGTCAGTGATGTTCAGTATAATTCCCATGGGGCCACAGCTGACATCTCCTTAAAGTCTTCCGTTTATGCCAATGCCTTCCCCTCCACACCCGTGAACCCCCTTCGCCTGGATGTCACTTACCATAAGAATGAAATGCTGCAGTTCAAGGTAAACACAGTACATGTATCAGGTAGTGATTAGACCCTTTTCAGTTCCATTACCTTTTATTGGTCTGGATCACAGAACCCTAAAATAAGTTAATCATGCTACAACAGACTATATCATTATCCAGAGAGCATTGAGAAATCATTGAGGGAACAATGAGACCTGCCCTAATTTTCATTTGGAAAAGATTACTGTGGCTACTGTTAGGAAAATGGTTGGGAGAGCAAGAGTAGGTACGGAGAGACAACTTGGGAGGCTACCAGTTAGGCAGGTCAGTGGAGGGATTAGGTTTGGACTAGACAGTGGAATGCAGGTGGAGAACAGTGGACCCGTCTGAGGTTGAGAAAGTTGGGTTACAGGATCTAGTGCTCAATTGCAAGCAGGTGACAATGGAGATGGAACATCAAGAATGATGACCGTGTTGGTATCTTGCATCTTAATATGGATGGTGCTGACATTAACTCAAATAGGAATACTGAAAAAGTTTGTGCTTGATCAATGTAAGATGATATGTTCAGTTTGGGATGCTGAATTTGAGATTTCTGTAAAATGGCCATCAATATGCAGTAATTTCATTTCTTTCCAGAATTTAATTGCATTTAAGGACTAGGGATGGACTAGCTGTGATGTCTATTTTTCTATTAAACTAAGCTTCTCAAGGACAGGAATGTGCCCTTTCCTGTTTGTGCTTCTGAAATCTACAGAGCCTGGCCGATAGTGCTGTAATGTTATTGACAGAGTAAGTGAAAGTGGTCAGGACATTGTCACATTGCCTGAAAGGTTCTTTACAATCTGACATCAACCCGAATTCTGAGTTCTTGTTCATCCTCTAATGCAGGGAAGAATCTCTTGTATGTTTGTACCCTCCTTGTAACACTAGCATGTTTTAGGCACCTAATGGGTTTGAAGTGAATGAACTTCCCTGGAGTTCTAGCCTTAACCATTGCCTACTCTACCTCTTGACCGTAGAGTAACTCTTTCCAAAATATGTGCCTCTTTCTGGCCCACTTTAATTCTCTCTGCCTTCGTGGTTGTTATTCTTCACCAGAATGACTTGATCTCCTTTCTTTGTTTGGTTAATGACTACCAAGCTTTTAATATTCTAGACTGTATTTCTCCCGTGAGACCGTCTCAGTCTCCCAGAAACAATGTTAGGCATTTCCTTCCCTAGAATCTCACAGCACTTCTACATAGCTCTCCCTTAGCACACATCACCCACGTGTTGTGAGCTGCTCTCTTTGACTTCTTATTCGCATGTGAATTTCGTAAAACCATAACACTGCCTTATTGAGCTCACGTCCCTAGTGTCTTGTGCAGTGTCAGGCAGGGGATGTAGTAGGTACTCATGAATCAGTTTAGATACCACTTTCAGCAAGGACATTCTGATTATTTTAATCAAATAGATTTCATTTTGGGGAGACAGGTTTTTTTTTGAACTCATAATGATTTTAAGTTATTTATATATACTCATATACCCACAGAAAATAACAAGTAACATATTCATAAATACCACACTGATTCCAGAATGATTTTCCAAGTCAGCAGCAATGTCCCATTGAGTTTATTAAGGTAATAGAGGCCTTAATAATGAGAAATCACAGAAAAATGTTAAATGTGACATTGTTATCTGATATATTAATTAAATCTCAGATATCATAAAGAAGATAGAAACATAGCATCTGAACTTTGTGTCCAAAAATCAAAAAGGTTCTGCTAAGGGTATAGGTTTCAAGAGTAGTATTGTTGCCTAAAATTGATTTCCTCTGGCCTAGATTTATGATCCCAACAAGAATCGGTATGAAGTTCCAGTCCCTCTGAACATACCCAGCATGCCATCCAGCACCCCTGAGGGTCAACTCTATGATGTGCTCATTAAGAAGAATCCATTTGGGATTGAAATTCGCCGGAAGAGTACAGGCACTATAATGTGAGTGGCTTCTAGTGTGACTCAGAGTTGATGGCTACCTGCGCCTTCGCTGCCAGGTCCATTGTCCTTGGATGTATCCTGGTTCAAAACATCACATTGTCCACTTCCAGATCCATGGATGAGTTGTTTCCTTCAGACCTATTCTTACAGGAAATCTTTAGCATTCTGGAAATAAATACTGAAGGAGTTGAATGTGCCTGAGGATTCATCCAACAAATGTTTATGGGGTGCCTTCTCTAGATTAGGTGCTGCTCCTTATACACAGCTGAGGTTTCTCTTCTCATGACAACAAATAATAAGTAAATATCACTTTGAGTGCTATGTAGAAAATGGACTGAGGGGTGCAAGGATGGAAGGCAGTGCTGGTGTGGAGTGGTCCCAGCTGTGATGATGAGGGGTGCTTGGATTTGTATTGTGGAGGACCACTGAAAGGAGGCAGTGACAGAGGGAAACGGAAGAATGATGAATAACTCCTGGGCTTTTAGCGAGGATATCTGTGATATTTTAATCAAATTGAGTTTCAGTTTTGTTTGGGATATGAACAGCTTCTTGGTAGGAATCAAGTGTTCTGTTGTCCTTGAAAAGTCACCTGCTGGAAACAGAGATAAAAGCTCATTTTCTGTTTCAAATCTGCGTTTTTGTGTTTCAGTTGGGACTCTCAGCTCCTTGGCTTTACCTTCAGTGACATGTTTATCCGCATCTCCACCCGCCTTCCCTCCAAGTACCTCTATGGCTTTGGGGAAACTGAGCACAGGTCCTATAGGAGAGACTTGGAGTGGCACACTTGGGGGATGTTCTCCCGAGACCAGCCCCCAGGGGTAAGGACAGAGCATTTGGGATCTGTGTCTCTGCTTCTCTCCACCCACACTGCTCAGGCTTTGGGCTTCATCTTCCCAAACTCCACTTGGTCATCACATTCTGCTTTTAGGCAAGTGGGCCAATTCTCAGGCTCCTTTGTTTCATGTGTTTAGTTTATGTGTCTAGTTTCATGGAGAAAACTAGAGCCATGTTAGCAAGCACATTTTTGTTGAGTTTCTTTCTCAGGCATAATGTCTTTTAAACTCCTACTGCTTCTTCCCATGACTCCCCAGTACAAGAAGAATTCCTATGGTGTCCACCCCTACTACATGGGGCTGGAGGAGGACGGCAGTGCCCATGGAGTGCTCCTGCTGAACAGCAATGCCATGGGTAAGGCCATCAGCACCTCCCTTATTTTGGGGGGATACCAATCATGCCTGAGTCAATTTACAATGTGTTTAGCCTAACTGTTCCTTGAAGGCAAAATCTTCATTTTACGGGCACTGCTGTTTATTTTTTCTTTGTGTTTAGCCTTTCTGTTTATTTCAATCTAATATCATGTAATAAGAAGATTTAACCCAACTCTCATTTTGGTAAAAATCACATAAGAAGGGATAGTAACACCACATGGGTCCCAAATATCCTGGAGGGCAGCTCGTGAGAGCCAGTTATATAATTTGAATTAGGGTAAAACTATGGGTCAGAGAAGTTAGTCTGGGGGTATTGAGGGTGTATGGTATGTTGGAAAATTACCTATCGGGTACTCTGCTCACTGTCCGGGTGAGGGATCCATACCCTAAACCTCAGCATCATGCAATATTCCCATGTAAGGAACCTGAACAGGTATCTCTTTATCTAACATAAAACTTGAAATGTAAAAAATAATAATTTTATAAGAGTAGAATGATAAAATATAGTAAAGTACCCTAAAGAGAATCAAACCCAGGAATGGGACCTGTAGACTTCCATTGATCTTCTTCAGTTCTGTGAGTATGATAGAAAATGCCTGCTGTTACTACTCTATGATAGGGAGGGTGCAGGAAGATGGAGAATGTGTGGATTTCAGGGGTGATTCGTGACATGGAAGGTGTCCGTGAGGCTTGGCATTTTTCTTTATTTTCAGATGTGACGTTCCAGCCCCTGCCTGCCTTGACATACCGCACCACAGGGGGAGTTCTGGACTTTTATGTGTTCTTGGGGCCGACTCCAGAGCTTGTCACCCAGCAGTACACTGAGGTAGGGGGAAATCCAATTGTTTATCAAGTACTTACACAGCACATTCTGGGTGCCAGAGTCCACATTGATTAGTATAACTCTCAGTTGACAACTGGAAATATTGGTCTTTCTTGGAGAGAGATTATAGAATGAGAAAAAATAAATACATTCTAATTATCATTAAATTTATAGCCTCTGTAAGCATTGCAGAATAGCAGAAGTTATAGTGGTACTAGTGGTGGTGCTGGTAGTGATAGTAGTGTGATGTTGGTGTTATTTGTGGTTATATGGTGATGATGGCAGTAGGGGCTGACGGTGGTGATAGTGATGTGGGAATGGTGATAATGATGGTGGTGGTAGTAGTGGTGTTGGTGATGGTGATGATAGTGGTGGGGGTGGTGGTAATGGGTGTGTTGGTGATGATGACGGTGATAGTGGTGGTGATGGTGACAAGGGTGGGGCTGACGATGGTGTTTGTGGTAGTGATGGTGATGATGATGGTGGTGTTGGTTATGGTGGTGGTGGTAGTGGTGGTGACAGTGAGGTGGTGTGAGGAGTGTGATGTTGGTGATAGTGGTTGTGGTGATAGTGGTGATGGTGGGGATGGTGGTTGGGGTGGTGGTGGGGGTGGTAGTGGGGGGTGGTGGTGACGGTAGTGAAGGGTAATGATAATGGTAATGGTGGTGGGGGCACGATCGTGGTACTGGGGGTGATGGTGAAAATAGTGATGATGGTGGTGGTGATGATGGTGATGATGACCATGGTGGTCGTGGCAGCAACAACAGACACTTACATACTACCAAGTGCGCATCACTGATTTATCACTTGCTGCATGTTAGAGCATTTCACACATATTAACTCATTCATGCATCACAGAAACACTATCAGGCAGATGCTATTATTATCCGTTATTTACAGATGAAGAAACTGAAGCACTAAGAGATTACTTAATTTTTGCCCAAGGTCACACAGCTAGCAGGATTGGAGCCTGTATACTAAGCCAGGCATATGTCTCTGATTCTGGGTTTCTTAACCAGTTATCTACAGTGTCTCTAGGAATAGCGTAACATCAGATTTTCCATAATTTTTAAGAAGGAGCTCAAGTCTAGCAGAAAGCTTTCTCTAAGTATCCTAGTGGCTCTATATCCTGTCAGTTTTGGTCTGGATTTCAATTAGTTAGTTGTCTAGCTTGGGGCACAGAAAAATATTCTTATTACTTGATGTAAAACTTCAATGTGGTGCCTCTGTTCTGAAGACTAATATTTTCTGTCTATTTTCTAGTTGATTGGCCGGCCTGTGATGGTACCTTACTGGTCTTTGGGGTTCCAGCTGTGTCGCTATGGCTACCAGAATGACTCTGAGATCGCCAGCTTGTATGATGAGATGGTGGCTGCCCAGATCCCTTATGTACGTTCTCAGTCATGGCTCTGGAGTTTCAAAACTAACCCAGGTGCCTCTGTGTCTGGGTTCATTTGTCTAATGTTTGTTGGATTCCATAAAGACATAAAGTTCTTTTTCAGACAATATCACAGTTAGCCTCACCCCAGCACAGTAATATAGGTAAGGGCACTTGTTTCCGTCTTCCAGAGATGACAGCTCAAGACCCAGCATGACTCGCCAGAGTGGGAGATAGGCTGGCTCCAGGGCTCTTTCTGCTCTCCCGTGCTTCCTTCCATTTCTTTCACTTGGCTTCAAAACATGTAGTCAAAAAAGTCCTTGGTTTCATAAGAATAAAGTATATCCCACAGTTCTTTTACTTAATTCTTGAAAAGACTAACCACAAATCAATCAGACAATTGTATATGTGAATACAACCTCAGTTCCTGCATCAGCTCTGAGCTAATAACAGATGGATTAAACAGATCCTGGGATGGGTTTCCAGAGGACATACATATGGAAAGAAACCTTATCCTTCAGTGGAGGATGGGAGGGGACCCAGTCATCAGAGAATTGATCCCATGAACCATCACATATTTAATTTTATCCCACTTTTCTATTGTTTACAGTTGTTCCATTAGTGGAATGTAGTGTTTCCATTAGTGGATAGTGAAATGCAATATTACAGTCTCAGGAAGAATGTTGTGTATGATTACCCTCAAGATTCGGTATTCCAAAGCAACTATACATCTTTGCTTTGTTTTGTAGTAGATTTACTATTAGTCCTGGATAATTAACAGTATTTTTCCTAAACATGAACCACTGATACCAGGGGCAGCCTCTTGGGGTAGGTCATCACCATCACTCCTGATAGTGGCAGTTTACAAAGCACTTTCCAAACCAGTGTTTTCTCTTATCCTCAGAATAGCCATGCTAGAGACGCATTCTCATCCTAGCTTGTGCTGACTTCGATTTTTTTTCTATCTTATCACTGAACATTTTAAAAATTAAGTGTATTTCCCAGCACCTGTACCTAACAAATGGCAGAGCTGGGATTTGAATGCATCAACAAGAAGCTGTCTGGAATTCCACCATGGGTGGTGGAGGGTTGTTCTCCTATAAAGCTTGGGCGTGTACAGCAGCAGCCTCTCAGCTCCCCATGTCCTCCCGCAGGATGTGCAGTACTCAGACATCGACTACATGGAGCGGCAGCTGGACTTCACCCTCAGCCCCAAGTTTGCTGGGTTTCCAGCTCTGATCAATCGCATGAAGGCTGATGGGATGCGGGTCATCCTCATTCTGGTTAGTCCTGATGTGAATGTGTGCGGTCTGTTTGGGAGCAGGTATGGGCTTTGGTGGAGTCAGAGTTATACTTTATTTCCATGTTGCAAGTAGATAAATTGAAGTGCAGTAAGAAAGGTGTATTTCCCAGGACTCACAGAAACTCTACTGTGCAGGTAGAAGCCAGCGAGTTCACCCTTGAGGAGTTCTCCTTCATTCTGTTTCTCCTCATTCTCTGGCTTTGGTTTTCCCAACTGACTTATGCTTTGATTTCAGGATCCAGCCATTTCTGGCAATGAGACACAGCCTTATCCTGCCTTCACTCGGGGCGTGGAGGATGACGTCTTCATCAAATACCCAAATGATGGAGACATTGTCTGGGGAAAGGTATAATCCTAAGCGATGATCCACTAGTCCCCAGCCTGAGGGTGGGTCACTGTTGGTGGGTCACTGTTAGTGGGTCACACGCCTGTGTATGTTATTTTTGGCCTTTTCTATTTGGGCTCTGAGGTCAGAAGCTCTCCTTTTCTCAATCAATATTTGTTGATACAATTAACGACTTTTAAGGTAATGTAACGTGTTATGGAGTTCACTTTTCTTTTATGTCAATCCTATGTGATAGTCAAAGTATTATTGCTCCTAGGAGCACGGTTTGTATAACAATTTATTAGGAAATACTATGTAAGGGAAATTGTCTAGTGCATCGCTACTGAACGTATTTCTCTCCATAGGTCTGGCCTGATTTTCCTGATGTTGTTGTGAATGGGTCTCTAGACTGGGACAGCCAAGTGGAGGTAAAAGGGTGTTTGTAAATTTGGGTGGAGTCAGGGTTTGTAGGCAGGGGCAGCTGTTCCTGGGATTGTGGACATGCCTGTACCGTGGACATGGGCTTGGCAAGGGAGAAACACTTAGGTGATGTGTCTTGGGTGTCATTCTGTATGCCTATTACTTTATAGGTAGTCATACTTTACTGGCCACTGGGATGTAGATATGTATTATTATCCTTGGAATTTAAGACCAGAGAGCTTAAATTATTTGTTCACAGTTTTAGGTGACAGAGTGGTGATTTCAATTCCAAGGCTGTCAGATTCCAAAGGCCCAAGAAATTCCCACTGGGCGATACCTCCTAGCAGTGCCATCTTTTCTCTGAACTGGCATACTTACTGTTGTTGCCTCGGTTATCCCTTTTAAACAGTCTTCAACCCTCGAAGACTGACTAGGTCATTTTCTTTGTATATCTTTCTTTTTTTCCCCATGAACAGGTGTCTCCATCTTCATACTTACGAGTCCTGCCCCGAGCCCCACCATTCCTTGGGTTTCTCAACTTTGCTTTTACCTGTCAGTTTCCAGCCTTATTGTAAAACTTGCTCTCTCCTGGGGACGGTTTGTTGCTTGTAATGGATCCAAGTAGTCCATGCTTCTGGACCTGAATTTTTTTCCCGATTGACTAAGCATTTCTTGCTTGAATGAATACATGGCTCCTTACAGGAGAGTGGAGAAAGTGAAGGCAGAAGCCACAAGGCAAGAGTTGAATATGGACAGGCAAAGCCAGCACCTTGGAGAACGGCAGAACATTTTTATGAAGTTGGAAAGGGTCATCCGAGCAGTACTTAGGGAAGTTCCTACCTCACGGCTGGCCAGGTTCCCTACGTGTACCCCGTATGGGATAGAATTCTGACTCAGCTGTGGCTGATAATCTCTTTATTCTAATTCTCCATCCCCCACCCATCCCGTCGTTTCTAACCCTGCCTGATCTGGAGCTCTCAGTTTCTGGTGAAAGGTTCTCTTTGTCGGGTTTCCTGGTTCCTACCTCCATTTCCTAACAAAAGGCATCCCTGGCATGCCCACGTCTCTCAAGATTCTCTGTGATGTGACCCACTGTCTTCTCACATCCTTGACTGCCAGACCCATATAGGCTGATCTGTTTCTGTTTTCTTATGTTCCCTTTTCTGCCCTTTTTCTAGACATCTGGGTTCCTACCTGCCCTTTATCTGTGGTGTATAAGAACTGGAGCTCCCCTAGACCAAGTCCTGTTTTTGTTGCCTTCCCCACCCTCCTCACCAGCATTCTTTAGCTCTTTCACTCTTACAATGGTGTGATTATCATAGAGGAGGCTATTTACTGAGACAAACAAAGGACTGTAATGTTCTATAACAAACAACATGAGTATATTAAAATTGAAGGACATTTACTTGCTGCTTCTAAGTGGTGTGAACCCACTGTTAAACACTGAGTATGTATTTTATCCCAGGTTCTAAGCTCAGCATTGTGGGCAATATAAATATCACTCAGAAGGATATAAAACAAACTTCTTACTCTCAAAAATCTACAATGTAGTTAAAAAGTTGTATCTTGAATCTTTCTTTCAGGTTAAGGTAAAAACACTGCTTTTATTATGTGAGGGTAGAGGAAAATAAAGGGAAGTTGATGCATCCTCTTTAAGTCCTCTCAATTTATGTTACACACAGCTGTAGTTGTCATGTGATTCTGAAATCGTAGAAAACACTGAGGCGTACTTGTCTAATATCCAGAAATGTAATCTTATTCCTTCCTCCCCTCTCTCAGTGGGAATGACATAGGAGGGAGTCCCTGGGTGTTTCTTCCTAACCTATTACCATGCATCTCATGTCTGCAGTCTCTCCCTGGCTTTGTCTTTGAGGAGTGCATAGGAAATGGCAGGACTGACGTTGAGGGTTGGGCATCGAGTGCATGAGGTCACTAGTTCGGGTCATTGATTGTCATCATCCACGTGTATAGGAAGAGAACAGTTTTTGGATGTTTTCCAAATGCTGGGAAGGTGTGCAAATTGCACTAATTTCTCCTCTCATTCTACATTTCTCTAAGAAGTTAATAACATTATTTAGGCCCTGTTCAGGCTGTCTGTCACCATGCAGTTGAAGTATTTGTGTGAGTTGCATTCTCAGTAAGTGCCTGTTTGCTGTCTTCTATATTTGTGTGGGACAAAGAAATTATATTTCTTTTTTATAGCTATATCGAGCTTATGTGGCCTTCCCAGACTTTTTCCGTAATTCAACTGCCAAGTGGTGGAAGAGGGAAATAGAAGAACTATACAACAATCCACAGAATCCAGAGAGGAGCTTGAAGTTTGATGGCATGTGGATTGTAAGTGTGTGTGTGTCTCTGTGTACCAGTGGCTCTTGTCTATCTTTGTGTGCCTAAGTATATGTACCACTGACCTTCAATCAAGAGGATAGTCATTGTCCAAAGAAGACTTTGGACATAGCAGACACTTCTTCCTCTCAGGAGAGGAACTGCCCTGGTAGCCCTCACACCTTCTACCAGACCTGACGCTCCTACTGTAAAACCTGTGAGGCGGGACCAGGCGTGGTGGTTCACGCCTGTAATCCCAGCACTTTGGGAGGCTGAGGTGGGCAGATCACCTGAGGTTGGGAGTTTGAGACCAGCCTGACCAACATGGAGAAACTCCGTCTCTACTAAAAATACAAAATTAGTTGGGTGTGGTGGCACATGCCTATAATCCCAGCTATTTGGGTAGCTGAGGGAGGAGAATCGCTTGAACATAGGAGGCAGAGTTTGCAGTGAGCCAGGATCGCACCATTGCACTCCAGCCTGGGAAACAAGCATAACTCCATCTCAAAGAATGAAAAACAAAACCAAAAAAAAAACCTGGGAGGCAATTTACTAGGAATTTCTGGAAATTTGATTGCCTCACAGCCACCCTGAAAGAGATCTATTTTTTTACCCCTCTAGCCAGTCGTTCTGTAGGAGTGAATTAATCTTTCTAGCCAGTTCTCACCAGGATTTGATGAAGCTCCCAGGGCTGGCATCTACAGAGATTACTGGATGTTGAACAATTTATTCACTACTTCCTTGGCTCAGAATTGGCAGGACGTAATTATCTTAAAAAGTGAGGTATGTCTGTGTTTGGCATTTCTAGGATATGAATGAACCATCAAGCTTCGTGAATGGGGCAGTTTCTCCAGGCTGCAGGGACGCCTCTCTGAACCACCCTCCCTACATGCCACGTAAGAAGCCTTGGCCTCCTTGACTGGCAGAGCCATGACTGGAAGGATTACACTGGAGGAGCCCGAGGCCAGGGGCAGCCCCACAGCTGAGGGCACATCCTCATGGCTGCTGTGGTTTACTGGGGACCAGAGACAAAAGCTCTGCACGTGCTTTACCCAGCCGGGCATGGGCAAGTGACTAGACTCATTGAGCAAATTTCTTGAAATTTGTCCAGAAAGCACTTAGCAGAGCTCATGGCACAAAGGGTTCTCACAGCTGAGTTTCTTAGTTTTTAGGCTTGTGTGAATTCCATCACAGGAATTTCTTGTGTCATCAGTGAGTGGAAATTACTGGCTTCCCCTTATCATGGAGCTGATGGACTTTGGAGTTACACTTGGGTTCATATCTTGGCTCCAGAAATTGTTCTCTCTAGGAGTTTTGTGACTTTTCACAGATTATGTGATATTTCCAAATCTCAGTTTGCTAAATTGTAAAAGACGGATAATGAGATCTTCTTCATAGAATTATGGAAATAATTGGAAGTCAAAAGCCTAAATCAGAGCCCGTCATGTAGTGTTTGACAGCTGTACGTTCTTCCTGACACCTCTGCTTCCTTCAGTGAACTTGATGTTGGAAACACAGCAGGCGCCAATGCAGCTCAGAGCTGGGGGCGCTGTGCTCATGTCTCTGGGGAGATGGAGAGCGACACAGGCAGGACTGAAGTTAGTCTTAAGATCCAGGGCCCAGTCCCTTGAAGAGAAGTCAGGGAGAAACAGAATCAGGGCTGGGTTTCACCTCGCCAGTTCTTCCTCCTCAGATTTGGAGTCCAGGGACAGGGGCCTGAGCAGCAAGACCCTTTGTATGGAGAGTCAGCAGATCCTCCCAGACGGCTCCCTGGTGCAGCACTACAACGTGCACAACCTGTATGGGTGGTCCCAGACCAGACCCACATACGAGTGAGTCTCCGTCTCCCTTCTCCAGCTGTCACAACCTATAGCGATTGCCAGTGACTGACATAGCTACCCTAGTTTTCCTTTCATTCCATTTCTAAGGATTAAGAAGATTCTCATAACTCTGTAATGATTCTTATTTATTAAACAAATGCTCATTGACATGGAGCCAGGCCCTGTGATTAAAAGTAGGAGGACAGATTTAAATAAGGCATGGTCCCACCAGTGAAAAACTTAATGATCCTAGTGGGAAAGACTCACATGGAGACACCATAATGGTCACACAGGGCAGCCAGTGGAACAATAGCTTTAGTTACAGGAGGTGAAGGGAACACAGAGGACTGGGCATCTCTCCCGTTCATTTCAAAGTGAATCATCTTTGGAGATGTTTGTATTTTTGGCCATTCTTGGTGGAGGGTAACTGGTATTGTACTGAATTAGCACAGTCCTGCTTTGCAAGCTCAATGAATAGTATGAATTCTTCTAAGAGGATCTTATAACCTTCACTGTGTTCCTTCTCAAATATAGAAAACTAAGTATTGAGGAAACCATTAGCAAGACATAGTAATTCCTTAGTATTTTGGGAGTACTCCAGTGAGGCTGCTACAGTGAAGTTCTTTGTAAAGCACTGTGAGAACACGTGACTCATTATCTCCATCATCTGGGATCAGTGGAACTCCTATTACAGCTCAGAGTCCCATGTTCCCTCCAGTCACGCAGCAAACATTGACTAGGCTCAAGGGCTCTGGGAGCAGAAGCTCTATGGCCTTTACTCCCTGGCTGTTGCCTCAGTTCACCTCCTGTTCCCTTCCAAGCAGAGCCGTGCAGGAGGTGACGGGACAGCGAGGGGTCGTCATCACCCGCTCCACATTTCCCTCTTCTGGCCGCTGGGCAGGACATTGGCTGGGAGACAACACGGCCGCATGGGATCAGCTGAAGAAGTCTATCATTGGTGCGTGGGTCCTTCCCCAGGGCCTTTGCCGACAGGGCAGGGAGTTGGGATCCTTAGGGAAGAGGTGAGGAGGCAGATCATGAGAGCCTGGTGTGACACAGCTGTGCTTCTCGTTGCAGGCATGATGGAGTTCAGCCTCTTTGGCATATCCTATGTGAGTGTCCTTGGGATCCTCCTAAGCACCAAGAAGGTGGGGACATCTTTCAGAAATCATCAGCAGGCTCCTTTTATTTCCTCTTGTTTCAGACGGGAGCAGATATCTGTGGGTTCTTTCAAGACGCTGAGTACGAGATGTGTGTTCGCTGGATGCAGCTGGGGGCCTTTTACCCCTTCTCAAGAAACCACAATACCATTGGGACCAGGGTAGGACAGTGGCTTCTACCTCCACTGTTTTATGTCACTTGAAAGACAGTCTCCATTTCTGTGCTAAAAGTAATGCAGTCTCTATTTCCTGGGATATCTTTAAAAAAAGGTGTTTTTTTTTGTTTTGTTTTGTTTTGTTTTTTTTTTTGAAACAGGGATTTACTCTGTTGGCCAGGCTGAATCGTGCAGTGTCCCAATCATGGCTGACTGCAGCCTCCACCTCTGGGGCTAAAGCGATTGTCCCACGTCAGCCTTCTGAATAGCTGGGATAAAGGCACATCCCAGCGTGGCTACCTAATTTTTGATTTTTTGTAGAAATGGGATCTTGCCATATTTCACAGGATGGTCTCGAACTCCTGGGCTCAAGCGATCCACTCGACAGCCTCCAAAAGTGCTGGGATTACAGGCGTGAGCCACTGCACCCTTAAAAATTGTGAAGACCTGGTGTCTCAATGAACCATATTCCTCATTGTGCTTTAGATTATTATTTTTTTCCTGTATTTCAGGCAGAATTTTACCAAATGTTCCAAAAAGAATGTCTTACAGTGAAATTTTATCAGCTGTCTTAGGAGAGCTTTGGTGACTCTTTCCGGTCTATTAAGAATATTCTCTGGGCCTCATGTATAGTTTTCTTTTGTTTAGCTGTGAGTGATCTTCAATTGGAGTATGCTTTTAGTGACCTTCTTAAATCCCCTAGAAATTCCAGGGCGAGCTCCCAACACTGTTCTCTTTCTCCTTTAGAGACAAGACCCTGTGTCCTGGGATGCTGCTTTTGTGAATATTTCCAGAAATGTCCTGCAGACCAGATACACCCTGTTGCCATATCTGTATACCTTGATGCAAAAGGCCCACACGGAGGGCGTCACTGTTGTGCGGCCTCTGCTCCATGAGTGAGTGTCCAGCAGGGATCCCGATGACTAATGGATGACTTATTGCATTCTATGTGGTAGCAGTTGATATACACAACGCTTCCAAATTAAAGACATGATGGCCTTTTGACATGAGCTCTTCAGACACAAAGTATACCTGATTACTGTCTTTAGCACAGTGTTATACATACCGTAGGTCATAAAAAAAGGGTATTTATTGAATGACGAAAATTGAAATGATGCAGTACAGCATAGAATAGTTTCATTCTAATTTGGTTGTGCAAAGGCCTATCTTATGTAGCAGTTTTGTTATATGGACCCAGGTCACAAAAGAAGGATTTCAGCAAGAGAATTGAGGGACGAGGGCCATCCTCACATTTAAAATGTGCCATGGTTAAGAAATGAGGTAATATTTTACAGGAGAGAACACATCTACATCCCAGCATTTCTGAAGTTTGAGGCACATCCCATGGGGAAAGCAGAGGCTGGGTGCTCCTGATGAAGCTAGGCCTAGGAACAAAGCAAGGATGGCTCAGGGGCAGCTGTATTTCCGACTTGGATCTGAACTTGAGGAGCTTCTTCAGAGTGTCGGGCTGGGGCTCTGTTGGGCTCTGTTGGGCACCTTCATTTCCCTTTCCAGGTTTGTGTCAGACCAGGTGACATGGGACATAGACAGTCAGTTCCTGCTGGGCCCAGCCTTCCTGGTCAGCCCTGTCCTGGAGCGCGTGAGTATGGAGGCCTCCGATGAGGGGAGGATCCCAGCTGTGAGGCTTGGGGAAAAGGACGAGGAGAAGAGGCCTGAGCTGGTGGGGGTCCTGAGACATGGTTTCTTATTCTACCTGTGTCTCTTCCTCTCTTTCTGAGCTGAAGTCCATCACTTAGGTGTTCTTGGCACTCAGCTCCTTCATCTTTAAAATGAGCCTAACAATTCTGGTTCGTAGGATGATCAAGAAGAAAACACCTCATGGAATAGTCAATGACACAATCATTTCTTCGTTAACTAAAATAATTAATAGAAGGTCAGATGGGGGCAGTATTGTAAAAAATTTATAACAGTCCTCTAGCACTATTACAACTTTTCAGAAGGATGACTTGGCAATGTGTGTACTTGTATTGCTGCTGGCTAACCCTTCCCTTCCTCTACAGGAGCTCCTCCCAGCAGTAAAAGCCATTTCTTTACTTCTGTTGTTGATTAGGCTTCTGATTAAAATATCAATTAATTGTACCTCCCTCAAATATATATATATATATATATATATATATAAATATATATATATATATATATATTTTTTTTTTTTTTTTTTTGAGACAGAGTCTCACTCTGTTGCCCAGGCTGGAGTGCAGTGGCATGATCTTGGCTCATTCAACCTCTGCCTCCTGGGTTCTAGTGATTCTCTTGCCTTAGCCTCTTGAGTAGCTGAGACTACAGGCATGTGCCACCATTCCCGGCTAATTTTTTTTTCTTTTTTTGTATGTTTAGTAGAGATGGGGTTTCACTGTATTAGCCAGGATGGTCTCAATATCCTGACCTCATGATCTGCCTGACTTGGACTCCCAAAGAGCTGGGATTACAGGCATGAGCCATCGCGCCCGGCCCCAAAATCTCATTATACCCACAAAATTTTCTTCTGCCCCAGACACAACCTCCCTTGTTTGTCTCTTTAAGAGTCAAAGGGGTAAGTCTATGTCTATAAGCAAACAGTGATTTATTTTTTCCCGAAGTCCTGGATATCAAAGTGCTTTATGAAAGCCACTTGTTTTGGGTAGACAAATCTCTGGTTTAAAAAAGAAAACAGGAAGAAGGTTGCCCCAGTTGTTAACCTCTTGGGACATGAGGCAGCTGGGTCCAAAGCCATCACAATTATTTCACCTCTTTCCTAAGCAGTTTGGTTACTCTGTCCTGGAAAATGGTGGCACTGCCTCACCTTGTTTGTGTTTCATTTTAGAATGCCAGAAATGTCACTGCATATTTCCCTAGAGCCCGTTGGTACGATTACTACACGGTAAGTTTTTCTGAATGTTTATATAACACGGGAATGTGGTAGAGAGTACAAAGGCTTTAGGTCCGATAGACCTTAGGTCAAATGCTGGCTCTGTAACCCACCTGCTGTGTGGTCTTAGAGAAGCCACTTTAACCCTTGTAATCTCAGTTTTCTCACCTCCAAGTGGGGTAAGACCACTTTCCTCATAGAACCATTGTGAAATAACACATAAAGCATCTCACTCAGGGTCTGTTTTTTTGTGGGTGTTCTCTTTGTGTTAGTTTTTAATATTTCTTTATATCACTGCTATTTACAATGTTGTGTAAAGGCAGATGCTAGCCAACATCTGAGATTGTGTTGCAAACTATAGTTTTTGTTTTTATTGTTGATATCTTTGCCTGCTGTAAGTTTGTAAGCATAGAGGCCGTTTTGTCTCTTTTGATTAAATACCTCCTTCCATAGCATAGATGCTCAAAGAGGGGCGCTGCACATAATTACATAAGGCACACAAGTGATTAGGCAATGTGCAAAACACACACAGAGGTATGGGACCCAACCCTTGTGTGTCTAAGTAGTGCAAGTGCATTTAGAAATGAGGAAGCAATGAAGAGCTCCTTGCCGCATAGTTTCATTGCTAGTATGATTCCCAAAGACTCAGCTGGGAAGCCAGGGTCTTCCCGGGCAGCTCTGGGGTGGTGGGCTCTTGCTGGGACCCTGACAAATCAGACCCTGATTCTTGGGGAAGAATCAAAGGAGGTATTTCCTTCGTTTCTAACTAGGCCTCTTCTTCTGACTTTCTGAGGAGAACATAGTTGAGGGCTGGAAATACAACAAAGGGGTACAAGCAGGGATACAGGAAGCAGAGCATGTGCTGGCCCCTTTCATCCAAGGAGATTTCAGTGAGATTAAGTGAAAAGTGGAGAAGGATGTGCAATTTTGTTCCTTCTCTTCTCAGTCCATTGGAGCCCAAGTCCTCTCCACAGCCCCAGACTCCTCTTCCTGCTGCTAGTCTGGATCTGCCCTTAGGGTGGTAACATGTTAAGGCTCTGCTATGTGTGTCCCAGCCAGGCGTTTCCCAGGAAGAGGTGGCCAGCTTTCTTTACGTGAGACTGGCCTTTGTCCTGAGTGTGCATGTTGAGTCTCCCATTCACTACCAGAAGATATCTTTGATGGAAGAGGGAAAGACAAAAGAAGTCATGGAGCAAGCTGTTTAGAAAAAGATGAAATTGGGCCAGGTGTGGTGGCTCACACCTGTAATCCCAGGACTTTGGGAGGCCGAGATGGACAGATCACAAGGTCAGGAGATCGAGACCATCCTAGCTAACACGGTGAAACCCCATCTCTATGAAAAATAAAAACAATTAGCCGGGTGTAGGGGCATGCACCTGTAGTCCCAGCTACTCGGGAGGCTGAGGCATGACAATTGTTTGAACCTGGGAGGCGGAGGTTGCAGTGAGCTGAGATTGTGCCACTGCACTCCAGCCTGGGTGACGGAACCAGACTTTGTCTCAAGAAAAAAAAAAAAAAGAAAGAGATGAAATTTTTAATGTTTAATTAAAATGAAGATGAATCTCATAATTAGGATTAATGAAGAAGTGTCACCTTAATTAATCTTCCCAAGTTTGGGTAACTATTACTCATTCTAGAGCACAAGCTGGCAAACTATGGCCCACAGCCAAATCTGGTTGTTAGCTGATTTGCAAATAAAGTTTTAGTGGAACACAGCCATGCATATTTGTTTGCTTGTTGTCAACAATAACTGCTTCTTACCTGTAAAGTAGCAGCTCTGAAATGAGAGGATTTTGCCTACCAGGGGACATTTGGCAATGCCTGGAGATATTTTTGGTTGTCACAACAGGCTGGGGGTGAGGAGGCTATGCGGCTGACATCTGAGGATTCTGCTAAATATCAAAAGGCACAGGATAGCCCCATCGCCAGAGAATTGTCTGGCCCCAAATCTCAATAGTGCTGAGACTGAAAAGCCCTGCTCTAGTTGAGAACATGTAGGATGGAAGGATGGTCCCTTAGGTTCTGATACAGGTGAGAGTGTAGCAGTTCTTCCTGTTACACATCAGGCAAATGTAGTTTGTATGGTGGAAGCAAAGGTAAGAGACCCTAACAAGATATTATAGCAGCCTTGCGAGGTTTTATGCAGCACTGTGCGAATGCAGAATGGGTAATAGCAGGTATGTTGCAAAGGGTGATGAACAGGCATAAGTTCAGAGGGGAGGATGAGATGTCTGGCAGGATGCATTGTTCAGGGAGGGGCCTGTCCTCTCCTTCATCATCTTTTACCTTCTTCTGCCCCCAGGGTGTGGATATTAATGCAAGAGGAGAGTGGAAGACCTTGCCAGCCCCTCTTGACCACATTAATCTTCATGTCCGTGGGGGCTACATCCTGCCCTGGCAAGAGCCTGCACTGAACACCCACTTAAGGTGAATGACAGGACTCAGGTTTTCCTTTACATTTCAGTTAGCTCAACAATTTGTGATGAAGTCTACCAAAATGTAAGCATCACTTTCAAACCCACATGCAATTCTACTCAACACTTGTTTTTTCTTTGTTTTGTTGTTTGTGTGTTAATCTTTTTCAGACTCTATACTTTTTGTCTAATTATTAACAACTCTTTTAAGTCTAAGGGAGTGAGATGAAAGGTCTAAGAATGTCATTTTTTAAATCTCACATCTGACATGGAAGTCAAAATAAGAGCAACCACAATTCACAAGAGCTTTTCAGAAGCTGTTGTTTTAGAACTGTATCCAGTAGATTTTGAAAGACTGTAATTCATGTCCTTCCTTAAACCCTTTGAATTTCTTTTCAAACACGCTAACAGCCAGGTGGTCAGCCTCCTTGGTTTGCCAGGACTGATGCATTTTAGCACCAGAACTCTCCTCTCTTGAGATGCTTCTCAATTCTGGGTAAACCAGGTCAGTTGATGCCTCTATCTGCCTTGGCCACACTGCTCACCCATGTTTCTTTACTCTTGAATCACTTATTCTCATTTTAGGAGGGTCAGGATCCACTTTCCACCCTCCTAGAATCTCAACTTCCTCTTTCTTTTCTCCCGCTAAGAGATTTCTTTCTTGTGATTCAAAAGTGGATTCAAAAAAACCCTCAAAAGTCTATGTCACTGAATTTTGCTTTATACGTAATTGATTCCAAAATTATAGATTCCATCTGTACTAAAGAGGTGTGCATTTATATCTTCATGCCTTTGAGAGTATTAACCTATTTGTCTTTAATAGACTAGGAGTTCTTTGGAAGCCAGAAACCTGTCTTTTCTTTTGAACCTCTCTTACTGCTTTAATTTTTCAAATTCTAGACTTTTTTATGATACTAATGGGAAATATCCCTAAATCCAATACCAGTTGGCTTCCATTTTCTAACTGTTCACCTTCAAGCTGTTCTGTACAGTGATACCAAATTGATTTTTCCAAAATGAAAATCTCAACTGGTTGCTCCCAGGCTTGAAGTCCAAAGTCTTTCATTAATAGGGTATTCAAAACCAATCACAACCTGGTTCCACGTTACCTTAACAACTCTTATCTCCTGCCATACCTCCATGTACATACAGACCAGGTATGCCAAAAAACTGGCGATTTCCCAAACATACCCATGTATTTTACTGCATGTGGGCTTTTGAATTTATCCTTTCCAACATCTGTGCCTGGTGTATTCTTAATGATCCAAATGAAACTTTACGTTTCAGCAGCAAGAAGTCTTTCCCTAATCTTCCAGCAGAGGAAGCACTGCCACTTCCAAGTTTCTGGTCATTTGTAATATATATTTATTTGCTCCTTAGATGATTTTGTCTTTCTTCTTTAGCAGTGTTAGCATTTCAATAGTAGTTGCATACTCTGTGCATGAAAATTGTAGTATCTGAAGTGTTTAGGACCATCTAAATCTATTGTTAGTTCTTTGTTGCTGACTTTCCTTTATGTTGACTTATTACCTTGTGTGCTTGGTGATTTTTTGTTTCATACTGTGATAATCTTAAGCATCTAAATGTGGGTCTCCTTCCTCCAGAGATGATTTGCCTTCTCCTCTATTTGCAAGCCAGGAATTCCTTCCATCTGACATCACGTTAACTTCCATCAAGGATCCCGGCTTCATGTGGGAATCAGAGGTTCACATTCTGTACCTTGGATTACTAGGCTTAATAGCCCAATTTTAACCTTGCTGTGGGAATTTGCCACATGGAGATTCTAGGTTTTGCTTACTAAGCACCCTTTGAGTTCTAGCTCAGTGTTTTGCTATCCTGTTATTGTTTTGGTCTCTTGAGTATATTCCTTACTGTCTTGCAAATCCAAGAACATTTTAGCAGGAATATATGTTATAATTTATCTAGGATCAGGTAATATTTTACTGGGTAAGTCTCCAGAAGAATATACAGTCTACCATATTTGTAGAACTGTGTTTCTGGACTCCTAGAATATCTTAAATTTGTGTTGTTTTCACTGTCTGCGTTCATTTTTTAGTGAATGTGCCTAATTTTTCCTATAATATTGAAGGTCGTTCAGGTCAGGGGTTGTGATTTATTAATTTTTGTATCTCATTGACTTCCTAGAAATGACTGCTACTCAATACATGAATATTTAAAGAAAGCAGATGATTTTGTTGATAATGGAAACTAACTCTCTTGCATAGTGAAAGGCTGAACTGTGGAAGAATACAGTGGAGAATGTGAGTCCAGTGAGAGACAGAGGAGGAATAGGAAGAGCAGGAAACTGAGAGGTTGCCTAGAGAGTGACAGAGTGAGGAGAGATTCCAAATAAAAATTGCTCTCTATCCTCTTCTTCCTCTATGTCCATCTACTCTACCATGTCTTTAAGTAATGTGTTGTGTTTCCTATTCTAAATTCTAAAGTAGATCATTAGAATGATTTATTTTTCTTTCAAAACAAACTAATAATAAATAATCAGATACATTACCATTTAGTAGATGGACCTTAGTGTATGTTGTTGCTTTCTGAGTATAAATGGTCCTTAGGCAGGCGAAAATGTATCTTCCTCACAGCACTGGACACTTCTCCTGAGGGCATCATTGCTAAAGTGATCTGACTGAACCAGTTATTGCCTAAGATTTCTTTCTCTTCTCATACTCTGTATTCCGAACAGTGGTTGCAGAAGCAGCTTTTATTTGAGCTATTGCAGTGCCTCTGGTGCTTAAATTCTTGCCTCCAACGTAGATGTTATTGTTAATGTTTGGGGTGTTTCTATCTCCTGTGACACTGTTGATATTATAGAAAAATGCATCTGTCGATTTTGTGTTTGTACCTCAAGAAACAGAACCATCTGCTGCTAGTATCTTTTCCAGTTTGAAATTTGATGGAAATATTCTCAGCCCAGTTGGCAAAATTGTCTGACTCCTGTCTTTGTCTCTTGAATCTTGTTCCCCACAGTCGAAAGAACCCTCTTGGTCTTATTATTGCCCTAGATGAAAACAAAGAAGCAAAAGGAGAACTTTTCTGGGATGATGGGCAAACAAAGGGTGAGCGCTGTTACAATAATGTTGCTGTTTCCCAACCTGCGCCTGTGACTTATGGTCCTTCACTCCTGCTGGTCATTCAGCTGTGGGAGAAATCTCAGCAGGCACAGTAGCAAGAGTCACTTAAGTATTTTGTTTCTGGTTGCACCATTCAGGGATAGTGGTGGACGAACTACTGACGAAAGAAAAATGCATTTGTATCTCTGACAGTTCTCCCATTCGCCAGTGATACCTATAATGGCTCTTATTTTATTGTCAATGGGTGCTTAGATGAGAAGGTTTCAAGACTGTTCCCTAATTCTATGTTAATGTCTTCCTCCGAAAATTCTTATGAGCAAATGTTGACGATATAAAAATCATGCACCTGCCAGTGAGGCAGTGAGAATATACTGTTCTAGTGTGTACTCAGCTAGCCATACGTTTTAGCATATTTGTGGGTCCAGTATACTAACAATTCTTGTTCTTCAAGTTTAGGAAATAGATTCCTTTGAAGCATATGCCTTGGAAGCCCTTGGAAGGGAATCTTTGCAATGTTCTGGTAGAAAAGAGAAGGAAAAACAATGGCTTGGCCTTGGAGACTCTTGTCCCTCTAATCCAATATGTAGATTAAAAATTAATTATTTATTTGGTAGTCAAATATTTTGTTGGCAAATAAAGATTGAATATATTTAAGGTGGACGATGTGAGGATTTAATATATGTAGGCATAGTATAATGATTACCACAGCTATTTTAATGAACACATCCATCACTACCAATGCTGCAGACTGGATCCCCAGAACTTATTCATCTAAGAACTGAAAGTTTGTACCCTTGACCATCATCTCCCCATTTTCCACTTCTGCAGGCTCTAAGAACAACTGTTGTAGGCTCTGCTTCTAAGAGATGAACTTTTTTAGATTCCACATATGAGTGAGACCACGCAGTATTGGACTTTCTGTCTCTGGCTTATTTCACTTAGTATAATGTCCTCCTAAGTCATTCATGCTGTTGCGAATGGCAGAATATTCTTCTTTCTATGTCTGAAAAATATTCTACTGTATATATGTACCAGAACATCTTTATCTATTCATCCACTGATAGACACTTAGGTTGTTTTCATATCTTGGCTACTGTGAAGAAAGAAATTAAAAATTGAAATGTAAGGGCTAAAATTGTAAAGCTCCTAGAAGAAAACATAGCAAAAAACCTCCTTGACGTAGTCTTGGCAATGACTTTTTGGATATGATACCAAAAGCAAAGGCAAAATGCCAAAAAGTAAACAGGCGTGACTACATCAAACTAAAAGGCTCCTGCACAGCAAAAGAAACAATCAACAACATGAAAAGGCAAACTACAGAATGGATAAAAATGTTTGCAAACCATATATCTCAGAAGAGATTAATATCAAAAAATAAGGAACATATGCAACTCAGTAGCAAAAGATCAAATGACCCAATTAAAAAGTGGGTGAAGGACCTGAACAGATGTTTTTCCAAGGAAGACATACAAGTGGCTAACTGGTATGTGAAAAGATGCTCAGCATCAGTAAATGACACAGGTATGCAAGTCAAAAATCACAGCGAGATGTCACCTCACACCTGTTAGCATGGAAATCATAAAAAAGAAAGGAGAGAAGTGCTGGTGAGGGTGTGGAGAAAATAGAATTTTTTAGACTGTTGGTGGGACTGTAAATTGTTACAACCATTATGGAAAATAGAATGGAGGTTCCTCAAAAAATTAAAAACAGAACTTCCATACAATCCCATGAATTCCCACTTCTGGGTGTATATCCAGAGGACATGAAACCAGTATCTTTAAGAGATATACTCACTCCTCCCATATTCATTACAGCATTACTTGCAACAGCCAAGATATGGAAACATTCTAAGTATACATTGATGAATGAATACAATGGAATATTATTCATCCATAAGGTAAAGGAAATACTGCCATTTGTGACATCAGGATGTAACTGAAAAGAGTGGGAGTGTGAAATCTGTTCTTCTGTGGTGGGCAAGCCGGAGTCTGACTTGTCTTTCTGTCACTTTCAGATACTGTGGCCAAGAAAGTATATCTTTTATGTGAGTTTTCTGTCACTCAAGTGAGTAGCATATTTTTATGAATCTTAGGTGTGGGCTTTGGACTGACCATTAGCACATCTGTGCTTGTGTATATGTGTGATTATATTTGTAACTTTATATGCATTATTGGCTATAGGTGAGCACATTTCTATTTATGATTTCATCGATGTTTTCAAAAGGAGGCATTAATATAGCAAGTAGTGTTTCTAAATATAGTTTTTAATTATCTGTGTGTTTTTATGATTGTATCAAATTAGAGGATTATCAAACTAATGTTGTACTTCTTGAGCAGACACTAGTAGAGAAAGCAGAGAGGCATTCATGGCAGTGGGGGGTATCCAGTCTGGAATAGAATATATGAGTGACTTGAGAATCTGTGTATTACAGGCATACCTTTATGCATAATTGGAGTTAATTGTTTTGCAGAACCACTTGGAGGTGACTATTTCACAATCAACCTACAAGGACCCCAATAATTTAGCATTCAATGAGATTAAAATTCTTGGGATGGAGGAACCTAGCAATGTTACGGTGAAACACAATGGTGTCCCAAGTCAGACTTCTCCTACAGTCACTTATGATTCTAACCTGAAGGTAAAAACCCATTTTGTTGAGATGGTACATTGAGAATTCTCCATAGCACCATGATGTTTCTTCTTGCCAAGTTTGCATGGGTCCCTGAAGTACCAGGGCACCTTTGATGCATGTTTTGGGGAATTGAGAGGGCACCTTTGATGCCTTTTTTGGGGAAAAAAATGAGGTGGCCAGAGCTAGAATGAGTTGGGTATTTTTCTTCTTATTCCCTTCTCTGCCTATCAGTGTTCCCATCTCTCTAGCTGGTTTCACTTGCTTTTCCCAAAAATAGAATAATTATGATGAGACCCAGGAACAGCAAAGTTGGAAAGTGGGGAATAGCCTGACATTATTAGACTGTGAATTTTGTATGACTAGCACAAATAAGAATTGGTATTTGAAAAAGGCCAGCTTGGATAGGAAACTTGTGGTCAGGCTTTGGAGGTCTTAGTTACCAACTTGAATTAATTCTCAAGCAGTCTCATATTGATCCTTGAATGAAGGCTGTGCTACTGTGTGTGAGCATTGTTGGGAGTGGGAGTGGGGGCTGGGGACTAGTAGAACAGGGAAGTACAAGATGGTTTAGATTTAGAGGAGACTGGGAGAAGGATGATAATCTTTAGAATGTGATTTTATTACTCCAGACGTGTGAGAACTTTAACTTGGGAAGTGCTGTCTAGAGAAGCATCAAAGATAAGAAAAATATATGGAAAATATTAAATATTTGAATTAATAGGATTCAAGGAAGGTTTCAAATTTGCAGCCTTTATGCTTAGAAAAATAAAGATGCTGGGATGTTAGAAGTGGAAAGAAAGATGATTTTATTTCCACCTCTCAATTTTGCTGTTGCCAAAATTGAAATTCAAAGAAATGAATTAGAATTCCCAATTTGCCCTGATGTGATTATTATTCATTGTATGCCTGAATCAAAATATTTCATATACTCCATAAATATGTATACCTACTATATACTCATTAAAATTAAAAATTAAAAAAAGAAATCATTTGTCCAATATACTACATAAATGCGAGCATGATAACCAGGTCATATGATTCTTATTGCTGTGTTCTTTCTACCACTCCACGCCAATGGGGGATGCTGGTTTGGGGACTGGAGAGCAAGAGGATCAGCTCACTTTGAGATGACACCATGTGTCATGCTAAAGAGGAAGTGCAGAAGACACCCTTCCAGACAAGACACAGAGGGCTAAGAGGAGTTAGGGTAGAAAAGAATAAGGGGTGATCGCGACAGGTTTTATTTGACCTAATTGTTTTCATTATGCTATGTACAAGATTCTGCTAGAGGGGAGTCATATGCCCTGTTACTGCTAAATAGATTCCCCCACTGTACAGTTCTCTTCTTATAAGCTAAAGTGATATGTTGCTTGGATGGTTGAAAGTCTGGACTGATGTCTATTTGTTTTTCCAAAATAAATAAATAAATAAAGTCTTAGATTTTGCAAGGCCTTTCTCCCAAAGATGAATTTCCTTGTGATTTCTGCATTCCTACAGGTCGCCATTATCACAGACATCAATCTTTTCCTGGGAGAAGCATACACAGTGGAGTGGAGCATAAAGATAAGGGATGAAGAAAAAATAGACTGTTACCCTGATGAGAATGGTGATTCTGCAGAAAACTGCACTGCCCGTGGCTGTATCTGGGAGGTAACCATGCTGATGGGGTTCATGTGCATGAAAATCTCCACACCTAATCTATAGTTTCTTAAGCATAGCAGTGGCACTTATATAACTACTTAAAATCCATAGAAAGGACTTCCTAAGGGACATGATCTGGATGTGACAAGTAGGTGGGGACATGTGGAAAACTTTTTAAAATAAATATTTTGCTTGGAGACCAGGAAATTAAATTTATGTTATTGCCAAGTGATAAGTGATAGGCTGGTTTTATTGTCATATAAAATGACTTTTCTAACCCTGTTTAGGTTAGAGAACTTTAAGACCACATGCTGTGCTGATCTATGACTTTGGCCTTACTTTTCAGGCATCCAATTCTTCTGGAGTCCCTTTTTGCTATTTTGTCAACGACCTATACTCTGTCAGTGATGTTCAGTATAACTCCCATGGGGCCACAGCTGACATCTCCTTAAAGTCTTCTGTTCATGCCAATGCCTTCCCTTCCACACCCGTGAACCCCCTTCGCCTGGATGTCACTTACCATAAGAATGAAATGCTACAGTTCAAGGTAAACACGGTACATATATCAGGCAGTGATAAGACCCTTTTCAGTTCCATTATCTTTTTCTGGTTCAGGTCACACAACCCTAAAATAAGTTAATCATGCTACATTAGACTATGTCATTATCCAGAGAACATTGAGAAATCATTGAGGGAACAATGAGACCTGCCCTAATTTTCATTTGGAAAAGATTACTGTGGCTACTGTTAGGAAAATGGTTGGGAGAGCAAGAGTGGGTACGGAGAGACAAGTTGGGAGGCTGCCAGTTAGGCAGGTCAAGTGAGGGCTTAGGTTTGGACTAAATACTGGAATGAAGGTGGAGAACAGTGCACCTAGTTGAGATTCAGGAAGTTGGGTTACAGGGTCTGGTGCTTGATTGAAAGCAGGCGACAATGGAGAGGGAAGCATCAAGAATGATGACCGCGTTGGTATCTTGCATCTTAATATGGATGGTGCTGACATCAACCAGAATGGGAATACTGAAAAGGTTTGTGCTTGATCAATGTAAGATGATATGTTCAGTTTGGGATACTGAATTTGAGATACGTATAAAATAGCCACCAACCTGCAGCGATTTCATTTCTTTCCAGAATTTAATTGCATTTAAAGACTAGGGATGGACTAGCTGTTACGTCTGCTTCTCTATTAAACTAATCTTCTCAAGGATAGGAATGTGCCCTTTCCTCTTTGTGCTTCTGAAGTCTAATACAGAGCCTGGCAGATAGTTAGTGCTGTAATGTAATTGACAGAGTAAGTGAAAGTGATCAGGACATTGTCACATTGCCTGAAAATTTCTTTACAATCTGACATCAACCCGAATTCTGAGTTTTTGTACATCGTCTAATGCAGGGATGATGCTGTTGTATGTTTGTACCCTCATCATAGCACTAGCATGTTGTAGGCACCTAATGGGTTTGAAGTGAATGAACTTCCTTGGAGTTCTAGCCTTAACCATTGACTACTCTACCTCTTGACCATACAGTAGCTCTTTCCAAAATATTTGCCTCTTTCTGGCCCACTTTAATTCTCTCTGCCTTCGTGGTTGTTATTCTTCACCAGAATGACTTGATCTCTTTTCTGTGTTTGGTTAATGACTACCAAGTTTCTAATACTCTAGATTGTATTTCTCCTGGGAGACCATCTCAGTCTCCCAGAAACAATGTTAGGCATTTCCTTCTCTAGAGTCTCACAGCACTTCTACATAGCTCTCCCTTAGCACACATCACCCAGGTGTTGTGAGCTGCTCTCTTACACTTCTCATTTGCTTGTGAATTTCATAAAACCATAACACTGCCTTATTGAGCTCACATCCCTAGTGTCTTGTGCAGTGTCAGGCAGGGATGTAGTAGGTACTCATGAATCAGTTTAGATACCACCTTCAGCAAGGACATTCTGATTATTTTAATCAAATAGATTTCACTTTGGGGAGACACGTTATTTTTCAATTCAGAAAAGTTTTAAGGTATTTATATATTCTCATATACCCACAGAAAATAACAAGTAACATATTCATAAATACCACGCTGATTCCAGAATGATTTTCTACGTTAGCACCAATGTCACAATGCTTATATTGATGCAGTAGAGGCCTTAGTAATGAGAAATGACAGACAAACATATTAAATCTGACATTGTTATTTGATGTGTTAATTAAATCTCAGACATCATAAACTTAAAGAAGACAGAAACATAGCATCTGAACTTTTGTCCAAAAATCAAAAAGGTTCTGCTAAGGGTATAGGTTTCAAGAGTAGTATTCTTGCCTAAAATCGTTTTCCTCTGGCCTAGATTTATGATCCCAACAACAATCGGTATGAAGTTCCAGTCCCTCTGAACATACCCAGCGTGCCATCCAGCACCCCTGAGGGTCAACTCTATGATGTCCTCATTAAGAAGAATCCATTTGGGATTGAAATTCGCCGGAAGAGTACAGGCACTATAATGTGAGTGGCTTCTAGTGTGACTCAGAGTTGATGGCTACCTGCGCCTTCGCTGCCAGGTCCATTGTCCTTGGATGTATCCTGGTTCAAAACATCACATTGTCCACTTCCAGATCCATGGATGAGTTGTTTCCTTCAGACCTATTCTTACAGGAAATCTTTAGCATTCTGGAAATAATTACTGAGGCAGTTGAGCGTGCCTGAGGATTCATCCAACAAATGTTTATGGGGTGCCTTCTCTAGATTAGGTGCTGCTCCTTATAGACAACTGAGGTTTCTCTTCTCATGACAACAAATAATAAGTAAATAACAGAGATAATTTAAGTTATAGTATAAAAAGGAGATTGTGATAGTGATAATTGCTGTGTAGCCAAAAGAGCAGGGTAATTGAGGGTTATGGTGTGGTTACTGCTTCTGATATTGGGGTCAGAGTAGATCTCGCCAAGAAGGTGATATTTTAATAGGACCTGGATGAGAAGGAGCCACCCACATGAGACAGGGCGAAGGGAAAGAGCATTTCAGACAGAGGGAATAGGAAGTGGGTAGGCCAGGAGATGAAGCGAAGCTGGCATGCTAAAGAAAAGAAGTCTAGTGTGGTTGGAGCAATGGAGGAAGTAAGCAGGTGAGTGCTGGGAGAGGAAGCTGCAACGCCGGTTGAGGGGGCAGCTTCAGCCTTGAAGGCTTCATAAGATGTTTGCATGAGAAGCCATGGAAGAAGCACAAATGGGAGTGACATGAGGTGAGATCCTCGTAGGAATATCGCTTTGAGTGCTACGTAGAAAATGCGCTGAGGGGTGCAAGGGTGGAAGGCAGTGCTGGTGTGGAGTGTTCCCAGCTGTGATGGTGAGGGGAGCTTGTATTTGTATTGTAGAGGACCACTGAAAGGAGGCAGTGAGAGTGGGAAACAGATGAATGAAGAACTCCTGGGCTTTTAGTGGGGATATCTATGATATTTTAATCAAATTGAGTTTCAGTTTTGTTTGGGAGATGAACAGCTTCTGGGTAGGAATCAAGTGTTCTGTTGTCCTTGAAAAGTCAGCTGCTGGAAGCAGAGAGAAAAGCCCATTTTCTGTTTCAAATCTGCCTTTTTGTGTTTCAGTTGGGACTCTCAGCTCCTTGGCTTCACCTTCAATGACATGTTTATCCGCATCTCCACCCGCCTTCCCTCCAAGTACCTCTATGGCTTTGGGGAGACTGAGCACACGTCCTACAGGAGAGACTTGGAGTGGCACACTTGGGGGATGTTCTCCCGAGACCAGCCCCCAGGGGTAAGGACAGAGCATTTGAGATCTGTGTCTCTGCTTCTCTCCACCCACACTGCTCAGGCTTTGGGCTTCATCTTCCCAAACTCCACTTGGTCGTCACATTCTGCTTTTAGGCGAGTGGGCCAATTCTCAGGCTCCTTTGTTTCATGTGTTTAATTGATTTCATGGAGAAAACTAGACCCATCTTAGCAAGCATATTTTTGTTGAGTTTCTTTCTCAGGCATAATGTCTTTTAAACTCCTACTGCTTCTCCCCATGACTCTCCAGTACAAGAAGAATTCCTATGGTGTCCACCCCTACTACATGGGGCTAGAGGAGGATGGCAGTGCCCATGGAGTGCTCCTGCTGAACAGCAATGCCATGGGTAAGGCCATCCAGCGCCTCCCTTATTTTGGGGGGATACCAGTCATGCCTGAGTCAGTTTAGAATGTGTTTAGCCTAACTGTTCCTTGAAGTCAAAATCTTCATTTTACGGGCACTGCTGTTTATTTTTTCTTTGTGTTTAGCCTTTCTGTTCATTTCAGTCTAATATCATGTGATAAGAAGATTTAACCCAACTCTTATTTTGGTAAAAATCACATAAGAAGGGATAGTAAAACCACATGGGTCCCAAATGTCTTGGAGGTCAGCTCGTGAGAGCCAGTTATAAAATTTGAATTAGGGTAAAACTATGGGTCAGAGAAGTTAGTCTGGGGATTGTGAGGGTGTATGGTATGTTGAAAAGTTACCTATCGGGTACTACGTTTGCTATCTGGATGACAGGATTCATACCCCAAACTTCAGCATCGTGCAATATTCCCATGTAACAAATGTGAACATGTACCTCCTTATCCAAAATAAAAGTTGAAATGTAAACATAATTTTAAGAGTAGAACGACAAAATATAGTAAAATACACCAAAGGAAGCAAACCCAGGAATGGGACATTTAGACTTCCACTGAACTTCTTCAGTTCTATGTGATTATGATAGAAAATACTGGCTCTTACTACTCTACGATAGGGAGGGTGCAGGAAATAGAGAATGTGTGGATTTCAGGGGTGATTCATGACGTGGAAAGTTTCCAGCTTGATTAGCATTTTTCTTCATTTTCAGATGTGACGTTCCAGCCCCTGCCTGCCTTGACATACCGTACCACAGGGGGAGTTCTGGACTTTTATGTGTTCTTGGGGCCAACTCCAGAGCTTGTCACCCAGCAGTACACTGAGGTAGGGAGAAATCCAATTGTTTATCAAGTACTTATATAGCACATTCTGGGTGCCAGAGCCCACATTCATTAGTATAACTCTCAGATGATAACTGGAATTATTGGTATTACTTGGAAAGAGATTATAGAATAAGGAAAAATAAATACATTCTAATCACCATTAAATTTATAGCCTCTGTAAGCATTGCAGAATAGCAGAAGTTACAGTGGTACTAGTGGTGGTGATGGTAGTGATAGTAGTATGGTGGTGGTGGTATTTGTGGTTATATGGTGGTGGTGATGGTGATGATGGTGGTAGGGGATGATGGTGGTGATAGTGATGTGGGAATGGTGATAATGATGGTGGTAGTAGTAGTGGTGTTGGTGATGGTGATGATAGTGGTGGGGGTGGTGTTGATGGGAGTGTTGGTGATGGTGGTGATAGTGGTGGTGATGGTGACGATGATGGGGTGGTGATGGTTGGTGTTTGATAGTGATGGTGGTGGTGGCTATGGTGGTGGTAGTGGTGGTGACAGTGGGGTGGTGTGAAGAATATGGTGGTGGTAGTGGTGGTGATGGTGAAAATAGTGATGATGGTGGTGACCATGGTTGTTGTGGCAGCAGCAGCAAACACTTATGTACTACCTACTGCACATCACTGATTTATTACTTGCTGCATGTTAGAGCACTTTGCACATAGTAACTCATTCAGTCTTCACAAAAGGACTGTGAGGGAGATGCTATTATTATACCCTTATTTACAGATGAAGAAACTGAAGCACTAAGAGATTACTTAATTTTTGCCTAAGGTCTCACAGCTAGCAGGACTGGAGCCTGTATCTAAGCCAGGCATTTTGCCTCTGATTCTGGGTTTCTTAACCAGTTACCTACAGTGTCTCTAGGAATGGAGTGAAATCAGCTTTTCCATAATTTTTAAGAAGGAGCTCAAGTCTAGCAGAAAGCTTTCTCCAAGTATCCTAGTGGCTCTATATCCTGTCAGTTTTGATGTGGAATTCAATTAGTTAGTTGTCTAGCTTGGGGCACAGAAAAATATTCTTATTACTTGATGTAAAACTTCAATCTGGTGTCTCTGTTCTGAGGACTAATATTTTCTGTCTATTTTCTAGTTGATTGGCCGGCCTGTGATGGTACCTTACTGGTCTTTGGGGTTCCAGCTGTGTCGCTATGGCTACCAGAACGACTCTGAGATCTCCAGCTTGTATGATGAGATGGTGGCTGCCCAGATCCCTTATGTACGTTCTCAGTCATGGCTCTGGAGTTTGAAAACTAACCCAGGTGCCTCTGTGTCTGGCTTCATTTGTCTAATGTTTGTGAGATTCTATAAAGACATAATGTTCTTTTTCAGACAATATCACAGTTAGCCTCACCCCAGCACAGTAATAGAGGTAAGGGCCCTTGTTTCCATCTTCTAGAGATGATAGCTCAAGACTTACTGTGATTTCCCAGAGGGGGAGATAAGCTGGCTCCAGGGCTCTTTCTACTATCTCATGCTTCCTTCCATTTCTTTCACATGACTTCAAAACATGTAGTCAAAATGTCCTTGGTTCCATAAGAATAAATAATATCCACAGTTCTTTTACTTAATTCCTGAAAAAAACTAACCCCAAACCATCAGACCATTGTATATGTGGATACGACCTCAGTTCCCGCAGCCCTGGTGCTGTAGCACAGTGTCCCATGAGCTCTGAGCTAATCACTGATGGAATACACGGATCCTGGAATGGGTTCCAGAGGATGTACACATGGAAATAAAGCTTATCCTTCACTGGAGGATGGGAGGGGACCCAGTCATCAGGCAACTGATCCAATGTACCATCGCATATCTAATTGTATTCTACATTTCTCTTGTTTTACAGTAGCTCCATTAGTGGAACATAGCGTTTCCATTAGTGGATAGTGAAATGCAATATTTCATTCTCCAGAAGAATGTAGTGTCTGATTTCCCTCAAGATTGGGTATTCCAAAGCAACTGTACATTGTTGCTTTGTTTTGACTTGTTTTGCAGTAGATTTACCATCCACATTGTATTAGCCCTGGGTAGTTAATATTATTTTTTCTAAGCATGAACCACTGATACCAGGGGCAGCCTCTTGAGGGAGGTCATCACAGTCACTCCTGATAGTGGCAGTTTACAAAGCACTGTCCATTCCAGTGTTCGTATTTATCCTCAGAATAGCCATCTTAGAGAGGCATTCTCATCCTATTTTATGCTGACTTTGATTTTTTTCTATCTTATCACTGAACGTTTGAGAAATTAAGTGAATTTCCCAGCACCTGTACCTAACAAATGGCAGAGCTCGGACTTGAAAGCATCAACAAGAAGCTATCTGGAATTCCACCATGGGTGGTGGAGGCTTGTTCTCCTATAAAGCTTGGGCGTGTACAGCAGCAGCCTCTCAGCTCCCCATGTCCTCCCGCAGGACGTGCAGTACTCAGACATCGACTACATGGAGCGGCAGCTGGACTTCACCCTCAGCCCCAAGTTTGCCGGGTTTCCAGCTCTGATCAATCGCATGAAGGCTGATGGGATGCGGGTCATCCTCATTCTGGTTAGTCCTGATGTGAATGTGTGCGGTCTGTTTGGGAGCAGGTATGGGTTTTGTTGGAGAAAGTGTTATACTTTATTTCCATGTTGCAAGTAGATAAATTGAAGTGTAGTAAGAAATGTGTATTTCCCTGGACTCACAGAAACTCTACAGTTCAGGTAGAAGCCAACAAGTTCGCCCTGGAGGAGTTCTCCTTCATTCTGTTTCTCTTCATTCTGTGGCTTTGATTTTTCCCAACTGACTTATGCTTTGATTTCAGGATCCAGCCATTTCTGGCAATGAGACACAGCCCTATCCTGCCTTCACTCGGGGCGTGGAGGATGACGTCTTCATCAAGTACCCAAATGATGGAGACATTGTCTGGGGAAAGGTATAATCCTAAGCGATGATCCAGTAGTCCCTAGCCTGAGGGTGGGTCACTGTTAGAGGGTCACACGCCTGTGTATGTTATTTTTGGCCTTTTCTATTTGGGCTCTGAGGTCAGAAGCTCTCCTTTTCTCAATCAATATTTGTTGATACAGTTAATAACTTTTAAGTAATATAATGTGTTACGGAATTCACTTCTCTTTTACATCAATCCTACATGATAATCAAAGTATTGCTCCTAGGAACATGGTTTATATAATAATTTCTTTGGAAATACTATGTAAGGGAAATTGTCTAGTGCATCGCTACTGAACATGTTTCTCTCCATAGGTCTGGCCTGATTTTCCTGATGTTGTTGTGAATGGGTCTCTAGACTGGGACAGTCAAGTGGAGGTAAAGGGTCTTTGTAAATTTGGGTGGAGTCAGGGTTTCTAGGAAGGGGCAGCCGTTCCTGGGAATGTGGACATGCCTGTACTGTGGACATGGGCTTGGCAAGGGAGAAACACTTAGGGCATGTGTGTTGGATGTCAGTCTGTGTGCCCATTACTTTATAGGTAGTCATACTTTACTGGCCACTGGGATGTAGACATGTATTATTATCCTTGGGATTTAAGACCAGAGAGCTCAGATGACTTGTCCACGGTTTTAGGTGACAGAGTGTTGATTTCAATTCCAAGGCTGTCAGATTACAAAGGCCCAAGAAATTCCCACTGGGCGATACCTCCTAGCAGTGCCATCTTTTCTCTGAACTGGTATACTTAACTGTTGTTGCCTTGGTTATCCCTTTTAAACAGTCTTCTAACCTCAAAGACTGTTTAGGTCTTTTTTTGGTGTATCTTTTTTTTTTCCATGAACACGTTTCTCCCTTTCCACACTTATAATTCCTCCTCTGAGCCCAATCCTTCCTTGGGTTTCTCAACTTTGCTTTTACCTCTCAGTTTCCAGCCTTACTGTAAAACTTGCTCTCTTCTGGGGATGGTTTGTTGCTTGTAATGGATCCAAGTAGCCCATGCTTCTGTACCTGAATTTTTTTCCAGATTCACTAAGCGTTTCTTGCTTGAATGATACATGGCTCCTTACAGGTCTAGGAAGGCTACGGCCCCATCCTCTGGCCAAGATGTGTGTCTCCTGAACTGAGGCAGCCTGTGTGCTTTACTATCAATTGTTGTGACAGTACCCACAGGCAGGATTCTTAGTGCGGGTCCAAGGGCTTCCTGGAGACCAAGTACCTTGCCCTACCTCTGGAGCTGTTCTTCAATAATGCCTATTCTTTCTGGGCAGGAATTGTAGCAGGGCATGTGTAGCCTATGTGACCCCCACAGAAAAGCTGGGGAGACAAGGAAAAGGCCTCTTTTCTAGAACATCTGCCAGGAATTGAAGGGACAAAGAAGCTGACTTGTGCAGTCAGCAATGCGGTATATGTTGTAGTGTCTAGATACTCTCTCAGGATCAAGTATTAATCAGACAAATATCCATGTTGTGGGCACAAATCCCAGCAGCTGTAATTCTGTTAGCAGCCACTCAGAAGTCCAGGGGCAAAGACCTCTTTTGGGAGTTCTTTCTACGTAATGTAAGATTGTATCCCATGGACAGAGGTGCAGGAGAAACATTGATCACCAGGAATGTGACTGGTGATCACCAGGAATATTGGAGTTAGGCCAAATATTCATGCCTTATCCAGATAAGCTGGTTTTCAGGGCAAGTGGTGAGTCCTAGAGGGAAAGGCAGATATTAGACAGAACCACACAATCTGGAGCCAGGGACTGAGGCCTGGCACAGCTCTGATAGGGTAGGGAGAACAGATGGTACTGCAAACACGTGATGCATACTTCTCTGTTGTCAGTCTCTGGCCTCCTGGATCCCAGAGCCAGTTGGCAGCAGTAGCACTATTGATTTAAAATGAGACACACTTGGCACCAGGCTGCTTGGCTATTGGACTGCATGTCTTTATTTACTGTCAGTAGATGCAGTAAAACAAAACAAACAAAACAGAAGCTGGGGCTGGTTTTGAAGATTGGCAAGAACGAGTCAGACTCAGTTCAAGGCTGTTTTCCTTATGTCTACTACTGAACAAGTATCTATCTATCTATCTATGTATATCCATGTACCCATCTATGTATGTATGTATGTATGTATGTACGTATCTATCTATCTACCTATCTCAGTCTATCATATCTATGTATCTACCGATCAATGTATTAATTCATCCACCCACTCTATCTATCCATCCATCCTCTATCTATCTATCTATCATCTACCTCATCTATCTATATCTATCTATCTATCTATCCACTCTATCTACTCAGGTTATATCTATCTTTCTATCTGTCTGTCTATCTATCTATCTATCTATCTATCTATCTATCTATCTATCCATCCAGCCACCCTATTCATTTATGTCTGTCTGTCTGTCTGTCTGTCTGTCTATCTATCTATCTATCTATCTATCTATCTATCTATCTATCTATCTATCTATCATTCTATCCTATCTATGTACCATCTATCTATCTATCTATCTATCTATCTATCTATCTATCTATCTATCTAATCTATCTCCACCTCTATTCATCCACTCACCCTATCTATCCAAATCCCTCTTCTGTCTATCATTTATCTACCTATTTATATATCATCTATCTCTATGTATGTATGTATGTATGTATGTATGTATGTATCTATCTATCTATCTATCTATCTATCTATCTATCTATACTGTTCAAGGGAGAAGACCTAGCTTCCTGTCCTCTCGTCACCTCTCACAGAGAATCACTTGAAGCTTAGTGGTCCAAGCAGCCCACATGGACACAGGAACCTGCCCAGCCAGAGAAGTTCTGGGTCATGGGCTTCCTGACTTTTATCAAGTAGTCAGTATCAGAACCCCACAGTTCATCAGCCAGTAGGGGCAACACTGCCATCCTGAGGCAATTTGGAAATCTGAGGGCAGTGTTGGTTATCACAGGGACACCAGAGGCATTCAGTGGGCAGTGGGCAGGGATGCCCATAGCTCTGATTTCAGGGAATTCTCCACAAAATATCTCTCACCTCAAACGCCAGTTATACCCCTGATGAGAAACACTTCATTAGGGAGTCACAGAATCTGTTAGCTCATAAGAAATTCTTGGTAGATAGGATAATTATAACTATTGGTTGGTACAAAGGTAATTGTAGTTTTTGCCATTGAAAGTTATTAAAAGTAGGCCGGGCATGGTGGCTCATGCCTGCAATCCCAGCACTTTGGGAGGCTGATCACGAGGTCAGGAGTTCAAGATCAACCTGACCACCATGGTGAAACCCCATCTTTACTAAAAATACAAAAGTTAGCCAGGCGTGGTGGCACGCGCCTGTAATCCCACTTAGGAGGCTGAGGTAGGAGAATCGCTTGAACCCGGGAGGCAGAGGTTGCAGTGAGCCAGGATTGAGCCACTGCACTCCAGCCTGGGTGACACAGCGAGACTCCGTCTCAGAAGAAAAAAAAAGGAAGGAAAGTTATTAAAAGTAATGACAAAAACTTCAATTACCTTTGCACCAACCTAATATTTATATTATTAATAAAGACCCACTCGATGAAGCTGGTGAGGATGAAGCCACTGATGTCCAGGTCTGGCTTTACTGAATATAAAACAAACAGCCAACAGCCCCATGAAAAGCAGATTTCTGAGTCCAAAGCTCCAGCAATTTAATTCAATAAGTCTGATGGGATCTAGGAATTGCATTTTGTAGCATGCAATGTGCCACAAAAAGAGTGCTAGGTGATCCTGAGGCCCAGTGTGTGGGTGGTTATATCACTGTTTGAAGACTGGAGAAAGTGAAGGCAGAAGCCACAAAGGCAAGACTTGAATATGCACAGGTGTAAGGTAGAGCCAGCACGTTGGAGAACGGCAGAACATTTTTATGAAGTTGGAAGGGGTCATCCGAGCAGTACTTAGGGAAGTTCCTACATCATGGCTGGCCAAGTTCACCACGTGTACCCCATATGGGATACAATTCTGACTCAGCTGTGGCTGATAATCTCTTTATTCTAATTCTCCATCCCCCACCCATCCCGTCGTTTCTAACCCTTCCTGATCTGGAGCTCTCTGTTTCTGGTGAAAGATTCTCTTTGTCAGGTTTCCTAGCTTCTACCTCCATTTCCTAACAAAAGGCATCCCTGGCATGCCCACTTCTGTCAAGATTCTCCGTGATGTGACCCACTGTCTTCTCACATCCTTGACAGCCAGACCCATGTAGGCTGGTCTGTTTCTGTTTTCTCATGTTCCTTTTCTTGCCCTTTATGTAGACATATGGGTTCCTACCTGCCTTTTGTCTATTGTGTGTAAGAACTGGAGTTCCCCAGACCAAGTCCTCATTCTGTTGCCTCCCCGAACCTCCTCACCAGCATTCTTTAGCTCTTTAACTCTTACAATGGTGTGATTGTCATAAAGGAGGCTATTTACTGAGACATACAAAGGACCATAATGTTCCGTAACAAGCAACATTTATTTGCTGCTTCGAAGTGGTGTGAACCCACCATTAAACAGTGAGTATATATTTTGTGTCAAGTTCTAAGCTAAGCATTGTGCAAAATATAAATGTCACTCAGATGAATATAAAACAAGCTTCTTGCTCTCAAAAGTCTACAATGTAGTTAAGAAGTTGTATCTGGCTGGGCATGGTGTCTCATGCCTGTTATCCTATCACTTTGGGAGGCTGAGGTGTGTGGATCACTTTAGGTCAGGAATTTGAGACCAGCCTGAACAACATGAGGAAACTACGTCTCTACTAGAAATACAAAAATTAGCCAGGTGTAGTGGTGTGTGCCTGTAATCCCAGCTACTCAGGAGGCTGAGGCAAAAGAATCGCGAGAACCTGGAAGGCAGAGGTTTCAGTGAGCCGAGGTAGCACCACTGCACTCTAGCCTGGGTGGGTGACAGAGCAAGACTCTGTCTCAAAAAAAAAAAAAAAGAAGTTGTACCTTTAACCCATCTTGCAGGTTAAAACAAAAACACACCTGTTATTATCTGAAGAAAGATGAAAATAAGGGGAAGTTGAAATGTCCTCTTTAAGTCCTCTCAATTTATCTTCCACACAGCTGTAGTTGTCATGTGATTCTGAAATTGTAGAAAACACTGAGGTGTACTGGTCTTATATCCTGAAATGTAATCTTATTCCTTCCTCCCCTCTCGCAGTGGGAATGACATAGGAGGGAGTCCCTGGGTGTTTCTTCCTAACCTATTACCATGCATCTCATGTCTGCAGTCTCTCCCTGGCTTTGTCTTTGAGGAGTGCATAGGAAATGGCAGGACTGACATTGAGGGTTGGGCATCGAATGCATGAGGTCACTAGTTCGGGTCATTGATTGTCATCATCCATGTATATATGAAGAGAACAGTTTTTGGATGTTTTCCAAATGCCGGGAAGGTGTGCAAATTGCACTAATTTCTCCTCTCATTCTACATTTCTCTAATAAGTTAATAACATTATTTAGGCCCTGTTCAGGCCGTCTGTCACCATGCAGTTGAAGTATTTGTGCGAGTTGCATTCTCAGTAAGTGCCTGTTTGCTGTCTTCTATATTTGTGTGGGACAAAGAAATTATATTTCTTTTTTATAGCTATATCGAGCTTATGTGGCCTTCCCAGACTTTTTCCGTAATTCAACTGCCAAGTGGTGGAAGAGGGAAATAGAAGAACTATACAACAATCCACAGAATCCAGAGAGGAGCTTGAAGTTTGATGGCATGTGGATTGTAAGTGTGTGTGTGTCTCTGTGTACCAGTGACACTTGTCTATCTTTGTGTGCCTACGTGTATGTACCACTGACCTTCAGTCAAGAGGATAGTCATTGTCCAAGGAAGACTTTGGACATATCAGACACTTCCTCCTCTCAGGAGAGGAACAGCCCTGATAGCCCTCACACCTTCTACCAGACCTGACATTACTACTATAAAACCTCTGAGGCAATTGACTAGGAATTTCTTGGAACTTTCACTGCCTCACGCCCACCTTGAGAGAGATTTTTTTTTAACCCTCTAGCCAGTTGTTCTGTAGGGGTGAATTCATCTTTCTAGCCAGTTCTCACCAGGATTTGATGAAGCTCCCAGGGCTGGCATCTATAGGGATTACTGGATGTTGAACAATGTATTCACTGCTTCCTTGGCTCAGAATTGGCAGGACGTAATTATCTTAAAAAGTGAGGTATGTCTGTGTTTGGCATTTCTAGGATATGAATGAACCATCAAGCTTCGTGAATGGGGCAGTTTCTCCAGGCTGCAGGGATGCCTCTCTGAACCACCCTCCCTACATGCCGTGTAAGAATCCTTGGCCTTCTTGATTGGCAGAGCCATGATTGAAAGAAGGATTACACTGGAGGAGCCCGAGGCCAGGGGTGGCCGCACAGCTCAGGGCACATCCTCATGGCTGCTGTGGTTTACTGGGGACCAGAGACAAAAGCTCTGCACGCGCTTTACCCAGCTGGGCATGTGCAAGTGACTAGACTCATTGCACAAATTTTTTGAATTTGTCTAGAAAACACTTACGAGTGGTCATGCCACCAAAGGGTTCTCACAGCTAGGCTTGTTAGTTTTTTAGGCTTATGTGAATTCCATCACAGGAATTTTTTGGTGTCATCAATGGGTGGAAATTATTGGCTTGCCTTTATTGTGGAGCTGATGGACTTTGGAGTTACACTTGGGTTCATATCTTGGTTCCAGAAATTGTTCTCTCTAGGAGTTTTGTGACTTTTCACAGATTATGCGATATGTCCAAATCTCAGTCTGCTAAACTGTAAAAGACAGGTAATGAGATCTTCTTCATAGAATTATGGAAATAATTGGCAAGTCAAAAGCCTAAATAAGAGCCTGTCATATAGTGTTTGACAGCTGTACATTCTTCCTGACACCTCTGCTTTCTTCAGTGAACTTGATGTTGGAAACACTGGAGCCGCCGTTGCAGCTCAGAGCTGGGGGCGCTGTGCTCATGTCTCTGGGAAGACGGAGAGTGACACAGGCAGGACTGAAGTTAGTCTTAAGATCCAGGGCCCAGTCCCTTGAAGAGAAGTCAGGGAGAAACAGAATCAGGGCTGGATTTCACCTCACCAGTTCTTCCTCCTCAGATTTGGAGTCCAGGGACAGGGGCCTGAGCAGCAAGACCCTGTGCATGGAGAGTCAGCAGATCCTCCCAGACGGCTCCCCGGTGCAGCACTACAATGTGCACAACCTGTACGGGTGGTCCCAGACCAGACCCACATACGAGTGAGTCTCTGTCTCCCTTCTCCAGCTGTCACAACCTGTAGGGATTGCCAGTGACTGACATAGCTACCCTACTTTTCTTTTCATTCCCATTCTAAGGGTTAAGAAGATTCTCATGACAACTGTGTAATGATTCTTATTAGATAAACACTTAGTGACATGGAGCCAGGCCCTGTGATTAAAAGGAGGAGGACAGATTTAAATAAGGCATGGTCCCACCAGTGAAAAGCTTAATGATCCTAGTGGGAAAGACTCACATGGAGACATCATAATGATCACAGAGGGCAGCCGGTGGTACAACAGCTTCAGTTACAGGAGGTGAAGGGAACACAGAGGACTGGGCATCTCTCCCCTTTATTTCAAAGTGAATCATCTTTGGAGTTCTTTTTTGTTTTTCACCATTCTTGGTGGAGGCTAATTGGTATTCCACTGAATTAGCACAGTCCTGCTTTGTAAGCTCAATTAATAGTGTGAATTCTTCTAAGGACGATCTTATAATCTTCACTGTGTTCCTCCTCAAATATAGAAAACTAAGTTTTGGGGAAACCAATAGCAAGATTTAGTAATTCCTTACTATTTTTGGGGCACTCCAGTGAGTTTGCTACAGTGAAGTTCTTTGTAAAGCACTGTGAGAACACGTGACTCGTTATCTCCATCATCTGGGATCAGTGGAGCCCCCATTACAGCTCAGAGTCCCGTGTTCCCTCCAATCACGCAGCAAACATTGACTAGGCTCAAGGGCTCTGGGAGCAGATGCTCTATGGCCTTTGCTTCCTGGCGGTGCCCTCAGTTCACCTCCTTTTCCCCTCCAACCAGAGCCGTGCAGGAGGTGACAGGACAGCGAGGGGTCGTCATCACCCGCTCCACATTTCCCTCTTCTGGCCGCTGGGCAGGACATTGGCTGGGAGACAACACAGCCGCGTGGGATCAGCTGAAGAAGTCTATCATTGGTGCGTGGGTCCTTCCCAGGGCCTGTGCCGGTAGGGCAGGGAGTTGGGATCCTTGGGGAAGAGGTGAGGAGGCAGGTCGTGAGAGCGAGCCTGGTGTGACACAGCTGTGCTTCTCGTTGCAGGCATGATGGAGTTCAGCCTCTTCGGCATATCCTATGTGAGTGTCCTTGGGATCCTCCTAAGCACCAAGAAGGTGGGGACATCTTTCAGAAATCATCAGCAGGCTCCTTTTATTTCCTCTTGTTTCAGACGGGAGCAGATATCTGTGGGTTCTTTCAAGATGCTGAATATGAGATGTGTGTTCGCTGGATGCAGCTGGGGGCCTTTTACCCCTTCTCAAGAAACCACAACACCATTGGGACCAGGGTAGGACAGTGGCCCCTACCTCCAGTGTTTCACTTGAAACACAGCCTCCATTTCTGACCTAAAGTTAATGCAGTCTGTATTTCCTGTGATATCTTTAAAATTTTTTTTTTTTTTCTTTTGAGACAAAGACTCATTCTATTGCCTAAGCTGGATCTTGCAGTGTCCCAATCATGGCTGACTGCAGCCTTGACCTCTGGGGCTCAAGCGACTCACCTACCTCAGCCTCTTGAATAGCTGGGACTACAGGCACATACCAACGTGCCCAGCTAATTTTTGTGTTTTGTAGAGATGGGATCTTGCCATATTTCCCAAGCTTGTCTCGAACTCGTGGCCTCAGTCCCCGAAAGTGCTGGGATTACAGGCGTGAGCCACTGCACCCTTATAAATTGTTAAGCCCATGGGTCTCAGTGAGCCATATTCCTCAGTGTTCTTTAGGTTATTATTATGTTTTGTTCTTCTTGTTTGGGCAGAATTGTAAAAAATATACCAAAAAGAATGTCTTACAGTGAAATTTCATCAGCTGTCCTAGGAGAGCATCAGTGAACTTTTCCAGTCTATTAAGAATATTCTCTGGGCCTCATGTGTAGTTTTCTTTTGTTTAGCTGTGAGTGATCTTCAATTGGAGTATGCTTTCAGTGACCTTCTTAAATCCCCTAGAAATTCCAGGGCAAGCTCCCAACACTGTTCTCTTTCTCCTTTAGAGACAAGACCCTGTGTCCTGGGATGTTGCTTTTGTGAATATTTCCAGAACTGTCCTGCAGACCAGATACACCCTGTTGCCATATCTGTATACCTTGATGCATAAGGCCCACACGGAGGGCGTCACTGTTGTGCGGCCTCTGCTCCATGAGTGAGTGTCCAGCAGGGATCCCAATGCCTAATGGATGACTTATTGCATTCTATATGGTGACAGTTGAATTCTTCCAAATTAAAGACATGATTGCCTTTTGACATGAGCTCTTCAGGTGCAGACCATACTTTATTACTCTCTTTAGCACAGTGCTATACATGCCTTAGGTCATTAATAAAAGGTTATTGATTGAATGAGCAAAACTGAAATGATGCAGTATAGCATAGAATAATTTCTTTCTAATTTGGCTGTGCAAAGGCCTATCTATCTTTTGTAGCAGTTTGGTTATATGTAGCCAGATCACAGGAGAAGGATTTCAGGAAGAGATTTGAGGGAAAAGGGCCATCCTTGCATTTGAAGTTTGCCATGGTTGAGAAATGGGGCAAGTATTTTACAAGAGAGAATACATCTACATCCCAGCATTTCTGAAGTTTGAGGCACATCCCATGGGGAAAGCAGAGGCTGGGTGCTCCTGATGAAGCTAGGCCTAGGAAAAAGGCAAGGATGGCTCAGGGGCAGCTGTATTTCCGACTTGGATCTGAACTTGAGGAGCTTCTTCAGAGTGTCGGGCTGGGGCTCTGTTGGGCTCTGTTGGGCACCTTCATTTCCCTTTCCAGGTTTGTGTCAGACCAGGTGACATGGGACATAGACAGTCAGTTCCTGCTGGGCCCAGCCTTCCTGGTCAGCCCTGTCCTGGAGCGTGTGAGTATGGAGGCCTCCGATGAGGGGAGGATCCCAGCTGTGAGGCTTGGGGAAAAGGACGAGGAGAAGAGGCCTGAGCTGGTGGGGGTCCTAAGACATGGTTTCTTATTCTACCTGTGTCTCTTCCTCTCTTTCTGAGCTGAAGTCCATCACTTAGGTGTTCTTGGCCTCAGCTCCTTCATCTTTAAAATGAGCCTAACAATTCTGGTTCATAGGATGATCAAGAAGAAAACACCTCATGGTATATTCAATGACACAATCGTTTCTTCGTTAACTAAAATAAGGAATAGAAGATCAGATGGGGGCAGTATTGTAAAGAATTCATAACAGTCCTCTAGCACTATTACAACTTTTCAGAAGGATTGCTTGGCAATGTGTGTGTACTTGTATTGCTGCTGGCTAACCCTTCCCTTCCTCTGCAGGAGCTCCTCCCAGCAGTAAAAGCCATTTCTTTACTTCTATTGTTGATTAGGCTTCTGATTAAAATACCAGTTAATTGCACCTTCCCAAAATCTTTTTTTTTTTTTTTTTGAGACAGAGTCTCACTCTGTCATCCAGGCTGGAGTGCAGTGGTGCTATGTCAGCTCAGTGCAACCTCTGCCTCCCAGGTTCAAGTGATTCTCCTGCCTCAACCTGCCGAGTAGCTAGGACTACAGGCACGTGCCACCAGGCCCGGCCAATTTAAATTTTTTTTTTTATTTTTAGTAGAAACAGCATTCCACCATGTTAGTCAGGATGGTCTTGATCTCCTGACCTCATGATCCGCCTGACTCGGCCTCCCAAAGTGCTGAGATGACAGACGTGAGCCACCGTGTCCAGCCCGCAAATCTTATGGTACCCACAGAATTTTTTTCTGCCCCAGACACAACCTCAGTTGTTTGTCTCTTTAAGAGGGAATGGCGTAAGCCTATTTCTATAAGCAAATAGTGAATTTTTTTTTTTCCCGAAGTCCTGGGTACCAAAGTGCTTTATGAAAGCCACTTGTTTTGGGGTAGACAGATCTCTCCTGTTTGAAAAAGGAAAAGGGATGGAAGGTTTCCTCAATAGGTGACCTCCTGGGACATGAGGCAAGTGGGCCCAAGGCCATCACAATTATTTAACCTCTTTCCTAAGTATTTTGGTTTCTCTGTCCTGGAAAATGGTGCCACTGCCACACCTTGTTTATGTTTCATTTTAGAATGCCAGAAATGTCACTGCATATTTCCCTAGAGCCCGCTGGTATGATTACTACACGGTAAGTTTTTCTGAATGTTTATACAACACGGGAAAATGGTAGAGAGTACAAAGGCTTTAGATCTGATAGACCTTAGGTCAAATGCTGGCTCTGTAACCCACCTGCTGTGTGGTCTTAGAGAAGCCACTTTAACCCTTGTAACCTCGGTTTTCTCACCTCCAAGTGGAGTAAGACCACTTCCCTCATAGAACTGTTGTGAAATGACACATAAAGCATCTCACTCAGGTTTTTCGTGGGTGTTCTCTTTGTGTTAATTTTTAATATTTTCTTATATCACTGCTATTTACAATGTTTTGTAAAGGCAGATGCTTTTGAGATTGTGTTGCAAACTATAGTTTTTGTTTTTAATGTTTATATCTTTACCTGCTGTAAGTTTGTAAGCATAGAGGCCTTTTTGTCTCTGTCTTTTTATTAAATATCTCCTTCCATAGCATAGATGCTCAAAGAAGGGCACTGCACATAATTACCTAAGGTAAGCAAGTGATTAGGCAATGTGCAAAACACACACAGAGGTATGGGACCCAACCCTTGTGAGTCTAAGCAGTGCAAGTGCATTTAGAAATGAGGAAGCAATGAAGAGCTCCTTGCCGCATAGTTTCTGTGCTATTATGTTCCCCAAAGACTTATCTGGGAAGCCAGGGTCTTCCCGGGCAGCTCTGGGGTGGTGGGCTCTTGCTGGGACCCTGACAAGTCAGACCCTGATTCTTGGGGAAGAATCAAAGAAGGCATTTCCTTGGTCTCTAATGGGGCCTCTTCTGACTTTCTGAGGAGAACATCGTTGAGGGCTGGAAATACAGCAAAGGGGTACAAGCAGGGATACAGGAAGCAGAGCATGTGCTGGCCCCTTTCATCCAAGGGGATTGCAGTGAGATTAGGTGAAAACTGGAGAAGGATGTGCATTTTGTTCCTTCTCTTCTCAGTCCATTGGAGCCCAAGTCCTCTCCACAGCCCCAGACTCCTCTTCCTGCTGCTAGTCTGGATCTGCCCTTAGGGTGGTAACATGTTAAGGCTCTGCTATGTGTGTCCCAGCCAGGCGTTTCCCAGGAAGAGGTGGCCAGCTTTCTTTACGTGAGACTGGCCTTTGTCCTGAGTGTGCATGTTGAGTCTCCCATTCACTAACAGAAGATGTCTTTGGTTGAAGAGGAAAAGACAAAAGAAATCATGGAGCAAGCTATTTAGAAAAAGATGAAATTTTGATGTTTAATTAAAATGAAGATGAATTTCATAGTTAATATTAATGAAGAAGTGTCACCTTAATTAATCTTCCCAAGTTTGGGTAACTATTACTCATTCTAGAGCACAAGCTGGCAAAAACTATGGCCCACAGCCAAATCTGGTTGTTAGCTGATTTGCAAATAAAGTTTTATTGGAACACAGCCATGCATATTTGTTCGCTTGTTGTCAACAATAACTGCTTCTTACCTGTAAAGTAGCAGCTCTGAAATGAGAGGATTTTGCCTACCAGGGGACATTTGGCAATGCCTGGAGATATTTTTGGTTGTCACAACAGAGTGGGGGTGAGGAGGTGATGCGGCTGACATCCGAGGATTCTGCTAAATATCAAAAGGCACAGGATAGCCCCATCGCCAGAGAATTGTCTGGCCCCAAATCTCAATAGTGCTGAGACTGAAAAGCCCTGCTCTAGTTGAGAACATGTAGGATGGAAGCATGGTCCCTTAGGTTCTGATACAGGTGAGAGAGTAGCACCTCTTCCTGTCACACATCAGGCAAATGTAGTTTGTACAGTGGAAGCAAAGGCAAGAGACCCTAACAAGATATTATAGCAGCCTTGCAAGATTTCTTGCAGCACTGGGTGAATGCAGAATGGGTAATGGCAGGTATGTTGCAAAGGGTGATGAGCAGGCATAAGTTCAGAAGGGAGGATGAGATGTCTGGCAGGATGCATTGTTCAGGGAGGGGCCTGTCCTCTCCTTAGTCATCTCTTACCTTCTTCTGCCTCCAGGGTGTGGATATTAATGCAAGAGGAGAGTGGAAGACCTTGCCAGCCCCTCTTGACCACATTAATCTTCATGTCCGTGGGGGCTACATCCTGCCCTGGCAAGAGCCTGCACTGAACACCCACTTAAGGTAAGTGACAGGACTCAGGTTTTCCTTTACATGTCAGTTAGCTCAACAATTTGTAATGAAGTCCACCAAAATGTAAGCATCACTCTCAAACCCACATGCAATTCTACTCAACACTTGTTTTTTCTTTGTTTGCTTGTTTGTATTTTAACCTTTTTCAGACTCTATACTCTTCGACTAATTATTAACAGCTCTTTTATGTCTAAGTGGGTGAGTTGATAGGTCTAAGAGTGTCATCTTTCAATCTCACAATTGAAATGGAAGTCAAAATAGGAGCCACCACGATTCATAATAGTTTTAGTATACTATTGGGTCTGATTGAATATTTCCTAATAAAACTATTGCTGAAAAATTGTTTATTCCTCTACAAGATGTTAAAATTCTAGATCAAAGTCTATGTATAAATTAACCATAGCTAACATCCAGTGAGTGCTTGCCCTGTGCCTAGAACTATATGAATATGGGCATTTCCATGTGGAAATTATCTATTTTTTCTTAGCAAAAGGAAAACATAAATTCTGTGAGGTTAGTACTGTTACCACCATTTCATAGATGAGCAAAAAGGCTAAGTGATTTGCTCAGAGTCACACAGCTACTAAGTACATGAATGCGGACTAAAATTCACATCTCTCTGGTATCAATACTAACATTCTTAGACTCCCTATTCATTTGATTCTAAAGATTTAAATAAAAATGAAGAACTTAGGACATTTGAAAATAGAACTCCCTGTATATGTTTCAGATATTAGGTCACGAAAACAGATTTTCAGCATCAGGATTTTCCTTTCAAAAGGAAAAGAAAGAACCCAGTTAGTCTGGTTGTCATTATTTTAAGAGCCTTAAAGCAGAATCCTCTTGATTCATTCACTAATTCATTTGTTCATGATATGAAGTCATAGAGCCAGACAGAGACAGAATTAGAACTAAGACACAAGTCTCTTGAATTCTAGTATGCAGTCTTTATCCCCCAAAGCACTTCCCTTTGCTGCTTTATGTTTGTATGTAAAGTCTTGGTTTGTGGCTGTGGCTTTACTTTTAGCTAATGCCTCTCTGCCTGCTCACTGCAGCCGCCAGAAATTCATGGGCTTCAAAATTGCCTTGGATGATGAAGGAACTGCTGGGGGCTGGCTCTTCTGGGATGATGGGCAAAGCATTGGTGAGTAGAGGTTGCCTGAGATTCATGCTGATGGCACTGACTACATTCCTGGATTATCTTACAGGCCTGCTTTCACCTTTTCCCTATTATAACAATTTTGCATTTTAAAATATAATCATTTGTTAATTCAAGGGTATAATCCATATTGGACATGATCTTTATTCCTCATGTAAATGAAGCTCAGTTCTGAATCACCTCCCATTATGCAACCTTTGTAATCCACTATAGAAGGTAGCAATATGGGAGCCATGGGGAAAGTTTATTTGTAGCCAGCGGAGATAAACTTTCATAGGATTTATGGTCAAGGACACATTCCCGAATTACATGGTTTACTGTCCCAGTAAGAGGGGTAATACCTCTATCCGTTGTATTATTTATGGGATATTTTCTATTAGGAGTTTATAGGAATTGGTAAACTCTCAGGAGGATTGCTCAAGAAATTATTAGCTATTTCTAGACAAGTGCTATCCAATAGAACTTTCTGCAGTGATGACAATGTTCTATATCTTCTGCTGTTCAATATTGTATCTAGTAGGCATATGAGGCTATCGAGCATTTGAAATGTGTGACAAGTGCATCTGAAGAATTATATTTTTAATTTTATTCAATCTTAACAAGCTTAAATTTAAACGTGTTACATTTTACTAGTGACTGCTATCTTAGACAGCACAGTTCTAAGGGATAGCCAGTGGCAACTGACTGAGTGGTGAGTCATTTAGAAAAGGGCCAGCACAGTCGAGCTCAGTGCCTCACGCCTGTAATCCCAGCACTTTGAGAGGCCGAGGCAGCCGGATCACCTGAGGTTGGGAGTTCGAGATCAGCCTGACCAACATGCAGAAACCCCCTCTCTACTAAAAATACAAAAAAATTAGCTGGGCATGGTGGCACATGCCTGTAATCCCAGCTACTTGGGAGGCTGAGGTAGGAGAATTGCTTGTACCCGGGAGGCGGAGGTTGCAGTGAGCCGAGATCATGCCATTGCACTCCAGCCTGGGCAACAAGAGCGAAACTCTGTCTCAAAAAAAAAAAAGAAAGAAAGAAAGAAAAGAAAAGTGAAAGAAAAAGAAAGGGGCCAGCACACAGGAAAGAGTGTGACAGCCACGAGGGCAGGGTGTAGGATGGGAATACTTGAAACCAAGCTATTGACTAGTTCACCTTCACCGGCTGTGCTGAACTTCATATTCTTCCTAGGCCTGTGGCACACATTTAGGATAAAGGACAAAGAAGGCTTTTCTTTGATCATCTTTGTTCTCTGGAGATCACATTTTTAAATTTGCCTAATACCTCAAGATAAACCCACCAAGACACCAGTGTTGGTGTTTGCATATGTATATGCATATAAATGTGTGTGTGGAGATGTGTACATACAGCAAAAGAAACCTGGAAATTCTGAGCTGGTTAGGAAGATGCTGGGATGGTAGACCACAAGGAAGAGAAGTGACTTAAAAATGGTGTCAGGAAACTGTGTTATATGAAGTGACTCTGTCAGACAGATGTGTCTATACACATTCATTTCAAGCATTTTGTGTAAACTGAGTGTGGGTGCAGGGTTTGATTAGTCTCCATAAAGAGCACTTACATTTTAAAATAGAACACTCAAAAGACAGAAATAAAAACAAAGATAAGCCTTACTCTCTCAAACAAGACAAGTAGGCAATTAGAACAGCATTTATATATTCTATAGCATAGAGTTCTACAGCACAGGTCCAGGCCATGTTTATCTTGTTTTTTGTTTGCAGATACCTATGGGAAAGGACTCTATTACTTGGCCAGCTTTTCTGCCAGCCAGGTGAGTGTGATTGATATGAAGTGAGAATAGGGTTCCACTGGCTTAGGAGGGTGCTGAATATCGTAAGGGCATAAAATACCACCTAGAATTTCTTCATTGCTCATCTTGCTAATTCACATTCTTCTACTTCTCTAGACTTCCGGTGGAAATTTACTATGCTCCCAGGAGGCTTTCTGCAATTAAACCTATCCACATCTCATCAGTAATGATCATTATTCTAGTTTACCATGTTACAGGTGGACGGGCAGTTTCTGTTATCTAGCCCTTGTTCCTGAGTTGCCTTGGAATGGTCTGCACATTTTGGGATTCCTCCACCTGTAGAATATAAGTATCTTAACAGCTGAGACTTTTTGTCTCCTGTAGAGTTCAGGGCAGTGCGAAAGACCCTGTAGCTGCTTGTCAATGCAAAGTGGATGGGAGTTGGCAATAGGCCATAGAGTGATGAAATCATGATTTCCATGATCCAAAGTTACAAGATGGTGACTCTGAAGTTGTCTTACTTTATGACCTACATTTGTGCCTAAAAAGAGGTTAGAAAAATTTGAACTAATTCTGCTATTATATTTTTCTTTTATCTCCAATTCAACAGAATACGATGCAAAGCCATATAATTTTCAACAATTACATCACTGGTACAAATCCTTTGAAACTGGGCTACATTGAAATCTGGGGAGTGGGCAGTGTCCCCGTTACCAGTGTCAGCATCTCTGTGAGTGGCATGGTCATAACACCCTCCTTCAACAATGACCCCACGACACAGGTTTGTGACCAGCAAAAAGTGCGAATGGTATTCTCCACCCTTAATATGCCTAGTGCAGTGCCTGACTGCTTCCCTTCCAAATGATGCCCTCTCCTGCCAGGCCCTCCGGGAATCCCTGAGTTTTCCATGTGTTAGGAATGGACCACGTGGAGATGAATGAAAAATCATGGTTTATCATCATTTGGAATCCATGGCCTGGATTCTTACTTTCCATGTTTGTCTTCTTGTCTGCAAACCTATGTAAAACTTTGTCTTGACTCCCTCACCTCTGCCTCAGAGATCAACTTCCCAAACAGGTTGGAACTATCATATTTTATCAAATATGATACCATCAGTGAAAATTGCTTCATTATTTCATGTGCCACAAAGAAAGAAAAAAGGATGACAAAACTATGATAGAATGCTTCCTTATCACTCAATTTTTTTTTTTTTTTTGAGACGGAGTCTCACTCTGTTGCCCAGGCTGGAGTGCAGTGGCATGTGATCTCAGCTCACTGCAAGCTCTGCCTCCCAGGTTCATGCCATTCTTCTGCCTCCCAAGTAGCTGTGACTGCAGGCGTCTGCCACTATGCCCGGCTAATTTTTTGTATTTTTAGTAGAGACAGGTTTTCACTGTGTTAGCCAGGATGGTCTCGATCTCCTGACCCTGTGATCCGCCTGCCTTGGCCTCCCAAAGTGCTGAGATTACAGGCGTGAGCCACTGTGCCCAGCCTCAGATTTTTATAATAAACTTATAGAAAGTTTTTGAAACTTCTTTAGCCATAAAGTTTTACCTATATATTTCAATATTGTAAGTGATAATATGGAGGAAAATGTTGAGTGGAGATACATTGATGATTCTGCCTCAACGTAATTTAAAAGAGGTAGACCCTAAATGTGAAGAAGCACTAGAAATAGCTTAACCAACTTGTATCGTATTTAAATTGTACTATTTAAATTCATATTAAACTGTTTTATTATTTAGTTTATTGTATTTATTATTATTTAGAAGAAAAATATGTGTTACAAATTGGTTAAGATATTTCCTCTGTACTGCAAAAGGTGTTGGTGATTCAGCATTTTATAAAAATTCTTCCACTAGTGTCTATGAAGTTTTTTTCCTGAGCCACTAACACACTTTATATACATTTTCATCCTAGTGCTTTCTTGATCTTACTAAATATTCCTTCCTGTAATAATCCTTAAATGTTTTCAGCCCATCCATTCATAACACAGTAATAGCAATGAAGCTTACACAGGCACAGACAATAACAATTATGCCATGAGTGCTGCTTGGCTCACAGTAATTCTATGGTTGTCGATTACAAGACACGCTCTTGTCAGATGAATGTTAAATATGTGAAAAATCTGTACCTTGGGATTAATGCTGTGTAGTGGTCCTGACACTTATCATCCCGATGGTAAATGAAACTTTCTTCCTTGTGTGCTTACTTATTATTTTTTTTCCTGAACTTTTTTCTTTCATAATCCTTCCTGATGATTAAGCCTGAAACAAAAGTTTTCTTTCAGTTTTGCATTCTTTACAGTTATTTCCTCATACTTGTGGTTTTCTTGTCAACAACTTCCCCAACTATACCATAAAGGACTTTGCCCAATCCTGTTGCTGACCAGCTCAGGGACAGACATGCAAGCTGATGAGGGCACATGCAGTGAAAGCTTCTTGACAGCATCTGCCTAGGAAGAAGCAGGAATAGTGGACTCTTGCTGGGCAAACACTGGGGTGCTATAGTGGAATAGGAGAAGGAGGAAACAGAAGGATGGTGCCAAGGAAAATCAACACCTCAGTAGAATGGAAAAGAGGGCATTCTCTCCAGTTTGTGCAGTTGTTTCTCTTCAGCGGTTGCATATTGAACATTTTTTTTTTTTTTGACTGAGTCTCACTCTGTTGCCTAGGCTGAAGTACACTGGTGCAATCTTAGCTCACTGCAGTCTCCGCCTCCCAAGTTCAAGTGATTCTCCTGGCTTAGCCTCCCTAGTAGCTGGGATTACAGGCACCTGCCACCACGCCTGGCTAATTTTTGTATTTTTATTAGAGCTGGGGTTTCACCATGTTGGCCAGGCTGGTCTCAAACTCCTGACCTCAAATGATCCACCCACCTGGGCCTCCCGGAGTGTTGGGATTACCGGCGTGAGCCACCGCACCCGGCCCATATTGAATTATTTAAAGGCCCATCTCTACCACTGAATAATCTTTGTACTCTAAAAAATTAGAAAACACCCTTCTCATCTGAAACTTTGAAGGCAGTCTTTTAACTAGACAATACAATGTAGAAGTATTAGGGGGTTATTTGGACTGGATACTTGCACCTGATTTATTTGCATGCAGGAAATTTCAACACCGGATGCCCAATTCTTTTCCTTTGGTTCCTAACAGGTATTAAGCATCGATGTGACTGACAGAAACATCAGCCTACATAATTTTACTTCATTGACGTGGATAAGCACTCTGTGAATTTTTACAGCAAGATTCTAACTAACTATGAATGACTTTGAAACTACTTATACTTCATACTCATAAAAATTATTGTGTGTTGCTAATTTGTTCATACCCACTATTGGTGAAATATTTCTGTTAATTTTGTTATATGTTTTTTGTGTGAACCCTAAAGGTTAAACCTTAGCCCTGTGGGATAGGCAGTTAGGGAGGTGTGGAAAATCTATGCATTACCTTAATGTCTCTGTGTGGTTAGTATGGTAGTGACTGTTCATCATATGACATTTACTGAAGATGAACTGGGTCCATGATGAAGTGTGTGTATGTCCACGTTTGTAATCATAGAATGGACCCCATTCTTTTGTTAAATACACAAGAGAAAGCTTTCTGTGACAGTTCCAGGTCTTGAAGCTAATCAGCATCTCAAGAAAGTATCCAGAAAGAACATCTGCTAGTTGGTTATAGGCGGTGGGAGGAATAATATACCTAATTGGTTATAGGTGGGGGGAGCATGATAAGCAAAGAAAAGGCAAACACAAGGAAAGATCAGATGAAACAGAAGATGATAGTAAAAGTGATCCTAAGTAAGAACATAATGTAAAATTGTCAGCAGCCTCATGGGGAGGAAAAAGGAAGAGTCAACTCACTTGAAGAAGAGGGTCTTGAGAAATCCTTAGCATAAAGGGCTACTGGTGAGATTGAGATCTGAGCAGGCAAAGCTCAAAAGAGAGTTTGGAGGTTAAAAATAATTTATTTTTGCAGTAGTGTGCTTTGAAATGTGTAAATCTTATTTCTAATGTATACAACCACATTTCACATAAAAATATGCAATTTATATGCCAGATAAAAATAAAACAAGTGAATTTGCAAGTGATTTTGAATTTTGTGCTATTTTGACCATGAGTAATCTCTGTTTGGGGTTAAGGTTCTTGTTTAGCAAACTCTTATGAATTTGTCTTTCTGGTTCTCTTCGGCATCACAGAACCTACAGCCAAATCCACCAATAGGATGATAACCTTTATAATTATCCTTTTTCTTACATCTCTGCAAGGAGTCTTTTATAAGATGTGGGTTTGTGGAAGGGTCTATTGATTACTATTTTAATCATCATAGCAGTTGCTATATTTAGGAAAATACCAACTCCAGTAAAAATAGGAGTTGCAACCTTCTTGCTTAAAATTCTATAGGGTTAAAATGTGAGATAAGGAAATTATATATTAATGTTCAACAGGAATATTAACTTTTGATGTTACCTGAAAATGAGTTGAAAATGAATGTGTGTGGAATGAATGAACCTACTTCTCTGTGTTTTCTTCTTTTCTTATAACCAGGAAGCCATTCATTCTCCCTGCACACTCATGTGTCAGCACCTGCATAAGGCTAGAGACAAACAATATTGTTAAATCATCTAATTATCACAATACGGGGCATTTGGATGAGGGCCTGAGCTAACTAGGAAACTGGTGAAATATGGAAAAGCAGCCATGGGAATCCTTTGATCAAAAAGGTGGGAAACTTGTCAGCTTTCCTCTAACAAACTCAGGAAGGCCACAAAGATGAAAACGTTATTTACTTGATATTTAAAAAATATTTAATGTTACCATCAAGGATATGTTGGTGGAATTTGGCTCTGGCTGCCACAGAATGCTTAAGGAGAGGCATTCTGACTATATAATTCTGATGGCTAAGGCCCTAGTGAGGCCAGTGGGGTTTTGGAGCACACGAAGTGTCAGGGACCCCACTGACAGCCTAGTGAAACCTACGGAATTCTTCCTCACAACATTGTTTTTAAATGCATCAAGCAAAATGCATGCTATTTCAAAGAAAACTTATCATATTACGATACACTTATCCAAATATTAAAGATGATATAGTAACCCATGAGATGTGTTTTTTTCATTATCAAATTAAATGAAAAGATCCAACAGTGGAAGTAACAATGCTATAATTTCAATGTAATGATCAACATCAACAATATTTTGAGATATCCACTACAATTTCATAATGTAATATGGAAAGATCTGTGATTGCATTATTGACAAACTCATGTGCTATGAAAACTACTGTGTTTTGTTGTCTACATTCATAACCTAACAAAATGCTAAATTTCAGCCAGAAATGTGTGAAAAAGAGATTATCTGTTGGAACCAATATGGCTTACCGGAGTTAACGCAGAAAGAGCTTGCTGACGTCACAGCCTGAATTTCCACCACAGGTTCTTACTAACTCCCTCCCAAATTTGCACATGAGACCCATGATGAGGCATGAAGAGATAACTGTGCATGCCTGAGGACTTTCTAGATTTCCTCTTTCTTTTACCAATCACCTGCTAATCCCAGAATCCACCCCCTAAGTCTTTTCTGATAAAAATACTTCCTTAAAGCCAGCACAGGAAGACAGGTTTGAGCTGGACTCCTGTGTCCTGTGAGTCGACTTTGCAATAAAAGCTTTTCTTCGAAACCCTTTATCAGAGTATTGGCTTCTAGCGCATCGAAGAGTGAGCCCTTTCGCTCAATAATACCCCCAGAGGTTGTTCCTCAGATCACAGTCTGAGAACCACCTCTCATGGAACCATATCCATTTGTGGCCATCCCAGAGCAGCCCCTACAACATGGACCTATGCTTACAACTCCTGGCCAGCTATTCAGGAAGAGGCTGGGGGCCTTCCTTTTCCACATATGCTCTGTTTTTTAGATCACATAATTTTGCTTTCTTCATAGGTGTGCCAAAATAAAAAAAAAAACACTCTCAAACTCTTTCACTTAAATAGGAAGACATCTATTCCTTTCTTATTAATGTTATAACATTAAATGTCATATATACCTGCAAAGATAAGGTTATGTTGGCCGTGGCAGATGTCTTCAAGATCTCATCAATATTTCTTTGTTCTTGTCATAGCGGCAGAGTCACTGAGAGTTTTGCATCTGGCCTTGGAGAAAGGTGTTCTGGAAGTTAAGGGTGACTCATATTACTAGTTTCTGATCTGATGATTCCAACCAGCAGCTTGCTGTGACAACTGTTTGAGTTCCGCCAATAGCTAACTTTGCCGTGCCTTGTTACCGATAGACAACTGGAAGATGTCGGGTCACGTGCCTGTCTCTACCCTTCAAAGTGGCTCTGTTATTTTCTCATTGGTCAACACCAGTATGGTGATTCAATATCTTCCAGTTACTAGTTAGCAAGAATGGAAGGTGAAGGTAGCTATTTTCTGCACTTTAGGAAACAGGTTATAGATTAGCTGGGCCTGTTGGTTACCACTATTAACATAAATGAAGTCACAAATGTGCATGGCATGTGGGGAGTTAAAGGTAAAATATCACACAAAAAATAGATCTTATGTAACAATAAAATCTCCCTTCTTGACCTTTTGCCAGGATGTCTTCCCAATTTGAAATGAGATCTTGGTACATTTCCCCTCTAACAAAGGCCACCTTGTACTGGGGCAAATGAAAAGCTGAATATGTCATTCCAGCAGTTCATAAATGCAGAAACCGAGTCTCTCTTTCTCTCTCTCTCTCTCTGTCCCTCCCTCTCTCTCTCTCACTTTCTCTCTCTCTCTCCGTGTGTGTGTGTATGTGTGCTTTTCCACATACTGAGCATTTGAAGCAAACACAAAAGATTCACTACTGTGAACACTGTTATTTACAGTTCTTAGGTGCCACCAAAAGAGCTCTCTGTACCCTCATATATTACTGGCAGGAATGGGGGTGTAAAATGGTGCTGCCACATTAGAAAGCAGTTTTGCAGTTCTTCAAAAAGTTAAAGACTTGTCACATGACCCATGATTCCACTCCTAGGTATATTCCAGGCAGAATTTTAAAACGTGTCAGCTCATAGCAGCATCGTTCATAACAGGCAAAAAGTATCAACAACCTAGATGTATATCAGCTGATACATGCCTAAACAAAATGTGGTCTATCCACGCAGTGGATACTATCCAGACATGGAAAGGAACAGACACTGATACCTGAAATGGTGTGGATGAACTTTGAAAATATCATGCCAAGTAAAAGAAGCCAGACACAGATGGCCACATATTGTATTACTGCATTTATATGAAATGTTCACAATAGGCAAATCCATAAGGACAGAAAGTAGGTTAGTGGCTGCAGAAACAGGGGGAGATGGGAATGGGGAGTGACCACTAATTATTTTTGGGGGTGGCAAAAATGTTCTGGAATTAGATAGTGGTGATAGTTTCAGAATTTTGTAAATATATTTTTAAAAACACTGAATTGTATACTTTAAAAGAGTGAATCTTATGGTTTGGAAATTATATGTCAATTTAAAAATCCACTTTAGCTGGCTTAAGAAAAATTTTAAAAAGATATTGGTGACTCATTGAAACTCCGGTAGGACTAGAGAGTCAGGTTTGTAGGCCATGTGGCTAGGGACAAGCCCCAGGTTACCCTGTAGCGGTTTCTACTGCCACTGCCCTGAGCACATATCTGGCAGCTCGCAACCCCAAATACTGAGCATAGGATGCCACTAGGTCTCTTGTCCCTGCTGCCTCTGAAACGAGCTATGCTTCCAACATCCTGGATTTTACATGGTACCTCCTTATCTACACCTTCTTCTGGATGTAAGTCACTCACAGGAATATCTCATTCACAAAGCTCCAGCCACTTGCCTCTACCTTGGATGAAAGAAAGGCTGTGAAAGAGAATTTCTAGCTGTTTCTTTGGGGAGGCAGAATTTGGAGAAAAAGTCCTTAAGTTGATTTAAGTAAGAGGTTTTCTTTTTCTTTTTAAAGAAAGATCCTCCGTTTTTAAATTTTTTTCAACTTTTATTTTAGATTCAGGGTCTAAGATTCAGGGTGCATATACAGGTTCATTTCAAGGGTATATTGTGTGATGCTGAGGTTTGGGGTGTGATTGAACCTGTCACCTAGGTAGTGAGTATAGTACCCAATAGGTAGTGTTACTACCTTTGTCTCCCTCCCCACCTCCCCCATCTTAGCAAGAGGTTTTGAAAGATGCTGAGCCATCGAAGAACATGACAAATGTCCACTAGAGGCATCTTCCCACTTTAGGTTTGTATACATTCTTTCTCTTTTATTTTTTTTGAGATGGAGTTTTGCTCTCGTTGTCCAGGCTGGAGTGCAATAGGGCAATCTCAACTCACTGCCAGCTCCACCTCCTGAGTTCAAGCGATTCTCCTGCCTCAGCCTCCTGGGTAGCTGGGATTACAGCCGCCTGCCACCATGCCTGGCTGTGCAGATGGGGTTTCACCACGTTGGCCAGGCTGGTCTCAAACTCCTGACCTCAGGTGATCCGCCCACCTCGGCCTCCCAACGTGCTGGGATTACAGGTGTGAGCCACTGCACCTGGACGGGTTTGTATAATTGCTACTTTAATGGTACTTCACTATTTAGAATAATTGGTGGAAAGGATCATTTGAATTAATGAAAAGCTGAGTTATACCAAGAGAACTCTGGAGGATGAAAATGGAGAAAAGAACAAAGTGATGAACTAAGAGCTAATCCTTCTTTCACTTACTTATTAAATAAATAGCTATATATTTAAAAAGAACTATGGATATTGGGCAGAGTGCTAAGCACAGGAGATACAACAGTGAAGAAGATAGACAAGACCCTAGCTCTTGAGCCCTTTAGGCTACATGTATAGATGAGGAAACATAACGTGACAAGTAATCAGATATGAACAGGGATACAGAAGAGGGACAATGAGTAGAAAAAAAACCACCTTCCCCTTTTATTAACAAAAGGAGCTTTCATTCTGTGTCACATGGAGAACAAGCGTTCTTTTATGACCTATTGGAATATGCACTCCCCTCCTCCAGTTGCTGTCAACTTTATAAGGCAATAAATTAATTGTGGCAGAAGCTGGCTACCTCAGCCCAGTTACCTTTGCTCAGTGCTCCCTATGAATTGCTGAGGGAGAGATACAGCATAGAAAAAAACAAGGTGATGCGGTGAGTACGCTTCTCCATGCAAGCAGGGCTTTGAACAAGGGCAGGAAGGTCCCTTTCTTTTTGTGTGATTTTCTGTCTGCTGCTCTGTTAAGTGATCTGGATGCCCATGTTTTCCTTCTGGACTTAATATTTTCTTCCTTTTCCATAAAATATGAGGAGTGAGGATGAGATAGTTGATGGAGAGGAGAGACTGTGTGTGTGTGTGTGTGTGTGTGTGTGTGTGTGTGTGTGTGTGTGGTGTCAGTGTTTGGAGGACAGGTTGGGGGAGGTCTGGTGTGAGATCCTCCTCTCTCACTGGGAGAAATTAAGGACAGAGGAAACAGATGGGATCCTTCTGGAAACTATCTCAAGATGGCATGGATTTGGAGGAAGGTGAATTCCTCCCAGCTTTGGGCAGGAAGGGTTTCTAAGTAGGCAAGAATTTCTACCTTTAGGAATCCCCATCCTGTCCTCTGCCTGAATGACAATAGCTCCTAAGGCAGGAAAATACCCAGGGTTATTCCCAGAGCGTTCCTGTACTTCCTGAGCTAAGGTGCTGAACCTGCTCCCTCAGGAGGATTGAGGAGCTGTGGAGTAGGTCCCTGCTGCTGATTTTTAGAAGCTAGAAAGAAAAAAGTCTCCCTGTGGAGAGAAATAATACTTGCAGAAAGAGACCAATTGATGAATAATGCCTTTGCTGTGGTATTGAGTTGTGGGCTGTATGTATAAGAAACGAAGTTTGATACCATAGCACTCTTAGGGTAGGTCCTTCCTACTTCTTTCTCTACCTGAAATTCCACCATTGGAGACCGATCCTCTAAGTCTTTAAGCTCTGCAGCCTAGGATACATTGTCGAGAGAGTATTCAAGTACTATTTTAAAAAGTAGCGGCTCTCGGTGTTTGTCTCAGTTCCACCACTAACCGTGACTAGACAAAATTTCTTAATATTCATCTATAAAATGGAAATCATGATATCTGTCTGATCAGCTTCAATGCAGGGATTTTATGAGAATACAGTCATATGATATATATTTTATAGGGATTAGAGTATATCTTTTAAATAATTTAGACTAAAAGAGAGACAACTGATTAATTTAGGTAAATAGTAAAGAATAGTTAATAAACCTCAATTTTAATCCCAAACCTCGTGTCTCCAAGGGCTAAGGGTTCTTCCTAAATGCCTGTTGGCAAATTACCTGTAGGTCCTAGTTCCTTACCTCTATTTCAATATTAAAGTGCTTCTTTTATGGAATTATTACACATTAACCTAAAGGCTACTGTAATTAAAAATTGAAGCTATATACCTATATAAAAATATTTGTAGAAATGGTCGTGGCATTGGGGAGGAGTTGAGAAGAGCAGGGAGGCAGGGAAATGAAAAGTAAGAGGAGATGCAAAATCAACATAAAAATAAGAGAGAGAACAGTCTTTGTCCCTGCTGACTTATATTTAATAGCTTGTTGCTGCATAAGTGCTGGTTTAGTATGGTGGGAATATGGGGAGAGGAGACGCTGAGCAGCTGGGGTTAGGACGTGCCATGAAGACCTTTGATCACAAAGCTAAAGGGTTTTTGGTTTATTCAGAGATCCATTAAAGGCTTGAATATAGGAGATCCAAATGACCCTGTTTGTGCTGGTCACTTGGGTAATGACCCAAAGATACCGGGAAAGTAGTCTGACTGAACTGTTAACTGGCTGTGAGAACTAACAGAATGAGAGGAATTAAAAAAAGATTCCTAGGTTTTTTTTTTATAATGTGATTCTATTCCTCAAGTTATTAATTATTTGAAGAACAGATAATTTGGCCAAATTGGCAGGAACTGGGAGTGAGGTGTGGGGAGAGATGATTTCATGTTTAAACATGTTAAATCTTATTGAATCTGTGGGACATCCAATAGGCAGTTGAATATATGAATCTAAATCCCTGGGCTAGAAATACAGGTTGGATTGCCATCACATGTCATATAAAGTCACATGAGTGGTGGAGATTACCCAACGTGTCTGCGTAGTTTAAAAAAGAAGCCTATACCAGAATTTGGGGGGCATCAACATTTAATGAAATAGGGCTGAGCGTGGTGCCTCACGCAGGTAATCCTAGCATTTTGGGAGGCCAAGGCGGGCGGATCACCTGAGGTTAGGAGTTCAAGACCAACCTGGCCAACATGGTGAAACCCTGTCTCTACAAAAATATAAAAATTAGCTGGGCATGATGGCGGGTGCCTGTAGTCCTAGCTACTCGCGGGGCTGAGGCGGGAGAATCACTTGAACCTGGGTGGCGGAGGTTGCGGTGAGCCGAGATCGCGCCACTGCACTCCAGCCAGGGCAACAGAGCGAGACTCCATCTCAAAAAAAGAAAGAAAGAAAGAAGGAAAGAAAGAAAGAAAGAAAGAAAGAAAGAAAGAAAGAAAGAAAGAAAGAAAGAAAGAAAGAGAGAAAGAAAGAAAGAAATAGGAGACTACAAAGAATATTGAAGATAAGCCAGAAATAGAGGTGGAAAGCCAAGATTCCTATCAAGGAATCCATATGTGGAAAGTTTCATGGAGGAGAAAGTGGTTAAGTGATTAAGACAGCGCCCATTGTATTCAGCCACTATGTCACTAGTAACCTCGGTGGGAGCATTTCCAGTGGAATGCAGAAAACACAGCCAAGCCAATAACACATGAGGAAGGGAATACAGAAAGTGTGGAACTATCGTTTTGGAAGATTGGCACTGGAAAGAAAAAGAATGTTATTATGCTACCTGCAGAAGCACACAGAGTCATTAACAGAGTTTGGGGTGACTTGGGGTATATTTATGAAGGAAAGATATTCAGAGAGTGAATTTGATAATGCAAGACAATAAGAGATAATTGGTGGAATGAAATTTTTGAGAAATTCAACAGCTGTGAGATCTAGATAACAGATACAAGGATTATGCTTAAACAAGAAGAGGAAAAACTGTTTCATTGAGAATAGAGGGGGAAAAATAAGAATTTACCTAGATGTGAATAACCTTTGTGGAAACGCTTGGGTTGAGAAGCAGAGAGAGAGAATAGTTTCTGCAAAATCATTATTTTTTGGGTGATATCAGAGATGATACTGCATGAGAATAAGAGTGTAGGTAATAGAGTCAGGCCTGAAAAGAAGGATAGAAGGAACAATTTTTTAAATTACAGGCACGGTGGCTCATGCTGTAATCCCAGCACTTTGGGAGGCCGAGGTAAGTGGATCATTTAAGGTCAGGAGTTCGAGACTAGCCTGGCCAACGTGGTGAAATCCTATCTCTACTAAAAATACAAAAAGTTAGCCACACGTAGTGGCATGCACTTGTAGTCCCAGCTACTCAGGAAGCTGAGGCAGGATAATCCCTTGAACCTGGGAGGTGGAGGTTGCAGTGAGTTGAGATTGCGCCACTGCACTCCAGGGTGACACTCCGTCTGCAAAAAAATAAAATAAAATAAAAATAAAATTACTGCTGCGAAAAGTGAGAGGCACTGTCAAGACCATCAGTCGGCTTGCAGGCCCAGTTTATTTAGGAGATTATGAGCCTCGGTGGCATCTCCCTTGAGTTACGTGCGGCAGCACAGAAGGCAGATGTTTGGATGGATAGTTTCATCCTGCAGATTCTGTTAGCAGATAGAGAGCGAGGAAGATGAGAGCAATGGCAAGTTAAATAATCAATACTGAGGCCTAGGTCAGTTAGGGTTAACAGCTAGGAAGGGCTAAGAGATTAAAAGGAAATGGAAAGATAACAGCTGCCTTGATGTGATAAGATACTTTTTTAAAATAAAGTAAGGCAGGCTGGGTGCTGTGGCTCATGCCTGTAATCCCAGCACTTTGGGAGGCCAAGGTGGGCAGATCAGCTGAGATCAGGAGTTCGAGACCAGCCTGACCAACATGAAGAAACCTTGTCTCTACTAAAGATACAAAATTAGCAGGGCATGGTGACGCATGCCTGTAATCCCAGCTACTCGGGAGGCTGAGGCAGGAGAATTGGGTGAACCCAGGAGGCAGATGTTTCGGTGAGGCGAGATCGTGCCATTGCACTCCAGCTGGGCAACAAGAGTGAAACTCCATCTCAAAATATATAAATAAATAAATAAATAAAATAAAGTCAGACAATGAGACAGTAAAAGGACATTGCTCATTTGCATATGGATTTACAATTTCAAAAGTGTAACAGTTCTGGGGATGATAAATTCCAGGGGCTAGCAAACATTTGAGGATGATGGAGATGGAATGGCGAAGAAGGCATTGCAGCTGAGGGCTGTCATGGATCTGTAGACATGTAATAATGTTAGATTTACTATAATTAGAGCAGAAAAATGAGAACACATCCAGTGTCTGATGTCATTTTTGTAGATGAAGAAATACAGGTCCAAATAGGTAAATAGCCCATCTGTTAGTAAGAAAATCAGGACAAGAATTCAACCCCTTTGATTCCCAGTTCAGTACATCCTCCAATATAGAAAATATTTTAAATCTTGGGTCAATAAATGATCTTCGGGGTTACTGGGAGCCACGAAATTTATGTGAGTTGTTTGCTGTGAACCTCCCAGCAAGACTTATGCTGGGTATCAGGATCATTTTTGTTACCAGATCCTTGAGAGTGTCAGTGACGTTTAAACAGTCTCAACAGTGACTTCAGCATCATGTCCAGGGCAGTTGAAAGAAGAAGACTTGGATTCCAGTTTTGCTACTTTCTCTCTCCCTGAGCATACCTTCCTGTCTACTACATTAGGTGGATGTGAAGATCAAAGTGAAATCTAAAGGGTTTTGTGAGCTACCTCAGCCCCTCATCTCTCTTCTGTGTGTTATTCCACAACATTTTCCCTTCAGTTCTTCATGTCTGATATACTTTTCCTTGGACAATCCTCAGTTCCTCTACATGCAAAAAAGGCAAGAGCTCTACAGGTGTTGGATGTAAAGCTAGAGTTAATTAGGGACACTGATAAGTGGAAACAAATATTCTTTAGATTATGTAAAGAGGATGCTGATAATCAAGGTCATCTTGCAAACAATTCCACATTTGGATACAATGATTATGTATCCTCTTAGATTGGTGGGGCCTTGTGATTTGTTTTAACCCAATTATCTGTGTCTATCTAGATGGCGAGGAAGCTCAGTGTATTGGAAGTCCTTCTGATCATCTTCTGCTTAATTGTGGTGACCATAGATATCCTCTTGCTGCTTCTTGTGTTGGAGGAAACTTCAGGTAAGGGAGATGCTTGTAGGTTGGAAGGCTGGGTAAAGGAAGTCTCCTGTAAACGCCAAAGAGATTATTTTATTCTTTTACTTTTCAATATGCCACTACATTGCAGTATTCAAAATTCACTTCCATGATTAGTTTAAGTTCAACTCCAAAAGATAAGTGTTCTTTTTCTGCACTGAAACCTTGAATGTTAGTGACATTTAGGGTCTCCCAAGCCCCATTTAGTGCAATTTTAACAAGATGCAAAATTAGGCTCACCAGATGCCTGCCCTTCAACCCAGAGTCATGAAGTCGTACTGCCTTCAATGAGAAAGGACTGTTAAGCTAACAGTGCCCAGCCCCATTATATTATGGAAAAGGAAACTAAGGTTACAGGGAGGTGGTGGGATGATTAAGTTGGCCTGGTTATACCAACATACATAGCTATAGTTTCTTCATAGGTGCCTTTGAAACCGTTCTGTCTGTCTGTCTCTCTCTCAGGCACCCAGAAGCATCAAACAGAATGCCTTCTCTTTCACGCACATATTATAATTTAAATAATAAAATGTGTGTAGTTCAAAAATGTATTTTCAGTTAAAGCTGAATTTGGGCTTTGTTCTGCTTGACAAGCTCACTTTACAGATGTGAATTGAACCTACAGTGAAAAGAAGCTGTCCTGATGGCAGAACCCTACCTGCTCCATCTCTTTTCACCTCTCTCCACAGTAAACATTAAGACACTTTCTAGGAACTATTACAACTTTGAAAGATGATCTGAAAACCATTGATATAAGCCATTTTGAGATTATTCCTACTTCTCCCCTCTAACACATTTTTCGGGTAACAAGTCTCCTGAGATTGCTATCCAGTGTATATGACTAATTGGTTTATTTTATTTGATATAAAACTAGATCTTCACACCTGCATTCACCTTAAACCACATTCTGATTTATGCAGAGTAGTTCTGCTTTCAACTGTTTTTTTTTCTTCTGTTTTTTTTTTGAAGATGTATTTCCATGGGTTGAAAGGGGGGCTTTAAAATCAATTTGTTTTTATTGTGGTAAGAACAGAACAGAACATCTACCCTCTTACTGGATTTTTAAGTGTATAATACAGTATTGTTATCTATTGAAACAATGTTGTACATCAGATTTCTGGAACTTATTCATCTCGCATAACTGAAATGTTATACTGGGGATTAGCAACTCCGCACTCCCTCTTCCCCCTAACTCCTGACAACTACCATTCTCTTCTTTGCTTCTGTGAATTTGACTATTTTAAATAATTTATGTAAGTGGACTCCCAGAGTATTTATCCTTTTGTGACTGGCTTAATTCACTTTGCATAATGTCCTCAAGGTTCATCCATGTTGTTGCATATTGCAGGAATCCAGTTTTAAGACAATTTTTTATTGAAATATATATATATGTACACAAACAAATGTAGAGCCGTAAAGATAGTGATAGTGAATATATTTGGGGGCTTTGTTTTGAATCAAAACGAAAGCACTAAGGGGCACCTGCTAATACCCACGGTAACTGTTTCCTCCAAATTCTGCTGAAATTCTGGATTTTAGATGGTTCATGGAGTCCATGAACCAGTCCTACTTCTGCTGTTGTCATGGGGAGAAGATTCCACAAAGTTGATAAAGCCTAAAGTAAGAATAGCCAATGTTGAGTGAAGATGTGTATTTCCAATGGGGCCAATAATATCTTCCTGATATGTAGCCTGAGCCCTCTGGTGTCTTTAAGCAGCTGTGCCTACAAATAAGAGACTAAAGAAAAAACAGTAAGAAAAAAGACTTTCCCAGCGATTTATTCAGGGCTTCCCTGGTAACAACAACAAAAAAATGTTGGATCTCTACCTGACAACATATATAAACATTGACTCAAAATTGATCAAAGACTTAATATAAGAGCTAAAACTATAAAACTCTAGGAACATGTAAATAAAAATGTCTGTGACCTTGGATTAGATAACAGTTTCTTAGATGATACCCAAAGCACAGCAAACAAAGAAAAAAATAGGCAAATTGGACTTCATCAAAATTGAAAAAAACTTTGTGCTTTGAAGCACACTTTGAAGAAAACTATCAAGAATGTGAAAAACAATCCACAGATTCAGGGAACATACCTGCAGATGATGTATCCGATGTTAGGCCCTTATCAGATATATCATTTGCAGATATATTTCTTTTTACATCCTAAGATAATACATTGGAATATAAGAGAATATATTCTCTTAGGATGTATAAAGAAATACTACAAATCCAAATTTAAAAAAAAAAGGTTTCTAAATGAGTAAAACATTTAAATAGACATTTCTCCCAAGGAAATCTATAAATGGCCACTAAACCCATGAAAGTATATTCAACATCATTGGTTATTTGGGAAGCGCAAGTCAAAACAATAACATATCACTTTCACACCCACTATGATGACTATAATTAAAAACAGATAAAAACAAGTGTTGTTGAGGTTACAGAGAAACTGGCTTCTACATGGCTAAGATGGTGTGGTTACTTTGGAAAACTTTGCCAGTTCCTCGAAAAGCTACAGATAGAGTTAACCACATGACCTAACAATTCCACTTCTAGGTATATAACCAAGAAAACTGAAAACATAGCTCACAGAGAAACTTACGCGAATGCTCATAGCAGGATTATGTATAATGGTCAAAAAGTAGAAACAACCCAAATGTACATGAACCGATGAATAGATAAACAAAATGTGGTATATCCACACACAAAAAATGTGATTCAGCCATTAAAAGCAATGAAGCACTGATACATACTACAACATGGATTAACCTGCAAAACCTTATGCCAGGTGAAAGGAGCCAGGCACAAAAGGCCACACATTTTATGATTCTTTTTATAGGAAATGTTCAGAATAGGCAAATCCATAGTGATAGAAAATAGATGAGTGTTTGCCAGGGATTGGGAGAACAGGGGAATAGAAGATAGCTGCTAAAGTGTATGTTATTTCTTTTTGGAGTGATGAAATCGTTCTGGAATTCGACAGCGGTCACAGGTTGTACAACTTCATAACTAAAAACCATTGACATATACTTTAAGAGGATGAATTTTGTGGTATATAAATTGTATCTGTTTAAAAAGCAAACAAAGTAGAAATAAACGTGTTTAAACTTGGAGAAGTGTTAAACATCATGTGCAAATATAGATACCAGTTTGGAGAAGTGTTAAACATTGTATGCAAATGTAGATACCAGCTACCGGTGATCTGTTGTGTGGAGAATTGGCCAAAAGTCTGTAACTTTGCTGGCTTCCTTCCTGGAGCTGTGATTACACTACACATTTTCAACTTTATCCTTTAATTCCTATGCAGATACTTCATTTACTCCAGAGTGCCCAGAGATTCCCCAGTCGGAAAGGATAGACTGCACACCTGACCAGGAGGTGACCGAGGTCAGAGAAATAAGGTCCCTTTTGGTGGCCTACAGGGTGTTATTGAAAAGAAATGAATATGTGAAGTGGGGAAAGGGTGGGGGTGGCATGGCTTCTGGGCCTCTGATTTGTTTGGAGTTCTTTCTTTCTTATCTTATTGAAATAACAATATTAAGATCGTGAGGGAAGCAGGGTTGAAAAAAAGGAAGAGTAGGAAAAGCTAACAAGAATGTTAATCTGTGGATTATAAAGTCCAAGGTGGAGGGCGATTACAGGTGTTACTAAATGTACCTTAGGTGTGATTCCAAGGATAGTGGTAGAAAGGTTAAATGTTTGTGGGCTAGACTATGTATTCTTTGAGAATAGAGGCCATTAAGCACATGCAAATAGGGAAATCCATAGTGATAGAAAATAGATTAGCATTTACCTGAGTCACTGGCTGAGTCACCTACGGAACTCAGGCAAATTGTTACAAGAGCCCTCTGGATTATGTTATTGGCAATAGAGGTCCCAATGGATACGTGCTAAGGAACACAGGTTTTCTCCCAGAGTAGCTTCCATAAAATATCAGCGACTTGAACCCTGATTAGTTGTGACTTAGGACTTTTTCATAAAGGTTGTATGTATTTATATATTTAAATTTTATTTCTTGGCCCCATATTCTAAATTCTATATCTTCTTGAGATATTAATTAGGACAGTATTGAATTTTAGGTTAAAGTTTAAACAATATTCACATTTTGATAGTTTTGAATCTTCTTGTTATAAAAACATAGAAAGTGTCTCCATTTCAGTTCTTTTCATATATACATATATTTCTTTCTTTTCTTTTTTTTGAGACAGAGTCTCACCTTGTCTCCTGGCTGGAGTGCAGTGGCGCGGATCTTGGCTCACTGCAACCTCTGCCTCCCAGGTTCAAGCAATTCTTGTGCCTCAGCCTCCCGAGGAGCTGGGATTACAGGCACCTGCCACCATGCCCAGCTAAATTTTGTATTTTTAGTAGAGGCAGGGTTTCACCGTGTTGGCCAGGAGGCCTCAAACTCCTGACCCCAGGTGATCCACCTGCCTCAGCCTCCCAAAATGCTGGGCTTACAGGTGTGAGCCACTACGCCCGGCCCATATATGCATATATTTATTTCTTAACTGAGTTTTATGTTTCTCTTATATGTTTTATTGCATGTGAATTATGATGTTTTCCCTACGTATTTCACATCCTTGGTTTCTACTGTAAATATAATCCATTATATTTTGTAAGTTGTGCTTCTTTTATTATAATGCTTCTTTTCTTACTATTATTTTATTTTTATATTTATTATTTTTACTTTATATTATGTTTACACAGTATATTTATATTCTATTTATTATATAATTGATCAAGTTAAATCTCATATTGTTTATAAAAAATGTTTTGTAGTCCCTCCTCTGGATATTAAGTATAGAATTATATTATAGGAAAATAAGGATAATTTTTCTTTGTATTAATATTATCTTATACATTCATATGTCTAATCGTATTGTCTATTTCTTCCAGAATAATGTAATTAAAGTGATGATGGTTGGCAACCCTTATTTTATGCTTGACTTTAATGGAAATTTGGGCAAAGTATCAAGCACAAAGTTAGCTATTGGCTTAAGAGAATTGTTTTATTGATATATGTTAGGAACCATCTTTATATTCTTATTTTAACTTTTTTTTAAAAGAAATGGAAAATGGATTTTTTCCAACAATTTAGTATTGAACTTTGCAAACAAGTTTACAATAATACTCATTACCTCCCACTTAAATTTCACCATTAATATTTTACTTTGCCTTCTCGTATTTATCACTTATCCCACACTTCATTCATCTATTAATCTATCTGATTTCTATGGATTTGAAAGTAAGTTCTAGAAACCAGTTCACTTTTTCATAAATTTCTCACCAAGTATATTATTAGCTACAGTCCAAAGTTTGATTATAGTTATTTATCTTCAGATATTACACTTATATACAATGCAAATACAAAGAGTTGTTATTAATACATTTTGCACGATTCTTTGGCACACATTTGTTGAATTATGGCAAATGACTACACATGTGTAAGCCAAACCATTCTATACCCAAAGATACAGAATGTTACCATCACTTCAGAAAGTTATCTTATGACATTTCCCAATAGTTATTCCGACTTGTACCCCTTAACAGGTAATCACTGATATGATTTATCTCCACCTTAGTTTAGTTTTGCTTGTTGCAGAACTTCATATGAATGGAATCACATAGCGTAGTGTAAAGCCTCTTTCATTCAGCACATTTTTGAGATTCATCTTTATTGTTGCAAATATTAGATAATTCTTTGTACCACTGAGTGATATTCCATTGTATGAGTATGCCATAGTTTAACCATTCTTCCCTTGGCATATAGTAGGATGTTGTCCACTTCATCCATATTTTCAAATTTATAAACTTTGAGTTCTATTAAATATGTTTTTGTTGTTGTTGTTGTTGTTGGATGAAATCTCGTTCTGTCGCCAGACTGGAGTGCACTGGGGCGATCTCGGCTCACTGCAACCTCTGCCTCCCCGGTTCAAGCAATTCTCCTGCCTCAGCCTTCTGAGTAGCTGGGACTACAGGCATGCACCACCATGCCCAGCTAATTTTTGTATTTTTAGTAGAGACGGGGTTTCACCATATTGGCCAGGATGGTCTCTTGACCTTGTAATCCACCCCCTTCAGCCTCCCAAAGTGCTGGAATTACAGGGGTGAGCCACCGCGCCCGACCTCAAAATTATTTTTATGAGATTTAGCCTATTGTTAGGTATAGTTATATTCTTTTTTTTTTTTCTGTATCCACCCTACTCTTGATAGGCAATTGTGAGTTTTCATCTAGAGATTTTTTTTTTACAGCACGATTCAAAAAAATTTGCATCAAATTTTTGGGTATCTTCGGGTGAACAGTTGGAATAATTTTTATTGGCTCTATACCTAAGGATGGAACTTTCAGTCTATAGGATATGTACATGTTTAACTTTAGCTGACACTGCAAAATCATTTTTCAAAGTATTTGTATCAATTTGCATTTCTTTTAGTAGTATACAGGAGTTCATTTGCTCTACATCCTAATCAACGCTTGGTGTTTTCTCCTTTTTCAATTTAACCATTCTATGGTTTTAATTTTCATGTTTCTCATGACTAATAAGGTTAAATATCTTTAGAAATGCTTATTGGCTAGTTGGTAATCATATTTATGGAATGTCTTTTTAACTTTTTGCCTTTTTTTCTACTGAACTGTTCATCTTTTTTATTGCTTTGTAGTAGTTACTTATGTATTCTGGATACAAATCCTTTGTTAGATATATATCTTAGTCTATGGTTTGTCTTTTAACTCTCTTAATGGCGACTGTTGATGACAAATAGCTCACAATTTTAAAATAGTTCACTTTATCACTTTTTCAATGGTTGGTTCATTTCATATTCTATTTAGTAATTCTTGCCTACTCCGAGGTCAGAAAAATATATTACTATCTTTCCCTTAAAAGCATTATTGTTTTATCCTTCAAATGTAGGTCTTTTATGAATATAGTACTGATTTTTGTATATGGTATCAGGTAAGAGTCCAGAAACTTTTTTTTTTTTTTTTTTTTTTTTTTTGAGACGGAGTCTTGCTCTGTCTCCCAGGCTGGAGCGCAGAGGCGCAATCTTGGCTCACTGCAACCTCCACCTCCCAGGTTCAGGTGATTCTCACACCTCAGCTTCCTGAGTAGCTGGGATTATAGGCACCCGCTATCATGCCTGGCTAATTTTTTGTATTTTTAGTAGAGATGAGGTTTCACCATTTTTGTCAGGCTGTTCTCGAACTCCTGACCTTGTGATCCGCCCACCTCAGCCTCCCAAAGTGCTGGGATTACAGGCATGAGCCACCACACCTGGCCCAGAAACGTTTTTTTTCTTGAATTTTTAATCGATCCATCACCACTTATTGAACTGACCATCTTTTTCCCTCTGCATTTTAGTGACACCTTTCCTGTAAATTATGTCTTTATAGGTATGGATCTGCTTCTGGAATGTATTTTGTTGAGTTACTAGTTTGTTCTTTTGCCAATACCATACAGCCTTAATAACTATTGCTTTATGATAGGTCTTAATGTGTGGTTGTAGAAGTCCTCCAAATCATTCTTACTTTTCTTCAAGATTGCCTAGCTTATTCTTTGCCCTTTAGGTTTCTGAATACATTTTAATTTTAATGTCTCTCATACCAGCCTGCCAGTTTTCTCACAAAACTTACTAGAAATTTTATTGTGATTACATAAAATTTACAGGTTAAATTTGGGAAAATTACCATCTTTACAAGGGTGAATATTTCAATTCCTAAACATGGTATATATCTTTCTATGTACTGAGATTTTAGTTTTGAAATTTTTGATATAGAGCTTTTGCACATGGTTTTGCTACTTTTTTCCTATTTGATTCTATTCAAATCTTATTCTTAAATTTTAATTTTCTGTTTCTCTTATATATATAGATTTAAAATTGATTTTTGAATACTGATCTTGTAACTAGAAATCTTAAATTTACTTATTAATTGTCCTAGTTTGTAGACTCTTGTTTTTTTCTGACATGATAATGTTACCTGCAAATAATAACAGTTGGAAGTTTTTTCCAATGTGCATTCCATTTTCTTCCATGTCTTTTAACTCATAGGTTACAAGATTCTCTTTTCTTTCTAAATTGTCAATATAGTTTGAGACAGTTTATCTGAAAGGCAACATGCAGCTATGGTAGGTTTTAGAAAATGGAACTTCCTGGAGACTGATTTTAACTAAACCTAATAAATAACATTGAATAAAATACTAATTATAGAAGAGGAATTTCCTGGTTTTGGAAGAAGTTGGTTACATATCATTTACAGATTTTCAGCATCTATCAGAGACTCTATTGAAGAAATCCCTGCATCAAATGAAAGTTGTAGTAGATAATTTGGGGTCTGGGATATTGGTAATGGTTGAAAACTGAAGTAGGGATGTTAGAGCAGACCACTTACTTAAATGTTTATTGCTTTTTATAGAGGTCTGTGGACTTTGAAACAATTTATGACAATGAAACTGACCTTTTGAATTAGACTGACCCCAGTTTCAGAGGGAGCAGAGCTACTTAATGTCTGCCTTAGGAAAATCAATTATCTACAGGCCACCCAGACCCCCAAATTCTTTCTTCACTGATCCCTTCCAGCCTTTTTTGTTATCTGAAGACAATGAGACAGGAATGTCAATTAGATTTATGGAGAGTTAATAAGTATATTTAAAAAGATTGTATGGTTATAATATAATTACTTTGTTTATAATAGGTATGAAGCACTGACTTAAGTTGTATTTACATTGTGGCTTTTCAGGAAAATGACATCAGATGTTAGCATCTGAAATACTTGTCAGCACTACGCCTTTTTCAAATGAGTAGTGTTGTGACATATTCTTGTTTTTGGTGTCACAATCCACACTGAACACAGTCCTTTAACAGGAAAGATTCAGACATTATAGTTATGTACAGAACAAAATGAGAAAGTATTAATGTTTCCTGTCTATCTCCAAATTACTCCCCCCAGAATCACCCAGAATCAAATCAATGGCTTAGTGTATATCCTTCTCTTGATCTTTATAAGCTTTTGCATCTATATATTTATTTTGTTTTAACGAAAATTTGATTATACTATATATTTTTCCAACTTGCTTTTTAAATTTAAGGCATTTGAATTTACCACATTATATTTTTAAAATAGGTTGCTTCAGTTGAGATTACCATATGATTTTCTTTTGTCAGTGTTGTGAATTATGTTAAAATATTTTTTAATTTGGAACCATTTTCACTTTTGCTTAATGAGACCTATTCATATATTGTGTATTAATTCTTTTAATATATGAACGAATTCAAATTGCTAATATTTTATTGATATTTCGCACATCTATGTTTTTTAAATGAAATGGGCCTATGTATTTTTATTTACTTGTTTATTTGGACTGTCCTTTTTCAGTTTGTTACCAGAACTATTCTAGTTTTATAAAATGAATTAGGAAACTTTTCACCTTTTTCTATATTCTGAAAATACAGTATATATAATATGAGGATATTTTATTCCTCAAATCATTTGGGCAATTTTTTTTTTTTAGGGAAAGATTCTTAACTATCTTTCACAATTTTTCATGGTCACTGGACATTTCAGGTTTTCTATCTCCTCTTAGACAATTTTGATTATTTAAATTTTACTGTGTAAAGATTTATTTAATTTAGAGTTTCACATTCATTGGCTAATATTTGTTATGAATAAGTTTTCTCATGATTCTTACTCATTCTTTATATCTGTTGTCATTTTTTATTCTTGTGTTAAGCCTTGTTTGTTTCCCTTTTTTGTCAAAATAAGACTTTAAGATATTTCTATTTCCTTGATCTTTCCAAAGAAACCCTTAGATTGATTGATTTGCCAGACTAATAACAAAACTTATCCTCACACTATAGTAATATCAGTGTGGAGTTATAACAGGAATTGACATATAAGCCATTTGAATATAATAAGAAGTCCCAAAATGCATATTCACATGCTTATATGTATGCACTTAAATTTAGTTTATAATGAAAATGACACTGCAAATCAGTGGTGGAAACAAGCTGGATATGATTAATGGTGGTATCTGTCTTCCTGTCCTTGCAGACAACTCTGTGCCACTGGAATCTGGATGAATTCTTTAAACAGAGCAGGCACTCAATGGATGTTTTGAATTGATGAATGTAGTTACTTGCTTCTTTATAATTACTGTTTTAGTTTTTATTATTTTACACACTTTTGTGGGTGTATTTTGTACTTTTCTAGTGTCTTGGGTTGTACATTGAGTTGTTAATGATCCATGACATTTTATTTGCTTTTCTTTCCCTAATTTGTCTTCTCCTTTCTCTTTCTGGAGTCTTCTTAGTTGAGTGCTGCTATCTGAGTCTGTCAGTCACTTCATCTACTCTTTCTTTCATATTTTCCATTTTTTTTATATTATTTTCTGGGATAATTGAATTTGATTTTTAAAGTTTTTTTCATAACACTTCTCTTTGGTTGTTTTCTTTTGTAATTCAGTTTAAATATTCAGGAGCTTTAAATCTTGTTCTAAATCTTAACAGTACACATTCCTCATTTTTTTAATGGAAGTGATATGGTTTGATCCTGTGTCCCCACCCAAATCTCACCTTGAATTTTAATACTCCCAGTGTGTCAAGGGTGGGCCAGGTGGAGATAATTGAATCATGGGGCACTTTCCCCCATACTGTTCTTATGGTAGTGAATAAGTCTCATGAGATCTGATGGTTTTATAAAGGGGAGTTCCCCTGCACAAGCTCTCTTGCCTGCCGCCATGTAAGACATCCCTTTGCACTTCCTTCATCTTCCACCATGACTGTGAGGCCTCCCCAGCCATGTGGAACTGTGAGTCCATTAAATGTCTTTCCTTTATAAATTACACAGTCTTGGGTATGTCTCTGTTAGCAGCATGAGAACTGACTAATACAGTAAATTGGTACCAGGTAGTGGGGTGCTGCTGTAAAGATACCTGAAAATGTGGAAGCGACTTTGGAATTGGGTAACAGGCTGAGGTTGGAACAGTTTGAAAGGCTCAGAAGAGGACAGGAAGATGTAGGAAAGTTTGGAACTTCCTTGAGACTTGTTGAATGGCTTTTCTCAGATGGAGATGAGGAACTTGTTGGGAACTGGAATAAAGGTGACTCTTGCTATGTTTTAGCAAAGAGACTGGTGGCATTTTACCCCTACCCTAGAGATCTGTGGAACTTTGAACTTGAGAGAGATGATTTAGGGTATCTGGCAGAAGAAATTTGTAAGCAGCAAAGTGTTCAAGAGGTAACTTGGGTGCTGTTAAAGGCGTTCAGCTTATGTATTCATGAAGATATGGTTTGGAATTGGAACTTATGTTTAAAAGGGAAGTAGAGTATAAAAGTTCAGAAAATTTGCAGCCTGATGATGCAATAGAAAAGAAAAACCCATTTTCTGAGGAGAAATTCAAGCCAGCTGCAGAAATTTACATAAGTAACAAGGAGTCAAATGGTAATTGCCAAGACAACGGGAAAAATGGCTCCAGGGCGTCAGAGGTCTTCAGAGCAGTACCTCCCATCACAGGCCAGGAAGCCTCGGACAGAAAAATGGTTCCATGGGCCAGGCCCAGGGTCTCCCCTGCTCTGTGCAGCCTAGGGACTTGGGGTCCTGTGTCCCAGCAGCTCCAGACATGGCTAAAAGGGACAAAAGTACAGCTCGGGCCATGGCTTCAGAGTGTATAAGCCCCAAGTCTTGGCTGCTTCTACATGTTGTTGAGCCTGTGGGTGCATAGAAGTCAAGCACCGAGGTATAGGAACCTCTACCTAGATTTCAGAGGACGTATGGAAATGCCTGGATGGCCAGGCACAAGTTTTCTGCATAGGTGGAGTCCTTATGGAGATCCTCTGCTAGGGCAGTGCGGAAGGGAAATGTGGGGTCAGAGCCCCAACAAAAAGTCCCCACTGGGGCGCAGCCTAGTGAAGTTGGGAGAAGAGGGCCACTGTCCTCCAGCCCCCAGAATGGTAGATCCACTGATGGCTTGCACTGCATGCCCGGAAAAGCCGCAGACACTCAATGCCAGCCCATGAAAGCAGCCAAGAGGGGGGCTGTACATGCAGAGCCACAGAGGCAGAGCTGCTCAAGGCTGTGGGAGCCCACCTCTCACATCAGCATGACCTGGATGTGAGACATGGAGTCAAAGGAGATTATTTCAGAGCTTTAGGATTTGACAGCCTCATTGGATTTCAGACTTGCATGGGGCCTGTAGCCCCTTCATTTTGACCAATTTCTCCCATTTGGAATGGGTATATTTACCCAATGCCTGTACCCCATTGTATCTAGGAAGTAACTAACTTGCTTTTGATTTTACAGGCTCATAGGCTAAAGGGACTTGCCTTGTCTCAGATGAGACTTTGGACTTGTACTTTTGGATTAATGCTGGAATGAGTTAAAACTTTAAGGGACTATTGGAAGGGCATGATTATGTTTTGAAACGCGAGGCCATGAGATTTGAGAGGGGCCCGGTGCAGAATGACATGGTTTGACTCTGTGTCCCCACCTAAATCGCACCTTGAATTGTAATTGAATTTCAATTGTAGTTGTAATTGTAATTGAAATTTCAATTGTAGGCCAGGCGCGGTGGCTCATGCCTGTAATCCCAGCACTTTGGGAGGCTGAGGTGGGTGGATCACCTGAGGTCAGGAGTTCGAGACTAGCCTGGCCAACATGGTGAAACCCTGTCTCTACTAAAAATACAAAAATTAGCCAGGTGTGGTGGTGGGAGCCTGTAATCCTAGCTACTCAGGAGGCTGAGGCAGTAGAATAACTTGAACCCAGGAGGCAGAGATTACAGTGAGCCGAGACTGCACCATTGCACTCCAGACTGGGCAACAAGAACAAAACTCTGTCTCAAAAAAAAAAAAAAAAAAAAAAAAAAAAAAAAAAAAAAAAGAAATTCAGTTGTAATTGAATTTCTCACCTGCCACATTGCATTTTATTTTGCTGTTTTATAAACAGATTTGTAATTTTTTTCTTAAAATCATTTCTGTCATTTCATGTAAATTTAGTTAGGTGAGGAAGGTGAATGCCTGTGTTTATTCTAACACAGTGGTCTCAGTTGCCATTTGTTTTATTTATCATAACAAAATAATTTTATGTAAATTAACCTGAAAATTATAAGACCTTTACAAAATAAATCTTGCTAAATAACACCAAAAGAATATTTATAATCAAACCACTCTGAGAAAGAACCACATGTGATTTGTTTTTGCCTTGGACATAGCAGAGATATTGTGAATTTCTATGTTACCCTCTGTCCTAGTTTTATTTTAATCGTCTCTAGTTTTCTTAGCTTCACTTTGCTTACTTTTTGGAAATGCATTTCTTCTTTTGCTGTATTGTTAGCCACTTGCATGACTCTTTCTCATGGGAAAGTCCAAACTTCTTGGACTGGCTTCCAGCCCACTCTTGGTAAAAATACTATGTGATTTCCAGCTTCATTCTCATACTTAATGTTTTTGGCACAAGAAATGTGTGGTTTTTCTGAGTCTGTCATGCACTGCTGCTTTCTCCGCCAGGAATACTGTTCCTCTGTCTAACCTCCCCTGGTGCTTCATGATGGGACTTACCTTTCACTTACCTGGAAGCTCTCCCTACCCCACTCCACGCCTACTAGGCTGGGTACAGTGACTGTGTGTTCCCTCAGCTCCTGGACACACTTGGTGGAGCCCTCATATCATCATACTGTATGTAATTGCTTTCCTAATTGTATGGATTTGCCACTAGACAGTAGTTTGCTGAAGGCACAAGCTATGTCTTATTTATCTGTATTATCAGTTCCATGTCTGGTAGATAATAAATACATATTGGACAGTTGGATAGATTCATGAATAAATAAAGAACAAATAAATTAATGAATGTAATTATAACCTATCTTAAATTCTCCTTGGAATAAAATGGGTTATAAATAAATAGACAGATAATACTTTCCTTCCCTCAGTTTATATACTGCTAACTCTGTGTCATTGTTACAGGATATCTGCAGATGGCAATATAAGTGCTGCTGGTCGCCTGTGGCAGATGCCAATGTCCCTAGGTGCTTCTTCCCCTGGAACTGGGGCTATGAAGCCAGCAATGGCCATACAAATACAAGCACAGGTGAGCACTGCCCTGATGTTGCGCCTGGGAACAACTCCTTATGGCCCAGATACGTTAACTGCAAAATAAAATAAAAGCTAAAAGTCAGGCAGGCGTGGTGGCTCACGTCTGTAATCCCAGCACTTCGAGAGGCTGACGTGGGTGGATCATGAGGTCAGGAGTTCAAGACCAGCCTGACCAATGTGGTGAAACCCCGTCTCTACTAAAAATACAAAAATTAGCTGGGTGTGGTGGCAGCTGCCTGTAATCCCAGCTACTCAGGAGGCAGAGGCAGGAGAATCATTTGAACCTGGGAGGTGGAGGTTGCAGTGAGCCGAGATCACGTCTTGCACTCCAGCCTGGGCCACAGGGCAAGACTCCATCTCAAAACAAAAACAAAAACAAAACAAAACCAAACACTAAAAGTTAGTCTCCTTTTCTCTCTCTCCATATCTTGCCACCCCTAGGATTTACTGCCCAGTTGAAAAGGTTGCCATCACCATCTCTGTTTGGAAATGATGTCGCCACCACCCTTTTCACAGCTGAATATCAGACATCCAATCGGTTTCATTTTAAGGTTGGTTTGGGAGTGACTGCTAAATACATTTCTGAAGAAAGCAGTGTGCTCACATTGGGCTTGAAGTGTGGAGGCAGAAGGTACCTCTCTCCCTCTCTGCAGGAATCTCTGGATGGCATGGGCAGGCTAATTTTTATTTGATGGGGCACATGTAATTGGGTGATTTCACAAATCAGAAGCCACAAGGTGAAGAATTAGAAGCTATTCTCATGGGGTGTCATTTGAGATGGAACATCTTTTGTAGCTCTGTCTACAAGGAAGTGGTCTTATCTGCAGTTGTCCCTTCTGTTTTTCTTTTGACAGATCACTGACTTTAATAACATACGCTATGAAGTTTCCCATGAAAATATTAACCTGGTTGATGGGATTGCTGATGCCTCCAATTTGAGCTATTACGTGGAGGTTACTGATAAACCTTTCAGCATCAAAATAATGAGGACAAGCAACAGAAGAGTCTTGTGAGCTTTTCAACCCTCTTGGTGCATCTTTGAACACACAGTTCTAATATTACTCATTCTGATTTACTGGGGGTGGGCAGTGAAATCAGTACAACTAGAGAAAATGTTTGAATATTAGAAAAATGTCCAAGGGTTTGCTGTAAAATAACAGTGTTAGCCTATCATGCTCGTAAAACAGAGAATACTAAAAGGTAATACTAAAATGTTTGCTAAGTTATATAATTTTATATAATTATATAATACATAATTATATGTAATTTAATATAATTTATATAATATATAATTACATATATAATTTATATAATATATAATTATATAATATAATAATAATATATTATTACTATTAATATAATTAATAATATTATAATTATATTTAAATTATAAAATTATAAATTTCATAATTTAAAATTAAATTAAATTATAAAAATTTAAATGTAATTTAAAATATATAAAATATATAATTTAATTATACATTCCATATACTTTATATAATTTAATCAACTATATAATTTATATATTTAATACATAATTTAAAATTAAATTATAAAAATGAAGAATATAGTTATAATTAAAATATAATAAATATATTAATTATAATATAATTAATAATATTAATTAATATAATTAATATTAATAATATTAATAGAAATATGTAATAACATATAATATATAATATATAATTATATAATATAATATATAATTACATGTCATATAATTATGTATAATATAATATATAATTATAAGTAATATAATTATATAAATATATAGATATTATATATTAAATTAAATATAATATATAATATATAACATATGTATTTAATATACAAATATGTCATATTTATACGTTAAATATATTTACATATTATATATGCATTTATATTAAAATATTTAACATATATTTAATATATATTAATTTATATTTATATTTAATTTATATTTTCATTTAATTATATTTAGTTTTAATTTAATCAGTTTAATTATATTTAATTTATATTTAATATTTATTTAATAGACATTAATTTATATTTAATATAAATATTTAACATATTTAATAAATGTTAATTTATATTTAATATAAATATTTAATACATGTTAATATACATTAATATATTAAATATAAATATATAAATATATATTTTACATAAGATAATTTTTTAATATAAAATATTTATATAAAATTTAATAATATATATTTATATATTTAAATATATAGTATATTTAATATGTTTATTTGTATAATATATTTATACACAGAAATATACTTGTGGTTTACATATATTGTAAAATAGGGGATTTTATTGTTTTAAATTATTATTCATACTGGAACTCAAACTTCATTGTCTATCATTTTAAATTATTATTTACTGTGAATTTTACTATCAAGCAGTGACCAACAGTTTCAGCTTAATTCACAAACTGTACTGGAGTAAACAGAAGTATTAGTGTCTGTAAAACCAGTATTCACATCCCGGTACCAGCAGATCAACAGTCAGCTGTGTTATATATCAGGCAAAATACCTATCCTCAACAGTATCAGTTTCCTTGTCCAAAAAAAGGGACTCAAAATATCCACTTTTCCTAGGGGCAATGAGACTTTGTTTATAAAACACCCAGAGCGGTGCCTGGTATGTAGTAGATGCACATTAAACATGAAGTCAACTCTGCTCTCTTTCCCCAATTGTCCAACCTGAGCTCCTGGCATCCTGGCCCTAATGCTGTCTTCCTCTAGAATTAAAGAACCAGAGGTGCCCTAGAAAGGCCTTCAAAGGTAGCAAGAAAATTGCTAACGCCTGAAACAACAGAGGTCTAAGTGTATGTGGAAAGGAGAAGATAGCTTCCTGGCAGAGGAAAGAGTGTTTTTCGGTGATTCTTGCTCTACTTACCCCATGGCCCAGGTTGGACACGAGCATCGGGCCCCTCCAGTTTGCCCAGCAGTACCTGCAACTGTCTTTCCGACTGCCCAGTGCCAATGTGTATGGGCTGGGAGAGCATGTGCACCAGCAGTACCGCCACAATATGACCTGGAAGACTTGGCCCATCTTCACCCGGGACGCTACCCCCACCGAGGTGAGGTGGCTTTCCTCCTGAGTATCGCCCACAGTAAGGGATACCCTCCTTCCTTTCCTAAAAGTAGCCTGCAGGAATACATCTATTTTACTTTGCTCACTTTAGATGTGTTAGTGTTGAGGAATATTTGTTCTTGAGGCCTATAAATTCAGGAATATAGCAATATTAAAAATAAAAAAAATTAAATTAGAAATTTTCTAGCAATTCGAAATGCAGCATTTTTTAAACAAATTTCACTTTTAATGGGAAATACAATTTCATGATTATATTAGAACCTAGTATATACTTCTGCCAAATTACTATGTCTTGGTTTAATAACTGAGGAAAGGAAGGCTTCAGTAGGAGCCAAGCTCAGTAGAACTTGGTGGACTAAAAATGTCTCTTTTGACAGCTTTCATACTGTTCTAGGTGTTTGCTAGTGAAAGTGTGTTTCAGAAACGTCAGCGTTGGCATTACCTGGGAGGTTGTTAAAAATGCAGAATCTCAGGCCATAGCCCAGACCCACTGGATCCAAATATGCATTTTTGCAAGATCCCCAGGTGACTCACATTCATATGAAAGTGGGAGAAAGACTGCTCTGGATTAATGCCTCTCAGCTTATCTGGAGTGAAGGACTAGTTTCTTAAAAAAAAAAAAAAAATCTAGCACTGGCAATAATTTTGTAAAATACAATTAAAATATATTACTGAAAAAATGAAATAAAAAAACTCAAAGACATACCAAAAAAACCTAAATTTTCAGTTGAACAGACATAAAATATTACCCTTTTCAATTGCTATAAAAGAATTTCTAAACTTTGACTTTTGGTTTTTGCACTTGTCTTGTGGCTGACTGATAACAAAGGGTTTGAGGAAGTATTGTTCCATGGACAAAGCTTTGAGTCACATAGGTTTGTAGAGCATGTCTTGAAGCCTCCATTGTGCTGATGATATTTCTTGGATCCATGCAAGAACTGCAAGTTGAAGTATGGTGCAAGGGAGAGAGCTGACATTTTGCAATTCGTATTTGGCAGGAGATGAACAAAGCAAGTAGCACATTAACCTGTAGCCCAGCTACCAGCATCGGATACAATGGAGGGAGTGAACTTGCTGAGCAGAGCAAAGACAAAAAAGCAATAGCTAACGCATGTAATAAATGTTTGGTCAAGGACCCTGGCAAATATTGAATACTATGAATCGTACTACGTTTGACTTTCTATAGCTGACATTCCTAAATTGTATAGTCACAAATTAGATGTAATGCCTTCCTGTTTTTCTTCCTTTCTTTTTTCTTGCCTTTCTCCCCTGTTTTTTTCTTTCTTTAAAATGTATTTTAAAAATTTTGTCTGTATGCTATCCAAGTGTGATGCCATTAGTTTTCCTGGCTATAATTTTACATCTAGCTGAGGCTTATTGATCTTCTCAATTTTGCAAATTATGTTGATTCTTTCTTTTCCCTCTCCTGGTATTTACCATTATCAGTATTATTGCCTTATGCTTTGGCTAAGATGATGATACTGTCACACAGGGAACTTGTAAAACGTTCTCCGTATTCTAATCTCAACTTCTTTTATTCTTACAGCACTTAGAGTTACACACACACACACACACACACACACACACATTATCTCTTCTTAGGTCAGTGCTCATCACAGCTTCGTCACAGATTTCAATATTTTTTCTTTCTCTTTCTATCAGTTTTAAGCTTTTTTTTAACCACTTAAGTATTATATGGTAACTACAGAAACATTAGAAAATACAACTAGGTGTAAAAAATTCAAAATTACTCATAATACCATCACTTTCTGCTAATATTTTGGTATACATCATAGCAAATATGTTTACAAAATAACTTGATTGAGTTATAATTCATAGGCCAAAAAATTCATCTGTTTTAAGTGTGCAATTCAATGACTTTGAGCACATATACTGAGTTAGACAAGCATCGTCATAATCCAGTTCTATAGCTTTGACATCACCGCAATAGGATCCCTTCTGCCCTTTGAGACTTAAACTCCAGAGCTTGCTTCAGCCCTAACCAATTACTAACCTACTTTCTGTCCCTATAGATTTGACTTTTCTAGATATTTCATATCAATGAAATCATACAATATATGGTTGTTTGTGTCTGTTTCTTTCCCTTAGCATAACACTTTCAAGGTTTATTTATATTGCAGTGTGTATGATTATTTTACTGTTGTTGAATGGAATTCTTTTGTATAGATAATACCATATTTTGTTTATTCATTTTCCAGTTGATAATATCATTACAATGCCTTTTTGATACAATGTTAAACTACATGAAGTGTTGACCAAGTATATGTTATAGATGGCTTTTGAATTTATTTTAGGGTGAATGAAAACTTTCTCAACACATAACACTATGACTTTTCTTCTGTTTTGCTGATAGGGCATGATTAATCTGTATGGAGCTCATACATTCTTCTTGTGCCTTGAAGATGCCAGGGGCTCCTCTTTTGGAGTATTTCTGATGAACAGTAATGCCATGGGTAGGAAGCATCTTTTTATCTTCTGTAGGTAGGAATACGTTTTAGGATTCTGCTTTTATAAAAAATTACTTTTATGGTGAGATCAACTGTTGAACAGAAGGCATTTTGAACCTACAATACTTTTATTGAAACTGGAACCTGAAAGTAGGTTAATCTGTCTACAAATCCAGGTGATACTTGACATTGTTTTCATTGAAAACCACTTCAGGGGTCTTCTTTGGTATAATGTTTCCCCTCATAGTCTGTAGAAAATAGGATCCACTGATAGACGCATTCCAAAAATATCTGTAGATTTCAACGTGTAAATTGTGCTTTCTGTCTGTAGGCAACAAGGCTGTGTTTTGTAGGCTGTTTCTCACAGCCCACCCACACTTTCCCCACTCCAAATCTTCCTTCTCCAGCTTCTGGATTAATGGTACTCTCATAAGCATTTTTATTTATTTTTAAATATTTAATTGTAGTCAAACTCATCTAATAAAATTTTTATAACGTTTTTTGAGTGAAGCTACTCGCAAAACCCAGAAGCTTGTATTTTTATGTGGCCAGGTTAAAATACAATTTGTTCTTCTTTATCTTAAAAAAAAAAAAACAAAACTCAATTCTTCATTGGTGTCTTACACATTCAATACTTTGATAAACTCCAACAACGATCCTCTGATAAAAAGACAGTGTGATTTTCATCCCTTTCAAAATGAGACTGAGACTCTTTTAGGTGGCTCAACTATTTCTACTGCAGAGAAGAGTTTACTTCCAACCATAAGATTCTAATTAATCTCATTATAATTTTTTCAGAGGTTACCCTTCAGCCAGCTCCTGCGATCACTTATCGCACGATTGGAGGCATTCTTGACTTTTACGTATTCCTAGGAAACACTCCAGAACAAGTGGTTCAGGAATACTTGGAGGTATGTCTTTGCATTTAGATAGTCATTATTTACTGCTGTTATCTCATATACTCATTATAAATTAATAAAAGAAAAATAAAAGGTATTAGTAAACTGTATGGATTATAAATGCTGGGATAGTGAGTCTTTCATCTATTGTTTATTTATTTTGATGACCTTTATTGGGTGCTTTCTGCATTCCAAAGAGACACTGTGCAAGGCTTGAGAAATGCAAAAAGAAGTCAGACACCATCCTGCTTTCAAGTAACTCATAGTCCATTCATGTATCCCACAAATCAGCAAAGCTTATTCATTCAATAAGTTAAAATTCAGTGAAAAGGAACTACCTGAATAAACTTTGCTAGCTATTCACATTTGACTCAAATTATAGAAAAGGAAGACGCTTGAGGTTGGCTGCAGTGGCTCATGCTTGTAATTCCACCACTTTGGGAGGCCAAGGTGGGCGAATCACTTGAGGTCAGGAGGTTGAGACCAGCCTGGCCAACATGGCAGAGCCCTGTCTCTACTAAAAATACAAAAATTAGCTGGGCATGGTGGCGTGTGCCTGTAATCTCACTCCTAATCCCATCCATTCTTATTCCTTTACCCTTTGCACACACCACTATCTGAAATTATATTAGGCATTTATTTATTTCCTCTAAGCTCTCTGAGGGCAGGAGCTATGTTTGCTCTGTGCCACTATATTCCAAGTGCCCATATTAGCCCTTGCCACACTGTGAACAAATATTCAGAAAAACACTTATAGAATAATGAATGTCACCAGTTTCCCCTAAGATGACACCATTACTGAAACATTTTCTGCAAATTTTATTAGTGTCTGATCTGATGTTGGGAATACATTTATGTACTTAGTAAAGAAGGATGTGATTGTGGAATTTCACAAATTATTCTAGCAGATTACTCTTAGCTCTGACGTTTTCAGCTCTGGGAACTTCACAGAAAATGAAATGGGGCTAATGTTATTCTCAAAGCCTACACACTTACTTATCTTTTCAGCTTGTTGGACGGCCATTCTTCCCTCCCTATTGGAGTCTTGGGTTCCAGCTTAGTCGCAGGGACTATGGTGGCATCAATAAATTGAAAGAAGTTGTAAGCCGAAATCGTTTAGCTGAGATACCATATGTAAGTCGAAACTTCTTTTACCATGCAGTTGACACCAATTCCCATTTTTATTTTTTGCATTAAATTCAATGTATTAGGAAAAATGTAGATAAATCATTAGATTGATAGACAGGCACACTTGCTGGCAGAAATTTGCATGTTAAGTTATGTATCTGAGCATGAAAAGTATACTGTTAATGAAGCCTGATAGAGGTGGCTTTGAATTTTAGCTTTACCTCTTCATAGCTCTGTGCAATGTTGCGCCAGTTAATTAACATCTCTGAGCCTTAGTTTCCACCTTTATAGAATGAGGATGTAAGACTTACTTTGGTGGGCTGGTAGTAAGGAATGCCTTATACTGTGCATGTTGAAGCATCTAGCACTGATGGTGAACATCATCAAAGTTAGCTATTATGTTATTAGAGAAAGCAACACTGGAGGTGACATGAGGAACAAGAGCTGATGATTATAATGACTTACAGTAAATGAGTTTCTCACGGTGACCTCATATACTCCTCCCAGATCTGATAAACTCTAATTTTGAAGCTTCATGGTTGCATCAGTGTTTATGATGTTCAATGTCCACCAGTAAGTCAAGATAATTATTAAGTGTGTAATATTTGATGATCTTCTCCAGGAGATGCATAACATGTGGCTAATGAATTTATCAAAACAACTTATTGGGGGTAGCTCTTTGGGATTTTGAAACTTTGATGTAAGAATATAGTGTTGGCCCAGTGCGGTGGCTCATGCCTGTAATCTCAGCACTTTGGGAGGCTGAGGCGGGCAGATCACTTGAGGTCAGGAGTTCGGACTAGCCTGGTCAACATGGTGAAACCCCGTCTCTATTAAAAATACAAAAAAATTACCCAGGTGTGGTGGCACATGCCTGTAATCCCAGCTACAAAGCAGGCTGAGGCAGGAGAATCACTTGAACCTGGAGGCAGAGGTTGTAGTGAGCTGAGATCGCGCCACTACACTCCAGCCTGGGTGACAGAGTGAGGCTCTATCTCAAAAAAAAAAAAAAAAAAAAAGAATATGATGTTAACATCTGAAGGAAGACTGAACATATGGACATGGCTTTGGCCTGCTTTCAGGGTTCTTCAATGCCCTCTCAGAGTAGTGATGAGGGCAGGCAGGGGGATCAATTTTTCCTGTAAAAAAAAAAACAGATGGTCAATGTGTTTTGGTGTCAAAGGGGAATTGATTGTGTTTAATTTTACTTCTCCCATATCTATTATCTGCAAACATCCAATTCCAGGAAGAATTTTCTTCCGCAAATAGAATCTTTCCCTACATTTGTTTGTGGAGGACACGTGGGTCCTAAATGACTGCTCAGTATTAGAACAGTTGATGCCACTTTGGGCAACAGGCCATAAGCCACATTTTCCTTCAGGCCTGTAAGGTCGAGACTCCTACTGTATGATACTTGAGGAACACTTAGAAGAACACTTCCTTTGTCTTTGAGGAAGGTGGCAGATTGGGGAAAAAAAGAGCATCTGAAGCCAAAGAGCCTGTCCCCAAAGCCCTCATCAGCCCCCCTACCTCCCAGTGCATGTATTTTGGGAAATGTCACTGAACTCCCCTACATTTCAATTTGCTCACTAAGAATAACACCTGCTCCCTAGGCTGATATGCAAACACAAGGAAAAATGTGTGCATGAGAGTTTAGTTGATAAGGCTTTATCTTTTTGTCATTGATCTGTGTTAATCATTACTCTAGCACTTTCGTAGGGCAAAAGATCATTTTCTCCTCATATGATATATTCTGGCTTGATGCTTGGGTTAAGTTAGTACATGGTTATAACATTAATAATATGATTCATTCAAACAACCATTTAAAGAGCGTCTGTTTTATGTCAAGCATCCAAGCTCTCAAGTTAAAGAGATGAACAAGATGCAATTCCTGCTCTCAAGTCCCTCCCAATACCTTATGACATGCACCTGTCAGGACAAGGAGGTAAAACAGCAACCAAACAGCAATCATGTCTTTCAAAGATAGCTTATTTTCTCCTAAGAAGTAGCCAAGCCCTGGAAATTCCAGGATCATTAGAAAATATGGTTTCATTTTCAATGGTCAGGAACCAGAGCTGTAATACTTTCCATCAGCACAGTGCTGTTTCCTAGGTTCTGATTGACCAGAGCTCTCTTTCAGGATGTCCAGTACTCTGACATAGACTACATGGATGGAAAGAAGGATTTCACTGTTGATGAAGTCGCTTACTCTGGTCTCCCAGATTTTGTCAAGGAGTTACATGACAATGGACAGAAATATCTTATTATTATGGTATGTTCAAACACTTGTTACCTTATTTTTTCCTTTGTAGTGCAAAAAATTTATGAAAATAATATTTATATCGTATTTCTTTATTAGAATCCTGGCATCTCCAAAAACTCTAACTACGAGCCCTATAATAATGGAAGCCTAAAGAGAGTGTGGATCTTGGGGAGCAATGGCTTTGCTGTTGGGGAGGTAATTTCTTAAGAAAATCAAAGTAAATTATGATTGTTTTGGGGAGTTGTACTTTTGGTACGAAGATGAGTGAAAGGCAAGTTACAATATTGTTACTGTTTTCATGGCTTTAGAGGTTTCTTTTATTACTATTTTAAACCAGTAGATATAATAATAGAATGATTAAAAACCTGAAGAATTTAAAAAGCTAGCCTTGATCCTCTAATACCATAGATAATTGAGAAGCAATATATAACTAGAAGAAAAATCAGTTACCTAAAGCCCTCCCACCTCCAAATTTCTCTTTCCCAAGACAATAAATTCAACTACAAAAATATAGCAAGATGCTCATAGATTAATGTGGAACTGATCTCAGCTAATATATTTTATTTTTTTTAAGTTTTAATTTTTATTTTTTTGAGATGGAGTTTCACTTTTGTCACCCTGGCTGAGTGTAATGGCATGATCTTGACTCACTGCAACCTCTGACTCCTGGGTTCAAGTGATTCTCCTACCTCAGCCTCCCGAGTAGCTGGGATTACAGGCACACGCCACCATGCCTGACTAATTTTTGTATTTTTAGTAGAGACGGGGTTTCTCCATATTGGCCAGGTTGATCTCGAACTCCTGACCTCAGGTGATTTGCCTGCCTCAGCCTCCCAAACTGCTGGGATTACAGGTGTGAGCCACCATGCCTAACCTATATTTTAAATTTACACAAGACTTATAGATAGAGCATAGTTTTGATTCTGAGGTAGCAGACTCAGGCAGTGGAATAGGCTGAGCTGGGGCCTATATTCAGGATAATTAAATTTCTGAGAGTACTTTAAATCAAATCACATAGGCAATTTCAATTATATGTAGGGTCAGCCCTAGATGATTGGATTCTGTAAGATTTACTCAAATTGTTGCTTCATCTAGAGAGTTCACGTGACTGCAGATCTTGTTGCTCCTGAGTAGTTTATTTTGCGAAACTGTCTTTTCAGGGTTATGGATGATCCCTTACCAAAATCTGCCCACTTAATTCCTTTCATTGACTCTTTCGATGCTTAATTCTATTTACTTTTTTTTCATTGATTCTAACTTTTCATGAAGCAGTAGGAAAGTTTTCTTCCTTCTGCACACCAAGTCTTTGCTTTTACTGTTTCGTTAGAAGCTAGTTTCTAAAATATTAGATAAGCCCATATTTATATACTGCATTTAGAGTCCATAGTCAAATAAAAATTATTTTGCTCACCTAAAATTTTATCCACACTTATGAGTCATTTCAATAGTACTCATATTTGAGTGATATATAATTAAGAATTTGCATATAATTACAAATAATGAATTAGATAGTTGACTTCATTGACCAATAAATGGCATGAATCATTTAATCTAAGATGTTGGCAGAGATAGCAGTAGTGGAGGTGCATAGTGGTGTGTGTTTTTTTTTTTTTTTTTTTTTTTTGAGATGGAGTCTTGCTCTGTTGCCCAGGCTAGAGTGCAGTGGCACGATCTCAGCTCACTGCAACGATCTCAGCTCACTGCAACCTCTGCCTCCCAGGTTCAAGCGATTCTCCTGCCTTAGCCTCCCAGGTAGCTGGAATTACAGGTGCCTGCCACCATGCCTGGCTGATTTTTGTATTTTTAGTAGAGACGGAATTTCACTCTCTCGGCCAGACTGGTCTCGAACTCCTGACCTCGTGATCCACCTGCCTCAGCCTCCCAAAGTGTTGGGATTACAGGCGTGAGCCACCATGCCAGTCCAGTGGTTTGTTTTAAATGCACTTAGTTGAATAAAATTTGCTGGCTCGCTCTAGGTTGAATGTTGCTGTAGGTGACTGTTTTGTGACACCACCTGTTTCCTGGGGTGCAGAGTTAACATCTAATTGTTAGTTGATGCCCATCGCCTAAAACAAAGAGCCAGGAGCTCAATCCATTTACTGTGGGTATTTCAAGCTCCCATCTTGAGTTTTGAGAAGTATCCACATTTCAAAATATGTATTCATTATGTTCCCGGAGTGTAAAGTTGTTCCTAAATTACAATCTATAAATTTATAGGGAAAATGAGCAAAAATTTTTTACAAAAACTGGTATCCTTTTAATTAAGAATTTTCAAAAATTTGGCTATGGTTATATCTTTGTTGTGGACAATCTTTAAAGCTATTGTTTGATAGGCATAGACAGAAAAGGGAGGTAGAATTTAAAAAATGACCTGAGTAAGAAGCGCAAACTTCATTCAACCATTTATAAAATATTGCTTATATGCCAAAAATATCAACACATTATTTATAATCATACTTATTCAAAGTAGACTTTATGTGACCTTTAATTAACAACACTTGAAAAAAGTTCATTCTCTTGAAAAATAATATATAGACTTTCTAGTATTTTAAACAATTTGTCTCCCAACTGGCCTGACATAATGCAGTTGTACTTTTTAAATTTTCTTTTGCACAGAAAAGGACTTATGGTGGCTTTTCATTGATCTACTCTGTTGCTTTTCCTTTTATTGTTTTTTCCTCTTGTTCCTTGTATGCATTTTATTGTTTAGTTTTTGTTGGGGTAGTCACACATTTTATTTCTAAAATGACAGCAAAATGAGGCTCCTAGTAGAAGAAATCACTGTCGGTCAAAATGAAAAACCTTCAACCAAGCTGATTGCCACTGCCTTCCTCTGTGTCCTAGGGATATCCGGGACCGACAGTCTTTCCCGATTATACCAATCCAGTATGCACTGAGTGGTGGACAGATCAGGTCGCTAAATTTCATGATCATCTGGAGTTTGATGGAGTGTGGATTGTAAGTTATTATTCCTGACTCAAATTTCCTTTGGAAACAGATAACGCCAAATTTTCAGATGAGTTTTGACCTTGATGTCAAATAAATGTCAATAAAAAATAGTTTGCTTTATGTAGTAGTATTCAAAATTATTTTACTTAAGGCTGAGTCTATATCCAGTGAATTAGGCTCCTAAGAGCCTTAGGTTCTTATCCTGCATCTTTCATCAACTGGTTATTTCATTTTGATAAAGTTTTTGCTTTCTCCATTAACTGGTTGTCAGCTTAAAAATACTGTTTTATTAAAACAGTATTATAATTGCTACTATTTGTAGCATTGATTCATAAAAATTTAAATTAATCATTAGAGAATAATTTAATGAGGGTCTCGTATTTTTATGGAAGAACAATAGGAATTTCTTCAACAAATGTTCTCTGAGTGCCAATGTGCAAGGCATTGGAGCAGCCATTTGGGAAGCACTCTGATGAATAAGATGTGCAATGATAAAGAATATTTGTTTGTTGCCAAGATTAGACATCACTTATTTTTAATTCATGTAAGAAAATAGATTTGATCTTAATTATATTCTCTTACTGTTCCTCACTCAGAGGAATAAAGGATAGGGACAGTTAACAATAGAAATGTTAGTTTATCTTAGGTTCTTAACAATAACAATAAATATTTACAATTTGTAAGGCAAGGATCAACCTTTGAAATGGTATTTCTGAATTAGCTGATTGAAATCAATTTATAAAAAGTAAAAATGTGCCCACTGTCATTTAGAAGTGGAACATACCTTAAAAATATATAACCTAATCCAATGACTCAATTTTATAAAAGATGAAACAGAGGGTAAGAAAAATTAGGGAGATTATTTAAAATCCAAAAAGCAGTTGATAAGGGACCCAGATATCCTGGCTCCTAGTTCAGTAAGCGTTTCTCAACAGCTAAATGTAGCTCAATCGCATTTTACACTTTGTGTGTTTTGTGTCTTTGAAGGAAATGAATGAAGTATCTAGCTTACTCCAAGCTTCTAATAACCAGTGTGAATCCAACAACTTGAACTTTCCTCCTTTTCTTCCTAGTAAGTTTTCACCTGTTTGCTATGACGTAGGAATAAGCCATGTTTAAAACACCCTCAGTAATACTCAGTGTGGTCGGGAGCAATTTCACTTCCTAGTCCAAGGGGTCTCCTAAACATCCTGAGCACTCCTCTGCCGAAGTCTCTGCAGCAGTGTTGGGTCTCTGATTACCCTTTTGCTGTCATAACTCCAGGGCAAGCATGTGACAAAGTCTGAGCCTGCCTACCTCCCCTGGCTGCCCTTCCAGTCTAGAATTCAAAATGCTTTCATCCTGTTCATTTCCCCCAAATCCCTCAGGTGTCAATTTTAAAATCTATGAGAATTTCAGGACACTTCAGGATACAGACTACCTTAAACTGAAGTAAACCTGTAATCTTCTTAACTGTTTTCTTTATTCTTTACTTCCTTCTTTCCTCCTTACCCTCCCTTCCTTCCTTCTTCCCTTTTTCCTTTTTCTTTTTTCCCTCCCTTCCTCCCTCTCTCTCTGATCATTTACAACAGTTTAAAGCATCAGTGGTGCCTTCAAGGTCCCATTTATAGGTCCCATTTCTAGTCAAGGTCAATTTTCCAGTTTCTGATTTTGAAAGAATATGTGTGGAGGTGGCGGGTGGCAGTGGCAGTATAGAATACACTATGCTCTGGCAACATATAAACCCCAATATCTCAGTGGATTAACACAATAATCGTTTACTTTTTGCTCACATCATACTCTGATGAGGGATGGGTGACTTGAATCCAAGTGGTGACTCGGATCTATGTCTGGTTCTCCCATCTCCTCAGAGACCTTTGTTTCTGGCTTCCTGGGTGAGGGAGAGAGAGGGTGGAGAAGATTTTATGCGCAGGCCTAGAAGGAAGGTGTACCCAATTGGCCCACATTTCTTTGCTAGAATCTGGTCATGTAGCCTCAGCTTAACCTCAAGGGAAGGTATAATCTTCTTATATTTCCAGAAAGAGAACACTGACATGTTGGGCACCCGAACAGTCAGTGTATTCTGATTTGCCCACTTTACTTATACCCCTGAGACCAAGGTACAGCTGTTTCTTTAACTCCTTTTGGTCACTTAAGGAGTAAATAATTTTTTGGAGGAAGTCTTTACCTCTTGCAACATCTACTGTTTGCTTTTTCGACTTACTCTTTGTTCTTCTCTGCTCTGTCTGGATTCCCCCATTTTTTTTCCACTCTGGATTAGTTTATCATGTTTTTTTTTTTTTTTTTTCTTAATTTCTCAATCCTCTTTTTGGCCAAAACTAAATTTTGTTTTTGATTTTTTTTTTTCCCTATGGAAAACCTCAATCCTATCACTTTCTGCTTGCTTGTGGTGGACACGGCCACTTTTGCTCATAGCCAGGCAGCCCCTCCCCTTTCCAGGATTGCATAGTGCACATTAATTAGCATGAGAAAGAGCACTGAAGTGGTTGTGAATCTCATGCCACACACCAAGCTGTGCAAGAAATAGAATTTTCTTCCCATCTTACATTTCAACTTAATTTCCAGCTCCAAACCTTGATTCTGTTATACTGCGTAGGAAAAACTCAACCTCAGTCTTTCCTGGTCCCACCACTTTCTGGAATTGTGCCTCACACTCAGGTCCTAGGTATGGGCAAGACTTTGTGAAGGAAGGTAGATACGGCCCCAGTGAAGAGTTCACAAGGAGAGGAAGTGGCAGAGAAGACTGGCCATTTCAGGCTTGAGGAAGGGAAAATGCAAACAATAATTCTCAGAGGTAGGATTTGAGTACTTACACATCAAACTGTCAAACTACCCAAATGTCCAAATGTCACATCTTATTTTTTTTTTTTTTGAGATGTAGTCTCGCTCTGTCACCCAGTCTGGAGTGCAGTGGCACGATCTCGGCTCATTGCCACCTCCGCCTCCCGGGCTCAAGTGATTCTCCTGCCTCAGCCTCCCAAGTAGCTGGGACTGTAGGCGCACACCACCATGCCTGGCTAATTTTTGTAATTTTAGTAAAGACGGGGTTTCACCATATTGGTCAGGCTTGTCTTGAGCTCTTGACCTCAGGTGATCCACCTGCCTCGGCCTCCCAAAGTGCTGGGATTACAGGTATGAGCCACTGTGCCCAGCCTCTATTTTTCTTTTAAGTGTGACTGTATTATAAAAAAGAAAAAGTTCCCTTTCTCTGCCTTCATACCTATACATTGTACACTCAATTTCTCTTGATTAAATTTATGTAGATAAACACTATATGCTTTATACTTAGGCTCAGATCCACTGCGTTTGCTCTGAGCATGTTTCTCAGTTGCCTCCCCTCACCAGGATTCTTTGTGAGCTCAAGGGAATGCAGATTAATTTTAATAATCCATCTCCTTGGAGGTCTCAATGTTAGCCCCAGGCAGGAAATAGCATTTAGGATAGAATTTAAAATCTGGAATGGATTTGGTCAGGTGGAGATTGGTGGGGAAGGTACAGTAATCAGGAAGAAAATAGTTGGGCCGCTAATTTGTTAAAGATGGTTAATGAGGAAGTGCCTCACTAATGAGTATTTCCCTCCAGGAGTTCTGGATCACTTACTTTTTGCAAGAACTCTCTGCATGGACACGGAGTTTCATGGGGGCCTTCATTATGACATCCACAGCTTGTATGGCCACTCCATGGCAAGAACCACAAACTTGTAAGGACTTGGTTTTCACCCTAATTCCAGATATGTGGAGGTGGGAGGTGGAGGTGGAGGTTTTTCTTCTGTTCTATATGTAATATATTGTTCAAATATTTTTTGCATTTATAGAAATAGAAAAACTGTTCTTACAGAGTATTTAAGAGTTCCTCTCATATACACCCTGGTTTCTGTACAGGATTATCTTTGATTAGCTTATGGCTAAGGAGCTTATTTCAAGGATACTAGCAGGCAATACTATGTAAGGCATTTAGAGTCCTCAGCTAGAAGTCAGCTCTTGCTTGGATCCTTTTACTGAATGCACTAGGATTGCTTGATTTTAGCAAATAAAAATACAGGACACCAAATTAAATTTGTGTGGGACATTCTCATACTAAAAATTACTTGTTGTTTATTTGGAATTTGAATTTACCTGTATTTCCTTTATTTATCTGGAAATGCTACACCATATCCTTCTATTTCCTTCCCAATGTCCTGCTTGTCTACCTCATAATTCTCCCTTCTGCCCTAAGACACACACACATGCACACACACGTGCACACACAACTATCACCATCACCACCACCATTACCTAACACCATCACCATTGTCATAACCACACCATTACTACCACCATTATTGCCATCACCACCACCATCACTACCACTACTATCACCATCACCACCACCACAGTTATCACCACCATCCCCCCCACCACCACAATCACTATCACCATCACCACCACCCACCATGACCACCATTCACCATCACCATCATAACCGCTACCACTACCATCACCACCACCACTACCATGACCACCACCACCATCCCTACCACCACCATCACCATCATCACTATCCCCATCACCACCATGACTATCACCATCACCTTTACTGCTGTTGCCACCACCACCCATTATGAAAGTCTACCAAGGAGACAAATGTGTTCTGCAAATCATAACATCCTTTATATCTTGTCATGTAGATTGTTTACTTGTGACTTAGTAAATTGAGAAATAACTCCTCTTCTCACTGTGTAGTTTCTTCTGTGGAAGATGGTACAATACAATCATTATACCTAAGAGAGCAAGAAAATTTGGGGCCAGGCTTAAGATTTTAATTTGAATTTGCAGCACAGATGCGGAAACTAAAGAGCTGCTGTGGATCCTCCAGTGGCTTAGGAAAGAGCATCTTTGTCTTTCTCGGCTTCTTTCCCCCTGTTTTGGTGTTTCTAGAGCACTGTTGTGCTCTACAAGACAGGGAGACTTTGATGGGTTTATGGGGCCTGTCTCAGTCCTTTTCTTACTTGACTTCTCTTTCTCCTTGGTACTCAAGGCCATAACCACTCCTTTAAACTTAGCTCCTTCAGTCCTTAAGATACTGCTCTGCTGGCTTGGTGCGGTGGCTTACGTCTGTAATCCAAGCACTTTGGGAGGCTGAGGTGGGCAGATCACCTGAGTTCAGGAGTTTGAGACCAGCCTGGCCATCATAGTGAAACCTCGTCTTTACTAAAAATAGAAAAATTAGTCGGGTGTGGTGGCAGGCGCACCTGTAATCCCAGCTATTTTGGAGGCTGAGGCAGGAGGATCGCTTGAACCCGGGAGACGGAGGTTGCAGTGAGCCGAGATCACGCTATTGCACTCCAGCCTGGGCAACAAGAGTGAAACTCCGTCTCAAAAAAAAAATAAAAAAAGATACTTCTCTGCCTGGTGCCTCTGCTCTCTTTCCAGCTGTTCCCTCTCATCTGTGTGCCTGGATCTTTTCCATCAGCTCTTTCACTATTGATGATTCTTAGGAATCCATCCTCTGGCCTCTTCTCTTTACAGTCTATGCCAACACATAGGTAATTTATAAGTAATTTATTTCTTTTCATGGTTTTCACTGTAATTAATTCTAATGATTTTAAAATCTATAATTATACCTGAGATGTTTACCTAATTTTTAGACACAAATATCCAAAACAATCTTCTGACGTTGTCTACTTGGATGTTTTGTTTTTTTTTTGAGACGGAGTCTCGCTCTGTCGCCCAGGCTGGAGTGCAGTGGTGCGATCTCGGCTCACTGCAAGCTCCGCCTCCTGGGTTCACGCCATTCTCCTGCCTCAGCCTCCCAAGTAGCTGGGACTACAGGCAGCTGCCACCACGCCCGGCTAATTGTTTGTATTTTTTAGTAGAGACGGGGTTTCACAGCGTTAGCCAGGATGGTCTCCATCTCCTGACCTCATGATTCACCCGCCTTGGCCTCCCAAAGTGCTGGGATTACAGGCGTGAGCCACCGCGCCCGGCCTTACTTGGATGTTTTGTAGTACCTCAAATAGCATTCACCTTGCTCTGTTACCTGTTTTCACCTAATCTTCCCACTGTAGCTGATCATTTTTGAAGCTGTTAAATTCTTTTTTTTTTTTGAGACAGAGTTTCGCTCTTGTTGCCCAGGCTGGAGTGCAATGGCGCGATCTCAGCACAATGAAACCTCCGCCTCCCGGGTTCAAGCGATTTTCCTGCCTCAGGCTCCTGAGTAGCTAGGATTACAGGCATGCGCCACCACGCCCAGCTAATTTTGTATTTTTAGTAGAGACGGGGTTTCTCCATGTTGGTCAGGCTAGTCTCAAACTCCCGACCTCTGGTGATCCGCCCACCTCGGCTTCCCAAAGTGCTGGAATTGCAGGCATGAGCCACCACGCCTGGCTGAAACTCTTAAATTCTGTATCTTGGTTGGTAGCAACAGCATCCCTATATCCCAGACTCTCAAGTGAGAAGCATGAAGCCATCTTTTATGCCTTTTGTGCCCTCACATACGATCAGTCCTTGATCCTTTTGATGTTACTTTTGAAACATTTCTGTAACCACCTCCATTTTCCCCCCTTAATACTTCTTAATTAGGTTATCATCATCCCTCACACAAATCATTACACTAGGCCCAGAACTAATCTCCCTGACTTTACCCTTATCTCCCAGTAACCTACCCTCTACCCTTTCTACTTGAAGCATAGTCCAAGGAACAGCTGCATCAGCATCACCAGAAAACATTAGCATCTTGGACCTCAACCCTGAACTTAGTAATCAAAACCTGCATTTTATCAAGATCCCTGGGTGTATTGAACGTATGTTAAAATCTAGAAAGCACTGCTGTACATTCCTGAGAAAGTGACCTTTCTAAAGCACTGTTTGCTCATTTCTCTCCCCAGTGTAAAATTATTTGTGCCTTGCTATTTTTTATACAGTGAAATTCTTAGCATAACCTATAAGGTACTTTATAATCGAACCCTTTCTTACAATTTTTCTCTCACCTTTGCATCTTCTTGTTCCCAAATCCAAGTGCTATTCATTCTTCCATGCCTTTCATGTGCTATTTGCCGTGCACAAGATGGCCTTCCTTACCCTGTCCATTTTGCAAAATATGCTTATCTATAAAACCTCATCTCCAATCTCAATGCTGGGAACTTTCCTGACAGTTCTAGGAAAAGATTATTTCCCATTTTCTGTGCCACATTTGTTCATATTCCAATATGCTTAGTATGCAAAAAACATGGTATCAAATTTTAGATGCTAATTTTCTCTCTGCTGGACTGTAAGCTTTTTGAGGGCAAAGTCAGCCCATATCCTTAGCCTTATCAATAGAGTGTGTACTGAAGACACTTTGTTGGATAAATGCCTGGCCTGAGAGAGAGAGGAAGGGCAGGACCCAGCACCTAGGGGACCTGATGACTTCGAGGCAGAGACTGGGTCGGTGTTATTTTCCAGCACTATTTTGTCCTCATGACTTTGCATTACATTAGATTATCCAGATGAGAGTTCTTGTCCAGAAAATGTAAAAGTTTGTATTTTGGTTAAAAAAAGAAAACCTCTAGGAAGAATGACATATATTTCTGATTCATTATCTTCTCTTTGTCTTTTCTCTCTCATTCTATTTTTCCTGAGAAATAAACTGGATAAATAAGACTCAATTTCCTCATCTCTGAAATGAGACTCGGATTGGTATTCCCATAATCTCCTGTTCTGATATAGTTTTATTCTTAGATGCTTCTATCTAAGAATGAGAAATGGGAAACAGAGTGAGTAGTCAGGGTAAGAAAGAGTAAGAAAGGGTTGGAGGAGGGGAAGAAAGTTTCAAATTACTTTTTTGCCCGTGACTCCATGTGGTAAAAGTGCTATAAATCAAGAATGGGTTGGTTAATATATTCTAATAGTTATGGTTAATAGTTAAAAGGTAATTGTGATTGAGCAAATAGTAGGTGTCTTTCTAATTTCTCTGGCCAGGCATAATGGCCTACGCTCCCAGAGGACAGTGGAGATAAGTGGAACTTGGTCTTTGGGCATGAGGCAGAGTGGATCAAAAAATGGATAACATTTTCATTCAATGGGATCTGGACATCAGAAGAACTAAAGTAATTGGTCTGATAAATATTTGGCTCAACCTTAAATGGAAGTATAGTCTGGGGACAGTGGGCCAACCAGGAATAAAATTATCCCCACCTCTAGGCTGAAAGCCGAAGGAGACTAGAGTCTTTCAGTGATCACAACCTGATTATAAATTGGCCAGACCTGGGGGATAGAAAAGAGAAAACTAAAAGACAGAAAATACAAAGCCTCTGAGTAAGACTGTTCCTTTAAGATGTTTAAAAAAAAAAAAAAACCCAGCAGTTATCTAATCTGTTTTACCACAGTACCAGCCTGCCTCTAAATAAACTGGAACCACAGATATCTTCAACCCTGTTTTGGTTTCACTCTGTGTAAGCTGAATGTGTTTCTTTCATGATTGATTACTGCAGAGTATAATAAACCTGCAGCCAGTGGTAATAAAAGCAAAGTGTCGGCCAGTCTACATTAAAGTAGAAGTGGGGATAGGAGTTGAGTGAGTCCTCTCCTCCAACCTACCCCTATTTTTGACAGTAAATTGTCAGAATGAAGCCCTTTACTTTCTTAAAGCAGTTTTCCGTTTCAAAATTTTCTCCCTTTTGCCATTATAAGCCATTCAGTATTTATAGACTCTCCAAACTTCCCAGGAAAATGAAGTGAGGAGGCCTTGGTGACTGTGATAGTGTATTGAGGAATTGCCTGGTGCCTGGTGATAAAGACTTGCAGAGAGAGGTTTTAGGAAAAGATACACTTGTCTCAGACCATGTATTAGAAAGCGGGAAAGAAGAGCTTGCCTGCGAAGAGCTGGCAGAAACTGTGGCGTGGCTCAGGTCTTACTGTCCTTTAATTGTATTATTGTTCAATTTTATAATTCTAATGGAAGATGTGGGCTTTTTACCACAGGGGGGAAAAAAGAAAAGAGGAGAGTCATTTCAATAAAATGCCTATTCAAAAGGTGTCCAGAATAAAAGCTAGGCAAACAGCCCACATCCAACCATAGGTCACCCCACTGTATGTTCATCTGTGCCCCTGAAGTAATTACCATTCTGAATTCTGTGCTTTTAATTTCTTTGCTTTTATTCCTTTTTTTTTTTTTTTTTGTCTGAGACAGAGCCTTGCTCTGTCGCCCAGGCTGGAGTGCAGTGGCACGATCTTGGCTCACTGCAACCTCTGCCTCTTGGGTTCAAACGATTCTGCTGCCTCAGTCTTCTGAGTATGAGTAGCTGGAGCTACAGGCGCACACCACCATGTCCAGCTAACTTCTGTATTTTTAGTAGAGATGGGGTTTCACCATGTTGGCCAGGTTGGTCTCGATCTCCTGACCTCGTGATCCACCCGCCTCAGCCTCCCAAAGTGCTGGGATTATAGGCGTGAGCCACCGCGCCCGGCCTGCTTTCATTTCTATATTGTTTTACGTAACATGTAATATTTTATTTATAATACAATGAAAATAATATTTTCTATGTTAGTTGTTTTTAACTTTATAGAAAGTATCAGATGCGATCTTTTGAGACTTACTCATTTCAATGACTCTTATTTTGCATAGATTAAAATTTGCTAACATTGAGAATTGCTAAGAATAAGTCTGAAGTTTCAGAGGAAGCCAGGGATAAGTTCTGAAGTTTCAGAGGTGTACCAGCTGGTGCATGAACTCTCCTCTTAGTCCAGCAGAGGGTGCAGAGCTCCCATCGGAGCAGGTGCTGTGCTGTACAGGATTATGCATGGCAGAAATTCATGGAACCAAAGGACATTAGAAAAAAGATGGGACAAGGAACTCAAATCATGGTTCCAATATACTGTTGACCAAAAGGACCAGACCACAACCAGATCCAACTAGACAGAGAAAACAAAATCGGGGAACGGAAGCCTAGAGAAATTGCTATGGGGGCTAGAATATAGAGGTTTGTACTGTCTTATATGAGATCTGAAATCTTACCCCAAAATGGGAAAGAAGCTCTTAGATAGTACTAAGTTTATGACACCTGGTTTATGACACCCTCATGTTGTTTTCTCAGTTTGGTTAGAAAGTCCATTGCTGCTCTTATTGTAAGGTGAGTCCTAGACATTCACAGCCCACCTCACACTCCACTGGATGTATTCCTTTCCAGAGCCCTGGAGACCATCTTCATGAATAATAGGAGCTTCATCTTATCCCGTTCTACTTTTGCTGGATCTGGCAAATTTGCTGCTCATTGGCTGGGGGACAATGCGGCCACATGGGATGACCTCCGATGGTCTATCCCCACTATCCTTGAGTTCAACCTGTTTGGCATCCCCATGGTGAGCCTTATTTCCAACCAGGGAACTTTAACCCTTTGTCTGTTGACATTCTTTTAATTAGCAGTCTTAGAGATTATCTGAAAAACCAAGGATCATGTTCCAAGGTGATATGTATTGGAAAGATCAATTTTTATGTGTTACGTGAGCTGCCTTCTGAAGATAGAATGGTAGTACTTTATCACTGAGTTGTCATCCATGGAATCTCTGAAGATAGGAAGGAGACAGCATGAATAAAATGTATTAGTATCACAGGAAAATTCCATCAAGAGAGCATTAGTAAATAAGAAAGTATGAAATTGGGAACTGAATATTAAGGAACAGCCTCAACACAAGGACCATTGTTTGCACTATCAGTAAGTCCGTGATGGATTCTATCTTGTTTCTCTCCTTTGGCTGGGAGTGTGCCCTGTGACTCTGGGATCTCCTTAAGCATGGGATGATGTGACAAAGAGGTTCTCTTTTCCCTTATCATATAAATCTTCACTACATGCTTTCGCCTCTCATTGACCACAGTGCTTGTATGTGTGCTAATTCTCCAGGTAGGTGCCAACATCTGTGGTTATAACAACAATGTCACAGAGGAGCTCTGCAGAAGGTGGATGCAGCTTGGAGCATTTTATCCACTACCAAGGAATCACAATGGGCCTGGGTTCAGGGTAAGGTCACCAAAAGAAGTGATGGAAACTTTTTGGATTAGCTAATCTACTGGCTCTTAAAGGGGATTTGAGGAAAATAGTACTACAGGTTGGCACTAACTGCAGCAGAAGGATAAAAAAGTCTTGTATCATAGCCTTAAAAAGCAGGGTATCAATCAAGGTGAGGGTGCATTGGAAGGGATATGTATATACTGAAAGATTTTATTCTTGGAAACTCACCAACAAAGTGAGAAGATTTGTTAAAGTTTCTATGGTGCTGCCATGACTTCTGTTCTATCCTATATAGGATAGGACAATTGGAATTTGTTGGTATTTTATTTCAGTTAATACAAGGGAAATCCCTCATAGGTATGGAGGAACAAGGAGAAAGAATTTAAAGAGGCTTAGGCCAGTGATCTCAACATTTCTTTCCCCTTGTTACAACATTCTACCTTTCTATGAAGAGTTTGGAGGACTTGCCAACTACTTCTCATGACTCATTCCACCTTTAGGCTCGTCTACCCAAAATAGTATTTTCGATGGGCAAGTACATGGAAGTGGGTTCAAAGTCCCCCCTAAGGAGGTGTTTATGATGGTAGCAGAAGCAAGTAGGGTGAGATGTCCTTTCTTTTAATAAAGTAATCTTAAGTTGAAATATTTCCAATTGAGTGGTTTAGCTCTTAATAGGTTCATTAGAATAACTTCCTAATGATAATTTTAGCTCCAATTCTTGACTTTGTCTTTAACCCAGGAAGGATTAACAGTCAAACCTTCAAAGTATTTTATCCCTGGGCTTTTCTGGCCACTTGTGATCTAGAGAGAGATGAACTATTTCTAAATGTCTTAAGCAGGTGGCTGGGAGCAGGTGGGTGGGTGCTCTTCATGAAGCTGTGTCCTGGAAGACTTACATAGGTAAGAACACTCAGATAACCCAGGAAGCTAGGTTTAAGCACGTATGTCCTTTTGATTAAACTAGCTCTATTCAATAAAATTATAAGGAGAGCCACATATGTCAGTTTAAATTTGAAAAGTACAAAAAGGCTGGGCACGGTGGCTCACACCTGTAATCCCAGCACTTTGGGAGGCCAAGGTGGGAGGATCACCTGAGGTCCGGAGTTTGAGACCAGCCTGACCAACATGGAGAAACTCTATCTCTACTAAAAATACAAAATTAGCTGGGTGTGGTGGCGCATGCCTGTAATCCCAGCTACTTGGGAGGCTGAGGCAGGAGAATCTCTTGAACCGGGGAGGCAGAGGTTGTGGTGTGCTGGGATCGCGCCATTGCACTTCAGCCTGGGCAACGAGAGCAAAATTCCGTCTCAAAACAAAACAAAAAAAAAAACAAAGTACAAAGAAACAGGGACATTGTTTTAAAAATACTTTATATAGCTCAATGTGTATCTATATGTGTGTGTGTGTCTGTATATTACATAGCATTATCATTTCAACCTGTGTTTAATACAAAATATTATTAATGAGCTATTTTATATCCTTTTCATTCTACTAGGTCTTCAAAATTTGGTATGCATTTTACACTTGTAGCATATCGCAATTTGTATGCTAAGATTTTTTGTATGCAGTTGAAGTAAAATGCAATTCTACCAAAGCAATAAAGTTGGTTTAATGGAAAAAAAATTTACGTTGATTCAGTTTTAAGATTTATATTTAAAGTAACTATCATCAAATAAAATGGAAAGTTTACTTCCTCAGTCTCAATAAACATAGTTCAAGTGTTCAATAGCTTCATGTGGTTCATGGCCACCATAGTGGACAGCACAGCTCTGGGCTTTTGTCAGTTGACAACCAGGGTGATGGAGGCTGTGGAGTGTTACTCTCTTTAATGTTTGGCCTCAGAGTTTTCATGAGCCCTACACTGGGTGCATAGAGTGGTCTCATGGAGTCATTCTATTTAGAGGGGGAGAAATGGGCCTCTTAGGGAGCAAAAGAAAAAAAAGTTCAGGTAACTTTATCCAAAACTCAGTCTCAGTAACGCAGTATAGGATGACAAGTCAAAAGATGACGTGTATGTCTTTCACATCTTCCAAATTATATGGAAAATGAACAAAATGAATGCCGACCATTGACGGAAAATTTTCATCTCTGGGTCCATGGAAAATTAGATTTTTCTTCTAATGGGTTATTTTTTTACTCTTGGATAAAATCTGCTAAAAACCATCGTCATAATTTATTTGCACAATGTATGTCAAAGAACAAATAGAGGTCACTAATCTTTGGGATAGGGAAAATAAAACAAATGTTGATGGTGGAAACATTACAGATAAAACTGGACAAAAAATGTTAAAATTAAAATTCATACAAGCACATGGAAAGGAAATGATGGATTACAGACCATGGTGGCAGGCAATGTGGCTTATAAGGCAATGGATTTTTTTTTAGTAGTAGTACAACTTATATTATTTCCCAAATAAAATATGAGAAACCTCAATATGTAAAATAAATTGGAGCAACCCTGGAGGGAGCAAGTCCCACTTTATCTCCATGGCAACCCCTGTGGGACTTCCATTTCACTCTGGGGCTGCTACAAACTGCCTCAGAAGACAGACACCAATTTTTTTTTTTTTTTTTGAGACAGAGTCTCATTCTGTTGCCAGTTTGGAGTGCAGTGGCACGATCTCAGCTCACTGCAACCTCCAACTCCCTGGTTCAAGCAATTCTCCTGCCTCAGCCTCCCGAGTAGCTGGAATTACAGGCACGTGCCACCACACCCAGCTAATTTTTGTATTTTTAGTAGAGACAGGATTTCACCATGTTGGCCAGGATGGTCTCCATCTCCTGACCTCGTGATCTGCCTGGCTCGGCCTCCCAAAGTGCTAGGATTACAGGTGTGAGCCATTGCGCCTGGCCGATAGACACCAAATTTAAACTCTGCCACTTGTTTGCAATTCTACATTGGGAAAGTCATATAATCCTTGATATTGTTTTCTCATGTATAAAATGAAGGAGTAGGATTAGTATCTTTTCAGTTCTAGAAATGCTTTGATATTCTCCAAGTTGGAGGAAGTGGCTAGTTTCATCTGGGAAACTTATTGTAAGAGAACTTCTGAACTATGATGGAAAGAAATATTCAGCCATTCCTTCCATTTTCTCCTAGGACCAGGATCCCGCTGCCTTTGGTGTTGATTCCCTGCTGCTGAAATCCTCCAGACATTATCTGAACATCCGCTACACCTTGCTGCCCTATCTCTATACCCTTTTCTACCATGCTCACACCCGGGGAGAGACGGTAGCAAGGCCCCTTGTACATGAGTGAGTTTCCTGATTCTCAAAGACTCCCTTTCTGATTGTAGTTTCACTTGACTTTGTTTGTGGTAGCAAGGTTAGTTAGGATCTTGTTGTTACATAATGTGCCATTGTCCTGTATTAGAGACTTCACCTGCCTTCACTGTGCTACCTCTTTACTAGGTTCTACCAGGACTCAGCCACGTGGGATGTGCATGAGCAGTTCTTATGGGGACCTGGACTCCTCATCACGCCTGTTTTATATGAAGTATGTTTATCATCTAAACAATGAAAGGGGGTATTGCACTTGTCCTCATGGTTCTATAGCTGGATAAGTTGGTTCCTATCTATGACTGCATTTATATCAAAATATGAATATAAATGAGAGAGCTCATGAAAGTTTAGAAATTTTTTAAAAAGTAGTAAATCTTGGTCCCATTGCCCCACCAAACAAAACAATTTTCATGTTGTAAAATTGCCTTAAAATTAAAGCCTAAGTCCTTAGGCATATGGCTGCAGCATTGACAATGGCTTTAAATACTTTGGGGTGTATGTGCTGAACATCTGTCTATAGTTTCCTTTGTCCAGAGCGGGTGTGCTCTTGGATTGGGTTAGGCTGGGCTGCGAAGAGAGAATACCTGTGGAGAAGAAAAGGGAGGGAGAGAGGAGTGCTGGGCAAAGGGAAGGCGATGCTCTGAAGTCCAACTATGAAGGACCATGTGTATCCTATTAAGTGTGATTGGGAGCAGGGGTAAGTGGCAAAGTGTGGGACAAGGATCAGGAAGGATTATGCTGATCTGCTTGTAAACATGAAATATTGCCAGTGTAGCCATGTCAAAGGCCCTTTGAGCTGTTGTTATAGCCACACTATCTGATGACAGGTCCTGCTAACCAACCAGTGGCCCTGCTGGGAGGCTTTCCTGGGGCCTGGCTGGCTCACTGTCCTCCCAACTGTCAAATTATGTGACTAACTCAGTGAATGGACTTTCTCTGCTTCTCTTAGAAAGTGCAGCAGCATTGAGCAAAACAAATCATTTTTAGCTACATTCTGCTTTGGGTAAATTGCTCAACCTTTATGTGTCTGTGTTTTCCTTTGTAGAATGGGATGATCTCAACCATCTCTCAGGATTGTTCAGATAGGCACATGTAATGATGCCTGGAGGTGTTTTGTAAACTGTAGAGAGGGGTATGCTAATGCTACTCATTATTGTTGTTTACCTAGGGTGTGGACGAAGTGAAAGCATACATACCTGATGCCACCTGGTATGACTATGAGACAGTAAGTAAGGCAGCCCTGGTTGGCTCACAGACCTGCCTCTAGCAGAGGGCAATTCTAAAGCAGCAGTCTTGGGAGCTTGCCATAGAATAATAGTACAAGATTTATAGTTAGTTGATTGTGGTCCTTTTTCTGTGAGAAAGGCATCTTAGTTGGTTCAGGATGGTGCAACAAAACACCTTACACTGGGTAATTTATAAACAACACAAATTTATTGCTCACGGTTTTGGAGGCTGGCAAGTCCAAGATCAAGGTGCTGGCAGATTCCGTGTCTGGTGAAGGCCCTCTCTGCTTCACTGATGGCACCTCCTTGCTCCTCCCTCATGACTTAATCACCTCACAAAAGTCTCCCCACCCCTTAATACTATCACTCTGGGTATTAAGTTTCAACATATAAATTTTGAGGGTACACCAGCATTCAGACCATAGCAGAAGGCCTTTCCAAATGTACAATGAAATAATTTGAATAACTGGAGTAGGTTTATGGAAATTCATTATATCAACCTGGCTATTGTGTAGCTATCAAGACTGGGCTTTGTCATTTGGCTGTGGTAGCCTAGCAATTGAAGCCCAGGTGTGGAATGACAGCTTGATGTAATGTAAATAAATAAAGGGGATTGGAGTGTCAGCTCTGCCCTCTACTACCCATATGCTTTCAGCAAGTCACTTCACTTTGGGGTTCTCTGTTTGTCTCTTCTTTAAAATATGTCAACTGAATGAGATGATACCTAAGGCCCCTCCTAGCTGAAACAGCTTATTACCTGATCTATCTTTTGTTGTTGTTGCTGATTAGGGAGTGGCCATCTCATGGAGGAAACAGTTGGTGAATATGCTTCTCCCAGGTGACAAGATAGGACTTCATCTGCGAGGGGGCTACATATTTCCCACTCAGAAGCCAAACACAACCACAGAAGCCAGGTAAGCTCCTTACTCTTCTAAGGTATGACTATTCTGGTGCTCTAATGGAGCAGGGCATTATGAGAAAGACAAATAGGGATTTTTGTGGATGAGCCAAGGGATAAGTCACCCATCAGTAATCTTCCCCCACTCCTTTCAAAATTGATCCAAAATTGGCATCTTAGTCCCTATTTAGTAGATGGTAGTCTGCTAAGGACATCTGCAGAGTGTTTCACTTTGGGATTGAATCAGATTATAGGACTAGTCAAAGTAATCACTGAGGAGGATTTCCCTATGGCCAGAAATTGTCCTTAGGTATATTCCCTACCGTGTGAGAGAATTTGAGTTAAATAGGAGATAAAGGTTATCACGTGGAAGCCAACACCGTTTGGGGGTCAAGAGCTCAGATTCTACAGAACCTGGGTTCAAGCCTTGGTTTGGGCTACATACTAGATGTGTTTACCTTGGGTAACTTACTTCTCTGTGCTTCTGCTTATTATTGGTAAACTGGAGATGATGATAGTTTAACTTTGTAGAGTTATTATGAGGGTTAAATGAATTAATATAAATGATAATGTGTGCGGGACACTTAGAAGAGTGCCTGGCACATGGTAAACACCTAATGAGGCTAATTGTTGGTATTATGTATTGCAACCCAAACAGTTGCCTGTAGGAACTGCCTCTGTCCACCCTTCCCTTTATGTCCACTCACTATCAACCCCTGCTGCCTGCCCACACCCAGCTCCCATGTGTCCACCCAATATCAACATCTACTCAGTTTCTGGTATAGACTCTTGGATTATCTGTCCCTGGGGGATGAAGGTGGCTGGTTTCACATAGTTCCATCTCATCTACATTCTCTGAAACTGGGAAGTACTCTTTTACAGCCGGAGGAATTCCCTGGGACTCATCATCGCCTTGGACTATAAGAGAGAAGCAAAGGGGGAGCTGTACTGGGATGACGGTGTATCTAAAGGTAGACTTTCTCAAGGCACCATCCCTGTGGATCACTGTGGTTCTCCCTGAAAATTAGTCATCATAGGCTGCCCAATATGGCACTAACCCTATTAGCACTGTCGTTTACATCTGTAGCTGAGAATCAACGGGTTAAAATCCATTCTGAAAATTCCATTAGCCAGGCACAATGCATTAAAATAGACTTCAAATGCACAAATTATGTGTTACTGACTCTACCAAAGCAACTGGCATTATTTCATTTAGCTTAATTATTCTCTTCCTTGGATATTAATTATTAATAACAGATAATACACTTTTTAATAGCTTTGGAAAATACTGCTTTGGTTTGTGGAAGAAATATCTAATTTGTATTGTATGTCTTTTCACTGTAAGGTTTCCATGTAAACACCTCACATGAACTTATGTGATTATATAAAAATCCTGTCCTACATGGAATTAGTATGTATTGTGTAGGCCTTGAGGAACTCATGATCCAGCAGGATAGATACAATGCACACATAGATAAATACAATGCAAATCAAAATGTTTTACATGCCAGCGAAATGGTACCACAGACTGACATGTGAATTTAGAGAAAATGGTCCAGGAAATATTTGCAGAAGTTTGAAAAAAATGCACAGAACTCAGATGAGCAGAACTAGATGGTTGGTAAAGGAATTCCAGATGAAATGAAGAGAAGAGCAGGACTCCCTGGCTGATTGGCTTCCCATAGTAACCGGTACTCCTCTTTCTTTTTTAGATGCTGTGACTGAAAAGAAGTATATTCTATATGATTTCTCTGTTACCTCTGTAAGTATTTTGTTTGAGGAACACACAGCATATGTTCCTTGCTGGGAAGGCTCTTTGAGTTTTTAGTTTAATATAGACACATGGTTATGTGCAGCAGAGACAGGGTTTTACTGTCATGATTCCAAAAAGGAATCAAATGAACATGAAAGTGTTTAATGTGTGTCAGGCTTATAAGCTGCTACAAAACCAATATGAGTTCTGTGCAGAACTTTTTTTTTCCTGGAAAAAAAAACATTACCTTTGAGTTTTATGTGATGGGTGCTGGCTTCCAAGATGTGCCTTTTTTGAGGTTTGCAAGTGTATATGAGGTGTGAGTGGGTTAGTGAGTGGTATGGCACATTTTTAAGGTTCTTCCATAATGGCTGTCCTTTGTAGCACGTAAAACTTGGCCTTTGGCACGGGTATAAAGTAGCGGCTTTTAAAGGCTGGAAGATACAGAACATCACTTGCCTCATATCTATTTCCCAAGGGGACTGAGAGAAGAAAAAGCAGCAAGGCCAGCAGAAAATGAGGGAATTCTGACTTGATTTTCTTAGAAGCCTGATCATATATGGGCAGAACTTTCTTTTGAGGCGGTCTCTCTCTCTTTCTTTTTTCTCCTTTCTTTTAAATGTGTATATATGTATCTGTACCTATACATATAAAAATGGATCTACTTTAAGATATAGAATATATATAATTTATATATAAGGTATAAAAAATATATATCTTAAAGTAACTCTTTTATTTTGAGATAATTAAAGATCCCCATGCAATTGTAAGAACTAGCACAGAGTTCCCATATACCCCTTTGCCCAGTTTCTCCTATGGTAACATCTTATAAACCTATAGCACAATTTCACAAGCAGAATGCCGGCATTGATGCTATCGAGATACAGAATATTTCATTAGCACAAAGATCTTTCCTGCTGCCCTTTAATAGCATGTCCACTTGCTTCTTCCCCAATCCCTCCTCAGCCCCTGGCAACCAATCATCTGTTCGCCATTTCTATAATTTTGTCCTTTCAACAGTGTTCTGTAAAGAGAACTAAACTGCTTGCAACCTTTGGGATTGGCTTTTTCATTCAGCATAGTTCCCTCAAAACCCATCCAAGTTGTGTGTGACAACAGCTTGCTCCTTTTCATTGCTGAGTGGTGTTCCAAGTTATGGAACCTTTTAAAAATCACTCACTTGATTAATAGTATCTGGGATGGCTCCAGTCATGAGCTGTTACAAATAAATTAAAATTGCTACTAACACTCATGTATAGGTTTTGGTGTGAACATAAGTTTGTTTTTTTGTTTTGTTTTGCTTTGAGAGGGAGTCTCACTGTGTTGCCCAGGCTGGAGTGCAAGGGCACGATCTCAGCCCACTGCAACCTCCGCCTCCTGCGTTCAAGAGATTCTCTTACCTGAGCCTCCTGAGTAGCTGGGATTACAGGCATGCACCACCATGCCCGGCTAATTTTTGTATTTTTAGTACAGATGAGGTTTCACCGTGTTGGTCAGGCTGGTCTCGAACTCCTGACCTCATGATCCGCCCGCCTCACCTTCCCAAAGTGCTGGGGTTACAGGCGTGAGCCACCGTGCCTGGCCATAAGTTTTTATTTCTCTTTAATAAGTGCCTAAGAGTGCAGTTGCTGGGTCTTATGGTAATGCATGTTTAGTTTTATAATAATCTTCCAAACTGTTTTCCAGAATGGCTGTACCATTTTCACTTCCACCAGCAACATATGAGTGATCTAATTTCTTTGCATCATGGCCAGCATCTGATGTTGTCACTATTTTTTTAGGCTTTTCTGATTGGTGTGTAGTTACAGCTCATTGTGTTTTTAATTTGTATTTCTCTGATGGCTAATGATGTTTAACATCTTTTCATATGTCTATTTACCATCTATATATTTACATTTTTAATTTTGATGAATCTAATTTATCATTATTTTCCTTATAGATTGTGCTTTTTGATGTCAAGCTTAAGATCTCTTCGCCAAGTCCTAGATTCTGAATATTATCTCCCATTTAAAAAAATATAGTCTTACCTTTTACATTTAAGTCGTGATCTATTTTGAGTTAATTTTTATATAATATGTAAGATTTAGGTTGGGGTTCAACCTTTGACCTGTGTATGTCCAGTTGCCCCAGCACCTTTGTTGAAAAAAATCTGTCTTTGTAAAAAATCATTTGGGCATATATGTATGCGACTTCTAATTTTTTAAGTTATCAAACTGCTACTTTTTTCTTCAGTCTTAATTTCTACCTTCTTCTTTGTCATAGCTCAACTGTGTCACCTTTGTTCCCTAAATAAGTTATTTAATTTTCTGTGTTTCAGTCTCCTCATCTGAAAAACGAGGGTAATTATAGCTTCAACCTCATAGCCTGCCGTGAAAACTGAATGAAGTAATACATGTCAAATGCTTAGCACAGTGCCTGTCACATAATACACACTCAGATTATTCTTAGCTCTTATCATCATTATTAGTAAAATAAAAGGAAGAAAATTACTTGGGCCCTTTTGGTGTATATGTGTATGTCTTTATCTTTGTGTGCCAATGAGGCTCTTATCTTTTTGTTTACTGTGTGAGTACCTATCTCGTCTGCTTGAAAATTCTACAGTGTCAGGGACGTATTTTCCGATTAATAGAATCAGTAAAGAACCAGTGAACAAAAGCAAAGATGAAATATTACTTAAAAATTTAAGATTGATAAGAGTCTGAGTGAACGAGTTCCCTAGGGATGATGACCTAGCAACATTTGAAACTGCAGAGAAAAGGAAACAGCTTGGATCACAGAAATTGAGACATTGACTGGTATTTGGGGATAATAAGGGTCTGAAGTACCTGGTTTCCAATCTGACTTTTTTTTCCCCTCCCAGAACCATCTACAAGCAAAGATTATAAATAATAATTATATGGACACTGACAACCTCATGTTCACAGATATCACAATCTTGGGAATGGACAAACAGCCAGCTAATTTTATCGTCCTACTGAATAATGTTGCCACCTCCAGTCCAAGCGTTGTCTACAATGCTTCCACAAAGGTAAGAGATCCTTCCATTCTGCAGGGCCCTTTCCAGAGGCCTTGGCTCTGACAGCCAGCCCTACTTTGCTCTTTTAACTGTGGGCAGTCAGACACAACTGACTTGCTGGGAGGTCCAACACATCACAGAAAGGATGCAGGAGAAACGTGTGCATGCTAAAGAAAGACCTCTCTGCTTTGTTTGTATCAGGGCTCTGAAGAAAATAGCGGGAGTCGGAACCCCGAGAGAAGGAAGTTCTTCTCTGGGCGCAGTTAAAATGAGACACTCTGATCCCAGCTGTGACATAGTGAATAGATTGTGCAATGGGTATTTACACATTGGTCCTCTCATTGAAGGGAGAATCTCTTTGAGAAACAGTTGATATTTGTCCTTACCGTTTTAGGCTATTTTCATACCATTAATAAAATGTGAGTGGAGTAACGCAAGGAGAAATCCAGTTTTGCTCTTACTGAATGATTCCCTTACACTGTTAGTTGAATATTTCAAGTTCTGGGAAATTTGTTATTTCTTAGATCAGCCCCCTTCCATGTTGACAAGACCTATAGCATAGAATAAGAGTTTGATTTCTAGAGTTAGGCAGAATGGGGCTCCAATCTCAGCTCTTAGGGTATTAGGTGTCTCTGTATCTTAGTTTTCTGTTCTGTAAAATGGAGATAGTCAAAACATTCACAGCATGGAACTGCTGTCTAGGATTAATGGAGATCATGCTTATAAAGTGGTTATCACAGTGCTTGGCTTGTATGAATGCTCCATAAACTTTAGCTATTGTTGTTATTACTACTTTTATTAAATTGGTAAGCATCACACCCAGAGGACAGTAAGCCTAACCATGACAGTCCTGCCTGTGATCTGCACTCATTAGCATGATGAAAACTCTTCCCATCCAACACTTCCACAATGACTCCATGAAGTGAGAAAACCCAGGAATCAGCCAAGTTCTGAATATCTCATGGCAAAATGGTTTTGGAGGAAGGAATAGATGCCCTTGTCCTGACTTCCAGACTTCCAGCCAAGAACTCTTTCTGGGTGGCTTTCCCTCCCTTCCTTTGTCACTGTGACTGTCTCTTTCCCCAGGTGGTAACCATCACTGATCTCCAAGGACTGGTACTGGGACAAGAATTCTCTATTAGGTGGAATCTTCCTGTCAGTGACCTGGAGAAGTTCAACTGCTACCCTGATGATCCAACAGCCTCTGAGGAGAGTTGTAGGCAGCGGGGGTGTCTTTGGGAGGTAAATGACCAGAAACAGATTACCTCATTGATTAGGAAGTAATTAGGCACCTAGAAAACACTTTTCAAATGTCTGTGGCTTGAAGAAAACCAGGACCCTGTGCAACACGCCTTTTGCCAACTCTACATGATAGGTCATCAGTATTTTCCTCAGACATCCCAAATCAGAAGAAACTTATTGCCATTCTCATTGCCACTCCAACCATATCATTAAAAACCCAATTTTAAACATAATAATGTACATTGGGTATGCATTATGCATTGTCTATTTTAACCAATCTTGTTTTGTCTGTTGGAGAACACAAGCAGGAAGGGTAAGGTCAGGCTGTTCCTGTCTATTTGAACAACAGAGAAAATGGAAACTAGGAAGCCAAGTGATTTCCTCTAGATTACATGGGAGGCAATAAGAACACTGGGAGTAGAACCCTGCCTGGAGGCTCCTGTCTCCCTATCAAACTTCCTGGTGCTCTGTCACGGTTCACTCATTATAGAAGGTCAGTGTGTGTGTTTAAAAAAATGGATGTGTTCATTTGCTAGGGTTACCATAACAGAGTACCACAAACTGAGTGGCATAGAATGACAGGAATTTATTCCTTCAAAATTCTGGAGTCTAGAAGTGGGATCATGGTGTCAGTGGAGCTGGTTCCTTCTGAGGACCTTGAGGGTATTTCTTTGCTTGTAGATGCATCATCCCACTCTCTGTCTTCATAGTCACATGTGTACATGTCTATCTCTGTGTCCAAATTTTCCTTATTAATAAGGATACCAGTAATACCGGATCAAGGCCTATCCCAATGACCTCATCTTAATTTGTTCATTGCAGAAACCCTACTTCCAAATAGTCACATTTACAGGTATCAGGGGTTAGGACTTAACATCTTTTTTAGGGGACACAATTCAACCCATAACCATGGACATGGTATTAGAGACTTAGTCTGTGTTAACCAACTTCTTCAGTAATGAGAGCCTTAGTGTTGTATCAGAGGCTGAGCAAGACTTTCTCCTGTTATTCCAGGACACATCTACTCCTGGAGTGCCCACCTGTTACTATGACACCATCCCTAATTATGTTGCTAGTGATATTCAGTACCTGAACACCAGCATCACTGCAGACCTTTCCCTCCCGATGGCCCCTGAGTCAGCTGCTGCTGCCGCCTCTGATTCTCTCTCTGCAAAGATCAGCTTCCTCCACCTGAAAGTGATCTATCACACAGCAACCATGCTGCAGGTCAAGGTAAGGCCCATGTTGCAGATTCTGGTTCTCAAGATGGAGTTTTTAATTTACAGTGCTGTATGGATAGAAGTCATTGAAACAATTAAAACATTTTTTTTCTTTTCAAGACAGGATCTCCCACTGACACCCAGGCTGGAATGCAGGGGCACAATCTCAGGTCACTGTAACTTCCACCTCCCTGGCTCAAGCCATCTTCCCACCTCAGCCTCCCAAGTAGCCAGGACTATAGGTGTGCTCCGACACACCTGGCTAATTTTTGTATTTTTTGTAGAGACGGGGTTTTGCCTTGTTTCCCAGGCGGTCTCAAATGTCTAACCTCAAGCAATCCACCTCCCTCTGCCTCCCAAAGTGCTGGGGTTACAGGCATGAGCCACTGTGCCTCGCTGAAACAGCTTTTCATCCAAATCCCTCATGTTATGGATGAGGGAGCTAAGGCCTGTAGAGAGGTAAAGGTCGGAAAGTAGACGGTAAAGCCAGGATGTGGCCTTAGATCTATGAGGACCATGAATTCCCTATAATGATGAGTATTCTAGGTCATAAACATCATCAAAGAATCATCATTTAGCCCTGAGAAAAATGGATCTGCTTTGTGGCAAACTCACATGAGAGGCATTAACTTAATTCTAATATTAGAATTATTTTCTCTAGCAGTAGTTCTCAAACTGCAGCATGCATCAGAATCACCTTCAGATCATTTTAAAACCCAGATTTCTTGCCCTCACCCCTAGGGTTTCCAATTCAGTAGACCTGGGCTGGGGCCTAGCCTGAGGATTTGCATTTCTTTCTTTTTTTTTTTTTTTGAGACAGAGTTTTGCTCTTGTTGCCCAGGCTGGAGTGTAGTGGTGCGATCTTGGCTCACTGGAACCTCTGCCTCCCGAGTTCAAGCGATTCTCCTGCATCAGCCTCCCAAGTAACTGGGATTACAGGCACCCGCCTCCACGCCCAGCTAATTTTTTGTATTTTAGTAGAGATAGGATTTCACCATGTTGGCCAGGCTGGTCTCGAACTCCTGACCTCAGGTAATCCACCCACCTTGGCCTCCCAAAATGCTGGGATTACAGGCGTGAGCCACCACGCCCGGCCTCGAGAATCTGCATTTCTAACAAGCTCCCAGGTAAGGCTGATGCTGCAGGTCAAGAGACCAAACTTTGAGATCTACCGCTATGCACATTTAAAAAATACGTCTACTGGAAACATAATGTGAGCCACACATATCTTCCAGTAGATGCATTTTTAAATGTATATTTTAAAAGGGAAATTAATTTTAATAATATTTTAACCAATGCGCTAAAATATTATCATTTCACCTTGAAATCAAAATTTAATGGAGTTACTTTGCCATCTTCTAATTATTCTAAGTCTTCAAAATCTGGTGTATATTTTGCATTTCTAGTGAATCTCAATTCAGACTAGCCCATGTCAGGCACTCAAAGGCCATGTGTGGCTTGTGGACAGCACCTTGGACAGCTCAGCTGTAGCCATTGCTTTCCACATTTTAATGTATCATGAATCACTGGGGCAGCTTGTGAAAATATAAGTTCTAATTCAGAAAATCTGGGTTGGGGCCTGAGGTTCTGCGTTCCTAACAAGCTCCCAGGCAATGCTGCTGCTTTGGGTCTAAGAAACATAATTTCCAAGCAGGACTTTAGAAAACCTTCACCTGGCAAGGTGTGGTGGCTCACACCTGTAATCCCAACACTATGGGAGGCCGAGGCAGGTGAGGTCAGGAGATCAAAACCATCCTGGCCAACATGGTAAAACCCCGTCCCTACTAAAATACAAAAAATTAGCCAGGCCTGGTGGTGCGCACCTGTAGTTCTAGCTACTCAGGAGGCTGAAGCATGGGAATCACTTGAACCTGGGTGGTGGAGATCGCAGTAAGCCGAGATCGCACCACTGCACTCCGAGCTGGCGACAGAGTGAGAATCCATCTAAAAATAAAAATAAAAAAAAAGAAAGAAGAAAACCTTCACCTAAGCACAAATTTGGGACTAATAATATGACAAAGAGGATAGTCACTCATAATGTTGTAACTCCTTGTCCTTCCATAACATTTTTCACTCCTTTTATTCTTCCCACACTTCAGTCCTGTTACATAAGTAGGAACAAGGGGTGGATACAGAAGAGAAACTTTAGGAATGGGAAAGCTGTACAACATCTGGAAGCTCAAACAGTGAGGAGATCTCAGAGTCCATATGAAAACTCAATTCCCTAATTCCTAACATGCATGCACACACACACACACAAATTTACACATTTCTATGCACATACATGTCTGCATGCCACACACTTACAAACATATACACACACATTCTATTTATGAAATTCTATCCCCTTCTATCACAGATTCTTTAGAAGAAGAGCCCTCCTTGGCTTTGAATGGGTTTTACTGAGGCAATTTTTGAACTTCAGCATCTGTATGGGGCACAGTGGGCAGGCAGGCCTCACATCCATTCGCTTGGGGATGTTTGATGCCTACTGATATGGTGCAAACTGGTCAAAAACATGGAAACTGAATTATATGGGGTGGCATGAGGGGTTTTAGGTCTGAGACCCTAACAGAAAGTTTTCTTCTCTCTTCTTGCCAGATCTATGACCCCACTAATAAAAGGTATGAGGTTCCAGTACCACTGAACACCCCTCCCCAACCAGTTGGTGACCCTGAAAACCGTCTGTATGATGTCAGGATTCAGAACAATCCTTTTGGAATCCAGATTCAACGCAAAAACTCCAGCACTGTGATGTAAGCACTATTTATTTGATTCTAATTAGAGTAGTTCTAGATTTAATTACAGCAGTTACAATTAATTCAAGTGAAATATTAATCTCAGAGACTCTATGGAAATAGGTGTGCATTTGTTAGAGTATATCTATTTTTCCCATGCTTTAATGGATAATTTGTTTTTGGTTAGTCATTAACAAAAATAATCAATCAAAGTTTAAAGAAATGAAGTATTGTTTGATTTCAGAGAAAGAAAAATACATGTTCTACTTACTGTTCTTAAGTAGAACAGAAAACTCTAATAAGTACAGCAGATAACCTAAGATACAAATGAGTTCCATATTATGTCTCATTAAGAAATAATAAGAGGCAGGAGAGAGGGGCAAAGGTTAAAAAGGAGAAAGAAATAGCTTCTTGTAACGTTTGCTTCTGTGGACACAGAAGCCTTCAAGCCTTTTCACAATGTTAAGCATAAAAGGAATTGTCATCTCCCATCTCTTGTCCTGCTGCTGAATAGAATGAAGTGAAAGTCTGGATTTTGCCTGGGGTGAGGTTCCCTATCCCAGTAGAAGCTGTCACCTGTGTGTGCACCTTTGCCTTCCTGTGTATGTCTTCTCTCTTGGGCTGTGTGAGTGATTTCCTCTCTGTTGCCCTCTTTGGTAAGAAGTCCTTTGGCCAACTCAAGAGAAGTTGTTCTAAGAGTTTCATGCTTTTCTATTGGAAAGTTTGCTTAAACTCTATTTGTTTATTTATATATTTACTCAAGCTGATATTCCAGGCACTGAGAACTTGAAATAAATAGAAGAATGAGTTATGGCCCTTGCCCACAAGGACCCAGAAAAGGAGCTCTCAGTCTGACAAACCACAGAACAGAAATCTAACATGGAACTTTGGTCCTGAGTCAGGGCCATTGTTATGACCTGGGTCATGTCACAGTATTTGAACCTGGATCTAAATGTGCAATAATTAAGGAGGCTTTGGAATCAACTAGACATTCCAAACACGTTCCAAGTAGCTCTGGCCAGTGGTCTCCAGCTCAGCGTGATCTGCTTTTGTGTTGCAGTTGGGATTCTCAACTCCCTGGCTTCATCTTCAATGACATGTTTCTCTCCATTTCTACGCGTCTGCCGTCCCAGTACATCTATGGCTTTGGGGAAACTGAGCACACGACTTTCAGAAGAAACATGAACTGGAACACATGGGGAATGTTTGCTCATGATGAGCCACCTGCGGTAGGGACAAAGGAATAAGTTTAGCAATCAGTTTCTCTTTATGTAAATCTCTTTTAATCCTTATGCTTATATATGATACCTTGCTCATCAACCTCATCTTATATTGATAAATTCCGCTCTCAGTTGTAATAGAGCACGTGTCACATTCTTTTGTCCCTAAAAGGCATATATATATATATATATATATATATATATATATATATATATATATATATCCACAACTGACAGAGGGAAATATGTATATATTTCCCTCTGTCAGTTATGGATTTTATTTATCTCACAAACTTTTAGTTAATATATTCTACTTGTCAGGCACATTGCTAAGTGCTTATCTGTACATTTAATAAGACACTGTCTTTGCTCTCCAGAGACTTATAGGCTAGTGAGAGAAATAGACGCAGAAATTGTGATAGCACAGTGGAATCACTGAATTATGTAATAATACATAATTGAATTATATAATAATAAATGAGGAAGGCATGAAGTGGGGAAGACACAGCTTTTAACTTGGAGTAGAAGGGAGAGTCAATGAAGGCCCAACAAAGGACATGACATTGAGCTGAATCTTTAATGATGAGTAAGAGTTTGCTGTTTGGGTTATGGTATGAAAACAATATCTTGCATTTTCTTTTTGTTTATTACCCTCGTGACTCCCAGTACAAGAAGAATTCCTATGGTGTCCACCCTTACTACATGGCACTGGAGGAGGATGGTAGTGCCCATGGAGTGCTCCTGCTAAATAGCAATGCCATGGGTAAGGCATAGGCACAGCTCCCATGCACCACCAGAAACAGCTGTGACCGCTCTATTTTGACCTGGTATCAATAGAAATAGAGACATTCAGGGGGCAAGGGAAATGGAACAAATAAACTGACTTTCCATTTATTCACCTATTTATTCAAGATTTATTAAGAACTCTGGATCAGGTGTTAGGCATGGAATTTTGATCAGTTATGGCTCCTACTCTGGCATAGCCTATTTTACTGTGACACTTTGGCTCCCATTCACAGAGTTATAAAAGTTGTTGAGATTGCATATTACATTTGGGGTACCTGCAAATACACCTCTGATTCTAATGGATGAGAGAAGACTTTCTAGAGAAGGCATGTATCAAAGACAGAGTATGAAGAAAGCAAATCTTAGAGCAGGTTTTCTATCTGGGCAATTTACAACTCCAAGGATGTGCCTCATGTGTGTTGTTTTTCTTACAGATGTGACATTACAGCCCACTCCTGCTCTGACATACCGCACCACAGGAGGGATTTTGGACTTCTACATTGTTTTGGGGCCAACCCCTGAACTTGTAACTCAGCAATACACAGAGGTTAGAAGCCATTCTGTCCATCAATATATTGTCAAATATTTATTGGCTATTACCACATTATTAGCACTGAGATAGGGCAGTTTTTTCTTTTGACTCTTGAGTGTCACTACTAGATTATTACTGCCTTTGCTGAAATCATATTTTAGTATTATGGTTCTATAAAGCCATATTAATATCCCATGTGTCCCTCACTTGCTAAACAGCCTAAGAATTGCTAATCAGTAATAACCGGCAAATTCTCAGGTTTCCTAGAATGAAAACTCTGGAATACAGAAAAACTTCAATTACGTTTCTATCATTTTGCATGTCTGTAGTTGCTCCACATTTGTTGGACTTTCTTATCTTTCTTGGGTGAGGCCTCTTATACAGTACTTAGCAGAAACACTCAAGTTGATTCAAGTATAAGTCAATCACCTTGTCTTCCCTAAGAAATCTTTCTGGATGCATTTTTCTTTTTATTCTAGTTGATTGGTCGGCCAGCAATGATTCCATACTGGGCCTTGGGATTCCATCTGAGTCGCTATGGATACCAGAATGATGCTGAAATCTCCAGTTTGTATGATGCAATGGTGGCAGCCCAGATTCCCTATGTATGAAACCCTCACTCAGCCCAAGGTGTAATTAGTTACAGGAATTTGTGGCTAATTTTATATTAGAAGTGCTATGATGTTCTTATCAAAGATAACTTGATACATTCAGGCTGAATTTTTTTTCTTTGTATATACTATAATACTATGTACTTATTAAACAGAAATTAGAAAATAGGAAAATTACAAGATGAAAAAATCCACAAATCTACCTTACCAAAGTAATCAACGTTAATAATTTGCTGGTTTATTCTTTTCCAAATTTTGGCTTATGCACAAGTCTCTGTTTTACCAAACAAGTTTCACCTAGGGTCATATGGCAATGCAGGGGACTATCCCTTTGGGCTAAAAAGAAGCAAGTTCTTTTTTTCAACTAAATATTAATCACTTTAGTTATTATTCAACAATCATGGTTTGAGTAAGTTTCATGTGCAGAAACCTGGGTTGGTACTGCATAGAGAGGGTAGACATTCAAGAAAGCTATAGAATAATGTAGTTCTTGTATGTTGGTGTAAGGAAGGGGTCCAGTTTCCATTCTACATATGGCTAGCCAGTTTTCCCTGCACCATTTATTGAATAAGGGAGTCCTTTCCCCATTGCTTGTTTTTGTCAGGTTTGTAGAAGATCAGATAGTTGTAGGTGTATGGTCTTGTTTCTGGGTTCTCTATTATTTGCCATTGATTTATGTGTCTGTTCTTGTACCAGTACCATGCTGTTTTGATTACTGTAGCCCTGTAGCATAGTTTAAAGGGGGATCACCTGATGCCTCCAGCTTTGTTCTTTTTGCTTAGGATTGCGTTGGCTATTCGGGCTCATTTTTGGTTACATATATGAATTTTAAAATAGTTTTCTCTAGTTTGTGAAGAATGTCAATGGTAGATTAATGGGAATAACATTGAATCTATAAATTGCTCTGGGCAGTATGGTCATTTTAATGATACTGATTCTTCCTATCTATGAGCATGTTTTTCCATTTGTTTGTATCATCTCTGATTTCTTTGAACAGTGGTTTGTAGTTCTCCTTGTAGAGATCTTTCACCTCCCTGGTTAGCTGTATTCCTAGGTATTTTATTTGTGGCAATTATGAATGGGAGTTCATTTGTGGTTTGGCTCTAGGCTTGACTGTTGGTGGTGCATAGAAATGCTAGAGATTTTTGTACATTGATTTTGTATCCTGAGACTTTGCTGAAGTTGCTTATCAGGTTAAGAAACTTTTGGGTTGAGATGATGGAGTTTTCTAGATATAGGATCTTGTCTATATGACAAGATCTAGTATCTAGATACAGGATTATGTCATCTGCGAATATGAATAGTTTGACTTCCTCTTTTCCTATCTAAATGCCCTTTATTTCTCTCTCTCTCTCTTTTTTTTTTTTTTTTTTGAGTTGGAGTCTCCCTCTGCTGCCCAGGCTGGAGTGCCATGGAGCAATCTCGGCTCACTGCAACCTCTGCCTCCTGGGTTCAAGTGATTCTCCTGCCTCAGCCTCCTCAGTAGCTAGGACTACAGGTGTGGGCCACCAAGCTTGGCTAATTTTTTAAATATTTTTAGTAGGGACGGGGTTTCACTGTATTGGCCAGGCTGGTCTTGAACTCCTGATCTCAGGTGATCCACCTGCCTCGGCCTCCCGAAGTGCTGAGATTACAGGCGTGAGCCACCGTGCCTAGCCCGTTTATTTATTTCTCTTGCCTGATTGCCCTGGCCAGAACTTCCAATACTACATTGAATAGGAGTGGTGAGAGAGGACATCCTTGTCTTGTGCTGGTTTTCAAGGGGAATGCTTTCAGCTTTTGCTCATTCAGTATGATATTGGCTGTGGGTTTGTCATCTATGGCTCTTATTATTGTGAGATATGTTCCTTTAGTACCTAGTTTATTGAGAGTTTTTAAAAATCAGCCAGATTTACTGTAGAAAAAAACCCCAGATATACAATCCTGTTTGTTTCCTAGGAAAGTCCCAGTTTCTACCCTTGAACATTTCAATTAGAACTTTGTTTGATAGACTGAGTTTGAGATTTGAAGAGTGGGAAAGACATGAATTGAGGAAAGGAAAGGGGATAGAGTTCCAATTGGGGAAACAGAAGGAGAAGGAGTGGGCACAGGTGAACTGCATGCAGGCATCAGAAAGCAATTTCAATCTGCAGAATTGAAAAGTCAGCAGAGGGAAGTAATGAGATGAGGAATGAAGAGGGGCCTGGAATGGGGCAGGCAGGCAGCAGGACCAGGGGCCTGGCAGAGCAGTTAATGTGCCCTGCAGGGCACCTACTGCAGGGTTCCAAGAGCCTTGCTGCTTCTTTCTGCAGGACGTCCAGCATGTAGACATCGATTACATGAACCGGAAGCTGGATTTCACCCTCAGTGCCAACTTTCAAAACCTCAGTCTTCTGATTGAGCAAATGAAGAAAAATGGCATGAGATTTATTCTCATTTTGGTATGTATTGAGACAGATCAGATCCTACTTTCTGTTTCCATATTCATGGTTCAAAAATAGCACCATTGTGGGAAACTGGATGAAGGGTACCAGAAATGTTCCTGTACTCTGTACTTTTTGTTTTGTTTTGCAACTTCTTGTGGTGAATCTATAATTATTATTTTTTAATTTAAAAGCAAATGAAAGAAAGAAATGAAAAGGGGCTTTTAAAAGATGATACTTTATAATATTTATTTTCCATAACTGTCACTGGAATATAATTATTATTCTCTTGGTAAAGTTAGAACAACTGTGGGCTGAAGCACTGAAGATAGCAAAAAAAAAAAAAGGGGGGGGCATCTCACTGTTTCAGGCTATGTCTCAGGAGAAATAGCTGTATCTTAATCTCATCTTTACGTCAGGAGGTTCAAAAATCTCTTATGTTGTATCATCACTCAGAAATGGTAAGGCTCAGATGACATTTCTTCCTAAACTTACAAACAATTGAGTTAAGATCCAGAATACCAATTTATTATATTACTAGGAAGCCACATCTTGACAAATGCAGAGGCAATTACCTGCAAATGATTCTCTCTTCTAGCTTCCAAAACTTACAGCATTATTTGGTGACTTTTGCTCACTTACTAATTCACGTATTTATTGAACACAGTATTTGAAAACCACTCTTCTACAAGTTGTGTGTGTGTGTGTGAGGGTGCATGCATAGTCTAAATTAGCAAGGCAGTGCTCTTTTTCTTATAAAGTTTTTATTCTAATGGAGGGAGACAGCCAATAAACATCTGAAAAGATAATTTCAGACAGTAGTGATTTATATGACAATTGTGAAACAGCATAATATTATAGAGAATAATTGGGGCAGGTATGGGATGGAGTGAACAGGGGAAGATATTTTAAATAGACAGATTGGGACACAGAGAGCAATAAAGAAGTTTCTTGTTTTTGAGGAACATTGCTATTATACTCTGGAAACATGATAAATTGGCTCTCTCTGCTTGAGGATTAAGTCTTATCAATCTGGTTTATCTCCAGGAGTTGTTTCCAAACACTAGCAAAAGTTTTTCTCAAGAATTTTATGGAGAAACACCAATGCATTCTTTTTCTTCTCAACTGTCTTTGTAAAAATAGATTTCTATGTCATTGGAAAAAATCACTTATGTCATATTTAAATTCCTACAGGATTTTTTAACATCTTATTTATTTGTTTATTTAAATATTTCAGGGTTAAACTTTTTTTAACTTCTATTTTAGATTCAGTGTGTACATATGTAGGTTTGTTACAAAAGTGTATTGTGTAATGCTGAGGTTTGGAGTATGTATTAGTCTGTTTTCACGCTGCCAATAAAGACATACTTGAGATTGGGCAATTTACAAAAGAAAGATGTTTAATGGACTCACAGTTCCATATGGCTGGAGAGGCCTCACAATCATGGCAGAAGGTGAAAGGCATGTCTCTCATGGTGGCAGACAAGAGAAGAGAGTTTGTTCAGGGAAACTCCCCTTTTTAAAACCATCAGATCTCATGAGACTTATTTGCTATCATGAGAAGAGCAGGGAAAGACCTGCCCCCGTGATTCAATTACCTCCTACCATGTCCCTCTTACAACACATGAGAATTCAGGATGAGATTTGGGTAGGGACAGACCCAAACCATATCAGAGTATGACAGAGTATGATGGAATCCATTACCCAGATAGTGAACATAGCACCAAACAGGTAGTTTTTCAACCCTTGCCCCACTCCCTCCCTCTCCTCTCTTGTAGTCTCTAGTTTCTGTTATTCCCACCTTTATATCTATGTGTACCCAGTACTTAGCTCCCACTTATAAGTGAGAACATGTGGTATTTGCATGTCTGTTCCTGCATTAATTCACTTAGAATAATGGCCTCCAGCTACATCCATGTTGCTGCAAAGAGCATAATTTCATTCTTTTTATGGCTGTGTATTATTCCATGATATATATGTACCATATTTTCTTTATCCAATCCACCATAGATGGGCTCCTGGGTTGACTTCACATCTCTGCTATTGCAGATAGTGCTGTGATAGACATAGAAGTACCTGTGTTTTTTGAGAGAATAATTTATTTTCCTTAGGGTATATACCCAGTAATGGGGTTGCTGGGTGGTATGGTAGATCAATTCTTAGTTATTTGAGAAATCTCCAAATTGCTTTCCACTGTGCCTGAACTAATTTACATTCCCACCAACAGTGTGTAAGTGTTCTCTTTTCTCCACAGCCCCACCAACATCTATTTTTTGACTTTCCAACAAAAGCCATTCTGACTCATGTGAGATGGTATCTCTTTGTGGTTTGATTTGCATTTCTCTATTAGTTATGCTCAGCATTTTTTCAAATGTTTGTTAGCCACTTGTATGTCTTCTTTTGAGCAGTGTCTGTTCATGTCCTCTGCCTACTTTTTAATGGGATGGTTTGTTTTTGGCTTGTTGATTTAAGTTCCTTATATATTCTGGATTTTAGGCCTTTGTCAGATTCACAACTTGCTAATATTTCCTCCCATTTGGTAGGTTGTCTCATTACTCTGTTGACAGTTTCTCTTGCTGTGCAGAAGCTGTTTATTTTAATTGGATCCATTGTCAATTTTTGGTTTCATTGCAATTGCTTTTGAGGACTTTGCCATGAATTATTTGCTAAGGCCAATGTCAAGAACATTTCCTAGATTTTCTTCTAGGATTTTAATAATTTGAAGTCTGACATTTAAGTCTTTAATCTATCTTGAGTTAATTTTTGTATATAGTGAAAGGTAGGAGTCCAGTACCATTCTCTTGCATATGGTGAGCCAGTTATCCCAGCACCATTTATTAATAAAGAATTCTTTCCTTCTTGCTCATTTTTGTCAGTTTTTCTGAAGATCAGATAATAATTGTAGGTGTGTGATAGTATACGTTGAGGTTGGGTAATGTGATATCTGTAGTTTTGTTCTTCTTGCTTAGAATTGCTTTGGCTATTCAGGCTGTTTTTTGGTTCCATGTGAATTTTAGAATAGTTTTTCTAATTATGTGAAAAATGACATTTGTAGTTTAATAGATATAGCATTGAATCTATGAATTGCTTTGGTTAGCGTGGCCATTGTAATGATGTTAATTCTTCCAGTCCATGAGCATGAAATGTTTTTTCATTTGTTTGTGTCATCTCTGATTTCCTTCAACAGTGTTTTGCACTTCTTGTAAAGTTCTTTCACCTGCTTGGTTAGATGTTTTCCTAGGTATTCTATCCTTTCTGTTGTTGTCGTAAATGGGATTGCATTCCTGATGAACTATAAAAACATTCTTGTTTTTATAGTTCTTCTAGGTGTGAAGTTGGATCGTTAATTTGAGATCTTACTAACTTGAGATTTCTAATTTGAGATTTCTCAGCTTGAACGTTATTGATGTATAGAAATGCTACTAATTTTTGTACATTAATTTTGTATCTTGAAACTTTACTGAAGTTGTTTATCGGTTCTAGGAGCCTGTTGGCAAAGTGTTTAGGGTTTTCTAGGTATGGAATCATGTCATCCTTGGAGAGAGAGAGTTTGACTTCTTCTTTTCCTGTGTGGATGCATTTAATTTTTTTCTCTTGCCTGATTGCTCTGGCTAGGACTTTCAGTACTATGTTAAATAGGAGTGATGAGAGGGGGCATCCTTGCCATGCTCCAGTTCTCAAGAAGAATGCTTCCAGCTTTTTCCCATTCAGTATGATGTTGGCTGTGGGTTTGTCAGAGATAGCTCTTATTATTTTGAGGTACTTCCCTTTGATGCCTAATTTCTTAAGGGTTTTATCATGAAGGATGTTGGATTTTATCAAAAGCTCTTTCTACATCTATTGAAATTATCATATGGCTTTTGTTTTTAATTCTGTTTATATGGCGAATCACATTTATTGATTTGCCTATGTTGAGCCAACCTTGCGTCTCAGGGTTATGGAGGAAAGCCTACTTGAACATGGTCAGTTAACTTTTTGATGTGCTCCTGGGTTTGGTTTGTTAGTCTTTTGTTGAGGATTTTTGCATCTATGTTCATCAGGGATATCAGCCTGAAGTTTTCTTTCTTTATTGTCTCTGCCAGATATTGATATCAGGATGATGTTGGCTTTGTATAATCAGTTAGGGAGGCATCCCTCCTCAAGTCTTTTGGAATAATTTCAGTAGGATTGGAACCAGCTCTTTGTACATCTAGTAGGATTTTATTATGAATCCATTTGGTTAAGGACTTTTTTTTGGTTGGTGGGCTTTTTATTGCTGATACAATTTTAGAATTTATTATTGATCTGTTTATGGTGTTATTTCCTTTCTGGTTCAGTCTTGGGAGGTTGTGTGTTTCTAGGAATTTATTCATTTCCTCTAGATTTTCTAGTTTGTGTGCATAGAAATGTTCATAAAAATCTCTAAGGATATTCTGTATATTTGTGTGATTGGGTGTAATGTCATCTTTGTCATTTATGATTATACTTATTTGTATCTTTCTTTTTTTCTCAATCTAGCAGATGGCCTATAATCTTGTTTATCCTTTCAAAAAAACAGCTTTTGCTTTTGTTGATCTGTTGTATGGATTTTTGAATCTCAATTTTGTTTAGCTCTGCTCTGATTATGATCATTTATTTTCTTCTGCGATCTTTGGGGTAAGTTTGTTCCTGTTTTTATAGTTCTTCTAGATGTGAAGTTGGATTGTTAATTTGAGATCTTTCTAACTTCTCGATGTAGGCACTTATGGCTATAAACTTTCCTAGTGTGTCTTAGGGATGATTATCTTGCATAATATTTCATAGGGATTCTCTGAATTTCTTAAATTCACATGTTGAACTCTCTAGCAAGAATGGGGAAATTTTCATGGACAATATCTTCAAATATGCTTTCCAAATAATTTTTTGTTTCCCCTTCTCTCTCAGGAATGCCAATGAGTCATAGATTTGGCCTCTTTACATAATTCTATATTTCTCAGAGGTTTTGTTCATTTTTAAAAATTATTTTTAAAAAATTTTTTTCTGACTGGGTTGTTTAGAAGGGACTTGTCTTTGAGTTCTGAGATTCTTTCCTCAGCTTGGTCTATTCTGTTGTTAATACTTGCAATTGTGTTATAATTTTTTGTTTTAATCCCAGAAGTTGAGTTTAGGAAGTTCAGTTTAGCCATTCAGTTAAAATGGCTGTGTTATCTTTCACCTCTTGGATCATTTTACTGGCTTCTTTGAATTGAGTTTCAACATTCTCCTGAATCTTGTTGAGTGTCCTTGTCATACAGGTTTTGAATTCTGTATCTGTCACTTAGGCCACTTCAGTCTGGTTAGAAACCATTGCTGGGGAGCTAGTAAAATTGTTTGGCAGTCAGAAGATACTCTGACTTTTTGAATTGCTAGGGTTCTTGTGCTGATTCTTTCTCATCTGAGAGGGCAGATGTTCCTTTATCTTTTTGAAGTCGCTGTCTTTTGGATATGGCTTTTTGTTTTTATAGTCTTTATTTTCCTTGAGGGTTTGACTGTGGTGTATGTTGAGTATAGTTGATTGGCTTCATTTCTGGGTGCTTTCAGAGGCCCAAGGCTCTTTAAGAGATATTTATCTGTGGCTGAATTCCTGCATTGGGTTTCACAGGCACCCTTTTTGTTTGGTGGTGTAATTTAGGCTGCGATACAGTAGATGGTGTTTAAGAGTAAGGGCCAGAAGATAGCCTCTTATTCAGCTGCAGGCCTCTTTCATATTTCAGCACAGTTGCAGTAGTGCTATGGGGTGGGGGAGATGGGGGATCCAGAGATGGCCCCCTTCCCAAGTCCATTTTTGGTGCTTGAGGGAGCCTCCTCTAATCACTGATATCATGCCTATGTTTCCTTAGCCCCAAGGGCGTCCCTGACAGGCTGTGCTCTTCCCTCTTAGGGACAGCCTGAGCCAAAGGTCAAGTCACCATGAGACCTGCAGCTCCCTGTTGGTCCTCTGTACTTGGCAGAGTCAGAGTGGGTTGTGGGGTATGTCTGGGGGTGATCTGTTGACGCAGTGGGTCAAGGGCAGAAGATCCCCAGGCACTGCAGTGTTGCCGTAGGGGTGCAGCTGATATGGTGCCATGATCCAGTATTTTCTGCACAGCAAATGGCTTTGGGGCCCTCTCAGCTTGCTCTCCCCCAACTGAGTCTCCTTCCAATGTCTGCTCTAGTAGCTGCCCTGACAAGCTAGTTTTGTCCCAAACCTTTTGCACCCAGATTGTTGGTCTGTTGGATGTTCTGAGCTATGGAGCTCCCTTGGGCAGAGTCTGTGGCTGGTAAACAGGCTACATCCTTCCCAGACCAGTCTGGCAGAGGGAGGCATGCCCAACTCCCACACCAGCACACAAGCCCATACCTCACTCTTCTCAGTGTTCTGAGAGTGGGGCTCCTCCCCTACTCAAGCCTCAGCCGCAGATCTCAGCTAGATAATCCTGATTTGTGTGCTTAAACCCTGGTGGGTTGGTACTGGGCCTGCAGCTTTGTTTTCTGGCCTTAGGGTCCAGCACTGGCTCTGCTGGGGGTCAGAGTACTTCCAGGCCACCAGCAAAGCACTCAGGTGGGGCAGTGGAGGCTGTGCTGTGTGCATTCTCTTTTGGGAGCAGCCAAGCAGTGGCCTTGGAAGGGGCTGGCAGACGGGTGGCATGCAGATCAGATGCACCCTTGTTCTGTAGGAAAGACAACGCTGCTGTCTCCCAGCTCAGCTGTCAGCAGGGGCTAGAGCCACTCAGAGCAAGATGGAGAGCCTTTGCAGATGGGTCCTCATGGTCGTGTTTTGCTGCAGATGCCCTGTATGCAGAACCTTCTCGTCTCCGCACAGGCTTGAGCTCTGCCTCTGCCTACTCTCCAGGCAGTTTCTCTTGCCAATTCAAATGTCTATGGTGTTTGTGGGGTCTGTTGTAGCTAGGATCCCAGATGTCTGCAGTGCAAGTTTCCCTTCACTCACTCCTTCCTTGGGACCTGTTCAGTGCCAGGAGCTGGTCCCGGCACTCAGCAACTCTATGTGGGATTTCCAGCTTTCTCCCTCTTACACCTCAGTGTTTGCATTGCCTCTCTATAGACTGGCAGTGTTATCTTTCAAAAGCTCTGTTTGAAGTGTAATGGTTTACTCAGTATTTTGGTTTTTCTCCATGGGAGAGGTGCTTCCCAGCCGCATCTAGCTGGCCATATTGTCCCCTTTCCTCTCATTTTATTACTTACAGGTTGGGGTGGTAACTTTTTGTAGTATAGAAAGGCTCCTTCATTTGTTGGCACAGATTCTTATACCCTTTGAAAGAGATTACCCCTCATAAGGGTTTTATATCTTACTTTGAGTACTCATGGCACCATCCCTTTTCAATTGGCTATGGTAATATATGCAGTAAGACATAAGGCAAATTATCAATGATTTTTATTTTATTTCATTTTATTTTTGGTATTGAGATTCACCATTTCCTTCTGCACTATGAACTACTAAATTTTTGGAGAGAAATTTTCTTAGAGATGTTTTCCTCACATTTGCTGTTTGAAATTCTTTTACTGCAGGACCCAGCCATTTCTGGCAATGAGACACAGTATCTCCCATTCATTAGAGGACAGGAAAATAACGTGTTCATCAAATGGCCTGACACCAATGACATTGTCTGGGGAAAGGTAAGGCTTGGGGAAGATGCTTACAGTTAATTAACATTACAATGTCTTGAAATAAAACAGCTCTCAATACACATTGGAAAATATATTGGACAATCAATAAATTATGAATGAGTAGAAATCTGTCCGATGCTGATTAGCTCAATAAGCATTAATAAGACCAAGGTTACAAATCTCATCCTCTATTATTATTGAGCACTGTCTATTGCCTGGAAATACTCTGATGTCCCCACTCTTTATTTATTCCACATGGTCATTAACAAACATTAAGAATCCCTTTGAGAATGACACTGAAATCTGTGTCTCCCAGACACCTGCATGCAAAACATGCGTTCACCTTTGACCTATCATGCTTAATCTGCCTTCATATCTAAATGAATCATTAAGTCCTATAGATTCTCCTCTTTCTCTTGTTTCCTTTAATTCGTCTTTATGGCTTCAATCTTCATCTTTATATGTCTGATTTTTGGCAATAGCATTTTAGGTGGACTTCAGGTGATAATAGCTTTTAGCCTAGGTTCGAATTCTTCCTTAATTATACTATGCTACTTCCTACTGCTCTGGATGTATTCCAGGCTCCTTTTTTTTTTTTTTTTTTTTTTTTTTTTTTTTTTTTTTTTGAGATGGAGTGTCACTCTGTTACCCAGGCTGGAGTGCAGTGGTATGATCTTGGCTGTCTGCAACCTCCTCTTCCCAGGTTCAAGCGATTCTCCTGCCTCAGCCTCCTGAGTAGCTGGGATTACATGTGTGTGCCAACACTCCTGATTAATTTTTGTATTTTTAGTAGAGATGGGGTTTCACCATGTTGGCCAGGCTGGTCTCGAACTCATGACTTCTGGTGATCCACCTGCCTCGGCCTCCCAAAGCGCTGGGATTACAGGCGTAAGCCACTGTGCCTGGCCCTGTGCTCACTTTGAATATTACCTTCTCAACTTACCCAGATAATATCTTCACTTCAAGATCAACTCAAATCTTACCTCGTTTGAAGCAGTTAGTAACTATTTTAGTTTTTCCTATTTTCCCTTGTCTGTAATATTGCCTTCAGTATAGCATACAGTGTAGCATTTATGTACTATCTGTGAACTCTTAGGAAACAAGTACTATTTCTTACTTAAATCTCAGTAAATACAGATCCTGGAAGAGTGCTTGTCATATAGGAAGTACTTAGTAAGTGTCTGTTGATTGAATCAATTAATCAGTGTGTATATACTTAATGTCCTGGTAGTTACAGCTAAAATTAGTTGGTACTATGGATTTTTTAATGCTACATATACTTGGAGTCCGCTATAAGTCACGATAGTGCTTAAAAGTATTGAGGTGAGGTGTATGGGTTATGAATGGAAATCAATCTTATTTCTTTAGAGTCACACTTCATACTTATTATGAATTTTGTTATAGGTCTGTGACAAGGAGATCAGAGATCTGAGAAATCACTCGAAAGTTGGTTGTTCAGAGGATATGTTTAAAAGAAATTCAGTTAATTATTAAATTCAAAAATAGAATTTTGAAAACATAGAATGAATCAAGAGACCCAGCCTACTTTCACCTAATGTAATTTTGTAGATTCAGCCTTTACAGTTTAATTTATGGCAAAGATTCCCAAGCGTTTCATGGAGATGCCTGTCATCAGAGTCTAACACATGAAATATCTCATAGTCTGTATGCAAGGATCTGTAAAGGTTTTAATTGCCCTTCTTTTTCTCTAGGTTTGGCCAGATCTGCCTAATGTAATTGTAGATGGATCCCTTGACCATGAAACTCAGGTTAAGGTACAGTTGTATATAGATTTTTGTCAACATTGCCCTAAACATCTGGATATTTACATTTTTTATCCTGATGAATAAGTAGCTAACCCTTCAGTTAAGTAGCCCTAACTTGAGGGTGCTTATCCACTGTTAGTTTCTTGGCAGAAAGAGATCCTCGAGTGGAAAGCTCAACAAACAGCGAACATGGAAATGTGTAGAAGGAAATCATCAATGAAATCCTCTCATAAGTGTGATTTTAATGGGCTGTGATTTGTTTGAACTTTATGACGCTTGAAAAATAATGAACCAAAGTCTAGCATTTTCTCACTAGAGGGGAATCCATTATGAACAGACTGGATTTTAATAAATTATCTGCATACAAAAGAAAATACAAGTCAGCTGAATGAAGGAAAGTTGTTAATCTCAGCCTGGTCATCTAGCATCCCCTCTACTCTGGAGTTCACTTGCCCCTGGATGACAGTCCTCCTTCATCTCATTTGAATAGTCTGGAAAAAGCTTTTGCTAATATCACACTGATATTTAAGTAAAAAAAAAAAAGAAAAAGTATTTGCATCTCTAAAGTTCAATTGTTCAGACACTGTTAATTTTCCAGTCTTGTGATTACATGTCCAGTTATTAAACAAATCCTGTATTTGAAAGGGATTATAAAGCTATCTAACCTTCTTCTAAGAAAATAAAGAATGAAGTCAGCCTTCCCCAATCTCTGCTTCTGTTGTAAACTCTGCAACAGCAGCAGATCTGAGATTAGAGCAGAGACTGATCTGGGCAGGCACAAATTCCTGTTCATCTCCCATTTGTGGTCTCCTGTATAGGCTGAGACCCCGACAATGAGAGTGTGTGTTATTCTTACAGCTTTACAGGGCCTACGTTGCCTTTCCTGACTTCTTTCGTAATAGCACAGCTGCGTGGTGGAAGAAAGAGATAGAAGAGCTCTATGCAAACCCTCGAGAGCCAGAGAAGAGCTTGAAGTTTGATGGATTGTGGATTGTAAGTGCACCCTTGGTTGTCTTTTTTTTTTTTTTGGAAATGTTAGCAAGTCAAAACATGGGGAGGAGAGACTAGCAAAGCAGAGACATAGGGCTGAAGAGATGAAAGGGAGAATCTAGGTGCTGTTACAGAATCTAGGTGCTAGGACCAAGAGAAGCAGAGATCATTGCTGATCTGCCCAGGGACATATTGTCTGGTGGATGTTGGAGCCCACAGAGGAGACTGCTACTGCTGGAGATGCCAGAGCAAAAGAGAAAGGGAGAAATCACCTCCCATCTCCAATCTCTTGCCAATATCACCCACTGGCCAAATCTACCTGAAAGCTTATTGTAAGGGAGTCTTACAGGGCAGAGCTGGGAGTGGGTGAGGCATGGAGTTGAGAGCAAGTAGACGTTTGCCATAGTACTGGGGCAGACAACTCTGAGGGAATGGCTTAAAGGGCCTGTTCAGATGTTTGCTGTAAATGCCAGTTGGCCTTAAAAGCAGGACTTCCTGAGATGTCCCTGGGATATATGTCCAAGGGCAGCTCTATCTATGTTTTCCTCTGTCCTGATTTCCTTCCCCACTGTCCAGTGGCCTGAAATCTTAAGCAAGCTCTAGGCCAGCTCTGAAGAGCTATTCAGCTCTGGGTCAGACTGGAAGAAGTCTGTGATTCACTCCAGAGACAAAAGTCCACTGAAAACACAGGGGCCTCCCTGACCACCCGCACCTTTGAGATAGTTAGGCACAGAATAGACATGTGAAAGGACACAAATTAACTCAAACAGGCAAATCAGACAGTGGAGAGTTGTGGGCAGCTTTGAGAATAAGAGATGCTGATAGCTCTGGGGTAGTATTTTTTTTTTTTTTCCAATGGAGGGAAAGCTGTAGCTGGGTAATTCAAAGTAATGAATAGTTCCTCAAGTACTTTCATTTGCCTTTAGTATGTCCTATTTAAAATAGTCTGGCTTTCGAAAATTTAACTTTTCCATTGTCAGAGTGCACAGTGAACATTCCCTTAGGAGCCCCTACTCCTTGCATTTAAGTAACAAATTCCCCAAAGTATGTTTTTATTTCCAAACTTGTTTCTGAGTTACATATAACTTTTTAGAAATATATTTATAGCAGAAAGTGAGATAACTCTCCTTGTGTTTGGCCTATGCCAATATCAGAATTAGTCCAAGCAACTGGACTAAGAAAAAATAGAGGAAGATAATAGTAACCTCTGGCCATAGACTAAAAAGTGAATAATCCATGCGTAGTAAAACAAGATGGGCTACCTCTGTTGGGGAGTTGTATCAAGGGGAGTTGTATCAAGAGATTTCCTTAGGTCCTGTGTCCAGCATTACCTCACTATTTTTGCCACTGTAAAACAATCCTTGTAAGTTTTAAAATGCCAGGTAAGCAAGGAGTTTAGCACTCCACTTTGGCCGATATAAATTTTTAGAGTCCATTTGGGTCAATGCCAGGGATTACACTACACATTTTTAGAGTCCATTTGGGTCAGTGCCAGGAATTAAACACAGTGAACTAAACCACCAGCTGAGCTGAGGGCTTCAAAAGTCATCTCCCTGAGTTAGTGTCCTCTATAGCCAAGGCCATCCTGCCCCTGACATGACGAGATCTTTTTTTGTTAACTCATTTCAGGATATGAATGAGCCATCAAATTTTGTGGATGGATCTGTCAGGGGCTGCAGCAATGAAATGCTAAATAACCCACCCTATATGCCATGTATGTAAAATAATTACTTCATCAACTTACTTTCCTACTCAAAGACTCCAAAAGTTTTCCTTTTACTGTCAAAGTGAAGCCTAATGTTGAAGACAGAAACCATTCTCCAACATGACATGAAATCCCAAGTAAGATAACCTTGAATAAGTGCAGCTAAACTAATCAAGCAAGAAATAATGACATGATGTGGTGTGAAAGAAACCAAACGATGCATGGTACATTTGATTCCATTGATAACTATGAACAGATTGCTAAAATTTTAAATAAACCCTTAAACACACACACACACACACACACACACACACACACACACACACGTGGAGAGATGTTCTTTTGATTAAAGAATTAAAACCTAGTTTCTGAAGTCTCTCTGCCCATGTAAACAGACATTTGATGAAGGATACTTTTTGGTCATTCTGTGGTACAAACAAAAATAGAATGTTGGTATCAAAAGGATCTCAGAAAGTTGAATCTTCTCGTGTTGCAGAGAAACAAGGAAGGAAATGACTCACTTCTAAAAGTACTGTACCACGGCTGAGGTGGGAGGATTGTTTAAGACCAGGAGTTTGAGTCTTGAGACCAGCCTGGGCAACATAGTGAGACCCATAAAAAAAAACAAACAAACACCAAAAACCAGAAAAACAACAACAACAAAAGGCATTATACCAGTAATCTATGGGACAGAATCTAGAATTCAAGTTTCTTGATGTCTACATCACTGTTATGCTGCCCATTTCTCACTCACTCACTCATTCATTCATTTTCTCCTTCATTAATTTAATGCAGGGGGTGTTTGACTTGCAATGGTCTGACTTATGATTTTCAACCTTACAATGGTAAGAAAGTGACATGCATTCAGTAGAAACCGAACTTTGAGAGCCCAAATAACCATTCTATTTTTCACTTTCACTATAGTGTTCAATAAGTTACAAGAGATATTCAACACTTTGTTTTAAAATAGGCCTTGTATTAGATAATTTTGCCCAACTTAGGCTAATGTAAGTGTCTGAGCACATTTAAGGTAGGTTAGGTCCATTCAATGCATTTTCAAGTTACAGTATTTTCAACTTGTGATGGGTTCATGGGGATATAATCACATTGTAAGTTAAGGATCATCTGTACTTATGTATCAAGCAAATGCTGTCAAATCAGAAAGATTTAGAGACACAAATACAAAAATGATTGAAATAGATTTATTCCCTGGAGAACATTACCATCTAGTGGAAGAAACAGTCCTAACAATGAAGGAGTTTATTATGTTGGCAAAAGGGCTATGACAACACTCTATAAATTAAATCAGAGTTGGTGCAAAAAGAAGGGGAGCTGCTTTTCCCAGCTCCATATTTTATCCTTACCCTTCATTAGTTATAAAGACACAGAACATTGTTTTCTATAGACTAAAACCTCATAAAATTGGGTCTGTTACTGGTAACAAAGTTGTTGATTGAAGTAAAGAAATGCCAAAATGATGGGCATTTCTAGTGAATGTGCAAATCATGTTGTTTAGGAAATAACTCAACATTTCCCCTCAGATTTGGAATCTAGGGACAAGGGCCTGAGCAGCAAGACTCTGTGCATGGAGAGTCAGCAGATCCTGCCGGACAGCTCCCCCGTGGAGCACTACAACGTGCACAACCTGTACGGGTGGTCCCAGACCAGACCCACATACGAGTGAGTGTCTTTTTGTCACAGCAGCAAAGATAATTTTCCACATCATTCCTTTTGCCATTTCATATTTGCATTGTGCATGTATCTACGTGATCCGAGTTAAATGGGTTAAAGTCAAAATTTCAGGCACGGTTGCCCAAGCAACCACCTCTGAGCGCATTTATCAAGTGGGTTACTAAATTCACCTATTTAAAGTGAGCAATTAGGTAATGTTTAGTATATTCATAGAGTTGTGCAACTATCACAAAAATTAAATTTTCGAACATTTTCAGAACTCGAAAAGGAAAACCTTTGCCCATTAGCAATCATTTCTACCTTGTTCCTACCTCCTGAGCCCTAGCCATTACTCATCTATTTTCTGTCTATGTGGATTGCCTATTCTGGACATTTCATAAAATGGAATCACACAATATGTGCTCTTTTGTATATGGGTACTTTCACTTGGCATAATGTTTTCAATGATTATCTATGTTGTAGCATGTATCAGTACTTGATTTCTTTTGACTAATAAAATTTCATTATATAGATACACCATATTTTGCTTGCCTATCTACCAATGAGTGAACATCTAAATTGTTTCCATTTTTTTTTTGGCTATTATGAGTAGTGATTATGTGAATATTTATGTGCAAGATTTGGAGTAGACATGTTTTCTTTGTTTTGAATATGTATCTAAGAGTGGAACTTCTGTGTCATATAGGAACTGTATTTTTAATATTTTGAAGAAATATCAAGCTGTTTTCTAAAAAGGCTGTACCATTTTACTTTTTTTTTTTTTTTTTTTTTTTTGATGGAGTCTGGCTCTGTCGCCCAGGCTGGAGTGCAGTGGTGCAATCTCGGCTCACTGCAACCTCCTCCTCCTGGGTTCAGGTGATTCTCCAGCCTCAGACTCCCGAGTAGCTGGGATTACAGGCATAAGTCACCATGCCTGGCTAATTTTTTTGTATTTTTTAGTAGAGACGGGTTTCGCCATGTTGGCCAGGCTGGTCTCGAGCTCCTGACCCCAGGTGATCCACCTGCCTCGGCCTCCCAAAGTGCTGGGATTATAGGCATGAGCCATCGCACCCAGCCTACCATTTTACATTCTTACCTGCATGTATGATAAAATGTATAAGAGTTGCAGTTCCTCCACATCCTTGCCAACACTCGGTGGTATTCATCTTTTTAAATTATAGACATTCTAATGGGGGTAAAGTGATATCTAATTGTTGTTTTCACTTTATTTCACTAATACTAATGTTATTGAGCATGTTTTCATATGCTATTGGCTATTTGTATATATTCAAATATCTATTCAAATCCTTTGCTCATTTTTGATAGAATCATTTTTTTTAATTATTATTGAGTTGTGGCCAGGCGTGGTGGCTCACACCTGTAATCTCAGTACTTTGGGAGGCCGAAGTGGGAGGATTGCTTGAGTCCAGGAGTCCGAGGGCAGCTTGGGCAACATAATGAGACCCTGTCTCTACAAAAAACAAACAAACTAGCCAGGCAGAATGGTGCATGCCTGTAGTCCCAGCTACTCGAGAGGCTAAGGTAGGAGGATCTCTTGAGCCTAGGAGTTTGAGGCTGCAGTGAACTATGATGGCACTGCACTTCAGCCTGGGCAACAAAGTAAGACTATCTCTACAGAAAAAAAAAAATTATTGGATCGTAAGAATTCTTTAAATATTCTAAATTCAAGCTTCTCATGAGATATATAGTTTGAGGATATTTTCTCTCATTTTGTAAACTTTTCACTTCCATAACCATGCCTTTTGGAGCACATTTTTAAAAGTTTTTATAAAGTCCTATTTATTCATTTACTTACTTATTCATTTGTCACTTGTGCTTTTGGTGTCATATTCAAGGAACTATTACCTAATTCAAGGTCATGAAGATTTATTCCTATGTCTTCTTCTAAGAGCTTTATAGTTTTAGGTATTACACCAAGATCTGTCATCCATTTTAAGTTTATTTTTGTGTATGGTGTGAGGTAGTGGTTCAATGTTATTCTTTCCTTCATTTTATTATCTTGACACCTTGTCAAAAATCAATTGACAGTAAATGAGAAGGCTTATTTTTGCCTTCTCAACTCTATTTCATTGATCTCTCTCTCTCTATATATATATATATCCTTATGCCAGTACCACACTGTCTTAATTGATGAAGTGTGACTCTTCCAATTTTTTTTTCAAGATTGTTTTAGCTACTATGGGTCCCTTGCATTTGATATGAATTTTGTAATCACTTTGTCAGTTTTGACAAAATAGCAACAGGGATTTTGATAGTTTTTACATTGAGTCTATAAATCAGTTTGGTGAGTATTACCATGTTAACAATATTAAGTCTCTTTTGATTCATTAGCATGAGGTGTCTTTCCACTTATTTAGATCTTTAATTTTTTCAACAATTATTTTTAGTTTTTAATGTATATGTTTTTGGCCATTATTTCTATAAATATTTATCTGTCCCTTTGTCTTTTCTTTTATCCTTCTGAGATTTTGCCACTTTCCAATGTCGTTGGGAAATTTCAGACTTGTTCTTTAGTTCTTCCCAGGACAGAGTGTGATCTTTTCTGTTCAACTGCCCCTTTCTGCTCAAGTATCTGAGCTCTCTGCCTTCTGTCCCCAGAGTTTACAAGAACCTCATACTATTTGATTTTGGGCTATCAACAGGTGATGTATCATGTTGCCCCTGGTGTTCCACAATCAGGGGCAACATGGTCTTCCAAACAGAAATTCTTCTTCCCTTTCCCACTTTCTTTACATCTTCATCTTTCAGTTGCTCTTTCACAGTCTTGCTTTCCACACCTAGCTTGAGGCTTTTCCAACCAAGGAAAAACTAGTTCTTCAGGAAAACACCCATGTCATTATATGAAATACACACAAAACAAATAGGTGTTTTGCAACCTCAGAGATAACCTTACCTTGGAAGAGTACAAGGATGAATAAGTCACAGTCCCTGCTTTCAAGGACCTCATTGTCTAATTATAGGAGTCAAACATGAGAGGGAAAATCAATTAACTCTACTGGGATAATCCAGAAAGTCTTCATAGAAGAAGTGATGTTTGAATGTTGGTTAAAAGAAGAGTAGAAATTTTCTTTTGGCAAAGAAGGGGCTTTCAGGGCAAAGAAAGCAGCAATAAGAAGATGTGAAAACTTGATAAAGTTTCTACCAAAAGCTCAACTTTCCCATGCACCATCCCCTCCTCTCTCTTCAGGGAAATTTGCTTTTCACACATCTGCATCCCATCGCCATCTTTCTCTTCAGAGAAGCTTGCTCCACAAATTATACTTTTCCATGGGTGCTCGTTTCTTCATGAATTATTTTTTATCTTCTTCCTCACTGCTGGTATATTGCTTTAGGATTTAGGCTGTGAAATCTTCTAACTAAACTTTCTCATCTTTCAAATTGGAAAAATCATGGCATCTATTGTTAATATAAAAATTAAATGATATAATGAATCCACAAGTACTTGGCATATTGTAAGCACTCAACAAACATTAGCAATATTTTTTAATTCCTTTTCATCAATATTTGAAAATGCCCCAGTTGTTCTTGCTTTTGCCTATATCCTCCTCCAACCATCATCTAATCTTTCAACTCCCTCTCATATTCAAGCTGTTTGAAGGAACTCTTTCCATACATGATATATATATTTTTTAATTCCCATACACCTTGATGTTTCTCCCTTTACCAATCACAAATGCTGGTCATTCTGACCTTGATCAGGCTAATCTCTTAGCACATACAATCTAAAGACCAACTTACATCTATTTCCTTCATGAAACCTGCTCAGATTACTCCATCCCTCCTAATTCCCTCCTTCTCTTAACTACTAACCTGACAGTATGTTCTACATTTTAAGTTATTTCCTCTACACACCTGGGGAGAAGACCATGTCTTCTTTGCTCTTTTCTGTCCAAGCACTGAACCATTTTTATTTCTTTTTATGAAAATGCCTTTGTTTGTCAGCCCTGAGTGCCTGCATTGATGGGAGAGCTCAGCGTTTGTGGCATCAGTGGTCAGTTTTGTTCACTGACTCTTCCCTGCTGACCTTCATGCTACATCCTCTGCTGACCTTGAGGTTCACAATATTGAGGTTCATAATATGCCCTGCTGCATATGCTCTGTGTGCTTTTGCTAGTTTCTCAGGATCTTGACTGTGCTTTCCAACCTAGATTCCAGATATTTATGCATTTACCTCTCTGGCCACAGTTCCACAAACTCCTTTGCAGGTTTCCCTTCCCAGTCTTTCCAAGCCTATGCTCCTTCCACACCTGGGTTCAGTCATCTTTTTTTTTCTTCACACCATGTAGCTTTTCCCTTGGATAAGCACAAACACATACTACTGGCTTTAAATACACTCTGGATTCAGATGGCCCCCAAATCTTTGTTCCCAACCCAAACCTCTCTTGAGCCTCAAACCTAGAATTGCCCATAGCTGTCTCATTTATGATGTCCCATAGGCACTTCAAATCTAATACTTAAAATGTTGAACTATTTATCTCTCCCTTAAACCTGTCCTCCTGCAGTCTTTTCTTTCTTCTTCTTTTTTTTTTTTTTAAGATGGAGTCTCGCTCTGTCACCCAGGCTGGAGTGCAGTGGCACGATTTCGACTCACTGCAACCTCCATCTCCTGGGTTCAAGCAATTCTCCTGCCTCAGCCTCCCTAGTAGCTGCAATTAGAGTTGCATGCCACCATGCCCAGCTAATTTTGCATTTTTATTAAAGACAGGGTTTTGCCATGTTGGCCAGGCTAGTCTCGAACTGCTGACTTCAGGTGATCCATCTGCCTGGGCCTCCCAAAGAGTTGGGAATACAGGCGTGAGCCACTGCGCCCGGCCCCTCCAGCATTCTTTATTTTAGTGAAAGGAACCAAGTTTAACTAGTCATTAGGTCATCCTAGATTCTCTTTCTTTTCCTGCTTTCAGTTGGTGACTCAGTTCTTTGCATCAGTCACTACTCTATCTTCCTGCCTTATTCCAGGCCTTCATTATCTCTCATCTAGACTGTTATAAAAATCTAAGCTATCCTCACCCCCATTTCTTTATCACACATACATACATATGCATTCTTCCAATTTGTGTATGGTTAAATCTATACCTTTTACTTCATTATGTTTTGTCCATTGTTTTTATTTGAAATTCCTTTCTCTTGTAGAAATCAGGTGGTTTATATATTCTTTCAGTTTTAATAGAACATGTGTGTATGTGTGTGTGTGTGTGTGTGTGTGTGTGTGTGTATTTCCATTCATTTTTGGATTTGTTTTGGTGTGAAAAATTGGAAATAACCCAAATGGATTAGTTTACACAACAGTAGTCAGCTACTTTTCCTGACATCATTTATTGACTAATTCATCTGTGTCTATTGATCTGTGATGCTTTTTTAAGCAAATACTTGGATTGTATACATACTAGGATCTATTAGTAGACTTTCTCTTTTGTTCAGTTGATTTTTCCCTCACACAGTTGTTGTTATTTTCTAAGGGTGCGTGCAGATGATCCATCTTCCACTGAAAGATAAACATCTTTTATGTATATTTGCCTCTGTGTGCAAAACATGTCTCGCTTTTTGAGGTACAGAAAAGCAGAGTGAATATTTCCAAAATGCTGTAGCTTTTATTTGGATCCCAGATCTGCCTCCTTATTCTTTTTTTCCCTCTTCCCCTGTCTGCCATGTGACTACAGACACACGTGCACCACCCTGCCCAGCTAATTTTATTTTTTTGTAGAGACAGGGTCTCAATGTGTTGCCTAGGCTGGTCTTGAACTTCTGGCCTCAAGCAGTCCTTCTGCCTTGGCCTCCCAAGGTGCTGGGATTACATGTGTGAGTTTCTGTGCCTGGCCTCCTTTTTACTCTTTTTTTTTTTTTTTTTTTTTTTTTTTTGAGACAGAGTCTTGCTCTATCACCTAGGCTGAAGGGCAGTGGCACGATCTCAGCTCACTGCAACCTCCATCTCCTCAGGTTCAAGTGATTCTCCTACCTCAGCCTCCTGGGTAGCTGGGATTAGAGGTATGCACACCACACCCGGCTAATTTTTTTTTTTTTTAGTAGAGACAGGGTTTCACCATGTTGGCCAGGCTGGTCTTGAATTCCTGACCTCAAGTGATCCACCCACCTTGACCTCCCAAAATGCTGGGATTACAGGTGTGAGCCACCACACCCAGACCTCTTTACCCTTTAAATGACCTTTGGTAAGCATTTTAAAGATCATCTTATTTTGTCCAGCTCACTATTTTCAGGCGAATGCCTTTCTAACTTCTCTGAATCTTAGCTTCCTAACAGTAAAAGGAGTGCAAGGAAACCTTTTCATGATGTTATGAGACACCACATAGGAAAGTGACCGGTATAATACTGGAATAGAGGAATTGTTCCATAAATAGCTATATTACGCCTCACTCCCACCCCTTTCTCTTACTCCAGGGTGATAGTTAATTAACCAGATTTTTCAAAAATGAAACCCACATTCTACGTGCAGATATACCTCTAGTCTTGCTGTGAAGTTTGTTGGGATCTTTAGCATGGCTTTGAGACAGCAGATTCTTTCAGGGAAGAAGTTATCTGACTCGGACCGAAGTACCCTCACCCTCTCATGCTCCAAGCTGCAGTTATTCTCTGTAAAGGAGTTTGTTTCTTCAACTCACCTCTTTATTCCCCTCCCACCAGAGCTGTGCAGGAGGTGACAGGACAGCGAGGGGTCATCATCACCCGCTCCACATTTCCCTCTTCTGGACGCTGGGGAGGACACCGGTTGGGAAACAACACAGCTGCATGGGACCAGCTGGGGAAATCTATCATTGGTGTGTGGGCTCATTCCCAGGGGCCTGTGCTGGCAGGGAGGGCACTGGAGTTTGTGCTGTTCAACAGCACTGGTTATGTCTCTATCATCATCTAGGTGGGTGGTAAAATTAACAAGAACTGAGTTCTCTCTGGGCGTGGATTTTAATTTACACCCATCTTTTAATATTTTCATCATGGTCCAGGGCTTTCTAATGGGGTAAGGAAAAATCAGGCCAAGCCTTCACTCTCCTCCCAAAGTGCTCCTTCCTCCAACACAGCTGTGTCTTCTCTTTGCAGGCATGATGGAGTTCAGTCTCTTTGGAATACCTTATGTAAGTCACATTCAGACCATTACTAATTGCCCAGTCAGATTTTAGTGAGTCAGCGCCTCATGAAATTCCCACCTCATGCTCTCATTATGCATCTTCTCAGACAGGAGCAGATATCTGTGGGTTCTTTGGAGATGCTGAATATGAGATGTGTGTTCGCTGGATGCAACTGGGGGCATTTTATCCATTTTCCAGAAACCACAACAACATCGGGACAAGGGTGAGGCAGTAGTTCGTGCTCCAGGTGTTGTGTACCCTCAAATCATAACTTCTTTTTAACCCCCAGGACTATTATACTCATTTCCTGAGAAAAATCAAAAAACATCACCAGAATCTTAATTTCTTGGAAAATCCACAGAGTTCAGAACTCTGGAATTATCAGTAATTTTTAGAAATATACCTTTTCTCATCTCCTGGAGAATTACTACCCATGAGGAAAGGTTTTTATAGTTCCACATGGGGCTAAAATGAAAGAAGATCCCTTTGCTTTTAAGAATATTGAATTTGTATTTTACTCAAATTCATCGAAGATATGTTGGTGCTGCACGGAAACCTCTCTCTGTACACATGTAGAGGGCCAGAGCTGGACCTATTCCAGGGACTTAGGAATCAGTGATAAAGAGGAGAAAGCAAGAAATTCTAATTTTGTAGGGTGGCAGAGATGGGGGAAAGGGTAGGCCAGGAATGAAAGGGTAAGTGGCTTGTAACCTACATTTTGAATAAATGCCCATTGATTCTTTTCTGATGCCACTGGGATGGAATGAAGAAGAGGTGATCCATTATATGCTTCTTTATCCTTACAGAGACAAGATCCTGTGGCCTGGAATTCAACCTTTGAGATGTTGTCCAGAAAAGTCCTAGAGACCAGATATACCCTGCTTCCTTATCTCTATACTCTGATGCATAAAGCTCACGTTGAGGGCAGCACAGTTGTCCGGCCCCTTCTCCATGAGTGAGTACAGCCTCTTTCCCCAAGCATGTCTTGCAAATAATCCTCTGTAGCAGTCATAAGAGGATAGGTGAATTTTTCCTGTTTATTTTTTTAAGGTTTACGGATGACAGGACAACATGGGATATAGACCGTCAGTTCATGTTGGGCCCTGCTATCTTAATCAGCCCTGTGTTGGAAACTGTGAGTTCTTCATTGTAGGTCAGAAAACCTTCAATCACATGATCTAAAATCATGGGAAAAGCATTTTAAAGATCATCTTATTTTGTCCAGCTCACTATTTTCAGGCGAATGCCTTTCTAGAACATCTACAGGAGATCTTTTTCTTTTATTTAAAAGATCTCTCTGTTAATGAAAGCTTTACTACACTGACTGATTTCTCATTTTAAAATTTTGTCATTTACTTTTTAAAAATAGTTTTTTCTGTAGTTCTGAGGAATAATTTTTCAGGATTTTTCTTAATAAAATCCCTCAAATTATTGCAATCACTAATACAATTTTCATTTTTTATCTTAATTCTACAGTGTTTTGAAAATGAAAATGAAAAATATTTTTTGAAATATTCATAATGACATGTCAATTTTATGTTTCAGAGCACATTTGAGATCTCTGCTTATTTTCCGAGAGCCCGTTGGTATGACTATAGCACGGTAAGAACTAATATATTTGTGAAGAACCAGTTTGGTCTATGCAGGGTGGAGAGGTGGATAGAGCCTTCTATTTCCAAGCACATATTTCCTAAGGCAATAATTTTGACCTTTTTAGCCTTGGCAAGGCTTGTTTAAATGAAAGCATGTATAAGAGCATAGACGAAATCTAAGCACCTACATCTCATTGAAGCTCCCCCCTCACCCTTGCCCTTGCCTCTCAACTTTTCTGGAGAAACAAAGACAAGTCTAGATTTTCAGTCTTAAGCAAAACTGAAAGATCAGAGATTTTCTCTTTAGGTTTGCAGTCTTTTGCTGACTTTCTAACATGCTTCCCAGGAAAGGAAGGACTTGTAATTAAAACATGCTCTCATTTAATATATTTATCTCTCGCCATTTTTTGCCTGTATTCTCCTTTCTAGGGAACTAGCAGCACATCAACAGGTCAGAGGAAAATCCTGAAGGCTCCCCTTGACCACATCAACCTTCATGTCAGAGGAGGCTACATCCTGCCCTGGCAAGAGCCTGCTATGAACACTCACTCCAGGTGAGGAGAAGAGGCAATGTCTAACAGCCTCTTGCTATACCGTAATGAGGAAGCCTTACAGGAGGCTGTCCCACCTTCGCCAGGGATATGTGGATTATAAACTAAATTGCCAAACAGCTTTACTGGTCAGATCCTGTGAGTGCTTTCTGAGTGGGACTCGGAGGAAGATGAGTTCATAAAGTTAGTCTTAGGGATATATATACACACATATATTTTTGTCTGTAGTGCTGTATCAAAGGCAAAAATTTTCCTGAAGGCAGAAAAATGTTTCTCTTTCCACACTGTTAAAAAGGAATAGGGAATGTTAATGAGCTCTTTGACTTGTGATTGAACAAGAACTAGGTAGGACTGAGTCCTTGTCCTATCCTAGAACTTAATGTTCATTCCTAGGTCTGCTTTGGTCAATCAAGGAAAGATATGCTTGTGTGTTGTGTGTGTGTACATACACGTATATAAATTACACATATAATATGTAAAAATTTATAAAATCATTGATTAAACAGAACACGTCACATCAAGAAAGGCACATAATAACAAGTCAAAAGGAGAGAAGTTAACTTTCAGCCTTGTGGTATAACACATGGTTTATATGAAAGAGGGCTTTGAGCTGGATCTTTTAGATTTGAATGTACAAAGGGGAAAGAGAGATCCTGGTCGATTAAAGAACTGAAGGTGAAAAATGGCTTGGGTTTGGGAACATAAACCATCCAGTTTAACTGGAGGACAGATAAAGGAAGAGATAAAAATAAGTAAAACTCCAGCAGGTTAGGATCAGATCCTGGAGGGTGGTGAATGCCAAGCCACTACTTTGGATTTTATTCTGTGGCAACCTGGAAGCTACTGAGGATTCTCTTTTGAGGGATTTTCTTCCTATGAAATTAATATTTCATTATATTACTTGTATGTATATTTGATTTTTAGAAATTGAAGCTAAACCAAATGTTTTATTAAATTTTAAACGTTTTCCATTAACTTTTAAATGTCTTATATTTTATCTATTGTACCTATTTTTAGAACTTTATATGCATATTTAATACATTTCTTTTATTTCTAGATAAGTAATGTTTTTAACACAGTCTGTTCTTTATTCTTACAACCTACAATCTAGAGAAAAATAACTCTTTTTTTTTTTTTTGGTAGTCGACAAAATTTTATGGGATTGATTGTTGCTTTGGATGACAATGGGACAGCTGAAGGCCAGGTGTTCTGGGATGATGGACAAAGCATTGGTGAGTATAAACTTTCCAGGGTCCCTGTACATCACTGAGAAAAATCATACCATAGAGGCTCGGCATATAACTAACATGAACTGAAAACCTCTCTCTGCCTATTGTCAATAAGGCAATAACATTTGGAGAATTTTTCCAACTTTTGCCTGCTCATTTATATTATACTATAGTTAGTATAGACTGGGTACAGTCCCCAGCTTTGTAGGTTCAGAAACTTGCTGTTATGCATTCAGCCAGGGATGATCTATCTCTGTATAACTGTCTCACTCTTGATTTAAAAAGAAGTGTGGATGCAAATATCAGGCTGATGGTTAATTCATTCTCAATGGGACAGAAACATGACTCTATCATTTGGATCAGCCATCTATACCAGGCACCCTGTTCCTCACAAATAGGCCTGCTCAAGAGGCAATTTAGAGGTTAGAAAATTTCTTGGTGACTCATAAATTGGGAATTAAGTGTTGCCCAAAGGATACTTACATCGATGAAATATTAATTTGTATGTTTCCTTTCCCCAGTTGAGATAGAGTATGTTAGTTCTACTTAGGTAAGTGAGATTTGTCATTATCATCAGAACACCCTCTAACTCAGAATTTTCTATAGATATATGGACACACTGTTACTAGCTGACTCTCACTTTTCACTACTTATTACTGTGGACCAGAACCTTCTAATCTTGCAACATACCACATTTTCTGAAATTATAGTATAGCTTATTTTTCACTACTAATATTTCTAGAGATTCCTTCTTTTTTAGGTTCCTTCATTATAAAGATAAGAAATTCTCATTAAAGAAGTAGATATTCTTTACAACACATGTTAAAGACAGAAAATTAGAAAAAAATACAAGCACTTTTAATATTTTTGCTGTACTAACTTTGGCTTTTGTATTAAGAAAATGCTTAATTTTTAATATGGCTGAAAACATTTTGCATATTTAATTTGTGAATCCTGTTTATTTTCCTCTAACATAATGACAGAAACATGTGTGAATGTTATTATTTGTTCCTTATAAATACCATTATGTATGATGATCATATTCTATTGAGAGAATATGTACAGGTTGGTTTTAATTTTCATTGTTATAAATAACATCCTTTTTCTTTTTTTTTTCTTTTTTTTTTTTTTTTGAGTCTCACTCTCTCATTCAGGCTGCAGTGGCACGATCTCAGCTCACTGCAACCTCCTCCTCCCTAATTCAAGTGATTCTCCTGGCTCAGCCTTCCCGAGTAGCTGGGATTTCAGGTGTGTGGCACAACACCCACTAATTTTTGTATTTTTAGTAGAGATGGGGTTTCGCCATGTTGGCCAGGCTGGTCTCGAACTCTTGGCCTCAAGTGATTCACCCACCTCGGCCTCCCAAAGTGCTGAGATTACAGGTATGAGCCACCGTTCCCAGCCCATATATAACATCCTTGAGTATTAACCATTGTTTCCATTTTAGATTACGTCCATAGAGTAGATTCCTGGAAGTGATATTACTGTCTTTTAATCAACTTTAAAAAAGTTGTGATTTATACAAATAAAATGTATCCATTTTAAGAATACAGTTAGGTTTTGACAAATGTGTACAGTTGTATAGCCACTACCACAATGAAGATGTGGAATATTTTTATAACCCTGAAAGTTCGCCTTTTATAGTCAGCCTGCGGATTCATCCAACTGTGGTTTGAAAATGCAGTTAGCCTACAATAGTTGCATCTGTATTGACCATGTACAGACATGTTTTTCTTGTTACTATTTTGTAAACAATACAGGATACCAATGATTTACATAATGTTTACATTGGATCAGGTTTTATAAGTACCCTGGAGATTATTTAAAGTACACGGGAGGATGTGTATAGGTTATATGCAAATATTATACCACAAAATAACTTACATTCAAATAATAATGTCAGATTCATTTTAATGGTCAAAAAATGAAACCACTGAAATATTCATCAATAAGTATATTGGTCAATAGTCATGGAATATTACCATGGAAGACACCATGGATTATTATTAGGAATAAAAAGCAATTAAAGCAATTAATTTCTTTTACATGCAACAGCATGGATGAATGTAAAAGGCATTTTTGCTAAGTGAAAGATGCTAAAAATACAAAAATAGTACATATTGTATGATTCTATTCATATAAAATCTAGAAAATACAAATCCAGTCTATAGTCACAGAAAGCAGAACAGTAGTTGCCAGATCCTGGAAGGAAGGATCAGGACTGGGGAGAAGCTGACTAGAAAGAAGTACTGCTGTCCCTGGGTATCCATAGGCGGTTGGTTCCAGGACCCCTGCGGATATCAAATTCCACAGATGCTCAAGTTCCTTATATAAAATGATAATATTTTTATAATTTCAACTTTTATTTTAGATATAGGGTGTACATGTGCAGGTTTGTTGCATGGATGTATTGTATGATGCTGAGGTTTGGGGTATGGATCCCGTCACCCAGGCAGTGAGCATAGTAACTAATGGGTAGTTTTTCAACCCATGCCCCCATTCCTTGTTACCCCATCTAATAGCCTGCAGTGTCTATTGTTCTCGTCTTTATGTCCATGTGTACTCAGTGTTCAGCTCCCACTTATAAGTAAGAAAATGCATTATTTGGTTTTCTTTTTCTGTGTTAATTTTCTTAAGATTGTGACCTCTAACTGCATCCATGCTGCTGCATAGGACATGATTTCATTCTTTTTTATGGCTGTGTAGTATTCCATGGTGTATATGTACCACTTTTTCTTTATCCAATCCTTTGCTGATAGGCACCTGGGTTGATTCCATGTCTTTGTAATTGTAAATAGTGCTGTGAGGAACATAAGAGCACATGGGTCCTTTTGGTAGAATGATTTATTTTCCTTTGGGACATACCAAGTAATGAGATTGCTGGGTTGAATTGTAGTCCTGTTTTAATTTCTTTAATAAATCTCCAGACTACTTTCCATAGTGGCTGAACTAATTTACATTTCCACCAACAGTGTTTAAGCATTTCCTTTTCTCTGCAGCCTTGCTAGCATATGTTATTATTTGACTTTTTAATAATAGTGGGTTTGATTTGCATTTCTGTAATGATTGGTGATGATAAGCATTTTTTCATGTTTATTGGCCATTTACATGTCTTCTTTAGAGAAGTGTCTGTTCATGTCCTTTGGCTATTTTTTAATGGGGTTATTTGACTTTTGCTTCTTGATTTAAGTTTCTTATAGAATCTGGATGTTAGACCTTTGTTGGATGCATAGCTTGTGAATACTTTCTCCTACTCTGTAGGTTGTCTACTCTGTTGATAGCTTTTTTCACTGTGAAGAAGCTCTGTAGTTTAATTAAGTCCAACTTGTCAATTTTTGTTTTTGTTGTAATTGCTTTTGGGGGCTTAGCCAAAAATATTTTGCCAAGACCAACGTTGAGAAATCAGACAAGACACATAAATGGAAAAAAACATTCCATGCTCATGGATTTGAGGAATCAAAGCAATGTACAGATTCGACACTATTCTTATCAAACTAGCAATGTCATTTTTCACAGAATTAGAAAAAAACTATTCTAAAATTCCTATGGAACCAGAAAAAGAGCCCAAATAGCCAAAGCAATCCTAAGCAAAAAGAAGAAAACCAGAGGTATCACACTACCCAACATCAAGCTGTACTATAAGGCTATAGTAACCAAAATAGCATAGTACTGGTATAAAAACAGACACATAGCAATAGAACAGTATAGAAAATCCAGAAATAAAGCCACACACCTACAACCATCTAATCTTTGACAAAGGTGACAAAAACAAGCAGTAGGGAAAGACTCTATTCAATAAATGGTACTGGGACAACTGGCTAGCCATGTGCAGAAGAATGAAACTGAACCCTTACCTTTCACTGTATAAAAAAATTAACTCGAGATGGATTGAAGATTTAAATGTAAGACCTCAAACTATAAAAATCCTAGAAGGAAATGCTCTTCATGTTCTTCTTTTTCTTTGGTTATTTTAGCTCTTTTGTATTTCACACAGATTTTAAAATCAGCTTGTCACTTTTTAACAACAAGACCACCTTCTGGAATTTTGACTGTAATTGCTTTTATTCTTAAGACCAATTTTTGAATATTTGTCATCTCTTTTTTTTCTCTGTCTCTTTCTCTCATCTACTTACCTACTTATCTACCTATCTAGCTCTATATAATTACCATTTACTTAGATCTTTAATTACTCTTAGCAATGTTTTATAATTTTTGGCGTATAGTTCTTGTACATATTTTGTTAAATATGTCCTAAGTATTTTTAAGTTTTTGATGGTATTTTAAATATATTTTAAATTTCTCCTAACAGTTTATGGATAATATATTATAACCTATATTCACTTAATATGATATATGAGAGATATTTTTCAAATGGTTTTATTTTCTATTTATGGGTGAAAACTTGCTAAAGAAAAAATATGAAGGAATTAAACAACTTCTCTCTTCAGAGCTCAGTTCAGTCTTTGGACTTGCTTTTTAACATAATCTGATAAGAAGCTCTAGGAGAGGCATGTGGTATTCTGAAATTAAATAGATCTAGGTTTGAATACCATCTCAGTAACTTTCTAGTTGTATATCTTCTGGAAAATTACTTATTTTGTTGTCTCCATTTATTCTTCTTTAGTATCTACAACATACACCTATGTTGTAATTTTATGAGGATAAAATGATTTAACATACATAAAACATTCCTGGCACATGAGTTCTGAACAAAATGTGTTATTAATATGTAAAGTAAATAAAACTCTATTCTAAACATTTAATATGAGCTACTTTACATAAAATTAGCATGTCTAACTTATGAAAACAAAATGAAAATAAATAAATACGTAAATAAAATAAAGTTAGTGTGGTTAATAAGATAATAAGACAATAAGGCATCCAAAAGTCAAAAAGAGGAGGTTGACCAGCCATCCTGAATTTCAAAGCTGTAGCAGGACTTGAGCCTTATAAGGGCATACTACGGTGCCAATTTTTAAATTTAAGAACTGTATTTATTAAATGCATTTTAATATTCCTGTCTCTTGGGAAAGTACATATTTTTTCTCAAATTAAGCCTTTGTGAAAGATGAACGTTTAATCAGGGGTTTGCTAGGTGAGCAAGGAATGATAATAAAAGGAGTTAGTGCCCATGATTAGACAGTCAACACTTTGGTACCTCAGTGAGTCTTGCCAATGGGACTGCAGACTGTTTTTGTTGTCAGATCATGACAAGTGCTTGGTATATATCCATTCATCAATTGATGGACATTTGGGTTGTTTCCACTTTTTGGCTATTATAAATAATGCTGCTATGAACATCTGAATATAAGTCCTTGAATAGACACACTTTTAAAAACTCTCTTGTATATTATACATACCTGGGAGTGAAATTTCTGGCTTATGTGGTAACTCTATGTTTAACTGTTGATAAAATATCCAACTGTTTTCTATAGAGGCAGCACCATTTTACATCTCAATCAGCAGTGTATGAGGGTTCTGATCTCTCTTCTTCCTTGTCAACATTTATTATCTATTTTTTTAATTATGATCATTCCAGTGGGTGAAAAGCTGTAGTTTTTTGTGGTTTTGATTAATTTATATTTCTCTGATAACTAATGTTGTTGAACATCTTTACATGTACTTATTATTCATGTGTACATTTTCTTCAGAGAAATGATTGCTTATATTCTTTTCACATTGTAAAATTAAAGTGTCCTTATTATTGAATCATAAACAGTCTTTATAGAATTTAGCTAAAAGTCCCTTATCCGATGCAGGATTTTCAAATATTCTCTCTCATTTAGCAGGTGCCTCTTTTGAGGCACAAACTTTTAAATTTTGATGAAGTCTAATTTATCTATTTTTTTCTATTCGTTTAATGTGCTTTTGGTGTTATAGCTAAGAAACCATTGCACATTACAAAGTCCCAAGTATTTGCTACTAGATTTTCTTCTAAGAGTTTTATAGTTTTAGCTCTTACATTTAGGTCTTTGATTCTTTTTGAGTTAATTTTTGTGTATGGTGTGAGGCAGGGGTCTAACTTCTTTCTTTTGTATGTGGATTACAGTTGTCCCAGAATCATCTGTGAAAAGTCTATTATTTTTCTCATTGAATTATTTTGGAATTTTTGTTAAAAATCAATAGACCATTACTGTGAGGATTTATTTCTGAATTTTCATTTCTATTGCCTTAATCTATATGTCTATTCTTATGTCAGCACTGCACTGTCTTGATTACAGTGGATTTGTAGTAAGTTTTAAAATCAGGAAGCATGAGTTCTTCAATTTAGTTCTTTTTCAAAAATGGGCCTTATTTTAAAGCGGTTTTTCTCAACCTCAGCAATACTGACGTTTTGGGCTAAATAATTATTTTGTGGTGGTGGCTGGGCTGGTTATTATACATGTTTAGCAGCATCCCTGCCCTCTCCCCACTTGATGTCAAAAGCAAAGTTATCTTCAAGATAACTACATGATCTCTAAATATTGTAAAATGTCTCCAGAGAGGCAAAATTACTGCTGGTTGAGGATCAATGTTTTAAGAGAACATAGAAAGTCCTTTGATACAGGTTTAGCTAATTAGGACTAGATGAGTGATGTCATAGTAGGTTAATAACATCACAATTAGTATGCAAAATCAACCCCCTATGAGCAATATGTTTCAAAAATTTAAAGGAATAAAGCCATTTCCTACAAGATTTTAACTTTCTATTACAGTATATTTTAGTCTTAAGATTAAAAATTAATAGTACCTGAAACTTTCAAACTTGTAAATTTTTATGGAGAAGGTTTTTAGCCTTTTTAAACATCAAATATGCTTAAAAATTCAAATTCAGACTACTAAGATACAGTGTAAGTGTCATTTAAATGTTCTATTAGCAGACTTGGAACCATTTATTTAACTTTTCCTCACATAGGTGATATAATGGCTGTTCAAGGATAATCTTAAAAGAACATGTTAACAGAATCCCATTCTTTACAATTTTTTTATTAACTGCTAGAAGAGGCTGTAGTGTTTGCCCAGGTTGCATTTTCTAGCCAAGACTAAATTTTAAAATATGAGTTGTATAATTGCTTCCATAAAAGTGGAGGTAATTTAGAATACTTCGAGAGTTAGTTGGTTTGGGAGAGAATATGTTGGAATACTGACAAGAGTTGGAATGTTGAGAAGGGCCAAGAACAGAACATGAAGTGAAACTGATTTTTCAGAAACAGGGAGTTATAGGAACCATATGGGAAGGAGACATAAAGTAAGGAGTATTTCAAAGGAGAGGTGTGTGGGCAAAGTGGCCTAAAAATCCTGAACAGTGTGAGGAGATATTTAGATTTTATATACTATGTCACTGGTGACTTAGAAAGGGTCAGATTCCATGGAAAAAGGAAACACAGGAGCTGGAGTTTAGGAGATGTAAGATTGAATTATGAGTTGGGTACACAGACATAACAAGTAAAGGCTACATTTATTTATTTATTTATTTATTTATTTTTATTTATTTTTTTGAGACGGAGTCTCACTCTGTCGCCCAGGCTGGAGTGCAGTGGCGCGATCTTGGCTCGCTGCAAGCTCCGCCTCCTGGGTTCACGCCATTCTCCCACCTCAGCCTCCCGAGTAGCTGGGACTACAGGCGCCCACCACCACGCCCGGCTAATTTTGTTTTAGTATTTTTAGTAGGGACAGGGTTTCACCATGTTAGCCAGGACGGTCTCGAGCTCCTGACCTCGTGATGCGCCCGCCTCGGCCTCCCAAAATGCTGGGATTACAGTCGTGAGCCACCGCGCCCAGCCCAGCAAAGGCTACCTTTTTAAGATGTATGGTAATAAAAAGGAGATGCGGTAGTAGCTCGATATAAATAGAATTAGGTAAAAGTATTATCAGAACAGAGTACTCTGGAGCATAAATGTAGCTTGAAAAAGCAGAGAAGGTATAGGGAAGAATCGATGGAATAAATTCTACAGAGGCAGAAGTGCTTGGAATCTGGAGCACTGTGGGAGGATGAGCTAAGAGTAGGGAGAGAAGAATGGTGAAGGTGAAGATTGATGACGACTTTGACGACAGTGAGCAATCAATTTTAAGCACTTATTGTGCACAAGCCGAACATTATGTACCTTATTGCCACTAACTAGGTACTATTATCTCCATTCTATAGATGATAAAATGTTAAGTAACTTGTCTGAGTTTGCACAGCTATTAAGTACAAGAGTTGGGATTTCAACCCATGTCTACCTGACTTGGGAGCCTAAATTCCTAACCACTCGCCTCTGCTTTATCATCATAGTCTTTAACACCACTGCTATGTGAACTCCTATGACTACATGCTTGCTGTCTCGCACAGAATAACCAAACAGTAGTCTCCACACTTCAGGTAATCTATCCTTTGTTCAACCCAGATTCTCTTGCATTTGTAACCTTCTGACCTCCCCGGCAAGGTACCCATTTGCATTTGCACATCCCCACACTAACATGCAGTGAAATAGTCTCTTAGCCACTCTCTTCAGTGCTCCTCAGAGAGGTGACAATCATCAGTAACTGTGACCCCATTGAGAGTGTGGTTTCTGACCACGCTCAAGATTATTTGCTGCAATTGAAGCAGTTAGTAGTTGCTTATTCTTTTCTTTTCCTTGTTTGCAGATACCTATGAAAATGGAAATTATTTTTTGGCAAACTTTATAGCAGCTCAGGTAAGACTAATTTACTACATTTTACAAATCTTTTCCCAGGTGTCTACAGATTAAACATTACAGTTAACTGCGTAAATGTAATATCCCACATCTTAATAGGAGGTTCTTCTTGCCTTTACTTTTATAATCCAGGTCTGTTGTCATTAAAGTAAGGAAGAAACAATCCTTACTTTGGCAGTTTTCCAGTATACTATCTCCATGAAAAGAAACTTGGAATTCATACAATGCTGGGGAAAAAATGGGGCCTTAAATGTGTAACATGTTTTCCAAAGATGAGAAATTTACTAGCTGATAAATTTTGAAAGAAAAATGCTATATAAGCTACTTATTATGCAATAATGCATAAAAGACGACCTCAAAACCTTAGTGGTATCTAACAATAAGCACTTACTTAGCTCATGAGCTTGCAGGGCTCAGAGGATGTGGGTCTGGTCTTGGCTGATCTTTGCTAGCTCACATACATCTCCAGTTAGTCTTGGGTCTATTGGGCTGTTTAGGTAATCTTGGCTGTATTCACATATCTGGGGGGTCAGCTGACTCTCATATGATTTATCATGGCCTTGTGGGAAGGTCTAGGCACGGCTTCTTCATAATTATGGAAGAGGGCTAAAATAAAAATAAAAGTGGAGATCCCTTAGTTCTTTATAATTTTTTTGTATCGAGTTGACTAATTTCCCATTACCAAAGCAAAATCACATGGTCAAGCCCAGAGACAGAGGAGGGACAGAATGCCTCAACTGGAGTGGGAGGGCATTGCAAAACTGCATGGAAAGGGGTATGGATTTGTAAGGGTTGAATATTTCATAACAGTGATGCAATCAATGCACCTTGCATATTAAATGATCCCATTGGTAATCTACATAATTTTAATTAGAGTATGAGGAGAATCATTCTAGGTCAAACTGGATTCTGCTTCTCTATTTTTACCTAGTCACTTTAACCAAGAAGTAATATAGCACAAATCTATTTTTTTTCTATAACAGTGATTCACATATTTGAAGATGTCTCTCAGTTATTTCTTTTGTCTTCTTAGAATTATACATCACCAGGCTAACTTCATATTTTCTCTATTTCCTGCTTATAGTGGTTTCCAGGTCTGATCATTCTGTTTAGACTCCAGTTAACTTAGATTTCTTTTAAAACATCAGAACCGAGAGCATATTTTAGAGCTGTCTATCCAGTATGATAGCCACTAGCCACATGTGGCTATTGAACACTTGAAATGTGACCAGCCTAATTTGAAATATTCAAAAGTTAGCTTAAAAAATTCAAAAATGATTTGTGGGCTTCCTGGGCAAGATGGCCAAATAGGAACAGCTCTGGCCTGCAGCTCCCAGTGAGATCAATGCAGAAGGCAGGTGATTTCTGCATTTCCAACTGAGATACCTGGTTCATCTCACTGGGACTGATTAGACAGTGGGTGAAGTCCACAGAGGGCGAGGAGAAGCAGGGTGTGGTGTCACCTCCCCCAGGAAGCACAAGGGGTCAGGGTACTCCCCCCGTAGCCAAAGGAAGCCACGAGGGACAGTGCTATCTGGCCCAGATACTACACTTTTCCCATGGTCTTTGCAACCCACAGAGCAGGAGATTCCCTCAGGTGCCTACACCACCAGGACCCTGGGTTTCAAGCACAAAACTGAGTGGCCGTTTGGGCAGATACCAAACTAGCTTCAGGAGTTTTTTTTTTTTCATACCCTAGTGGTGCCTGGAACACCAGTGAGACAGAACCATTCACTCCCCTGGAAAGCCAGGGAGCCGAGTGCCCTTGCTCAGCGGATCCCAACCCCACAGAGCCCAGCAAGCTAAGATCCACAGGCTTGAAATACTCGCCGCCAGCACAGCTGTCTGAAGTTGACGTGGGAAGCTCGAGTTTGGTGGAGGGAGGGGCATCCGCCATTACTGAGGCTTGAGTAGGCGGTTTTCCCCTCACAGTGTAAACAAAGCCACCAGGAAGTTCGAACTGGGCAGAGCCCACCACAGCTCCACAAAGCCGCTGTAGCAAGACTGCCTTTCTAGATTCCTCCTGTCTGGGCAGGGCATCTCTGAAAAAAAGGCAGCAGCCCCAGTTAGGGGCTTGTAGATAAAACTCCCATCTCTCTGGGACAGACACCTGGGGGAAGGGGCTGCTGTGGATGCAGCTTCAGCAGACTTAAACCTTCCTGCCTGCCAGCTCTGAAGAGAGCAGTGGATCTCCCAGCACAGTGCTGGAGCTCTGCTAAGGGACAGACTGCCTCCTCAAGTGGGTCCCTGACCCCCGTGCCTCCTGACAGGGAGATACCTCCCAGCAGGGGTCAACAGACACCTCATACAGGAGAGCTCCAGCTGGAATCTGGTGGGTGCCCCTCTGGGATGAAGCTTCCAGAGGAAGGAGCAGGCAGCAATCTTAACTGTTCTGCAGTCTCCACTGGTGATACCCAGGCAAACATGGTCTGGAGTGGACCTCCAGCAAACTCCAGCAGACCTGCAGAAGAGGGGCCTGACTATTAGAAGGAAAACTAACAAACAGAAAGCAATAGCATCAACATCAACAAAAAGGATGACCATGCAAAAAATCCATCCGAAGGTCACCAACAGCAAAGACCAAAGGTAGATAAATCCACGAAGATGAGGAAAACCCAGTGCAAAAAGCCTAAAGATTCCAAAAACCAGAATGCCCCTTCTCCTCCAAAGGATCACAACTCCTCACCAGCAAGGGAACAAAACTGGAGAGAGAACGAATTTGATGAACTGACAGAAATAGGCTTCAGAAGGTGGGTAATAACAAGCTCCTCCGAGCTAAAGGAGCATGTTCTAACCCAATGCAAGGAAGCTAAGAACCTTGATAAAAGGTTAGAGGAATTGCTAACTAGAATAACCAGTTTAGAGAGAACATAAATGACCTGATGGAGCTGAAAAATATAGCATGAGAACTTCGTGAAGCAAACACAAGTATCAATCACTGAATAGATCAAGCAAAAGAAAGGATATCAGAGATTGAACAGCAACTTAATGAAATAAAGCGTGAAGACAAAATTAGAGAAAAAAGAATGAAAAGGAACAAACAAAGCCTCCAAGAAATATGGGACTATGTGAAAAGACCAAACCTACATTTGATTGGTGTAGCTGAAAGTGACGAGGAGAATGGAACCAAGTTGTAAAGCACACTTCAAGGTATTATCCAGGAGAATTTTCCAACCTAGCAAGACAGGCCAACATTCAAATTCAGGAAATACAGAGAACACCACAAAAATATTCCTCAAGAAGAGCAACCCCACGACACATAATTGTCAGATTCACCAAGGTTGAAATGAAGGAAAAAATGTTAAGGTCAGCCAGAGAGGAAGGTTGGGTTACCCACAAAGGGAAGCCCATCAGACTAACAGCAGATCTGTCTGCAGAAACCTCACAAGCCAGAAGAGAATGGGGGCCAATATTCAACATTCTTAAAGAAAAGAATTTTCAACCCAGAATTTCAAATCCAGCCAAACTAAGCTTCATAAGTGAAGGGGAAATAAAATCCTTTACAAGCAATCCATTTACAAGCAAATGCTGAGGGATTTGGTCACCACTAGGCCTGCCTTACAAGAGCTCCTGAAGGAAGCACTAAATATGGAAAAGGAAAAATGAGTATCAGCTCCTGCAAAAATAAACCAAAATGTAAAGACCATTGACACTATGAAGAAACTGCATCAACTAATGGGCAAAATAACCAGCTAGCATCATAATGACAGGATCAAATTCACAAATAACAGTATTAACCTTAAATGTAAATGGGCTAAATGCTCTGATTAAAAGGCACAGACTGGCAAATTGGATAAAGAGTCAAGACCCACTGGTGTGCTGTATTCAGAAGACCCATCTCATGTGCAAAGACACACTAGGCTCAAAATAAAGGGATGGAGGAAGATTTGCCCATCAAATGGGAAGTAAAAAGAAAAAGCAGGGGTTGCAATTTTCATCTCTGATAAAACAGATTTTAAACCAACAAATATCAAAAAAGACAAAGAAGGCCATTACATAATGTTAAGAGCTAACTACCATAAATATATATGCACCCAATACAGAAGCACCCACATTCATAAGGCAAGTCCTTAGAGACCTACAAAGAGACTTAGACTCCCACACAATAATAGTGGGAGATTTTAACACCCACTGTCAATATTAGACAGATCAACAAGACAGAAAATTAGCAAGGATATTCAGAACTTGAACTCAGCTCTGGACCAAGCAGATGTAATAGACATCTACAGAACTCTCCACCCTAAATCAACAGAATATACATTCTTCTCAGCACCAATAGCACTTATTCGAAAATCAACCACATAATTGGAAGTAATACGCTCCTCAGAAAATGAAAAAGAACAGAAATCATAACAAAGAGTCTCTCAGACCGCAGTGCAATCAAATTAGAATTCAGGATTAAGAAACTCACTCAAAACCACACAACTACAGGGAAACTGAACAACCTGCTCCTGGATGACTACTGAGTAAATAATGAAATTAAGGCAGAAATAAATAAGTTCTTTGAAACCAACAAAAACAAAGACACAACATATCAAAATCTCTGGGAGTTTTCAGAGGGAAATTTATAGCACTAAATGCCCACAGGAGAAAACAGGAAGGATCTAAAATCAACACCCTAACATCATAGTTAAAAGAGCTAGAGAAGCAAGGGCAAACAAGTTCAAAAGCTAGCAGAAGACAAAAAATAACTAAGATCAGAGCAGAACTGAAGGAGAGAGAGACACGAAATACCCTTCAAAAAAATCAGTGACTCCAGGAGCTGGTTTTTTGAAATGATTAACAGAATAGTTAGACCGCTAGCCAGACTAATAAAGAAAAAAAGAGAGAAGAATCAAATAGACACAATAAAAAATGGTAGAGAGGAGATCACCGCTGATCCCACAGAAATACAAACTACCATCAGAGAATACTATAAACACCTCTATGCAAATAAACTAGAAAATCTAGAAGAAATTGATAAATTCCTGGACACATACACCCTCTGAAGGTAAAACCAGGGAGAAGTTGAATCCCTGAGTAGACCAATAACAAGGTCTGAAATTGAGGCACTAAATTAAGAGCCTACCAACCAAAACAGCCCAGGACCAGACAGATTCACAGCCGAATTCTACCAGAAGTACAAAGAGGAACTGGTACCGTTCCTCCTGAAACTATTCCAAACAAGAGGGACTCTGCCCTAACTCATTTTATGAGGTCAGCATCATCCTGATACCAACACCTGGCAGAGACACAATAAAAAAAGAAAATTTCAGGCCAGTATCCCTGATGAACATCAATGCAAAAGTCCTCCATAAAATACTGGCAAACCGAATCCAGCAGCACATCAAAAAGCCATGACCAAGTTGGCTTCATCCTTGGGATGCAAGGCTGGTTCAACATATGCAAGTCAATAATTGCAATCCATCACATAAACAGAACCAATGACAAAAACCACATGATTATCTCAATAGATTCAGAAAAGGCCTTTGATAAAATTCAACACCCTTTCATGCTAAAAACACTCAATAAACTGGGTATTGATGGAACAAATATAAAAATAATATGAGCTATTTATGACAAACCAACAGCTAATATCATATTGAATAGGAAAAAGCTGGAAGCTTTCCCTTTGAAAACCGGCACAAGACAAGGATGCCCTCTCTCACCACTCCTATTCAGCATAGTATTGGAAGTTCTGGCCAGGGCAATCAGGAAAGAGAAAGAAATAAAGCTTATTCAAATAGGAAGAGAGGAAGCCAAATTATCTCTATTTGCAGATGATGTGATTGTATATTTAGAAAACCCCATTGTCTCAGCCGAAAATCTCATTAAGGTGATAAGCAACTTCAGCAAAGTCTCAGGATACAAAATCAATGTGCAAAAATCACAAGCATTTCGATACACCAATAATAGACAGCCAAATCATGAGCAAACTCCCACTCACAATTGCTACAAAGAGAAGAAGATACCTAGGAATACAACTTACAAGGGATGTGAAGGACCTCTTCAAGGAGAACTACAAACCACTACTCAAGGATATAAGAGAGGACACAAGCAAATGGAAAAACATTCCATGCTCATGGATAGGAAGAATCAGTATCGTGAAAATGGTCATACTTCCCAATGCAAATCAAAACCACAATGAGATATCATCTCATGCCAGTTAGAATGGCCATTATCAAAAAGTCAGGAAACAGCAGATGCTGGAGAGGATGTGGAGAAATAGGAATGCTTTTACACTGTCAGTGGGAGTGTAAATTAGTTCAACCATTGTGGAAGACAGTGTGGTGATTCCTCAAGGATCTAGAACCAGAAATACCATTTCACCCAGCAATCCCATTACTGGGTATATACCCAAAGGGTTATAAATCATTCTGCTATAAAGAAACAGGCACAAGTCTGTTTACTGCAGCACTGTTCACAATAGCAAAGACTTAGAACCAACCCAAATGCCCATCAGTGTTAGACCAGATAAAGAAAATGTGGCACATATATACCATGGAATAGTATGCAGCCATAAAAAAGAATGAGTTCATGCCCTTTTCAGGCTCATGGATGAAGCTGGAAACCATCACACTCAGCAAACTAACACAGGAACAGAAAACCAAACACTGCATGTTGTCACTCATATGTGGGAGTTGAATAATGAGAACATATGGGCACAGAGAGGGGAACTTCACACACCAGGGCCTGTTGGGGGTGGAGGGCAAGGAGACAGATAGCATTAGGAGAAATCCCTAATGTAGATGACGGGTTGATGGGTTGATGGATGCAGCAAACCACCATGGCACATGTATACCTATGTAACAAACCTGCATGTTCTGCACATGTATCCCAGAACTTAAAGTATAATTAAAAAAAAAAAAAAACATTTGGCTGAGCGTGGTGGCTCATGCCTGTAATGCCAGCACTTTGGGAAGCCAAGGCAGGTGGATCACCTGAGGTCGGGAGTTTGAGACCAGCCTGACCAACATGGAGAAAACCCTGTCTCTACTCAAAATCCAAAAATTAGGCGTGGTGGCGCATGCCTGTAATCCCCACTACTTGGGAGGCTGAGGCGGGAGAATCGCTTGAACCTGGGAGGCAGAGGTTGTGGTGAGCCGAGATCGCGCCATTGCACTCCAGCCTGGGTAGCAAGAGCGAAACTCTGTCTCAAAAAAAAAAAAAAAAAAACCTCATGAATAATTTTATATTGAAAAATGTTGTAATAATAACATTTTGGCTATATCATGTAAATAAAATATATTTTGAAATTAATGTACCCTTTTTCTTTTCACTTTTTAAAAAAATGTGACTACTAGAAAGTATTCAATTACATATATAGTTTCCCTTATATTTCTATAAGATGGCATAGACTTCCATGTTGCCTACTACCTCTTTTTAGCTAGAGTCTATATTTTTTCTGCTGTTATTACATTGTGTTATTTTTTAACACATGTATCAGATGTTTGGCACATATAAATCTCATGGTCAGCTAAGACCTTCAAATTATTCTCATAGACATGATTATCAGGTCATATTGTTCCATCCTGCATTTGGCCTCTCTGAAACTAACTGCTAGACTTTGTATACTAATTAAATTTGTGTATTCTCTGCCCTTAAGAGTAGTTGGGTTGAAGACTCTACATATTTTTTCCTCTCAAATATTATTTTAATGAATATTATTTTAATGATCTGGAAGTCCTGAATTTTAGTTCTATTTCTACTGCTATTATTCAAATTCGGAGAGACACTGTTTAATCTGTGTTTTTTAAAAAATTGTAAAACATTAGATTGCCCTTTAATAACATCTAACTTCAAAATTCCATTTTTCTGATAAATGAATTCTTATTTCTGTGATGTTTGATAGATTATTTCCTTAAGAATAAGGGGCCTGAAATGAAAGAAAGATCGCAACTTTCCTTAGGGGATAACTATTATCAGCGGTTTCCTGGTTGGTAAACCAGCTTGTGGGGGTGGGAGATGATTTGTAACATTTGCTAATTTCTGTAGTGTAGCTTCTCCCACCATCTTAACCAATTTCAAGCATCAGCTGGCTTGCAAAATTCTAGGAAATTTAAAAATCAACTCTCTCAAATCAATAAGAACTAGCTTTAGTACACCCATTTATTTTGAGCTGTATATTTTTTCCTTGATTCTGCCTGCCCAGTAGCAAAAGTCTTGTTCATCCTTCATGATGCCAATTGAACATGTTTCTTTTTTCTCTTCCTACTGCAGCCATCATAATTGAGAAATGCATAGCTTCCCTCTGCTACAACTATCTCCTTGATTATTGCATGTAATCTTCAAAATCTTTCCTTACATACCTAACTGGCCTCACGTCTCTGTTTGCTCAGCACCAGCTATGGTTGTCCTTGCACTCCTCCATGAATGTGGCTTTGTTCAATGTGTCCCTGTACCCCTATTTCCTGTCTCATAATAAATCCTTCCCATGCTTACCAGGAGTTCCGAAGTTACATGTCCTTCCTAAGTTCTCTCTTGACCCTCTTCCTCCCATGTAATTTTTCCTTTCTCTTCACATCCATGAAAAATATCCACTATGATTTTCATTTGGGCCTTCATCATGTGCCACCTCATAATTTATGTCATATTATTTTAACCCTTGTATTGATACTTAAACAATTCATGATTTGGTTAACTTCCTATGTTTCTTGCACACTGTCCTCAGTCTAGGGACTGTTTGCCACACTTCTTTGTTCACTCTAAATTAACTTGTGCAGTACTATGTACAGGGGCACCTTGCGCTTCCAACTTTACCTATGTTATCTAGCCTTGTCGCTTTGGACTACTCACTTCATTTTCCAGAGCCTCAGTTTCCTTATCTCTAAGATAGCAATAATGATATTTTCTTTTCAAAATGATTATAAGAATACTTATGATATAGGGAAAATAACTTTCATAATGCTGGTACAATAAACTTATTTGTGGCATTACCCAATTTATTATAGCAGGTACTCAGGAAGTATGTCTTCATGAAGTGTGTGGAGAGTAGAATTATAGTAACCAGAGGCTGGGAAGGGGTGGGGGCCATAAAGAGAGGTTGGTTAGTGGGAACAAAGAGACAGTTAAATAGCAGGAGTGAGTTCTTGTGTTTGCTAACATACTAGGGTGATGATAGTTAACAACAATTTATTGTATATTTCAAAATAGCTAGAAGAGAATATTTGAAATGTTTCCAACACGAAGAAATGATGAATGTGGCTAGGTGTGGTGGCTCACACCTGTAATCCCATCACTTTGGGAGGCCGAGGCAGGAGGATCACGTGGTCAGGGATTTGAGACCAGCCTGGCCAACATAGTGAAACCCCGTCTCTATTAAAAATACAAAAATTAGCCGGGTATGGTGGCACACACCTATAGTCCCAGCTGCTTAGGAGGCTGAGGCAGGAGAATCGCTTAAACCCAGGAGGCGGAGGTTGCAGTGAGCCCAGACCACGCCATTGCACTCCAGCCTGGGTGACAGAGTGAGACTCCATCTCAAAACAAACAAACAAACAAACAAATGTTGACTATTTGAGGTCATGGATATCCTAAATACCCTGATTTGATCACTACACATTGTATACATGTATCAAAATATCACATGTTCTCCATAAATATGTATAATTATTATGTATCAATAAAAATTTAAATACATAAATAGAAATAGCAAACTAATATAACAAAAGTAAATTTAGGTTTGTTAATATTTTAATATGGACCATAGTCTATCAACAATATGTTATGTATTCTTTTCTCTTTATAAATTCTTTATAGAACATCCTGCAAATCCAGACCATACACAATAAGTATTTGAGTGACTCGAATCCACTAAAAGTTGGGTATATTAGAATCTGGGGTGTGAATACCTATGTGACACAAGTCAGTTTCACCTATGACAACCGGCAATTTATGGAGACAAATTTCAAGAGTGAACCTTATAATCAGGTAGGTCTGAAAGGAATATTAGCATATCACAAGTAAATTTTATCATTCTGCAAAATTATCACCAATAATTTTGCTAACAATTAAAATTATCATTGTTAAATTTTCATGTATTAGATGGTTATAAATACGTGCAATAGATATGTTCCTGAAAAGTTGCAAATGTTGAATCATATTGTAAAATATGCAACATTAATGGTCTTTCCAGTATGGCCTAGGGGTCAGTGATCACTGGCCTGATGAGATCCTCTCCATGTATTTACCAAAGAGACTGTGCTATGTTTTGATAGGTTAGTCTTCCACATTAGCAAAATAAAACTTATTTCTGCTGCAGAGGCTAAAACAAAGGAAAGGGTGATTCCCTAAAGCTGTTGAAGGTTGCCCCCATGCTTCCTGCAGTTATTCATGTCCCTGGTCAAATTGATGGATCTTATAGGTAGACGAAAATTGGCAGTAAACTGTGGTAATCTTCGAATGAATACATCCCACCTGTGGTATAGGATAAAAGGTTGATAAAACAGGGGGACATAAATAGCAGGCCCTACTAGAGGATTCTAGAATCAACTAAACCAGAATTTTGGAAGATGAAATACCAATAGTTACCAAAGGCAACCACAAAGAAAAAAGTATCTCACTTTTAGAACATAAGACAACATAAATACGGAACCAGCAACCCAAAAGGGATGGTTTAGAAAAGTGAAAATGGATAACCATAGTTCTTGTTTTCTAAAACGTGAAATGAGTGCCCTGATGGTATTTGGACTTTGGAAAATGGCCCCTCTGAGCACTCAAATAGATCTTCTCCCTCTAGGCTCTTCTGGGTATTTACCTTAAAGCATTTTACCTGGACTATTGAGTTCAAAACCACTCTTTGCAAGTAATTGCTTCTAGTTAAGATTGTGCAGAAAATCCTTGAATACCTTCTTTTTAAAAACTCTATGGCATATCTGATGCCTATTATGTGCCAGACACCATACTGTTTGAAATGAGGAAAACATGAAACTAACCTGCTGTCAAGAGGACTAAAACCCAATGGCAAAGCAAAGAGATTTTAATAAATGTTGGTTTTAATCACAGCTACAAATATTTGTAAACAATAAGGTTCTGACTAAATGAAGTGAAAAGAAAAGATTTCCAGCATAGGGATTATGCACACAGAGCATCTCTCTGTATTTATCTGACCAAAATCAACATGACCTAACCCAAAAAGGAATGTTTATATCCTATTACTGGAAAGGAATGAATCCATCATTTTTTGTTAAATTGTAATTTAAGAGGTGAGCTACATGTGAGGTTTAAGAAGTTCTAAAATACCCATTTATATCTCTTCTTTTCTGGCAGATACTAACTATTCAATTGACTGACAAGACTATCAACCTGGAAAAGTTAACTGAGGTTACTTGGATTGATGGTGGTCCTGTACTTCCTACTCCAACTAAGACAAGTACCATCCCAATGAGTTCTCATCCTTCTCCATCTACTACCAATGCCACCAGTTCTGAGACAATCACCAGTTCTGCCAGTGCAAATACTACCACTGGCACTACTGATACTGTTCCTATCACAACCACATCTTTCCCAAGTACTACTAGTGTTACAACTAATACTACTGTTCCTGATACAACTTCTCCTTTCCCTACAAGTACTACTAATGCTAGCACTAATGCTACTGTTCCTATCACAACCACACCTTTCCCAACAAGTACTATTGGTGTTACAACTAATGCTACTGTTCCCAATACAACTGCCCCTTTCCCAACAAATGCTAGTACTGCTAGCACTAATGCTACTGTTCCTATCACAACCACATGTTTTGCAACAAGTACTATTGGTGTTACAACTAATGCTACTGTTCCCGATACAACTGCCCCTTTCCCAACAAATACTACTACTGCTAGCACTAATGCTACTATTCCTATCACAACCACACCTTTTGCAACAAGTACTATTAGTGTTACAACTAGTACTACTGTTCCTGATACAACTGCTCCTTTCCCTACAAGTACTACTAGTGCTAGCACTAATGCTACCCCTGTTCCTATCACAACCACACTTTTTGCAACAAGTACTATTGGTGTTACAACTGGTACTACTGTTCCTGATACAACTGCTCCTTTCCCTACAAGTACTACTAGTACTAGCACTAGTGCTACTGTTCCTATTACAACCACACCTTCCCCTACAAATACTGCTGATGCTAACACTAGTAATACTGTTCCTAATACCACTATGCCTTCTCCTACAAGTAGTACTACTGTGAGTACTATTGCTACCGTTCCCATTTCAGTGACTCCTTCTCTGACAAGTACTGCTGATGCCACCATTAGTACTACTGTACTTATTGCCACTACTTCTTCTCTAACAGGTACTACTGATGTTAGCACTAGTACTACTATTAATAATATAAGTACTCCTGTTCAAACAAATACTACTAATGCTAGCACTAGTACTAATGTTGCTAATATAACTGCTACCTCTCATACAAGTACTGATGATACTGTTCCTAATAATACTGTTCCAGTTACAGCTATTCCTTCTCTTGCAAATACTGGTGTTGACACTACTAGCAACAGTTTTTCCATTATGACCACTTCTTTCTCTGAAAGTACTAATGCTATGAACACTACTGTTATTATGGCAACTACTTCTCCTACAAGTACTGATGTTGCTAGCACAAATAATGATGCTTCTATGACAAATTTTCTTTTAGCTACAATGTCTGCTGGTAATATAACTAGTAATAGTATTTCCATAACAACTACTTCTTTTGGTAATAGTGTTCCTTTTGTGACTACTCCTTCTCCAAGTACTGATGCTACTACTACAAGTAATAATACTAATCCTGGCATGACTACTTATTACCAGACTTCTCCTACCATTCCTACCCATACTCTTACTTCTATTCCTAGCTCTATTACTTCTATTTTGAGCATGTTTCCAACAAGTAATACATTCACTACTGATAAAATTACTAATTTTACTACCCCTACAAATGCAAACACCATTATTTTCAACACTCTTGATACAAAAAGTACCATGGTAATAGATGCTACGGTCACTACTACCAGCACCAAAGATAATACCATGAGTCCAGATACAACAGTTACTTCCATAGACAAATTCACCACACACATCACACAGTTCGCTACTCCCCATTCTGCTACTACTACAACACTGGCCTTAAGCCACACCTCATTAGCTCCTACAAATCTTTCTAATCTAGGCACCATGGATATTACTGATGCAGATAACTCCAGCAGTGTTACAGGTAACACGACACACATTTCTGTTTCAAATCTCACAACAGCCTCAGTCACAATAACAGCCACTGGTCTAGATTCACAAACTCCCCATATGGTAATAAATTCTGTGGCTACTTATTTACCTATTACTGCAACTAGTGCTACCACAGATACTACAAATATTACAAAATATGCTTTAAATACTACCACTCCTGATAGTACAGTACATACCTCTGCTACTGCACCTACTTATATTGCAAATGCCATAAATGCTACTCAAGTTCCATGATTACTACTCAAGGCAGGATAGTTACCTCAGATAACGCCTACAAACAACTATTACAGATATAGAAAATCAGTTACGAGACACTCTATCTATCTTATGCTACTTAAGTTTTCACGGATATTAGTACTCTAGCCATAAAAGACACAGCTACTCCAAACACTCTCGTCATTGCAGACATGTTTAGGAAGGTTTACAAACCTTATAGGTTTCACCAAAGAAGCTGTGGGTACTTATTTTGCAACCATAGTATGTGCTCTTATTCTTTTAAATTATAGTTATTACTCCTATAACCTCATCAGTTAAACTACAGATGTTTTATATATCCTATATATCCTTGCTACAGATTTCACAGGTAATTTTGGTATCTCAGATAACACCACATTAGGCTCTGTAAATACTATTGCCTTAGATTTAGTTACTGAAATAGCCCAACTTGTTTCTTGGGTCACATGACGTACCATAACTGAGAGTACTGGTGATACCCCCAGCACTCAAATGGTTTCTATACCAACAGTTATTGATATTACAGGAGAGTATGTAATTAGTAATGCTAAAAAAATGCACTTTATTATCCTATGGACTTTTCCAAATGCCATAGCTACCAATAGAGTCATTTGCATTACACATACTAATAGTATTATTTCTTCTGAGGAGATCCTAGCTGTAGCTACAGATATAGAAAATTCTACCATTGAAGATCTTGTATAACCTTACTTCAGCCACTGAAATAATTTAAATTATAAATATTACATGTGGGTTTGACTATCACAGAAAATAAAATGATTATAGATCCTAAAAACATAAATTCCTGAACTTTGCAACCATTAATTCATAGGTACTACTAATACTCTTACTACAGATTTTATAAGTACTTCCACTTATAGACAGAAGAGCATTCTCAGAAAATTAGAATTAATCTAAATTATGAGATAGTCTTAAAGCCTCACTGTTACCACCAATGACTGGCTCTGACTCTAGTATAAATCAGAAATTATCCAGACAGAGGTGAGAATGTAAATATACAGCATGAGGAAGACAGCCTCCACATTGGAATCAGAGTTCATAATCTTATTTGCATTTTCTTCTATTAATACAAGCTTTTCCCTTATAATTTCACTGTTCAGACTCCCCTTCATTGTGTTAGGGTTTTCAGTCTATTCCTGGTTTTTCATATCCAAATTCATCATCCATCCTTGATCCATTGTTTTCTTAGATCACTCAAACCCCCATGAGTAGACCCATGGTCATTACCAAATCTGGTCATTTGGGTACTATTGTAGGTTTAACCCTAGGGCAATATTCTCGAAGTTTAGTTCAGGGATCCATGGGGTTCCCCAAGACTTTCTGGAGCACACAGCTTCTTCAAATCTACTTTCATAATGATGCTAAGTTATTTGTTTTTTCAGTCTCATTGTCTCATTAGTATACAGTGGCACTGTCCAGATGCTCTATGCTGTATTGTGTCATAAAAGATGAATATAGAAAAAGAAAAAAGAATCTAGCTGTATTCTATTAAGCTAGACATTAAACAGATTTACAAAATGTAAAATAATGTCATTCTTCTAATTTTTTTTTGCTTTGGGAAATACAGTTATTTTTCATTAAAAACATATTTATGTTATCACAAAGTGAATATGTTATTTTTTATGAATGAAAAATAAATATTTAAAAAATATTTTACAAATGACTCAATTTTGATTTCTAATGCAGTAAATATTAGCAGATATAACCCACATAAATAAAGCACAGTGCCCTCACCAATTTTGAATGTAAAGGGGTTCTGAGACTAAAGAGTTTGAGAACAACTTCCTTTAAGTGGGCAGAAACATCGTATTTCCACTCTCATGTCCTGGTCAAGTATATTATCAACTTCCCCAGCATGTAGGTACTCCAGCATCTGTGGCTTACTCAACATGAATATCTTTCCACTGTCTACAAACACATCTACCCAGCTTTTTGATCTGTCAGCCCAGCTGTACTATTGTCCAGACAATTTGATGGTACTCCAGATGAGGGGCACAGATTCATCAGTCAGCAACATTTGCTTTTGGAATCTGCCCACAAGCTACAGTCCTCTGAACAAAGTTGATAGACCTTATTCTTGTGTATACATGACTCTTGACCTTCCAACTCAAAACAAAACTCAAAATTCTATGGGCTTGGTCAGACTCCCTCGCTTGTATCTTTACTGAGGGAGACTTAGTGCATTTGTCTTCTTGGCATCACAAACTCTGATACAGGACAAAGTGCTCTGTGTGATAGGGCACCATGAGATTCTGCTGCCAGGCCACCATACATTGCTCATTCACTGACCAACAACTTCATTAAAGCAGCTGGGATTTGGAAAACTGAAGATGAATCTGCTTGAACAAGCATAGTTCTGAAGCCACCAAAGTCCAACCTCTTAAGTACGTAAATGGAACATAATTGAAAGCATGGAATTTTGAAAAGGTAAGAAATACTTTGAATATACAAAAGTCTTGACTTTGGTCAGATGTTTGAAAAGACTTGAGAATTGAAACTCAGGAGTCAATGCACAAGTAGTGGTCCTGGAACCAGGTTCAGAAAACATGAGGGCAATGTTGACATGCTAATTCTACCATTGACAACACTAGCAAAACCTGTGCATGGACTCTGATTTATAAGGTCTAGAGAAACTTCTAAGCTCCATAATGACTGGCCCCGCTGGGTCACCCACATGTGTGATATTAATTCTGCACTAATGATTATAACTTATGTTCTAAGTATAAAGAAATTTACTTTTCTACACTTCTGGTACTTGACACATTCCTACCTTTACCATTACTGTGGACATCATTATTTTTACACCTAAAATTTCTAGTTATTAATTTAAACTTCAGTTTCTAGTATTCCAAGCATCGCTATGTAAACACTATTCATGTTGACTATTTAAGAGATGTCACACATACTGCATGATTAATTTTCCAGTGAGGAATATAGATGACAGATGTTTTGGATTAACAGGAAACTCACTGGGAGTCTAAAGGTATTTAGGAATACTTCAAGGAGTAAGGGAAGCTGGGAGGTACCCTGTAGCACAAAAAAGAGTCAAGAAAAGCCTTTCAGGTGGGGAATGCACTGGACAAAGAGACTGACTTTACATGGTGTGATTAGGAGATATAAAATAGTCCACTCTTTTCTACAGCAGGAGCATTGTGAGAAGAGACAAGATTTAAAGTTTATCAAGTTCCATCACCAAACTTCCGTGTATATGAGATTAGACATTCAAATGAGGGTTGAAAGAGCATTCATACCAGTAAAGGAACTTACAGGGCTAGAGAATGCTTTGGTTTCCACATCCCTTTCCCCATGGGAGAGTGGAGTGGTGCTCTGTGTGAAGGGCACTGCAGAAGAAGTGCTCGATGGAGATTAAGAGTGCCTGTGAGGAGCTGGGACTGGCATCTCACTCCCAGCTGGGCACTCGCTGAACTGAGAAACTCTTGCCTCTCTTCCCCATCAGATGATACAGTGGAGCATGGAGCATGGGCAAGGTTTCAGAAACCTCATCATGCATCTCCCAGAGTGTGGAAGCCAATGAAATCACAAAGAATGGCGCTAGAGTCTTGCCCAGAGAATTCCAAAAGTGGCAGAGATTGGAGACCCTGCAGTAGTGGATGCAGAGCCAGGGAAGTAGTGGTGCATCCTGGACTCAACAGTGTTCAATGGACAAGGAAGCTGAAGCTCCTCAGGTGGGTGTGGGGAGATGGCTGGGCTAGGGCTGTCATGAAGCAATCTGTCCAGTGGAGAAGGGACTCTAGTGATGAGAGGTCGTGGATGGACTTCCAAGAGTGGAAACTAAGTTTGTAGTGGGGAGAGGTCAAAATAGGTCATGCAGATTGCATCTCACCTCATGTTAGATGCTGCACAAGGGGCCTCTGAAAAACTCACTAATGTGCCCATGGGAAGAAATCAGCACTGGGGTCCTCTCACACTGAGGGTACCTGCGGATGCCTTGCCATAGCATCCATCACATGGGAACCTTTGTCTTTTCCTTTAATTTCCATCTGGCTGTGAAGGATACCCAGAAACAGTCAAGGAAGAGGAGAAGGAGAATATGGAAGTGTAAAAGCATAGACCGTAATCCCCTTCCTCACTGCTGGAGGTGGTCTCTGCGGAAGGAGAAAACTTGACATGGATGTGAAAATGACATACCGATTTAGATGATACAAATTCTTGAAAACTTCCAAATGACCAGAAAGTGATGAGGTCTGTTGACGGGATAAGAAAAGAATTTCAACTCAGCATTGAGGAAGAGGGGCTAAGATTAAGAAAAAATGAAAAGCTTGAGAATGCTGAAAAGACACACACTGCCTCATTTCACATTGCTCTTACCTGTTAGAATGATGGGTGAACATTCATCCTTAACTTTGTAATGCTTTATAAATCTCTTATTCCAAGGAAAAGTGGAGAATGGCTTGGAGTACAAAAGTTAGATCTGGGCCCCAAAGGACGTTTGAGGTTTTCTCACCTTAGCCAATCTCTGGTGGCTTCAGAGAAGGTGGCTTTGGAAATTTTTTACTATGTAATTGAGAAAAGTTTGGCTCAAGAGAAGAAGTAAAGGGGTCTGTACAACCTATGGGTCTTGTTACTTAAAAACAACTTCTTATATTTGCACAATAATCCATAGTTTGCAAAGGGCCTCACATAAATGTTTTATTTTGTTCCACTCCTGCTGTGAGGCAGAGAGGGAAGAAATCTTTACACTTTTTTTCTCAGAGGCAGAAAGGAAGACTTAGAAAGGTTAAATGACTTCTTCAAGAACACAGAGTCTTAAAACATAGTAGAGCTTGGCCTTCTGATTCACTTCCTATTACCCGTCTGCTTCAGGGTCCCATCTCCTGAGGAAAGTCCATCTTTGCCATGATGTGATGAACTAAAATAAAATAAACAAAAACCCACTTCTAGAACCAAATAAGTCTTGTAAAAGAGTCCTGATATTATTCCTATCTATTTACGTGACCTGGATCAACTTGCTTGAATTATCTGAGCCTTATTTAATTCCTTCATTGGTAAAATGGAAGGATTGAGAGAGTGCCTAGGAAAATATCTAGTGTAGCAAGAACCCATAATTTGGTATTCTTTTTGGCATATCAAAACATCTTGTAACCTTGAATATATACAATTTTCATTTGTCAATTATACCTCAATAAAGCTGGAAGAAAAAAAAAGAGCTGACTACTCTATTCCTTACTGCTAATACACCAAGATGATACGTCTGGCTTCCTAGGTCCTCTCTCCCAAATTCTTCCCTTTTTGATAATAATTTTAAAATGAACAATAAATAGATAAGTTGTGGTGAGGTTGCCAATGTGTTAGAAACATTGAGTGGAACTTACGAAAAGGAACCCCTTATGAAAGTTGTAAGATTCAAAATGGAGTCACTTGTGCCAAACCCTGGCAAAATAGAGTTGGGGAAGGTCCTGAAGAGAGGGCTCTCACACAATTTGTCTGATAACAGGAACTATCACAGGACATTTTTCCAAACTGCAGCTTTTTACATGAGTCACGCCAAGACAGCTAGCTGCCTACACAAGAATACTTGCCTGACACACTGTCTCACAAACCTAATCCCTGCAAGGGAGCTACAGTAACTTCCAGGTTACAAATCCCACCTAGCAACTATAGACTGTTGCCAATCACAACTCGCCAGCTCTTGTAAGACACTGCTAGTGCCAATGAACTTTCTTTCAAAACGACTTGCATAACCTTCTCTTTCCCCAATAAAACTCTAATGTTTTTCTTTGTTCTCTGGATATAGCAGAGGCCACCCTGTTGTGCCTGTATCCCAAATTGCAGTTCTGTTTTCACATTTTAATTCCAAATAAAAGTTCTGTGCTTTGGGAACATCTCTACATTTTTTCTTGGAAGTTGACACCCTTTAACTCTGCCTTTGCTTTCCTTCTTACCCTCTTTTGCTGGGTGGAAATGTGGAGTCAGACAGTAGCAATAGTGAGTTGGCTCTAGATGCCCACAACACCTTGGAGGGGGAGCTGGAGAGCAGCTCTGCATGCAGAAAGTAGGTGTGGGCGGAGTAGCTCTGTCATGTGCCTCCACACAGGAGTGAAGCTTGACATGGAACATGGTCACCATATGCCATTTGCGCCTCCCTCTAATTCAATGACTTCTCAAAAAAACCACCATTTTAATATATTTATTATTCATTTTTAAATTTCCTTTTACTTAAATTACTAATGCATTGGCAGTTTTTGTAGATGAAGATTCTTATTTATTGACTGTCTACAAAAATAAAATTGTAATCTTTCTTAATAAGAGGAAAACCCAAATTTTTGAGGGTGAGCTATGCAAAGAGCCTCTTCAGGGTGCATGTGTTTGGACATAGAGGTCGCAGTAGAGGGAGAATTGACAGACCTTGTGGTCCTAAATCTTCCCCTGGGAGGTTAATTGCTCCTTAGTGGTCACTTACTGATAAATGGCACCTCCATATGCTGACATCAGGCAGAAGTGGAGTGCTGATGCAGGACAGGCAAGCCCCCAAATTGGGGCTCAGCCAGACAGGGTTCTTGGCTTTCCCCAGGAAAGAATTCAAGGGCAAGTAGGTGGTGCTAAACAGAAACTTTTACTGAAGTGGCAGTGCATAGCAGCAGCAGAGGCAGTGCTTCCTGTGGAACAGGGCTATGCTGTAGGCAGTGCACCCAGAGTAGCAGCTCAGAGGCAGTTCTGCAGCCTCATTAATACCTACTTTTAATCACATGTAAATTAAGGAGCAGGTTATTCAGAAATTTCTAGAAAAGGGGTGGTAACTTCCAGGTCATTGTCATGGAAAGGGTTGTAACTTCTGGCTGTTACCATGGCAATGCCATGGCAATGGTAAACTGGGAAGAGGTCGACTGACATGGCATTGGTGGATGTGTCTCAGGGAGAGATGCTTTTGCCTCTTCACTATTTCAGCTAGTCTTCAAACTGGTCTGGAGTTCAAGCCTTACCTCAGTGCTGCTTCCAATACTCTGTCCAATACTGATTGTTATCTTTCTCTTATTTTAGAGTGCAGTTGAGATAAGGTGGAACCACTGAATGTTTTAGGAAAGCATACTAGACAGGAAACAAGAGTATAAGAATTATGATCATTTTCTCTGTAAGGTAAAATCCATCCTTTCTTCCTGAGTTCTCAGAGAAAGGATGTCTGAGCTATGTCTGCCTGTGAATTAGTCCATTTTTCTCTTTCTTAGGTCCTAACTTTCTTCTTCCTTTCCAGAGGGCAGTCCCAACAAGACGACAATTAGTTATTTGAATAAAAGGGCAGTTTCTTAAATCTACTAAAGATTTAATCTACTAAATTTAATCTACTGAAGACCCTGTGCTAAACATTTTAATTCTATAGGCATGTGAAATGACAGAAAAACAAAACTGTTGTTCAGAGAGTTAAGCAACTGGTCTGATACTGTTTATCAGGTTAAGTGTTGGAGAAACGATTACAATGAGATCTGCCTGCCTGTAAATAGCATTATAATTTCAAACTTCCCCTGAGGAAGAACCTTGGGGTTCCTAAAAGCTGCTTTAGGATGAGGGAAGGTCAAACTCTTCCTTCCCAGTTGTATCAGAATTGCTTTGTTTTTTGTGTTTTCTCTTCTGTATTTTTGCATAAGATTTTATTTGAAGAAAGGGCATCATTGCTTAAAAAAATTGAGGAAAACCAATTCTGAACAATGCCATACTTTCGATAATTTCTGCTGTATGAGTTAGACAGTATTTTGTGGGCTAGCTCAGGAACCTAACCAACATGCATTCTAAGTAGGAAGCATATTACCTATAAATCAGCTATCAGAACACAATCTCCATGTAATCTAAATACTTTATGTCAGGATACAAAGATGGCCAAATTGAAGAAATCCTTAAAGCAAATGTTGGGAGATGAGGAGAAGTGAATGAAAGTCTCTTCCTCATGATGGCGGGAGATACCTGGTTCTCAGGAGAGGGAAGACTACAGAGCTTGTCTGGGACTTAGGCTGCCTTGGCCTCTAGGACTTGCCCCATCTGTTGTGCAAAGGATAGACTGAAGAAACAGCTCTACTGTTTTTGAATAACCTCTTTACTACGACCTGTTACTCTCCTGTCATGGCAACCCAGAGAAGCATGGGATTTTTTTTTCCATTACATGATGTTTTCCATTTAATGGGATTATAATATGAACTATGCATTTAAAGGTAGTATTCTCCATTTTTTCCAAGTCTTTGTTTTTTTATTTTTATTCATTTATTTAAAAATACAATTTCAATTTCATTTTAGATTCAGGGTGTGCATGTGCAGGCTTGTTACCTTCGTATATCATGTGATGCTGAGGTTTGGTGTATGACTGATCCCACCACACAAGTAGTGAGCATAGTACCCAACAGTTTTCCAAATCTCATCCCCCTCCTTCCCTCCCCACTCTAGCAGTCCCCATTGTTTGTTGTTGCCATCTTTAGGCCCATGAATAGCTAATGTTTAGCTCCCACTTATAAGTGTGAACATGTGGCATTTGCTTTTCTGTTCCTGCATTAATTTGTTTAGAATTATTGCCACCAGCTTCATCCATGCTGCTGCAGAGGACATGATTACATCCTTTTTATGGCTTAGTATTCCACGGTGTATATGTACCAAATTTTCTTTATAACAAGGAATTTTTGAACTTGTCATTTGTGGTTGTGTAGGGAATTAATCACATTGTATGGGGAATGATGTCTTAGGCAAAAGTCAGCTTGATAGCTATCATTTACATTATTTTGTGGCATTGTACTAAATGTATTACATGTGTTATCTAAGTAAATATGCTGAATACAAGTCCAGGAATCTTTTCACTTGATTGGACTTGGCTTTTACGGAATTTTCCCAGACATAAGGGAAAACTTTGTGGCATAGCATTTAATAATTCTGGCTCTGCCATCAGATGACAAGGGTTCAAATCTCACCTCTGCTACTTAGGAACTTGCCATCTTGTGATAATTATTTAACTTATATAAGCTTCAATGTCCTCATTTATAAGATGGAAATAATGTAGTATTTCTTTATATTTCTAGTAGTACTTTTTGTTTTTTTTGATACAGAGTTTCGCTCTGTCACCCAGGCTAGAGTGCAGTGGCACCATCTCGGCTCACTGTAGCCTCTGTCTCCAAGGTTCAAGCGCTTCTCCTGCCTCAGCCTCCCGAGTAACTGGGATTACAGGCATGCGCCACACATCCAACTAATTTTTGTATTTTTAGTAGAGATGGGGTTTCACCAGGTTGGACAGGCTGGTCTCGAACTCCTGACCTCAGATGATCTGCCTGCCTCGGCCTCCCAAAGTGCTGGGATTACAGGCATGAGCCGCCGCGCCCGGCCAGCAGCTTGCTACTTCTGAGTCCTGAGTTCAGCTGGCTCAGACGCCAGATCCCAATACATATAGCAGACTCCATTGGACCTGCACTAAGAGCACCACCTGTAGGGGCTGTTGCTTCAGGTGGACACTTTTTTTCCTTTCTTGCCTCAGTTCCCACATCTGGAGGATGAGGCAAACATCTGAACTACAATAAAGTACATGGAAATGCATTTTCAGTCTGTAAAATGCTGCACAAAGGTTTACTATTATTTATTATTGTTATTCTATAATTCCCTGAGTGTTCTGATGTCTATTGCGGGTTGTTTTTTAAGTTTTGTTTTTGTTTTTGTTTTTTTTGTCTTCCTTTTTCTTCCCCTTGGATCTTCTGGAAGCAGAGAAGTTTCTCTTTAGTGCTGGTGAAACAGGAGAGTTCCCTGATTCCCCCCTGCAGGACATGTGACAAGGGTGTGGCCTGCTTGGTCGCCCTGCAGCTCAGCCCCCTGTAGGGGGAGCATGCAGACAGGCAGGCGTGGAGGCCAGCATGAGCGCTTCTGGGCTCCGGCCCCAGGGCAGTGTCTAGGGACCGGTGTCTGAGACTCCCGAAGCCCAAGTGGACGTGTCTTACTAAGCTCTTTTAGATATTCTGTCTGCAGATGGCTTGTGTGTTAATCAGCTTAGTGGATCCTCTGCCTTATCCCAAGGGCAGTGGGCCAGAGTGACAACCTTCTGCATCCCAAGTCCTTGCCCAGTGTATTGGAAGAATCAGATCACATGTGGGCTCGAAGGATGAGTGCAAGATTTTATTGAGTGGTGGAGGTAAACGTTTTCTCTGTTTCAGTCAGTCAACAACCGCATGTAATTACTTAATTTTAATACAAAACTAGGATCAGAGGGTAGGAGCTGCGGTGTGAAGAGAACTAAGAGCCCCTTCAAATATATGGGAATCTAGGTTTTCTGGAGAGCTAGGTACTCTGCTAAAAAGAAATAAGGAAGAAATAAGAATAAGAGATGAGGAAGGGGGGCTGTGACCACAAGAGATAAATAAGATTATCTCTAGCCAATGACTCTCCCATAGTCAGAGGACGCCTAAAAGCAGAGTTGAATGTTGACTCTCAGTCTGCTGAATACAAATCCAGGGATCTTTTCACTTGATTGGACTTGATTTTTATGGAATTTTCCCAGGCATAAGGGAAAACTCTGTGGCATAGCATCTCATGAGATGAATGGGGAGCCAGAGAGGGGGGATGGAGAGGGAAGGTGGTCTTCCCCTGAGTTGGGCCACCCATCGGTGGGAGAAAGACTCTCCTCCAACCGCCCCCAGCTGAACTCCCCTAGGGATCCAGACCTCCTTCTTCTCTCTTTCTCTGCCTCTTGTTCTGTCATTGCTGTTCTGCTGGTTCCAACATTCAGCAGCTTGCTTGCATGTGCCCACTAAGGTCTACGGTTTATATGGGGGCAGGATGGGGGGCATGGCGGGCCAAAAGGCAATTTTTAGGGTACAAAAACAGAATTGCCTGTCCTCACTTAGGGCCATGGGTCTTCAGACTTGAGGGTGGGGCCTTTTCCAGGGAACCACCCTCTTCTACCCAGAATTTCCCCCTCCTGTCTGTATCACTGGTGCTTTATAATAAGGCTGCTCTGAGTCCTTTTTTCAAATTGAAGTTTTGTGAGGGAAAGCTATCTCCAGAGGTGTCTCTAGTGTGTCTCAAACTGTGATTCTGGGTAAAATTGGCTCTTATTTGAGCTGGAAGAAAATGTTTCACTGCTAAATTAAATAATGCTCATCTTTCCTCACTTTATAAAATAGTTAATGGATACAGTTATCCCAATTTTATGTTATTTTTCAATGATTTTTTTTCTTAAACCTCTTATGTTTGCTGCTATTTATTTGTTGCCTTGTAGAAGCTCTAGCTAAGCACAAAATGTATGAACAAATAACAGGCGGGAAAGATTTTGAAACAGTCAGTAGGGTTTCTATTGACTGTATTGGTGTGGTTGACCATTACTTTATATGGCAAAACTCACATTTTATACAAGTAAAATTTTCTTTGGTTTGTGTGATTAAATTGAACATAGTGTTTCATCATGTTCTTTTTTTTTGAGACAGAGTCTCGCTCTGTTGCCCAGGCAGGAGTGCAGTGGTGCAATCTCAGCTCACTGAAACCTCTGCCTCCCGGGTTCAAGCAATTCTCCTGCCTCGGCCTCCTGAGTAGCTAGGATTACAGGCATGGCTAATTTTTGTGTTTTTACTAGAGACGGGGTTTCACCATGTTGGTCAGGCTGGTCTCGAACTCCTGACCTTGCAATCCACCTGCCTTGGCCTCCCAGAGTGCTGGGATTACAGGCGAGTAATCCTGTATGATTATACCGCCACCATTCCCGGCCATCATATTCTTCTAAGAACACTGTTATTTGATGGTGATCCACAGAATAAATGTGAACATTATTGCTGAGAGAGACTTTGGCTTGTCTCCTGCTCTGGCAGTGAGATGTTGAGTTTTACAGTGTTTTTCCAAAGCAGACTTGTGTCCAGCCTCAGCTGAGGTGTACACAGGATGCTAATTGTCCCTCAACTTGTCTGCACATCGTTCTACTTATACTCACTTATGTTTTGTCAAAATATGATATTAATATTAAAATATTTGTTGAAATAAGTTACAAACATTTTATAATCTATACAAATAATTCACATTTGAAGTAGAATATTATTAAGATATAACATCTTGGTATTTTTCAATGTATTCTATTTAACATTCAATTTTTAATATTCAAATTATTATCATTCACTACTCAATCTAACCCCGTTTATAAAGTTGTATAATTTTACAACTGCAGGGAATATTATGGATGACTTTATACAACTACTTAATTTTACTGCTGTGGAAAGTGAGGTTCATAGTGATTAAATGATTAAGCAATTTGCAAAAGTATTATGGCTTTGTAGTTTATTGATCTTTCCACCACATGGTCCCCAGCTCTGTTTAAAAATATTTCTGAGAACTTAAAGAAGTCAGCTCCTCCTCTGCACCAGGCACTGACCTGTTGCCAAGAGACTTGTCCAAGCCAAGTAGTGGTGGCCAAGAGAGTCTTGTCCTTGGAGAATATACATTCTATTAGGGTAGGCTATCAATAAATAGGTGAACAATTGCATAATGATGAGATTTCAGGACTCTGCTGCCAGTGTGAATGTGTGCATGGACACTGGCTACCCACACCTCCCCTTCACTTTGCCATGGCCACCAGTGTGATCATGCACACAGAGGGCAGCAGGCCCTGCCACAGGTGCAAATGCAAGCACAGACCTCGGCAACCCTGTCCCCACCTATGACTCACTGCTGGCATGAGCATGTGCAGGAATGTCACAGCCCCGCTTCTGCCAGTATCCCCCTGCCCCAGCCAACATGCATGCATCCTGCTGTGCTGTGCCACGGCTGCCAGCACAACCCGTCGGAGTGTTGTGGCCAGTGGACCAGGAATACCTCGGCCCCCTCAGCACAGTAGGTTCCTAGCCTTGAGGGGCCAGAGAAGAAAGCTGGGGTCCTGGAACCAGCTCCCCAGGGTTAGAGCACACAGCTCAGGAGTGCTAAGCTGAGTCTTGGGACCCAAAAATCTTCCAGAAACAACCCCAGGGAACTGAACCCACCTTATACCACAGTCAAACCCCCAAGGGCATCAAAGAAAATAAAAGCAAGTAAACAAACAAAAAATCATCCAAAGTATAGTGCCTTCAAAGATTGAAGAAACATCAGCCCACACAGTGAGAAAGAACCAGTGCAAGACGTCTGGCAACTCAAAAAGCCAGAGTGTCTTCTTACCTGCAAATAACTGCACTAGTTCCTCAGTAATGGTTTTTCGCTAGGCTGAAATGGCTGAAATGTCAGAAATAGAATTCAGAATATGATTAGGAATGAAGAACATCAATATCCAGGAGGAAGTTGAAACCCAATCCAAGGAATCTAAGGTATCCAATAAAACAATATAGGAGATAAAAGACAAAATGGCCATGTAAAGAAATAACCAAACTGATCTGATAGAGCTGAAAAACTCGCTTTGAGAATTGCAGAATACCATCACAAGTACTAACAGCAGAACTGACCAAGCTGAGGAAAGAGTCTCAGAGCTTGAAGAATGGATCTCCAAAATAGTCAGAAAAAAAGGAAAAACAATAAAGAAGAGTGAACAAATCCTCCAAGAATTATGGGATTATATAAAATATGAAATCTATGACTCACTGGTGTCCCTGGAAGAGAAGGAGAAAAAGCAAGCAACTTGGAAAGCATATTGAGAATATTGTCCATGAAAATTTCCCCAACCTCACTAGACAGGCCAACATTCAAATTCAGGAAATGCGGAGAACCTCTGTGAGATATTACACAAGACAACAATTCCCAAGACACATAATCATCAGATTCTCCAACGTCGAAATGGAAGAAAAAATGTTAAAGGCAGCTACAGAGAAGTGACAGGTAATCTACCAAGGGAAACCCATCATGCTAAGAGCAGACATTTCAGCAGAAACTCTACAAACCAGAAGATACTGGGGGCCTATAGTCAAGAACTCTTAAAGAAAAGAAATTCCAACCAAGGATTTCATATCCAGCAAAACTAAGCTTTGTATGCAAGGGAGAAATAAGTTCCTTTTCAGACAAGCAAATGCTAAGGAAATTACTTACCACCAGACTGCCTTACAAGAGGTCCTTAGGGAAGCGCCAAATACAGAAAGGAAAGACCATTACTGGCCAAGAAGAAGACTTAACTATCTAAAGTATATATACACTCAACATTGAAGCACCCAGATTCATAAAACAACTACTTGCTTAATGATTTATTCTTTCTATGAAGCACATGATGATGCCATCAGCTGTGAATCAGAGATGTAGGGAGGTGGTTGTTGGAAGCTTGAGAAAGAAGGTGAAACAGCCATCCTGGAAAGCAGAAACATTAAAAGACAAGGGACCTACTTACACAAGGATCAAAAGCTGTGTTGTAAGACAGTTTGTCACAAACGCACGAGTGCTGTTTCTTCTGCAACAGTCAGCTACATGGGTACAACTGAAGGAAAAAAAGGTAGGTAGAAAATTTGGCCAGAATTGAGATATTACTATGCAAATATGACAGAAAGAGAGAGGGAGTTAATAAAGGTAAGAGTGTTTGTAAGGAAGCAGTTATAGTTCTGGCCCATGGAATCTGGCCTGGGAAAGAAGGGAAGTTAGTACAATAAAAGACTGAGTTCAAGAAACTGAGAGGCTGGTATGCTGGACAGAACCACTCTGTGAATATCGATATTTCCAAAAAGACACAGGAGGAGTGGTGGAAGAAGAGACAGTTGATTGTAGTCATCAAGGGATGAATGGTGTGACTTGCAGAGGACATTGGATGACAGCAGCAAGCAGCTGTGTTCTTAGTACAAGCTTTTCAAAGGAGCTCGGGTTTGAGAGAAGGAGAGAAATTGGAGAGGGGAGCAGGGAGGATGTCAATCTACCTCCACTTCTTACAAAGAGATGGTAGAAACTTTCAGAGAGTTTGTTGCTTTCTAAAGGTCTTTTATTGTGGAGGGGTTTGAGAGAAGGTGTGGGATGGGGTTAGACTGGGGCTGTGCAGAGCAGTGTGAGGATGAGGGCCTTATGATGGTGAGTTACCCCAGAGGATTATATTGTGGATGGTGATTTAGTATATGGGGTAGTGAGCAAGATAGGAATGGTACTCTGGTTGGAGAGTAAGCAGTGATTTCCCATGGCTTGAGGGTTTTCTAGATCACATTAGGCAGAGGAAAACCTCAGAAAAGGTGATTTCAATCCAGTTGAGGGTTGATTTATTTGAGGAAAAGATGCTTAAAGATCTCCAGGGGATTACTTTCACCCAATACTAGATGTTTTACCATGTGATCATTACAAGAGTAATACAAGCTATTCTAATTTCAGATTAGACTAGACATTATATTTTTCTTTCTGGCAGATTATAATTTATGATTACAACAATTCCTGTGACCTGTATGAAGACACATATTTCTAATTTCAGCTTGAGAGAAATTTAGTCTTTTATTGGATGATTTAAGTAGATGATTAGTCAGAGGGAAAATTGGTAATATAGAGGACAGAGTGTATTATAAGATGCAACAGAAACTTTTCTCCAATATATGCCCAGATAAAAGTACACCAGAGTAGGAACAGAGTTTAGGGCATATGTGGTTTAAAATTTCCACCCATAAAAGAGTTTCGTCCACACCACATCTTTCCAATCTCATCAGCATGTGATTTATACATCCTCAAAAGGTTGCCCATTAAATTTTTGCTCATTACTTATTTTAAAAACGTTTTTGTCGGTACTGAGATAAATTCTGGCTTCCCAGAGGTCTACCTATAAGCTTTAATTTTTCATGTTAAACCATCTCTCTGATACTGTTTCGCTTTTTAGATAATGGCTACTATTTTCTTACCAGTCATCCAGATTAAAACTCCTTATTCCTCTAAAACATCTGTCTCATGACATGTAGCTAAAAAAGAATATATATAATATATATATTTATTTGAATTCTACCATCTTGTGGTTATTTAAGTAGTTGTCTATAAAATCCTATATATGTATTTTGCAGCCTTAAGCCATGCATGTTATTACTCGTTATGCCAGACAGCTTGACAGCTGAAATTAGTCCAAGGGTCCAGGGCTCTACTATAGCTTGGAGATGGAAAGTTCTCTGCTCAGAGTGAAAATTGGTCAAGAATGCTTGCTTGGGAAAACGTGCAGGTGTTGTTTAGAAACAACATTTTTCTAATTTTTTTTCCAGGTTACTCTTTCTCTCCCTGATTTCCACATTTTTAATACTGTTTTTATATAGATCCTGTGCTGGTTTCTTTGCTTTAATTAATATTTCATTTTCAAATAAGCTCAAACTTGGAGAAAAGTTGCAAGTATAGTAACAAATTCCAGTATTCTCTTTATCCATTTTTCCCAGTTATCTCCTGTAAATTACAAATTGTTCACTATATTTACTTTATCACTTTTCTCTTTTTCTCTCCTCCTTTCCCCCCTCTCTATCTCACAAACATTCGACAGTTTGTATACAATGTGTTTCGTTATCACAAAAATACTTTAGTATGTATTTCCTAAAAAGACAAGAACGTATTCTCACATAACTACAACATCATCATCCAAACCAGGAAATTAACATGCATACACTACCACCACACAATGCACAGACACCAGGCACATTTCACCAATTGCACCAATAATGTCCAATATAGGAAGCACAAACAACAGCAACACAAAAGAAATTAGTCTGCGAGCACAATTGCATGTCGCATTTAATTGTTTCATTGTTTTATTTTGCTTGTTTTTTACTCCCCTCTATTCTGGAACTATTCCTTGGTTTCTTTTTTTCTTTCATAATTTTGACATTTGAAGATTACTAGTCAGTTATTTGTAGAATATCCCTCATACTTGAGGGTTACCTAATATGTCCTCGTGATTGCACTGAGGTTATGCATTTTTGAGGGAAATAACACAGGCACGATGTTGAGCCCATCTCAGTGCTCCCTATCAGGAGCCACACAATGTCCATCTGTCCATTATCGCTGATGTTCTGTGGGGTTACTTGGTTGAGGTGGTGTCTTCCAGGTTTCTAAAGCTACTATTTTGTCTCAACATAAATAATAAATATACTGTGAGAAGATACTTTGAAGTTATGCAGCATCCCATTTGTTAGTTGTGGCATCCATTGATGATTCCTGCCTGAATCAATTATTACTCTCAAATTTGCTAAACAGTGATTTTGTATCTCCTTATTCCTTTTGCCTTTGTTATTTTGCTTGGGAAGAACTTGTCTTTCTTTGCTATTTATTTATTGAGTGATGTTTGGTAATAGCCACTTCCTGAGGCCTCTAAACGTGCCACTTCTCTGAGATCCCACATATTCTCATGATCTAGCAACTAAAATTCTAACTACAGGAAATCAGGGGGCTTCCAGGATTTGTTTCCACTGATGTCCATTTTGACTGGTCAGTGCCTGTGCTGTGGCTTAAATGTGTGATGTTAGAATGTGATTCCTGTTCCATCCAGGAAGTAGACTGGTGAAGAACATTTGAACTTCTAATTCAGGGGTCCTCAGTCTTAATAGCATATTGGAAATGCCTGGAGAATTCAATAACCTACGAATGCCTGGGTGGTAGCTCATCATCAGGTGATACTAATATGCTGTCAAGATTGACAGCCACTGGGTTAGTGTAGTTGAGAGCTTTCCTGTTCATTGTCAGCTAACTAAGTAGTAGCAGGGACTTAGATACTGATGGAAACCCTAGCAAACAGGGAGAAGAAACTAAATTATTCGACTCATGAAGGTATGGAGAGGGAGGGAGGAAGAGAGAAAGAGGAGAAGGAGAAGGAGGAGGAGAAATAAGAGAAAAGGAAGAGAAAGAGAAGGAGAGAGAAATGGAGCCAAATGTAATCAATGGTTAGATTTGGGTAAAGAATATATAAGAATTACTGCCCTTCTTTATGAATTTGAAATTGTATCAAAATATTCTTAAGCCACTAAAGACCAAAGTCACAGTAAACATTAGCCCATGGGTCCTCTTGTCCTCATAGAACCACAGAGAAAAGTAAAAATAAGGAATACATCTTTTATTTATCCTCCACATTTAATATGAAGTTGTGAGTAGAGGAGGTGAAGAAGAAAAAGAGTTACATTCTCATAGTCACTAGGAGAGAATCTGACCTCAGAAACCCCTGAAGGATGAGAGATGACAGAGAGGCCCAAGTGACAGAGTGTTCTTAGAGGAAGTTGGGGTATCTTTCTTTTGCAGCATGTAACGCAGTCAGGAAACTTGCATCCAGAACATATGATCTGGAGAGGATCCTGAAGTCATCGAATTCAAGCTCCCACCGCCTGTGGGAATGTTTAAAGTACTTTCCCAGCGGTATTCATATGCACTGTCTGTCTAATATGTATGTAATATGAATGCATACCTTTTAACTATAGAAGTGCATTATTCTCTGCAGGTTGACAAAAATGTAGTCCATTTCTTGAGGCGACTGGAAGAGGAAACATTAGGTGGCATGGAGTAAGGCTCAGAAGGGGACAGTGTGACCTCAAGGAGAGAATGGCTGCTGAGGGGCTTGTAGGCATGTAACTGCAGCTCTGTAAGGGAAGAGAAATGCATGTCTCATTTCCTATTTATTTCAGTGGCACCTGTTTTTGACCTGATGTCAAGCACATAGACGGTGCTCAATGAATATGTTACTGATAACTAAATGCTGAGACCAGCAATAGAGAGAAAAATAAAGGAGGTAGTGGGTAGGGCTTCCTTTCTTCCTCCCCCAGTCCTCCCCAAGGTCCCTTCCACACACACGAGGTCCTGTATTTCAGGATGACTCACTCTGATGCCTCCTCCCCCAGCTCGTGGGCCACGTAGATAATGTCAGGGTACCCCATGCAGCTGGAGATGTTATTTTGGGGATAGTAGAAGAGGAAGATGAGGCACATCTCATTAATGGTGCTGGGGCCTCCCTGGAGGAAACAGACAAAGATGGAGAGACAAAGATACAAAGGCATGCAGAGACAGGAGGACAAAGCAAACAGAAAATAGTTGAAGTGGTTATCTTACCAGTGATGCCATTCTCCTTTTCCCTTAAGGTAGAGCCAGCTCACTGCCCTATTTGCTGCTCTATTTTCATTGGTGGACAATTATTGATGTTATTCCAAAAAGCATTCCATATATCTGCCCTGTCCTCAGCTTCACTGCCACTATCCTGATTTGGGCTAGACTATCTGCCTCTCAACTATTGTCAGTCACTCATCTGTTCTAATTGCAATCTGACCTCTGTAGAGCTACCAGACAAGTTGTTTACAATTTGTCTTGCATCCTGCCATTTGCCTGTTCTGAAACCTCCAGTGGCTTCCAGTCACTGGAATAGTCAGTCATCACTAAACCAATTATTTGATTCTATCTAATAAATTCCAACCCATTCATTCATTCCATTTACTTACCTGGCAAATATTTATAGAGTTAGCCCTGCTGTCCTGGAGATATAGGTGGGTCAGGATCACCCCTGCTTCAAGGACTGTTTCCAACTTTATCTACCTCATCCTCATTCCATTCCTTTAGATATCTTTTGCCAACCAAACTTCTTCATGTGCACCCCACGCTCTCCTTATATATGGCTTTCTCAGTTTTTTCCTTCTCCAGAATTCCCCATCTCTATGTGTCTAAAGAAGGACTCATTCACCTACGTCACATGTTCAGTTCACTGTAGTAGGATCTCATGATTCTTTCCTGTGAATTTCCCTAGTGGGTTATTCCCGTTCTTCTTGTATGGTATATATCACTTACTAACTTGTGATATAATCATTTGTAGGGCGGTATTTTTTCCTCAGTTGCCTGCAACACCTTTTGAATCCCACAAGCACTGAACCACTCCTGATGCACAAAACGGGGGATTTTCTTGTGATCATAGAAACAATAGCCAACTTTAATTGAGAATCTACTACAAGTCAGGCAATGATCTAGGTGTTTTGCATGTGTTAACCAACTCCCACAACAATCTTGTGAGGTAGAAAGTAGTATTAATCTTATGTGAATTGGGAAACTGAGATACAAAAAAGTCAAATAACTTGTCTAAAGTTAGAAATGTACTAAATGATTGTGCTGATATTCAAACCCAGGCAATGAGGCCCCAGAATCTCTGCTCTTAGTCGCTATAGCATACTATATTTCCATGGTCTTGGTGGGTTATTGGCAGATAATGTGAGAAATCCCTGTTCCTATCTTAGATGCATGGGGTGTGAGAACATGAAAAGCCCCGTGTGGATGTGTGATGCCATTGGAGGAAGGAAGGGGCTTCAGTGAAATCACAGGGGTCACTGGGTAGCCAAAGCCATGAGTGGGCTCTCCACTGGGGCTATGGTCATGGTGACCATGGTGGGGTGAGAGGTCACTTACAAATGTCATGGAGTCACGGTCCAGTGTCTGGTAGTGACATTCTACCAGCAATTCATCTCCCTGTTCAGAGTGAAACATGAAGGCTGAGAGTAAGACACAGAGGGACTGGTACAGCTTGAGAACTTTCTTGGTTGTCAGTAATGAGGTATGATGCTGCTGCCCCCAACTCTGCCTGGCCTCCCTCAGACTCTCACCGGCTTGATCTCCACTCTAGAGGGCAAATCTCGAGTCTCCTGCAGGTTGAAGTCATAGGAATCGTCTTTACAGATTTTTCGAAGTTGTGTTCCATTCCTAGAGGAAGAGAAGTCGGGAATTCAGAAATAAAGAGAAGATGAAATACAGAGGGGTCTGCCAATAAAGATGTAGCATGCGGGTGGGGTCATTCTGTGAGTAGATTATCCATAAAAATAAACAAAAAACTTCATCTTCCACAGTCTTATTTCAGTTATTTCTACTCTAAAGATAGTTCTACCTCTTCCTTTTTCTCAACCGGACATAATCGTATGCTACAGAATAAATCACTATTCTTAAAATTCATTCCCACCTGCAGAAGGGAGAGCTTCAAGGTCTTCCCTCACCTGTATTGCACTGCTTGCAGAGCCCGTCCAGCCAAGTGGGTGTGCAGCAGGTAGCCATACACCTGTATGTCAGGCATAGGAGCTCCATTCATCTGTAACAGGGAAGAGGTGCACCCGATTTGTTAAGGACTGTGTTCTTGACCTGCTGCTTGATTTCCCCCCCTTGGTATTTGACACTTTCCTCTGATGACTGACATTTACCACTGTAATTCTTATTGAACCTTTCTGACCCTTCTTCCTTCTGCACTTCCCTTGTTCTCAAAGCCCTGACTCCTTCCCTTCCTTGCAAAACTCATGTTAGTGAATCTCCTGAGCACCAGGCTGTAATTATTCTCCAAGTCTGGGGTTCAGGCTGTGTGGGCTTGTGGATCTGACCAGATCTGGGATGGGGGGTAAGGAGAGTGTGTTTCCTCCTCAGGAAGGGTGCGCCTCCCAGCTCCACCTCCTCAAACTTCTCCGTCCTACACAGCCCATAGGACATGAAGGACTCAGCGCCCGGGGGGATGAAGTGGATGGGAAACGTGAAGAAGCCCAGCTGGAGGACATCCGTGTCGTATTTGCGCAGCTGAGAAGTGTAGTACACGCAAATCCCCGAGGAATCATACACACCTGGTGCAGAGAGGAACAGTCAATCACAGGAGGCAGGAGAGTGGGTCACAATGTGGAGAGAAAGAGGCTCAGGAAAGCTGGGGTGGGGCTTTGACAACAGGGAGTCAGCACACATCCCACAATGCGTTCCCAATACCGAAAAAAACAGCCAGCCCCACCAGCTTCCCTTCCTTAAATCCTCTGGATGCTCACCAGGAAGGTTGTTAAAATTGCTGTAATGAATCTCCAGTCGGATCCACTGAAGGTCCAAGGGGGTCCCAATAGAGACTCCTACGTCATCTGGAAACTGGTAGCTCTGTTGGAAGGAGTTAGATTTGGCAGCAAGAAGGGCTGGGAACCAGCCATAGGGATTCAGGGCTCCTGGCCTTGTTTTCTAATTGTCATCCCAGACTTCCCCTATCCCCTGGTCTTCCACCAGCCCAGTGATCTCATTACCCAACCACATGCACCCGCTTAGCCATGTGTTTACCCCATCACGGGACTCACTGTGCCCCCGACAGCCCAGCCCACGATGACCTGTGAGCAAAGGGAGAAGGCAGGGTCGGCCCCATAGCAGTCGCTGATGCCTGTGGGGAGAACGCTAGCATTGCCGCAGGCGTACACCAGGATGTGATGCACCGTTGTCTCATTGTGGTAGACCAACTTAGGCTCAAACTGGGCAGAAAAGGAGAGCAGAGCATGATCAAGACCTTCTACATCAAATCCATATTATCTTCCTTCCTGTCAAAACTATACCCATTTCCCTCTTCTCTCTGTTTCTCTCTCTCCCTTTTTCTCTGTTTTTGTTCCCCAAGCTACCATTTTCCCACCCACTCAGTTTGACTCTCCTCTCAACTCCCCTCTCCTTTAAGCCCCTTCTGGAGAGCAGACATGAAATCTAGCCAGGGACATTCTGCCTTCCCTTAGTAACCTCCTCAGTTCACTGTATCTGAGCATGTAGCCATGCCTTTTCAAATTATCTGTCTAAAGAAAGAAAGTCTCCACATTTGCCACATATTGTGAGATCATACCTTTATTTATTTGATCAAAATTGAAATCACTCAAATATGAAATTGGGTTACCAAGTTTGAGTTCATTCTAGCTAGACTTCTTCAACCTCCTGACAGCCCCTGGCCATATCCTCTCCCTGCCTTTACCTCCTCTTGGGCTAAGAGAGCACAATTCTGGGGCCAGGTTGAGGCTCATACTTTGTTCTTTGCAAACAATTATTAATTCTTAACCTTCATCAACATGTCTGTTGCATTGTGGGGCTTAAATAAAATAGCGCTGGGAGTTACATTTCTGGGCTCAGGAAATGATGTAGCCGCGACCTCTACCAAGCCCTGCCTGTCCCCCTGTTCTTGCAACTACTTCCTTCTTGCTTCCTCCAAGAAATTTTCCAGACCTCATCCTCCAGGGTTGACCACACCCCCTGCTCTGCTCCAGCACCCTTCCCTGCCTTGACAATGTCCCCCATCTGGTCCACCATACCTTGTAAATGTGATGCTTCTCGCTCACAATAGGGAGAGGAAGAAAGGTGCAGGCATACGTGGTGTCATCCTCTGGAATGAGGAACTGTGGAAGGGTGCACAGAAGCTGAGCCAGATGACAGTGAGGCTCTGAAAAAGTAGGGCAAGGGCCAGGCCAGGGAAGGGGGTTCACATTAGGGTCAGATTGGCAGTCCTTAGGAGACAGAGAAGAGTCAGAGTAATCTCCACCCAAGGGATGTACTGAATACTGGGGGCAAGAGAAGGGATCTGGGTTGAGTGGGGTGAGGAGAAGGGAGCTGGAGGCTGCTGGGTGGGATGAAGGTGTCTTACATTAGTGATCTCCAAGTCATGGATGATGGTGTCCTCAGGGACATCCAGATCGTCAGGGTGGACGACTTGTAGCAGAAAGATGGACTTGACAAAAGTACGCTCCCGATACAGCTTCAGAGTGTCATCCAGGCCATAGGTGGCCAGCACCCTCACGGTGTTGCTCTGCGGGGTGCCATAAGCATTGAGGAGCTGCCACCCCTGAGCAGCACTCTGCATATCCCTGCACCCAAGGACCTACACAAGGCACTTGCTCATGTCTACATGGTGGAATGGAAGGAGCTTCACACTGGGAGTGAGAACTAGTTAAGTTCTATTTCTGCCTCCGAGGCTCACTTGCTGGTGATCTTGAGCAAGTCACACTCCCTCTCGCATGCCCTCTCTAAGCTTGTGTCCACATCTGTAAAATGAAAGGACTGAATTAAACTCTTATATCCTAACACTCTAAAGGTCAGCGAAACTGGGCAGAATTCTTCAAAAGGAAAACCCTGGGGCAGGTGGGCAGGAGGTGAATCAGTGGGAGGTCACCCTGCGGAAGGCTTGTGGATTTCAGCAGGTGGCACAATTGGAGCATTTCCTGGGAAGGCTGAGAGGAATAGAAGTCCTGGGAATGATGACTAGCTGCCTGACTGGGGGCAACTACCTCTCCAGAAGGAAAACCTGCTTGTGATTAAATGCTTTTCTCTGCTCTCTATTTTACCGTAATATCCAGGTCATGAGGGTCGCAGGAGCGGAAGGGCCTGGAAAAGTGCATGGTGGTGTAGACAGCATCTTCCGTCAGCCGCAGCAGCTCAGCATCCTGGCTCCCATCCTCCTTCAGAGTGTCTTCGTCCACCAAGTGCTGATCCTTGGGTCCAGTGAAGGTCAAGAAGTAAGAACTAGGAGCTTCAAATGTCATGCTTTGGAGCAGTAGCTGTTCCTTTAGCTCCCCTAGGATACTACAGTAGCAGAGCCCAGGTGTTCTTTATTATGTAGTTTTTCTCCTTGGGCAAAGCATGGCATGAAGAACATGGCAGAGCACACTTTTATGGATAATGGAGTTTCACCACCTGTCCTTGCTTTACTTCTCCCATTTCAAATCTCATGTCCATAAAGTCTAATATTCCTGCATCCCTAATACTTGAAGTCTCACATATTATCTGAAGTATGTATGACATTCATTCTCTCATGTGGCTCTTCATGTAACTATTTCTCAGACAGCTTTGAATTTTCCCTAGTGACCTGCATTTAGTGGGCTTTAGCAAGTAAGTGGTGCAAGACTATCTCACAATCTAATGGTTTCATTCTCTCAGCAGTCTTAGAGACTTGCAGTCTGGAAGACATAGATTTCAAACTCTACAATGGACCATTTCTGGAGGGACACACCAGCATTCAGCTGGCATTCTGGGAGTGTGTTTAGATATCCTCGGGGAATGTGAATCCTTTCTGGACAGAAACCATCCTCAACCCAACAAAGACCCTCATCCTTGGAAGCAAGTCACCCTCACACTTACCGAGAAATAGACATTGCCATTAGGCAAGACTCCTCCAACAACCAGATCACTTCCCACGTTGGTGTAGCGATTTGTGACACCGAAGCCCACCCAGCCAGCTGTACGGACCTGGAGCTCAAAACTGATGATTTCAGCCTCAAGGTCAAAGTCCCAACGCAGGAAAATGACATTAGAAGGATCTAGGAACCTGGAATAGCGCAGGCGAGATGTGGGGCCAAGGCGGTTGCTTTGTAAGGGGACTCCCAGGGCCAAAAGTGGAAAAAGCCTGAAGAGAAGGTCATGGGCCATGGCTCCTGGGACCTGGAGCATCTCCCTTGCAGATGAACATTCGAGAGCTTCAGAGTTTTATGTCCTACCTGGGCCAGGCACCATGCCATGGGGGAGGGCCAGGCTGGGGCACTTCTGATCTGATTATCCTCCGGGTTCAGAGCGATGCCCCTTACATAACTCTGGAGGTGAGAGGTGCCCAGAGAGGATACAGGGCAGGTTGCTTTCACTCTGAAGCAGGGGCCTGGCAGAAAATTCTTAGGATTGAATCATTTAGACTTTCCACCCTGACCCCATGCCAGCGTCCTGCCAGTGGGGACCCTGCAGAATCAAGAAAGTTTAGTTTCTTTTTCTCCCCCTCCCTTCCTGCCCACCTCTTCCATCTTCTATCCTGGATGTCTTTACAGGACATTCTGCCTCTGGACTATGCCCCCACCCCACTTTTTGTGGGCATTTCCCATTTTGTCTATGTATAGAACTTCGGTACTAGCAAGGATGTGGGACTGCTTGTAAACCTAGTCTTTCAATTTCCCAGTGCAGTGCAGGAAGGAGGGAAGTAGCTGGCAGGGACCGGAGGGAAGGCTGCAATTTCCATCTGCTAGAGGAGGCTTTGCTACTAATCCCTAGAAGGACACTGAGAGGAGGGATATCAGCTTCTCAGATGGTTGAGTCGGGCAGCTTTGGTTTTCTGCACACTCCTAGGGAGGAGCAGGAAGAGAGAGGAGGTGAGGGGAAGAAGATGAGAAATAAACATGAGTTTGCCTTTGGGATGCTTTGTGCTTTCCCTTCCGGCCATCAATTACCTTTCAGAGAAATTAATTTAATGGCTGCATGGCAGGCTGAGCTTGCCCGATTGAGCACATTAGTATTATGCAAACAATGGAAGCAACACAGAAGGAAGGTTAGAATATTAGAACACCAGAATAGAAAAGAACTTTAGAGCCACTTAGTTTTCCAAAAATTTCTATCTCCTTAATTTCTAGATGATGAAATGGGAGCTCCAAAGGGTAACAAGAGTGGTGCTTGATGCCCCGTTGAGTCAATGGTGGGTCATGGTCCCTGACCATAATTTCCTTAGGTCACAGACACCCTACAGGTACCAGACCCCTGCCATGCATTTCCACATGGCTTGTCCTGGTGGAAGAATTTAGTGACATTTGTTGGCTGCTTCTTAGGGAAGAAACCAAAGTCTGACTCTAACTCCACAGTATTTTCCCCCTGGTGACTGACACAGCTGACCTAGAGCTAGAAGTCACCTCATCTGACCCCTGGTTGCTGGCTCTCCACTTGACAATGGAGAGGACATGGACCCTGAGGGCCTCTCCCACACAGACTGGGCCTCACCTCTCCACAGAGGAATTCAGCTCAGGAGTAGATGTACAGATGCCGGCACGATCTGCTTACAGCTTCTCATTGCAGGCATAGTCTTTTTTTTTTTTTTTTTTTGGCTACTGAGCTCATCAAAGCTGGTGAGGACCCAGCTAAGGTTGTTTGCTGCTGCTGTGAGCACTTGAGTAGTAATTGGGGTGTGGTGAGGGAGAAAACAAATGCCTCAAGGGGGCAGCCACAGCCCCTAACTCTAGGCCTGACAGAGAAGGCAGGGAGCTCGGCAGCCATCTGGAAGCAAGAGGCTTATCTTGGCCCAGGACCAGAGCTGAGCCAAGAGAAGAGGAGAGGTCGGAGCCTGGGAGGCACTGACCTTGAGGAGCAGTAACACCAGAGAGAGAGAGATAACAGGTGCGTGGAGACATTCTGATCCCAATCTCACTTAAGGATTAAGGGAGGGGGCAGTAGGGAGACAGGATAGCCAGTCTTGTAAATTGAGACGGGCCCAGGATCCCTTATCCTGCAATCTGTCCTGCTGGACAGAGCACTGTCCTCAGCACAGAGGCAAGGTCCTCAATAAAGAGCTGGGAGCAGTGACTGCAGACTCAGAGGGTCTCTTCTCCTGGATCCTTATCTGGCTTCCACCCCAGGAAGCCAGGCCATTGCTACACCTGTGTGAGGCTCTCTAGGGAGATGGGGCTGGGGCTGGCCCTGCTTCCCTTCTGCATTTATCAAGTGCCTGTGACAGGGAAGACACCACAAGAGGGTCACCGACCTGAGGGCAGTGCAGTCCCAGGTCTTGAAATAGTGAAGTTCAGTTTCTAAACCCCTCTGTGCCTCCTTCTTGCTCTCTGTAAAATGCTGCGGTTGGAGAGATGGTGGATACAGGGCCTTTTAAGTTGAATTTCCCAGATGATTGGTTTCCAAGCTTTCTGAAAAATGAGGCCCCTTATCAATGTTGAAAAATAGGTAAATCTCATTCTTTTTTATGACTGAACTTAAAGAATGTGATTGGATTGTTTGTAACCCAAAGTATAAAGGCTTTTTTTTTTTTTTCTGAGACAAGGTCTCACTCTGTCACCTAGGCTGGATTGCAGTGGCATAATCACAGCTCACTGCAGCCTTGACCTCCCAGGCTCAGGCGACCTTCCTGCCTCAGCCTCCTGAATAGCTGGGATTATAGGTGTGCATCACTATGCCTAGTTAATTTTTGTATTTTTTGTAGAGACGGGGCTTCATCATGTTGCCCAAATGCTTGATGTGCTTATTTCACATTCCATGCCTGTATCAAAACATCTCATGTACCCCATACATGTATATACCTACTATGTATGCATAAAAATTTTTTTAAATAATTTTTAAAATTAAAAAAATTCTGAGAATTTAAGCTTTTAATCTCAGTTGAGTACTAAGTGAATGGTAATTAAAGACTAAAATTACTACCAGTTGTCATATTTTAATTGAATTTAAAATTTACCATTGCAATCATAGAAGTCAACTCTTATTGAAAGCTTAGTCTGTGCCAAGCTCTATTCTAAAATGTATTGACCCTAAATACATTTAGATAATGTATACATTATCTAAAATGTAATAAAAAAATAATAATTTTTGTTATTATTTCCATCCTATGGATGAAGCTGCTGAAACCCAAGGTCCCACTACTGGGTGGTGGCAACACTATGAGCTGTTGGGAAAATATAACTAAATCTATTATTAAGTTTAAGTAAAATAATTGAATATTATATAATTATATGAATTAATCAAATATAATTAAATATATTTCATAAATAAATATTATTAGAAATAATTCAAGGAGAAAAAAAATCCCCCAACCCAGAAAACCTCTCTACAAAGGTAGATGAGAACAAAAGTACTTTTAAAATCTTTTTTTTTTTTTTTTTTGAGATGGAGTCTTACTTGTTGCCCAGGCTGGAGTGCAGTGGTGTGATCTCAACTCACTGCAACGTCCACCTCCCGGGTTCAAACGATTCTCCTCTCTCAGCCTCCCGAGTAGCTGGGATTACAATTGCCCACCATCACGCGTGGCTAATTTTTGTACTTTTAGTAGAGATGGGGTTTTACCATATTGATCAGGCTGTTCTCAAACTCCTTACCTTAGGTGATCCACTCACATCGGCCTCCCAAAGTGCTGGGATTACAGGCGTGAGCCACCGCACCTGGCCTCATTTTTTTTTTTTTTTTCTAACAAAGAGCATCCTGAAATATTGAGCTGCAAACATAGGTAAGAAAGCTGGAAACTTGCATGGGGAGATGCCTGCAGCTACACCAAAAGAAAAGGTGTACCTGGGGGCCAGGCATGTCCACCATAGAAGCTTCATCTTCCCTTTTTTGTTAGCACATGTACAGTAAGAAAGAAATGGGCAACATGGTGCAGCTCAGGCCAGAGGGAGTAGCTATTTGTCCTCACTCAAAATAACATATTCTGAATTTGGATTTTCTTTCCCCTGTCACCGTTACTGTCCTAGCATCACATTCCTTGGATTCTCTGAATGCCTTATTGCATTCCACACAAAAATGATGTATTCTCCAACCAAGGAGGTCACCTCACAGTGCTAGTGGAGTCTTATGGATAGTGCTAATGCTTATGGAATCCAGTGGCCTTGCCATGTTTCACCACCTAGGATCAGCTGGCCTTATACAATATCACTACGACCTATTGAAATCTTAGGACCAGCTCAAGTTGGGAGACATCTTTAGAGGCTAAGGTGCTCCTCTGAAAAATGGTCTCCAAACCATTTTCCTCTCCAAACTAAAATTTCAGTTAATAAAATATGTGCAAATGAAGCTGTCACAGTTGCACTTAATAATTCGCACTCCCAATTTAGCTTCTCAATACTGCAAGCTAGGCGTTACTGATTTAGGGGTTTTAGAGCCCTGGATAGATGAAGTTTTCCTACTAGAACTTCTGCTTCCTGAGGGGGTTCTCTTCTTCCCTAGCTGGGCTGAAAGACTCCAGTAGTCCACTTGTAGCAGCCACAGGCTGAACTCTCTAAAATCTGTTCTTGTTTTTGTTTTTTTAAATACTCAGTCAACTGGCCAAAAAAACACCTCTCCACTTAAAACTATCAATTAAAACTCTCAGGGGGTAACAGACTGCAGGGTGAAGTGAAGAGAGAAGGAAGGAAGAGAGGAAAATACTATAGAGTGAGAAAGTGGAGTTCCTGGGCAACTAGCTTTATATAAAAGGCAAGTATGTACTAGGAAAATCTGTCATTGATTTCCCGTTTATCTGCTGTGCCATAAACCTCAGTTAACTTTTATAGTAACTCCTCATGTCTCCAGTAAACACTCAGAATCCTGCAACATGAATGACCAGAATCCATCGATGGCATTGAGAGTTGCATGGGCAAGGAGAAGCTAAGTGTAACACCTCCCTCTCACCTTTGCCCTCCCCTCCCCTCTCACCTTTGCCCTTCTATATAGATCCCTCTTTATTAGACTTCCTTTTTTCAATCAGCATAGTAATGTGCCAAAATCACACATTGTCTAATTTGGTGCATGTAGTAAAGGGTTTTGTACCCCAAATGGCTGTGGAGTGGCCTTTATTTTATGTCAGTTACCAATTCGTTAGAGAGAACATAATTCCCACTTCATAAACTTCAATTATCTGAGGAATTTTGGGTTTTCCATCCTTATCTAGAAGGCAAGAAGGGTTGTTATGAATAATCACAGTGAAGATATGTACAAGTAAAACTGCTCAAGCACCCACTCTGTTTAGCAGAATTGAGACAGGTATGCATGGGGCAATGTGAGGAGTTAATTTATATTTAATTCTAAAGGTGAACGATGGGGACAAGCTGTGTCATATGGTCCACAACTGCCACAGCTCAGTTATTTTGGATTACATTTTCAATCCAGGGTATATAGTAAAAAATTTTGGCATAGATGCCAACATCAGCTCTCAAAACACATCCATCCGCAAAAGACAGGATTCCTTGAAGCATCCCATTGCAGATTGCCGGGGCAGCAGAAACTTCCTGCCAGGAAAACAATAATAACAACAACAAAAAAGCAGATTATCTTTCTGGCAAGACAGAAGGAAGAAAATGGGAAAATTAATGGATGAAGAGTATTTTACCTTGCAGGGCTGCCTCCTTCCTGGCACAATGCCCACACACAGCATATTTTCCGTGATGTTGTAGGTTTTATAGGCATCGCGACACTGAGGCTTGGAGATTACAGAGATGTTCACAGTTTGCAGTGAATCGGGCTCTTTGTCTAAAGAAAAGATAGAAGTCAAACTTCCTTAAGAGTTTTGTTAGGTATTAAAACTTCTTTTAAAAAACTTTTCTTCTTCTACCATCAGAAATTAAAAGAGATCAAACATTCAGAGAAGTCAGAACTGTGGCAGTTAGGACAACGAGGGTATAGGAGATGATCAGATTAACAATTTCTTATGATGCAAAATCGGTGACCTTATAAAAGTGATCAAATTCTTGGGAGTTACATGTACATGTGAGACACTCCAGGAATGAAATGAAACACTTTGTCTTAAACTTTTCTGGAAATTTGGCTGGGCACAGTGGCTCACGCCTGTAATCCCAGCACTTTGGTAGGCCAGGATGGGTGGATCACCTGAGGTCAGGAGTTCGAGACCAGCTTGGCCAACATGGTGAAACCCTGTCTCTACTAAAAATAGAAAAATTAGCTGGGCGTGGTGATGAGTGCCTGTAATGCCAGCTACTTGGGAGGCAGGAGAATTGCTTGAACTCAAGAAGCGGAGGTTGCTATGAGCCGAGACTGCGCCACTGCACTCCAGCCTGGGTGACAAGAGTGAGACTCCATCTCAAAAAAACCCAAAAACTTTTCTGGAAATTTAAACATTCAAAGGGTTTCTTTTGAGATGTAATTTTTAGAGTTTGAATGAATTTACAGATATCTGGCCTACTTTCTCAATTGTCAGGTCAAAACAAAACCGAGTATCTGCACAAAAAAGTCACTGAAAAAGCAGTTTTCTTAAACATATAAAGCTAGTAAATGGTAAAGCTAAGATTTAAAACTGGATTTCCTGGTTCCTAATTAAAGTTCTTTTCTTTGTATCAATAGTCCACAAATACTGTGAATTGTGCACACTTGTAACAAAATTTGTCCAATCTGAAACAAAATGAGAAAAACAACAAAGTAGTATGAACACATGTGGCACGTGTTCTTTCCACGGACATTTCTTTGGGAAGAAGTACTGTATTTTAAGATTTTGGTTTTTTTAATAATGGAAGAGTATGTTTAATGTTTTTATTTGAAAATAATGTATTAGTTCTTGAAAAGAAAATGTATAAGATCCTTCACTTTATTTTCCAAGCAATAATTTCATGGCTAAACATTTCTTTTGGGAATACTTCTGTAGGAAATGCTTACTTAACTACTTGATGACCCAGATCAAAATAAGATGCATTTTTTTTGAAGTCATATCTCGTTTTGAACCTTATGCCATAACCCAGATGAATCAAACATACTGCTCACAGAAGGACATTTGGCTCTTTCCAAAAATCAAATTGACTCTCAGAGGACAAATAATTTCTACTTATTGATATATTCAAGAAAATGTGCTCTAAATCTGAAGGTATTTACTAAGGATTAGTTTTAAAAGGCTTGAATCATGGCAACAATGATAGAATAAGTGTACATCTGCCTGTTGGTTTCTATAAAAAGAAAGTAGTGATGGATAGATGAATGTAATCTGACAGGTTTGTTTCAAATAAATCTCCTTTTCATACTATGGTATCTAGTGTATGATGTATATTATATATACTCAAACTTACTCATGAGTAAAGTTGCATTAATAATTCTTCACAAGGGATTATATATCATTGTTCTATTTTGCTAATAGGTAATCAACTCCCTTTCACCACTACTCTCAACTCTCGTAATTAGCAACTATAGACAGTTAATTAGGGTTTGCATAGAAATTTGGAGATGGAGTAATGGGCAGATGGAGATGCAACTTAGAAAACAGAAAGTTGCCTTAAGTTGTGGGTGTTTTATGGAATATGAAACATGAGGCCTAGAACAAAGTTTAGATAGACTATCTAGTTCAGGAGTTTCAAATTATGTATAGAAAACTTCCATTGATAAAAATAATGGTAGCCCTTTGTCAGTTTTCTGAAGAAATGAGTGAATGCTTAGAATGTTACCAGTTTAAAATGTTTATTTCAGAAGTTCTTTTTAAAACTTTAACTCTGTATCTTTATTAAAATCTTACATAAGGAAGTTCTATCGCATTTAGTAAAATATTATATATTTATCTTACATTTAATACACTGATATTTATTTCTTGACTTTTCAAAGCTTCAAGTTGCTTTATTGCCTGAAATGGTTTGAAAATATACAACAGAGTAATCTGCTTTATTTTAGAGTTAAGGAAATTGAGGCTCCAAGGTAAAATGACCTGCTGTCACATAGAAAATTAGGATTGGAATACAAATGTTTTCTTTCCACTAAAACCACTTCTATCATATATGAAAGAGAAAATGATAGAAAGATACAGCGGGTGAATAAAAAAAACCCAAAAACCTTGAAGCACTCCTTCAGTGAGGTACAGAGAAAAGGAAAGGGGGGAAAGAGGTTAGAAGAAAGCTTCACTAGGCCGAATTGAAGAAGCCAAGAGTCGCGAAGGTGTAGAAGCATGTCTAATTCTGAGAGAAGAACATTGTCTTGAACTCACAGATATCACACACATTGTAGCTCCAGGTAGAGACAGAGCACATGGTATTTTCAGAGATAGTTTGGTAGGGCAGGTTGGCTAATTTCACATAGTCATTGAGTTCAGCCTCTGTTTTCAGCTTGATTAGCATGATGTCATGATCAATAGAAGTGACTGAGAAGTGTGGATGATGAATCATCTTCTCATAGCCAATCACTTGCAGATGCTTTTCATTAGAGTCTGCTGGGATTGTAACCCCCAATATCACCCGAAGCTTTCTGGAACAATATAGACGTTTATGAGAGGACTTAACAGAGATGGCTTCTCCATCATTATGAGCCTCTATTATCCCTCCCCACAGACCTTTTTCTGTACCCTCGTATGTCTCCCAAAGGCTTTTCTAATCCCATTTAATTGGGAGATGGTCTCAGACAGGGGTGAGAGTCTGTGCCCAACCTGAGAACCCAAAGAATGGAGTGCCTTTGAAGGCTTATCACTCACGGTAAATTGCAGTGTGCAGCTGTGATCACCCAAAGCGGGTGGATCAGGACTCCAGCGCAGGGCAAGTAGTCAGATTTCAAATAGACCAAGTAAGGGGGAGTGGAGCTGACTGTGTAATCTGGATTAAAGGCCAAAGCAACTGGAAAGAGAAGCATAGACAAGAAATTCCAAGATTTCTCAGTCATCACCAGAAAAACTTCAGGAAAGTCATTTAATAGGCTCCAAGTTCCCCTATCCTTTTCTCTAGCAACTTTATCTGTAAAATGACTTACTTTGTTCTAAAACACGAAGAAAAGACAAATGGTAGAAACATATCTCTTTTGAAAAATAAAAAGTGTTTGGCTTTTTCACTGTCAATAAAATCTTTCAAATTAAATGTTCAACTTTCTTAAATACCTTCCACAATTTAGTGGGTTGTATGCTAAATCAACGAATTTTTTTCACTATTTTTACCAATTTTAGAATGCTTCAATAAGTCTTAAGGCATTCTGATTTAGAATGCTTTAATAAGTCTTATCTCTTTTTCCCAACAACAACTCAAGACAGAATTATATAAGTATCATGACAAGAACAGACCAAATGCTAAGAGTCTGAGGAGGGGAAAAATAATGTATTGTTTTACCAAATATACATTGAGCACCTAGTATATGTCAAGCTCTGTTTTAGGGGCTTGGGCTATATAGTGAACAAAGTAGATATTCCTGCTCTCATATATTACAATTAATGAAGATATTCAGTAATAATAAACACAACACACAAATAAACTATGTAGGATGTTAAATGGTGATTAGTGCTATGGAAAAACACACAAGTAAACTATATATGATGTTAAATGGTGATTAGTGCTATGGAAATAAAAGTAGGACAGGGAAAGAGAGAAAGGTATTACCAATTGTGTGTTGGGGGAGAAGGAGGGGTTTCAGGCAGTATTTGTTTGTTGTTTGTTTGAGACAGGATCTCACTCTGTTGCTCAGATTGGAGTGCAGTGGCAAGATCAGGCTCACTGCAGCCTCAACCTCCTGGGCTCAAGCAAACCCTCCTGAGTAGCTTGGACTACAGGTGTGTGCCACCATATCTGGTTAATTTTTAAATTTTTTAATTTTTTTAATAGAGATGGAGTCTTGATATGTTGCCCAGGCTGGTCTCAAACTCTTGGGCTCAAGTGATCCTCCCACCTCAGCTTCCCAAAGTGCTGGGATTATAGGCATGAGCCATTACTCCAGTCTCAGGTAATATTAAACCAGTCATCAGAGTATAACTTCATGGGCAATGTTGAACAATAACATGAAAACGGGGGAAGTTGCTAGTCAAATATCTGGGTGAAGGGACTCCAGGCAGAGGCAACAGCTGCAGCATGGGTCCTGAGGCTTGTGTCAGTTACATCACAGAGGCCATGGCTGCTGACCCAGAGTGAATGAAGGGGAGCAGAGGAGGAAAGGGGCTCAAAGAAGAATGGAGGGTTTTGTAGACCATCGTAAGAACTCGGCCTTGTTTCCTGAGTACAAATGGAACCACTCAAGGATTTGTGCAAAGGAGTGATGACAGTCTCCTCATGGAGAACCTGTAGAGTGTAGAAGTATAGAGGTAGAGGGGTCTGTTAGGAGAATAATTTGCTAATCCAGGCAAGAGGTGGTGGCTTAGATCATTGTGAGCAGTGGAGATGGTGAGATGTGATTGAATTTAGGATACATTTAGAAGACAAAGCCAACATTTTTCTAAGAGATCAAACGTGGGGTATGAGAGAAAGAGAGGATTTATGAATAAGCCTGGGTTTATGCCTGAGTAACTGGAACTGTGCCAGGAGATATCTGATTCTTCAATGTTCTGCTGTGCCCTCTGTGGTGCAGAACATCAATCCTGTTGCAGACAGGTCCAGAGTCAGGTCTTAGGAGTGGGTCTGGTATTTGAGTGACAATGTCCACGCCTCCCACAAAAGCACACAAGCAAACCTCCTGCGGCAGGCAGGCAGGCACTATCACAGGAGGAAACTTGATGGGAACGGGGCAGTGGAGAGGGACAGAGGACCATCCTACACTTGAATTCTGGAATGATGCCTCTCGCTGTTACCCGTCTTTCATGCTTTTCCCAGGATTTCTCTTTGGTGGGTAAAGAGACAAATATGCACACACTCACCAGTCAGATTCAAGAGAGCCCAGAGGAGGATAAACTTCATGATGATGTTGAAAGCCCAGTTTAGCTCCAGTCTCTGGAAAACTGGGAAGAGAGAGAGAAAACAACTAAATAAAACAAAGCAAGATTGTAGAATTGGAAAAATATATCATCTGAATTATTTTAGTAGCAGGATTCAGTTTTAGAAATGGTGTCCATTATTCAGAGGAGAGTGTAGCGTCATCTGTCAGAGAGACAAGAATAGAGTCAAGTGATTGGTCCCCAATACAGTTGAAAATGGTTCTGGAACTCAGAGTTCTGCCCTCTGTCTTCAGGGAAGAAAGTACCAAAGCTAAGTTGAAGTTCATGATATCTCTACAGACGCCTCCTGTCTGGTCTCCTTTTTGCCAGCCTTGGTAGGCAGGTTCCCCTCTAAACTATGTGTGGGCTGCTGCCCCTCCTGTCTGTGTGATGCTATCTCCCACTGTGTGATGCTATTTTTCTCCAGTGGACATAATGTAGCCCTCTGGAGCTGACATTGCTTCCTCTGCCTGACATTAAACTCCTCTTTGAAATACATTAACCTTTTCCTTCATGTCACTGTTTATCCATTTATTCTGTGAACCAACCTGCTAATTATTTATCTTATGTATCTAACTTGTGCTAGGATCTGTGCTTGCTGTTGGGGTTGCCTCAACTGAAGGATTTCTTTCCTACCTTCCAAGAGCTTACAGACTAGTGGGAATGATACTTAAGTTGATGGTTATGAAACAAAGTATTCAGGGCTAAAAATTGAGATATGCCACAGACTAGATAAAAATATTTGCAAAACACATATCTGCTAAATAATTCATGTATAAGGAAATAGTAAAATTCGACATTAAGAAAACAAACAACACAACCTAAAAGTGGGCCAAAGATCCTTACCAAATGTTTTAGTCTGCTTGGACTGCCATAAAAAAAACCACAGTCTAGGTGTCTTACACGACAGACACTTACTTTCTTATAGTTCTGAAGGTCAGAAGTCCATGATCAAGGTGTTGTCAAATTCAGTTTCTGGTGAGGCCTCTCTCCCTGGCTTGTGGATGATCACCTTCTTACTGCTTCCTCACATGGCCTTTCCTCTGTGCACACAGAGATAAAGAGGGAAAGAAAGCTCTCTGGTGACTCTTTTTATAAGGACATAAATCCTATTGGATCAGGGCTCCACCCTTCTAACCTAATTTAGCCTTAATTGCTTCCTTTTAGGCCCTATCTTCAATACAGTTGCATTGAGGTTTAGGCCTTCAAACAGATATATTTTGCAGTGATGGGGAAGATAACACCAGAGAATATATACAGATGGTAAATGGCATATGAAAAAATTCTTAACATAATATGTCATTAGGGAATTACAACAACAATGGGATACTACTACATACCCTGTGGAAGGGCTAAAATTCAAACACTGACAACAACAGATGCTAGTGAGGATATGAAGTATCAAGAACTGATGCTGGTGAGAATTTATTGCTGATGAGAGTGCAAAATGGTACAGTCACTTTAGAAAATAGCTTGGAAGTTTCTTATTAAGCTCAACATAACCTCACTATATGATACAGCAATTACACTTCTTGATACACCAAAAGATTTGAAAACTTGTGTTCACAAAAATCCTACACATAAATGTTTATAGCAGCTTTGTTCAAAGTTGCCAAATCTTGGAAGCAACCAACATGTCCTTCAATAGATAAATGGATAAACAAAGTGTGATTCATCCATATAATGAAATGTTATTCAGAGATTTTATGATTTAAAAAACTTAACTCTCAAGCCATGAAAAGACATGGAGTAAACCTATATGCATATTGCTAAGTGAAAAGAGCTAGTCTGAAAAGATTATATACCATATAATTCCAATTATATGACATTCTGGGAAAGGCAAAGCTATGGAGACATATGTATGTGCAAGAACTTTTTTCCTATAATGACTTCTTTTCCTCCGGATAGATTCCAAGGAGTGGGATTGCTGGATCAAATGGTAGATCTACTTTCAGTTCTCTAAGGAATCTCCACACTGTTTTCTATAGTGGTTGTACTAGTTTACAATCCCACCAACAGTGTAAAAGTGTTCCCTTTTCACCACATCCATTCCAACATCTATTTTTTTTTTTTGATTATGGCCATTCTTGCAGGAGTAAGGTGGTATCACATTGTGGTTTTGATTTTTTTTTCATATGTTTTTTGGCCAGTTGTAAGTATTTTTTTAAGAATTATCTATTCATGTCCTTAGCCCACTTTTTGATGGGATTGTTTTTTTTTTTCTTGCTGATTTGTTTGAGTACCTTGTAGATTCTGAATGTTAGCCCTTTGGCAGCTATACAGATTGCAAAGATTTTCTCAGGGTTGTCTGTTTACTCTGCAGATTATTTCTTTTGTTGTGCAGAAGATTTCTCATTTAATTAAGTACCATCTATTTATCTTTTTGTTGCATTTGCTTTTGGGTTCTTGGTCATAAAGTCTTCGTCTAAGCCAATGTCTAGAAGGGTTTTTCCTATGTTATCTTCTAGAAATTACATGGATTCAGGTCTCAGATTTAAGTCTTTGGTCTATCTTGAGTTGATTTTTGTGTAGAGTGAGAGATGAAACCAGTTTCATTCTTCTACATGTGGTTTACCAATTATCGCAGCACCATTGTTGAATTGGCTGTCCTTTCCCCACTTTATGTTTTTGTTTACTTTGTCGAAGATCAGTTGATTATAAGTATTTGGCTTTATTTCTGGATTCTCTATTCTGTTCCATTGGGCTATGTGCCTATTTTTATACCAGGACCGTTCTGTTTTGGTGACTATGGCCTTGTAGTATAGTTTGAAGTCAGGTAATGTGATACCTCCAGATTTGTTCTTTTTGCTTAGTCTTCCTTTGGCTATGTGGACTCTTTTTTGGTTCCACATGAATTTTAGGATTATTTTTCTAGTTCTGTGAAGAATGATGGTGGTATTTTGGTGGGAATTGAATTGAATTTGTAGATTGCTTTTAGCAGTATGATCATTTTCACAATATTTATTCTACCCATCCATGGGCACGGAATGTGTTTTCATTTGTTTGTGTCTTCTATGATTTCTCAGCAGTGTTTTGTAGTTTTCTCTGTAGAGGTATTTCACCTCCTTGATTAACTATATTCCTTTTTTTGTGTGGTTATTGTAAAAGGGATTGAGCTCTTGATTTGATTCTCAGCTTGGTTGCTGTTGGTGCATAGCAGTGCTACTTATTTGTGTACATTAGTTTTGTGTCCTGAAACTTTGCTGAATTCATATTCCAGTTCTAGGAGCTTTTTGGATGAGTCTTTAGGGTTTTATAGGTATACGATCATGTCATCAGCAAGCAATGAGAGTTTGACCTTCTCATTACTAATTTGGGTGCCATTTATTTCTTTCTCTTGTCTGATTGCTCTGGCTAGGACTTTCAGTACTATGTTGAATAGAAGTGATCAAAGTGGGCATCCTTGTCTTGTTCCAGTTCTTAGAAGGAATGCTTTCAAGTTTTCCCCATTCAGTATAATGTTGGATGTGGGTTTGTTATAGATGGCTTTTATTACCTTAGGATATGTCCCTTCTATGCCACATTTTGCCGATTTTGCTAAGGGTGTTAATCATAAAGAGATGTTGGATTTTTTCAAATGCTTTTTCTGCATCTACTGAGATAATCATATGATTTTTGTTTTAATTCTTTTTATATAGTATATCACATTTGTTGACTTGCAGATGTTAAACAATCCCTGCATCCTTAGTATGAAACCCACTTGATCATGGTGGATTACCTTTTTGATATGCTGTTGGATTCTGTTAGCTAGTATTTTGTTGAAGATTTTTGCATCCATATTCATCAGGGATATTGGCCTGTAGTTTTCTTTTTTGTTATGTTCTTTCCTGGTTTTGATATTAGGGTGATACTGCCTTCATAGAATGATTTAGGGAGGATTCCCTTTTTGGAATAGTGTCAATATCTTTTGGAATAATGTCAGCAGGATTGGTACCAATTCTTCTTTGAATGTCTGATAGAATTCAGCTGTGAATCTGTCTGATCCTGGACTTTTTTTTATTGGCAACTTTTTAATTACCATTTCAATCTTGCTGCTTGTTATAGGTCTGTACAGAGTTTCTATTTCTTCCTGGTTTAATCTGGGAGGGTTTTATATTTCCAGGAATTTATCCATCTCCTCTAGATTTTCTAGCTTATGCATGTGAAGGTGTTCATAGTAGCCTTGAATGATCTTTTGTATTTCTGTGGTATTGGTTGTAATGTCTCCCATTTCATTTCTGGTTGAGCTTATCTGATTCTTCCCTTTTCTTTTCTTGGTTAAGCTCATTAATGGTCTATCAATTCTATTTATCTTTTCAAAGAACTAGGTTTTTGTTTCATGTATGTTTTGTATTTTCTTTTGTTGTTATTTCCATTTCATTTAGTTTTGCTCTAATCTTGATTATTTCTTTTCTTCTTCTAGGTTTGGGTTTTGTTGGTTCTTGTTTCTCTAGTTCCTTGAGGTGTAACCTTAGATTGTCTATTTGTGCAATTTCACACTTTTTGATGTAGACATTTAATTCTGTGAGCTTTCCTCTTAGCACCTCTTTTGCTGTATCCCAGAGGTTTTGATAGGTTTTGTCACTATTATTGTTCAGTTCAAAGAATTTTTAAATTTTCTTCTTGGTTTCATTATTCCTGCAGTAGTTCTTGGAGAAAAAGTTGACGATGTGGGTATCCACATGCTGCTCTGTCCCTCCAAGTGGGAGCTGCAACCTAGTCCTGCTCCTATCCACTAATTTTTTCTTGAACTCCTCCTAAATGTGTATTTTTATTAAGCCATTAAATTTGTGATGTTTTTACACAGCATTAGAAAACTAATACAAATGCATACTGGATGCTGGCATCATATTCTATAATGATGATTCCATGGCAAGGGAGATAAGAAGCTTGCTCTCATACATCATAATGCTTAATGAGGGGGAGACAGATGTAACAAGAACAATCATCGTGAATGTCAAAGGAAAAGGGAGGTAGAGAAGCATGTCGCAGGACCCTAATATAAGGTCAGAAGAAGACCTTCTTTGGGAAGTGAAGTTTGAAACTTGAAGGATGAGTAGAAGTTAGCCAAATGAAGAGATGGGGAAGAAATCTCCAGGTGGATGAACCAGAGCTCCAAGGAGAACAAGGAATGTAAAAAAGAGAATGAAGAGAGAGACAGGCAAGGAGACACAGATAGGAGAATCATATGAAACAGACTTTGCAGGATTTGTCGAGTAAGAACTGCCTGCAAAGGAAATAGAGGAGGCAATCAGAGAGTAGGTCAAAGAAACATGTCCTCGGGTTCTGTATTTTAGATGAGTGAGGCTTTATTTTCCTTAAATGATAACAGGAAGAAGGTGATAGATAGGGAAAATTGGAGATAATCAATACAGCAAGTCCATGAGGAAGTCAGACAAGATGGGGTCCATTTCACAGGTAGAGATAGAGGCTGTAAATAATAAGGTCTTACTTCCACTATAGCAGGAAGAATGAAAAAGAAAAAAGGTGGGGGAAAGCAAGTATGTTTGCAGTTTTAGTGGTGGCAATTTCAGAGAGGTATCTTCTGCTGGTTTCAGTTTTTCTCTACTCCCACACTAGAGGTCATCTGCTAAAAGTGAGCATTAAAAGTTTGAGGAGAGAGGAGAGGGTTTGAAATTGCTACTGCGGAGAATTATACAAACAATTTATTGGAGAAGATAGGATTGCCAATAAGTGCTAAAGATGTAATTCAAGGGTTACAAGAAGTAATTAGTTGAGCTCTATAATCCTAAGTGAATTAACACGGGAACAGAAAACCAAATATCGCATGTTCTCACTTATAAGTGGGAGCTAAATATTGAGCACACATGGACATAAACATGAGAACAATAGACACTGCAGATTACTAGAAGTTGGAGGGAGGGAGAGGGGCATGGTTTGAAAAACTACCTACCAGGTACTATGCTCACTACGTGGTTGATGGGATCCATACCCCAAACCTCAGCATAACACAATATACCCACGTAACATACCTACGCGTGTCCCCCCCGCATCTAAAATAAAATTTGAAATTAAAAAAAAACTCTGGCACAAATACAGACATGATTCATTAAGGGTGCTTTGGGCAGTGAGTCAGAGACAGGAAACTGGGGAAAATGTGAGAGAAGACTGGCAAACTGAGGACGTGTCATTTGGATGGGGCCAGAAATTAAAGAAAAAAATAATCATATAGTGAATGAAATGGCTTTAGTATCTAGATTTTAGAACAAAGAAAATTTCTGTGAATGGACCAGAACAAGCTATTGGTCTTAGATGCACCTAAGCTCTCTGGTTTTGGTTTTTTGTTGTTGTTGTTTTAGAGACAGGGTCTTGCTCTGTCACTCAGGCTGGAATTCAGTGGCACAGTAATAGCTCATTGCAGCCGTGACCTCCTCCCCTGTCAGCCTCCCATGTAGTTAGGAGCTTTTTTTTTTATTACTATTTTATGTAGAGGCAAAGGTTTCTCTGTGTTACCAAGGCTGGTCTTAAATTCCTGGTGTCAAACAATCCTCCCACCTCAGCCTCCAAAAGTGCTGGGATTATAGACCTGAGTCACCGCATGTGGGTTTTGTTTTGTTTTGTTTTGTTTTGTTTTAGGAGAAGAGAAAACACATTCAGGCATCCAGGTTCAGGGTCCAAAAACCAACTCACCTCTGCAGACTTTATAGATGCCCTAGATTCACTGCGCCCCTCAAGGGAAGAAACCTCAAACCTCTTTACGCCTCCCACAGTGGGTTTCTCCTATGGTGTGGTTCTCTGTTCCCATCTTCACTGGCCTCCTCTGCCCATCTTTTCTTTTTTAACATAAGATCCCTATGTCATATTGACCCTTTTCTCTCTGTTGCTCTTTGGTCTCTCATATGTCACTCAAACCCCTAACTTTGGGGGGCCACTCAGAATCCCCTTAACTCTGTCTCTGTTTTTAGATGATTTGGACAGTGGCTATGGGATGCTGCACATCTCCCCAACATATGCCAGTGTGAGAGAAGGGCTGAGCACCCATCACAGCTCTTCTCCATAGGAGAGAGCCCTCCCAAACCCCGCAGCTCCCACCCACCAATGTAGGACTCCTGTTTGTTAGTCACTCCTCAGGCAGCATCTGGATTTCAGATCAATGTCTCCAACTGCCTGCTGGAAATAACCACCTCTACATCCTTAAAGGATCTCAATATAGCAGGCCACCTGTCTCCTCATGCAGGACCATGCTCTTGATACCTTGCACACAAATGCACTTGTTATCCTCATATTATCTTTGAGAATCACCATCTTACCTGTTGTCCAAGTCAAAAACTTGGGAGAGTTATCCCTGACATCTCCCTTGCCTTTCTTCTTACAGTAAGTATGTCCAAATCTTACAGATGTTACTTCCTTAGTATCTCTCAAATCAGAAATTGGATGGTGTTTTGTTTACTGTAAAAGCTTCAATGACACCCCCTCCAATGCCTACAAGGTAAAAATCTAAGTTCCTTTATAGAGCAGGTCAGGCCCTTCATCTCTCAACATTTGCCTGCCTATAATAGAATAATATTTTATGGCATTATTTTTCCTTTTCTACAATTTATTTTCTACCTTCAAGGTTTGCTTATTTACATATATTTTCCAGCCTATACCACACTTTCATATGCTTTTTTGCCTTTTAATAAACTATGTGCTCAGTTTTACAATATCCTCCCCTAATTTGTCCACCTCTCTGGTGTTACTTCTCCTGGCACTACCACTCAGAATGTTTTATTTTATGTTTTCGTGGAGCTTACTGCTCATCTCTGTTATAGCAGTTATCAAAAGGTATTGTAATTAGCTAACTGATGGCCAAGGTCATGTCATAGTCACTCAGGCATCCTTAGCAAAGGCCGTGCCTACTAAACAGCTAGTGGTTAATTTTTGAATGAATAAATGAATGAACAAACACAAGGTGAAGAGGTTGCTAAATTTCTCATTATCCTCAAAGTTTACATGACAAAGACAGCAGGAGTCATGGCACAGGTTCTCAGCTACTCATTTTTTTTTTTTAATCAGATGTTTCCTCTTTGGATTTTGTTCCAAAATAACAAAGATGAAGAGAGTTGTAGATCCAGTGTAGAAATTATGAAGAGGTGGTACTGAGGGGATATGGGAACAGAGGCGCCTCAGTGGGTATCCATAATTTTCAAGATCCATCTTGCATAGCTATGAACACCTGTGAAGAATCCTTCACTTCCTAGGGTGACACTTCCTTCTGCCCAGGACAAGATTCCATGCAACCTCCCATTGCAGATGGCTGGGGCAGCCGAAACATCCTTATAGAGAGAAGGAACAGAAGGTCAATGTGTCCTTGTCCTTATGGAACAAGAGTAAATGCCAGCTGGGCGCGGTGGCTCATGCCTGTAATCCCAGCACTTTGGGAGGCAGAGGTGGGTGGATCACAAGGTCAGGAGATCAAGACCATGCTGGCCAAATGGTGAAACCCTGTCTCTACTAAAATACAAAAATTAGCCGGGCGTGATGGTGCGTGCCTATAATCCCAGCTACTCAGCAGGCTGAGAATCACTTGAACCTGGGAGACGGAGGTTGTGGTGAGCCAAGATCATGCCACTGCACTCCAGGCTGGGTGACAGAGTGAGACTACATCTCCAAAAAAAAAAAAAATAGTAAATTCCAAAAAGCGGCACATAACAGTAGCAAAACCATCTAAGAGAATGGGCTTATTTTTCTTGAGAGGTGGCAGACTTCTCTTTACATCCACATAAGTCTTACTTCTAAGGTTCAAGCTTGACCCAACCCAAGTGCAAGACAAAGGACAAATAGTTCTACCCCAAATCTCTCCCACTCTGAAAGATGAGAAGGGCAATGGTTAGAAACCCAGAGGTGAGTAGGGAGAGGAGAGGGACTCCAGCTCTCTGCTTCTCTCTCTTAGGAGGCCTTTTGGATGAGTGCTCTTTGATTCTGCATTATCATCACTCCTCCCATGGGACTCTTGCTATCTTCCAGTATAGAGAAGGGAGAAATACCTTGTTTTTAGATAGGATCCTTAGAGGGTGTCCTACACAAATGATGTTTCCTGCCTGTTCTTCTTTGAGTCTATCCTGACAGTCACGGAATGGAAGAGAATATTGGTTGATCCATGTCAGGATGTCAGGATCACTGACTGTGGGAAAGAGAAAACAAACTCCAGAGTGACTCTTCTTATCACAAGGGCTCTTCTAACCAGATCCTGTTTTGTAAATAAATTCAGTCCTGAGAATATTCAATGCAGGTAGCAGCAGACACTCCATTCTCCGTAGGATTCCTTGTTCAGTAATCTCCATGTTAGAGAAGTAGGTTTATAAGTCCCCTTTGTCAGATATCAAATCCATAGTTCTTTCTGTGCTATGCATCATTTATAAAATTTTGAAAAAACTGTGAGTTATTAGTGACCACAAGGAGAAAGAGACAGTAACGAAACCATTGTCTCAAAGATTTTCCCCCTACACACACACCTTTATTGGGCATCTACTTGATCCTTTTCACGTTTAGTTATAAAGGGAGAAACTATTTTTAGTGCATATAAAACTGCTTTTTGAGTTACACAGATTATTTATAAGTGTTTATAGTATGTGTATTGATATAAATATACATATATATTTCCCCCAAGAAGTTGTCATGTTGTTCATCTCCATAATAGCAATTGCTATTATACTGTCAAATTCAGGATACAGGGACTTTAACGAAGGTATCATGTAATTTAAATTTCTGGTAGAGAATAGCAAAGAGAAAGGAAACAAAAACGCTGACCAGGCCGGGCGCGGTGGCTCACGCCTGTAATCCCAGCACTTTGGGAGGCCGAGGCGGGCGGATCACGAGGTCAGGAGATCGAGACCATCCCGGCTAAAACGGTGAAACCCCGTCTCTACTAAAAATACAAAAAATTAGCCGGGCGTAGTGGCGGGCGCCTATAGTCCCAGCTACTTGGGAGGCTGAGGCAGGAGAATGGCGTGAACCCGGGAGGCGGAGCTTGCAGTGAGCCGAGATCCCGCCACTGCACTCCAGCCTGGGCGACAGAGCGAGACTCCGTCTCAAAAAAAAAAAAAAAAAAAAAAAAAAAAAAAAAAAAAAACCGCTGACCAGAGATTGCTCAAGCTAAGTCCAGTGTTGTTTAAGGAGCAGGATTTTTTCTGATAGAGTGTATCCAATCAAATGCCCTAAAGCAGATTAGGCCAGAAGTTGTCAGGTCAGAGAAGAAAGAGAAATTATGTTCAGTTTTATGTTTTTATGGGAACTAAATTAAAATATGTGTAAAAAACTAGGTGAAAGTAACTTAAGTTACTTGAAATAATGAATTTCTAATAAATATTGGAAGCCCTGCACCAGAAAGCTTATAGAGGTAGAGTTTGTCACTGTGATTTTGACATGCAGAGCCTATATACCTCTGAATAGTTTTGTTTTGTTTTCAAATTGTACGTAATAAATTACTTCTGTAAGTTGTAATTCAATTACTTTGAATAAGACTTACAAAATCAAGGACAAAAATCATACAAGCTGTAACTGTTCAGAAAACATGTTCACTTAGATTCCCAAGTACTTGCTTCTAAGTGGAAAAATGAATCTGCAAAATACTGAGAATATAATAGTTTCTGCTTTTTATTTCTGTTTTTTACCAAAGACTGACTTCTAAAATTCCACTTTTATTTGCTTTTACAGAGCACGTGCATTGTTCTGTAGCCACCAGAGAGAGATTTAAACCTGATTAATAGATCCAGGACAACTTGCTTGAGTGAACATAACTTTTGCAGTATAATCAATGTCAGCCTTCACTTCTTAAAACCAGCTGATCAGGATCAGAGGTCCTCTGAAAAACACGCCTCAGAGCACCAATCAATCAACAGCAATCCCCCTGAAGTAGCCAGGCCTCAACAGATGATGGAACCCATTCATACCTCTGAAAGTCCTCCAATCCCTCAACTCCAAGCTTCCCACAAACCCCTTATGCTAATCAGCACTCCATTCTGCTTAGTGGGATGGTGCCTGGTCAGCATTGCTCTGACTTGCTGTAATAAGCAATAGATTTACATTTGTCATTTCATTTCAGATATCAAGTGGTGGTATCCTCATCCTCAACAATACCTAAGGAGAGAATAATGGAGTAACAGCCAACAAGGACCAACAAACTTATTAGAAAGTAGTTTTCTTCACAGGTGTTCTTTATTAGACAGACTCCTGCTGAGACCGGATCTTTCTGCTCATCCCAATTTCAGCTCACAGGGGAGATGGGTGTGTGCTTACAACATGGGCTGCCACTGTTTTTCTTGTGAGGCATGTCAGACCAGGGAGATAACAACTGATTATGTCATAATAATCAATTTCCCTACGAACCACCAAAGTCTCCACCCCTAAATGGGAACTCTGGGAAGAAGCAGTGGGTATGAGTAGCACTCTGTGCAGGGAACCAGCTCTGGTGACAGGACAGGTACTCCCTCAACCATTCTCTTCTCTCCCAGGGTTCTCTGCACATAACTGGGTTCTCTGCGGAAGGTGTAGGAAGCATCTTCTGCTGCTTCACCGCATCACATATATTTTATGTTCATTTCCCCCACTGTTCTTCCATTGTGTGATGGGCTTTCAGCAACTATCAATGGGTGTCACCCTCCCGCAGGCTGCCTTCATACTGTCTGTGCACGAGGACTCCTATTTCTCCCACCTGTATTTCAATCCAGTTCTCTGGACTCTTGTCTTCAATATTCTAGAGATATGAAAATTACTGTCTGCTCCATTTGTTGGTGTCAGAGTGGCTGCCCTTTATCAGTCTCTTTGAATTTTATCTTTGACCTCCAGTGATGGTGGTTTGGGTCCCTGGCAGGAATCCCTCTATGGTGGACAACATTGTCTCATAGCAGCGATTTCCATTAGGGACATCCCTCTACATTTTCTCCCAGCTCCAACCTCCTCAGCATAAAGAACACAGCATCCAACACATATGGTTTTTATATTCATTCCAGGTCCAGGTTGGAATAAAGCAGGATTCATTAAATGGAATGGGTTCCAAGGCTATGGCTATAGTCCCCACATGGGGGTTGAGTGAAGCAGGTGTTGATAGTTTGATCATCATTAGGTCATTGTTCAAGGATTTTGCATCAAAGTCAGGGTAGGTCACAATCGATGAATAGTTTCATATCTGTTGTTTCTTGTTTGTGATGCTAGGTTGAGAAACTCCCAGTCGAATTTCAACACTTTGGAAGAAAGAGGGCAGAGAGATGAGAAGAAAGAGAGTCATAAGATAATGGATTACAAGAAATCCTACGGGCCACCCTCTTTAATTATTTTAACTTTATTTCTTAACCTGAGAACTGACATGGCCTTCTTTTGTCTATAAAACAATAGCAGTAATTTACAGAATTGTTGTATTAGAGACATAAATTTGTAAAATGTCTGACATCGTGTCTGGCAACTAAAACACAAGTCAGTGGAGCCTTGTTATTAAGATTTTTATCATCTGAATTAGCAGCTAATAGAGAGGCAGCACACATCCAGTTCATGTGTTAAGTATGGATGTAAGAAAGAACATCTGCCTTTTCAATTTTTATTCTGGAAGGATGTGAACTGTGTATTTCCTTTGTATTTCCCATATACCACAGAGCAGAGGTTAGTCTGCGTTAAACTAAACTGCCTTGAACAGCCAGATGGCTAAGATTTCTGAATTTGAAAGAACCGTTCTATACTCATGAAACTGAGTAGGTCTTGATCACACAGCACATTCTCACACACAACAGAAACACTGAGATTTGCAAGGAATTGCTTTATTTTGTATCGTGCTCCCTTGCCCTCTACTGTCACTGCATGATATGGCTTCTGCCTAAGTCTTTGACCTCATCCTATGAGCGATCCCCCTGCTCATTACCCTTAATTCCTGCCGATTTCTCAGCTTAATATCTTTGTTACTTCAGGGAGTATATGAATATTGTTCCCTTGGCCTGGAATATCCCCCAGGATTTATTCATTTGGCTGGCTCCTTCTCTTCCTATGGATCTCACCTCTTCAGAGATGATGGACATGACCACATTAACTAAAGCAGATTTCTTATTTCATGCCCATATATTAGAGCTTGCCATTAAAAAAAATACTTTGTTTTTGGCCATTTATTTGTGGTGGCTACTCCCTCTACCAAAATGTAAGCTCCATGAGGGAACACTTATTTTCATCTTGTTCCTTCACTGTTTCATCAGTGATTAAGTAGCCCTTGCTAGATAATAAATGTTTAACAAGTATTGTTGATGAATGAATATTATTTACTACCCATGAGAGGGAATCCTCTGACATCTTCCTACTGATCTCCTCCTAAACTGCCCAAATTTGTGTTCTGTTTCCCAATGGGAACAAGAGTCTCTCTTTTTCCGTGTCTTCTGATTTTACTAAAAATTTTCTGGGATGCTTCACCAGATCTACATTTGTTTGAACAGATTCCTCCCAGCTCGCAAGAGAAAGGGATACTTACGGTAAGGGGCAGTGGGCAGCTGTCAATACCCAGTCAAGGTGAATGAGAGACCCCACGCAGGGTTCTGGGAAGGACTGAAGATAGACCATGTAAGGAATAGTAAAATTATATGTCAGCTCCTGATTATCTTTAGAGTCTTTAGCCAGAGCAGCTCCTGGAGAATCAAGGGGCCATAGGTGGAAAGGGAAAAAGAAGTTAAAAGGCCAGAACTGGCTAGGGTAGTTTTCCCTAACCTAAGGTTTTCAAATGTAATGTAAAGGTCTTCAATTTACCTTTCATATTTTAATCAAGGAAAATTATGCATGTCCTCTAAGTTATACACAATAAGAAAATTGACACATGGTTTTGCTGAGATGAAATTACATTAAAATTCTGTGAAACTTACTTACATGCTGATCAGAAGCTCCTATTGGCAGTGCTGTGTGTTACAAAGATGAAAAAAATAATGACTACTTGAAATTTTTTTTTAATTCACTTTTGCCATAAATGGGGGTAAAAAAGTATGGCGTGATTTAAATTTTTTTAAATTCACTTTTGCCATAAATTGGGGTAAAAAATTACTGCCTGACTTTGGTGATGAAAGAAATAGAAAAGCTTAGGGCTTCCAGAGCCCCTGACCCAGCTCACCCCCCTTTTCCAGGCCCATGTTCTCTAATGTGGTTCCTTTTGTTTTCTTCAACGGTTGTTTTATTTAAATGTCCTCCGCTTCCTAGCTGTTTAGTTGTGCCCAGCTACTCCTCTTTCCAATCTTTCATAGACTATCCTGGGTGTCACAATAGGCAGAAACAAAGCCCCAAACTCTCACCAGCTGCACTCAAGAGAGCGACGATGAGAAAACCCTTCGTGGCAGACAGATCTCGCCAGGAACAGACAAGTTGATCAAGCTGTAAACTGTCCCAATCTTTAGTCCAAGTGTCCTTGCCAAGAACAGCTGTGGAGATTATGGGCAGAAGACAGATGAGAGGAGAGCAGTCTTCACATGAGTCCTTATCAAGACCCAAATATATACGGCATTGCTGGGAGCCGTCTCTGATGTGGGTGAAAGAGAGTGGCACAGACCAAGCCGAGGTCCTGGTGCCTCCTTTCCTATCCTACAAATCTTGCCTGGAGTTATTATGTACCTGCTGATTTTCCTTCTCCTCTCTATGACACAACCTTTCTTTGTTGTCTCCTTCTCCCTCTGTGACTTAAACCGCTCTCCCTGCCCATCTTGCTGCCATCTCACCTCTTCCAGAGACTTCCAGAGGATTGGGGTATGAAATGCACTTAATAAATCATTGCTTTTTTCATTCCTTGTAATTTTAGTGATGAGGAAGCTATGGTTCTCTTGGAAGTTAGTGGCAAAGTCAGGACTCAGAACTCAGTCTCCATATTCTCTGTGTCAAGGCTGAACTCTATCTTAGCCTGTGTTCCCAGAAAAGAGCAATGGTTAAGAAATCCCTCCATCGTTTTGTGTTCTTAGAAATGAATTACCACAAAGAGCTACCTTTCCTATATGACTTAAATAAGACTCTCTGCCCCTTCTTTCTCCCAGCTCCCAGAAAATTTTGCATGGTTCTCTTGCTTACCTGTGATGCATCAAATACAGACCTTTCCTCTTTTGCCCGGACTTGCTGACATGGCCAGACATGGACCATCCAACTCCCCATTTTTTGTTTCAAAAATGATTAGCTGAGATTAGAATGGTTTGTCTCTTCGAAACTAGCTACATTAAAAAATAAACATTTCCTATTCAGCCAACTAACTGAGGCTTCCCCCTGATTGTAAAACAACTCCCACTATAAATCTCCCCACCTCAAACTTATCTTTTTCTCCCTATAAAAATTCCAGGGCAAAACCACCCTGCCAAGATACTTCATAATCTTCAGATCTTGGATGCTCTCCTATTGGATGATCTGAATGCAACCAATCTCCTTACTAGTTCACTTTTTGTCTTCTATGCTGATTACTCTCAAAATGCATCCCATTTTTTCTTTTTATTAGCTACCCTTATATGGTAACTTCCAGCCTGTCCCACAGAGACGGGTAATAACAGTAGGTTCAATCCCACATTTTATATAGAGTAGACTGGAAAAATGCAAACTATATAGTATCAAACTGATCTTTATCAGAGTAATTAAGGAGCTGATCAGTTATAAAAGTCCATAAACATAACATTCCTATATCTGTAAAAATTATAGGCAGACTTAGTTCTCCTAAAATTTAATTATTAACTTAAAACCTCATCAGTATGTTCCCATGTACTCTAAACTTTTGGGGACAATATTTCTTTAGTACCCAAAGGTTTTAAAATAATAATTATTAAAATAATAAAGTCAGTATTTGTTTTGTACCATGTGACAAATACTGTGCTATATGCCCAGCATGTGTGACCTAATTTATCCTTTATCACAGGCCTATACATTAAATATCGTTATTATCCATTTTCAAGCTGAAGCTCTGTATGGTTAAAAACCTTGCTCACAACCATACTGTTGAAGCCCACGACCCCCAACATTTTAGGAAATCCAGCATCCCTCTACTTGTTCCAATTATTTATCTGGTAGGACTGGGCCTTATTTCTGCTAAGTTCTTTGCTTATCTCCAGCCTTCTTTGTCCCAGCACATGAAAACAGCTGTCTTCATTTTATTTCTTAATTCACCACTAACCTAATTCTAGGGTGGGTTTCAGACTTTTACTGAAGCTTTGGAGATATTACAGGAAATTTTGGCACCAGCCTGAAAACATCTTTAAATAGTATATCAGAAATCACTTTGTGAATGTTTATGAATCACCTACAGTCCACGGAGTCTGTTAACCTATAACCTGGTTTCTGCCACATTGCTGGAACCTACCCTGAATTCCTTTTTTATTTTCTTGTTTTCTTCATGTCTTTAGTCAGCTCACATTTCTGCTGCCCAGAAGCCCCAAGTAGAGAGAGACAAACATCTACCCTTTTAAGCTATCGGAGGAGAACTGAAAATTTTTGTTACTATCTTACATTGAGAAATCCATATTTTCTCTCTCTATTCTCAATCTCTGCCTCCCTCCCACAAAGCCTCACCAATGAGAATATGAAGGCGACTATTGTTAGTTTCCTTTCTTTTAAAATGTCTTTTTCTTTTCTTTTCTCATGGAAAGAATAGGCTAAATACAACTATTTGCTTTGTAAAGAAGTGAGACGATACAATTTATTTAATGGATATAAGAGATTATAGTCACTATCTTCTTTATAATTTCTCGTATAATATTCTAATAAAGGTCACTCAATTGTGACCTCGGCAAGCATAATTCACTGCAGAGGCAGTGGCCTAGAGCTGTCAGTTTCCCCTGGAGGCTCAGTCCAGGGAGTTGCTGAGTTGGTACTGGCATGACAGCTCTGGTGAGGGGTGGCTGGAGGCCCAGGCCTGGAGGACCTGCCCAGTGAGGAGATATGGGAATAGGCACCTACGTACCAGTCTGGCCACTTTTCTGTAGGGTTGCTGCAATATGCTTGGGGCCTGCTCCAGTCTCTAGTCACCTTGGATTTTCTAGAACCTGGAGGTGTCACCAATGAAGGCTGCAAAACAGCAAAGATGGTAGCCTGTCCCTGCCTCTGGGAGCTTTGTCCCAGGGAGGTGCAGACATATTGGCAGCCCAAAAGCACCTGTAGGATGTGGCTGGAGAAACCTTACAAACCAGAAGAGATTGCAGGTCTACATTCAACACAATTAAAGAAAAAAATCTTCAACCAAGTGTTTCATATCCAGCCAAACTAAGTTTCCTAAGTGAAGGAGAAATAAGATCTTTTTCAGATAAGCAAATGTTGAGAGACTTTATTATCACCAGACTTGCCTTACAAGGGATCTTGAAAGGAGCACTAAATATAGAAAGGAATGATTGCTATCAGCTGATACAAAAACACACTTAAACACACAGCCCAGCATCACTGTAAAGCAACCACACAAACAAGCCAACATAATAACCAGCTAACAGCACAATGACAGGATCAAATTCACACGTCAAAACTAACCTTTAAAACTAAACAGGCTAAATACTCTACTTAAAAGGCACAGAGTGACAAGCTGGATAAAAACACATGACCCAATGGTATGCTGTCTTCAAGAGATCCGTCTCACATGTAATGACACTCATAGCCTCTAAATAAAGGGATGGAGAAAAATCTACCAACCGATTAGAAAACAGAAAAATGCAAGGATTGCAATTCCAATTTCAGACAAAACAAAGATCAACAAAAGACAAGGAAGGGCATGACATAATGGTAAAGGGTTCAGTTCAACAAGAAGACCTAACTCTCCTAAATATATATTCATCCAACACAGGAGCATCCAGATCCATAAAGCAAGTTCTTAGAGACCTGCAAAGAGACATAGATCCCTACACTATGATAGTGGGATACTTCAACATTCCACTGACAGTATTATATCATTGAGGCAGAAAATTAACAAAGATATTTAGGACCTAATCTCAGCATTGGACCAAATGGATCTGATAAACCTTCACAGAAGTCTCCACCCCACAACAAGAGAATATACATTTTTCTCATTATCACATGGCACATGCTCTAAAATTGACCATGTAATTAGACATAAAATAATCCTCAACAAAAGAATCAAAATCATACCAATCACACTCTTGGGCCACAGTGAAATAAAAGCAGAAGTCAACACAATGAAAATTCCTCAAAACAACACAATTACATGGAAATTAACATGCTGCTGAATGAGTTTTGGGTGAACAATGCAATTAAGGTGGAAATCAAGAAGTTCTTTGAAAATAATGAGAACAAAGATACAACAAACCAGAATCTCTGGGACACAGCTAAGGCAGTGTTAAGAGGAAAATTCATAGCACTAAATGTTCACATCAAAAAGTTAGAAAGATCTCAAATTAACAACCTAACTTCCCAATGAAAGAATTAGAGAGGCAAGAACAAATCAACCCCAAAAGAGGATAAGAAATAACACAAATAAGAGCTGAAATGAAGGAAATTAAGACACAAGTAAACCATTCAAAAGACCAAAGAATCCAGGAGTTGGTTTTTTGAAAAAAAAAAAAAAAAAAAAAAAAAACAAAGCCACTAGTTAGCTAATTAAGAAGAAAAAAGAGAAGGTCCAAACAGACACAATTAGAAATGATGACGGGAATGTTACTACTGAACCCACAGAAATAAAAACAACCATCAGAAACCAATATGTACACCTCTACACACACAAACTAGAAAACCTAGAGGAGATGAATACATTTTTGGATACATACACCCTCCCTAGACTGATCCAGAGAGAAACTGAATCCCTGAACAGACCTATAACAAGCTCCAAAATTTAATCAGCAATAAATAGCCTACCAATCAATAAAAGTGCAGGATCTGATGGATCCACAGCTGAATTCCACTGTATGTACAAAGAAAAACTTGTACCATTCCTACAGAAACAATTCCAAAAAATTGAGGAGGAAGGACTTCTCCCCAACTCATTCTATGAGGCCAGCATCATCTTGATACCAAAACCTGGCAGAAAGACAGGAAAAAAGAACACTTCAGGCCAATATCTTTGATGAACAAAGATGTAAAAGCCCTATACAAAAATACTTACAAACTGAATCCAGAAGCGTATCATAAAGCTAATCCACCATGATCAAATAGGCTTCATCCTTGGGATGCAAGGTTGGTTCAACATACAAAAATCAATAAATGTGACTCATCTCATAAACAGAACTAAGGATAAAAATCACATGATTATCTCAATAAATGCAGAAAAGGCTTTTGATAATATTCAACATTACTTCATGTTAAAACGCTTAATAAACCAGGTATTGAAGGAACACACCTCAAAATAATAAGAGCCATCTATGACAAAACCACAACCAACATTATACTAAATGGGCAAAAGCTGGAAGCATTCCCCTTGAAAACTGGCACAAAACAAAGATGCCCTGTCTCACCACTTCTATTCAACATAGTATTAGAAGTCCTAGCCAGAGCAATCAAGCAAGAGAAAGAAATAAAAGACAACCAAATGGGAAGAGAGGAAGTCAAACTATCTCTCTTTGCAGATGACATGATTCTATGTCAAGAAAACCCCATAGTGTTGGCCCCCAAGCTCCTTCAGCTGATAAACAGCTTCATCAAAACTGCAGGATACAAAATCAATGTACAAAAATCACTAGCATTCCTATACACCAACAACAAACTGAGAGCCAATTGGAAAGTTAGTCCCATTCACAATTGCCATGCACAAACAAAAAAAACCCCAAAACCTAGGAATACAGCTAATCAGGGGGGTGAAAGATCTCCACACTGTGAATTACAAAACACTGCTGAAAGAATTCAGACAAGACACAAACAAATGGAGAAACATCCCATGCTCACAGATAGGAAGAATCAATATCATTAAAATGGCTATACTTCCCAAAACAATTTATAGATTCCATGCTATTCCTATCAAACTACCAATGACATTCTTCACAGAACTAGAAAAAATATTTTAAAATTTATATGGAACCAAAAAAACAAGCCCAAATAGCCAAGGCAATGCTAAGCAAAAAGAACAAAGCTGAAGGAAGCAAGTTACCTGACTTCAAACTGTACTACAAGAGCTACAGTGACTAAAACAGCATGGTACTGGTACAAAAACAGGCACATAGACCAATGGAACAGAATAGACAGCCTAGAAATAAGGCTGCACTTCTATGACATCTCATCTTTGACAAAGCTGGCACAAACAAGCAATGGGACAGAGCCTCTCTATTCAATAAATGGTGCTGGGATAACTGGCTAGCCAATGGAGATTGAAACTGGACCCCTTCTTTACACCATGTACAAAAATCAACTCAATATGGATTAAAGACTAAAATGTAAAACCCAAAACTATAAAAACCCTGGAAGACAACCTAGGCAATACCATCCTGTACCTAGGAATGGGCAAAGATTTCATGACTGTATTAGTCAGTTTGCATGCTGCTGATGAAGCCATACCCAAGACTTGGCAATTTACAAAAGAAAGATATTTAACTGGACTTATAGTTCCATGTGGCTGGGGAAGCCTCACAATCATGGCAGAAGGCAAGGAAGAGCAAGTCACATCTTACATGACGGCAGCAGGCAAACAGAGAGAGCTTGTGCAGGGGAACTCCTCTTTTTAAAGCCATCAGATCTTCTGAGACTTATTCACTATCACAGAAATAGCATGAGAAAGACTTGCTGCCATGATTCAGTTACCTGCCACCGGGTCCGTCCCACAACACATGGGAATTCCAGATGAGATTTGGGTGGGGACATAGTCAAACCATATTAATGAAAAAGACACCAAAAGCAATCACAACAAAAGCAAAAGTTGACAAGTGGGATCCAATTAAACTTAAGAGTTTCTGCACAGAAAAAGAAACTATCAACAGAGTAAACAGACAACCTTCAGAATGGGAGAAAATGTTTACAAACTGACAAATGTCTAATATCCAGCATCTATAAGGAACTTAAGCAAACTTACAAAAGGAAAACAAAGGACCCTATTAAAAAGTGGGCAAAGGACATGAACAAACACATCTCAAAAGAAGACATACATAAGGCCAACAAGCATATGAAAAAAAGCTCAATATCTCTGATCATAAGATAAATGCAAATCAAAACCACAAGGAGATATCATCTCACGTCACTGAGAATGGCTATTATTAAGTCAAAAAGTAACAGAGGCTGGCAAGGTTGCAGAGAAAAGGGAACACTTATACACTGTTGGTGGGAATGTAAATTAGTTCAACCATTGTTGAAAGCAGCACAACAATCCCTCAAAGAGCCAAAAGCTGAACTACCATTCGACCCAGCAATCTCATTACTGGGTATATACCCAGAGGAATATAAAGCATTCTACCATAAAGAGACATTTCCAGAAATGTTCATTGCAGCACTGCTCACAATAGCAAAGACATGGAATCAACCTCAGTGCCCATCAGTGACACACTGGATAAAATAAATCTGGTACATATACCCCATGAAATATAATGCATCCATAGAAAAGAATGAGATCATGCCTTTTGCAGGAACATGAATGGAGCTAGAGGCTATCATCAAATTAGCAAACTAACCCAGGAAAGGAAAACCAAATACCACATGATCTCACATATAAGTGAGAGCTGAATGATAAGAGCTGATGAACACAAGAAGGAAACAAGAGACACTGAGGTCTACTTGAGGGGGATGGTCGGAGAAGGGAGAGGAGCAGAAAAGATAACTATTGGGTACTGAGCTTAATACCTGGGTGATATAATAATATGTACAACAAACCCCATGACACGTGTTTATCTATGTAACAAACCTTTACATGTACCTCAAAACCTAAAATAAAACTTTTAAAAAAGCATAATTCAGTTCCCAAGAGATTTTTCCTGGATGTGAGATGATGTGTGGCTTAGAAAGTATTCCTTTATTGTTTGGCTCTCTTCCCTACAAAATGTAAATTCTAATTTCGTTCCTCTTAAATATGAACTGGCATAATTTTGGAGAACAGTTTCTAAAAGTCAATAAATTTCCATCTGGCTCTCTTCTTCAAATATTCTTAGAGTACATCTGCTTTGCTATAAGTAAGCTGAAGCCATCCCATCTGGAGGCAAATAGAGAAGCCATGCACAGGTGCTGTGGCCAAAAATCAAGCTGAAGTCCCAGCTGACAGACAGTATCAGCCACCAGACCTATGAGTGAGGAAGTCTTTGAGATGGCTCCAAGCCCAGCCACCAGCTGCCTGCAAAGCATGAGAGATTCCCAGCAATGACTGCCTATAGGAGCCCGGTCAAATCCTAAAGCCATGAGAAATAGTGATAACAAGTGATTGACATTGCTATATTCTGCTAAATTTGAAGTGGTTTTCTATGCAGTAATCAATAACCAGGACTGGAGTCAAATCATTTCCAACTCTACTCCGTTTTCTAATGGTGATAGGTGAAGCAAGTATGCCAAGAGGGTGATTCTGCCTGAGTGGTTCCGGGGTCCCTGTTGTGTCCTCCCAATCCTGAAGGACTGGAAAGCAATTTATCTGGGTCCATTAGTTTGCTCTAATTTCACGTTTAAGCCTCAATTCTGGGGAGTGGTGGCTTGATGGACGGAGGGATCAAGATCATCCAGAGAAGGGTTTGGCAGGGCAGTTTAAAGTGAGCATGAGGTGTGATTCTTTCCACCTTTAGAACTAAAATAGAAAAAGGATTAGACAACGCTCCTATGAGAGAAGATGTTGGAATCTACAGTAGAAAAGATAAGAGTATGAGTGTTCATAATACACTACCTGTAATTCTCATGGTAGCCTCTGAAGCTTGATCATAATGAGCTCTGATTATGACACATTTTGTAGCCATACGCCCTTGGGCAAGTTTCTTATCTCTGGCTTTATCAGTTTCCTTTCTTGTAAAATGAAAAGCCCATTACATCGATTGTTTTTAGGAAAATGAAAAGAGTTAGTGTTTTTAAAGTGGCTTTGGACACTGCCTAACAAATAGTAAATGCTAGTTAAATGTTGGTTAAATAAAATAAAATAACTGTAACTTTAGGATTCCCATATTTTCCAGGCTTTCAGGGACAGTAATTTATCTTATGTCAAAATATTGTTGTGAAGTTCTTAAATCTTTATGATATTTTCTTGTTTCTTTCTTTGTTTTTTTTTTTTTTTTTTTTGGTTAACATAGTGAAGAGCGTGGAGAAGGACGTTTAACTACCTTAAGCCTCAGTATTCTAAGCTATAAAATGGAAAGAAGATTAGTACTTACCTCATAAGATAGTCATGAGGATTAAATATTATTTAAAAACACTTAAGCACCGTATATGACACACAGAAGATAATAAATGTGAGTTATCATCACTATTACCTTTTTCACCTCTGCAAAACTCCTGAGTACTAGAAAGGAGAAAACCTTCTGGATGCTCCTGGTTCACAGGATTGTGTGATTTGGCTCCAGCAATGTCTTGGAACTGGGTCCCTCCTGAGGTCAGTGATTCAGAATTACTGGACTTCTTAGGTTTCAGCTCTTCCTAGCTCAATACCCCTCTCTCTAAAGAGAAAAAGTATTACCCCCTCCAATTCTACTCATGTTTCACTAGGGACATCTCGTGACTAGCATGAGGCTCAGAAAAGATGTGGAGGGATGAGAGGGTGGAGCAGGTCAGTGCTGGGAAGCCTCCCAACCTGAATGGGTTGCACTCATTGTCAGCTGGCTTTCTTCCTGCAGATTAGGGTGGATTAAGGGATTTTTGTAAGGTGAGAAAGATTAATACTACATTTTATAAGCCAGACATCCTGGAAATTTCATTAAAGACAAATGTTATCTTTGTTTTATAAAACCCAACACCTGTTTATCAAGAAAAATGCAGAAAAGGAACAACATAAATATGAAACAACAATAAAAACCTGCAACTCCTTTTAGAGTTGCTCGCATTGACATGTCAGGCACCACAAAATGATCTTTTTCCTTTACCCCATTCTTTATATTTTTTCCCTCGCCAAAAAAGTAAATAATTCTTTTTTCTCTAGTGATTCTCCTGCCTCAGCCTCCTGAGTACCTGGACCTGCAAGCATGCACCACCACACCCCGCTTATTATTATTATTATTATTATTATTATAGATACAAAGCCTTGCTATGTTGTCCAGGCTGGTCTCAAACTCCTGGCTTCAAGAGATCCTCCTGCCTCAGCCTCCCAAAGTGCTGGGATTGCAGACATAAGCCATTGCACCCGGCCAAAATTTAATAGTTGTTTATACTAAAATTTCTTCTCTTTATATTGCTGATGTGGTTTGTATTTCCTGAATGAATCTGGAGTAATACAATGTCTGAGGAAAAACCTTTGGTGGAACCCACAGCTATGGGAAGATAAATTTTCTATGGTGTGAAGACACTTTATTTCTAATATTTGGTAATGTCAATATATGATTGACAAAGAAATATACCTTCCCCATCCTGCCTCATTCTTGTTACCCAGATGTGGGTCATCTTTTGCCCAAAGCCAGTGTTTAAAGCTCATCTAACTACTATTTTATTCCATTCTCCAAATCAGATTCAAAACTAAAATACAGTAGCAAAAATAAAAATTGTTCTGGACACTACACAGGAAACTAAAGAAAATAATTTGTATTATATTACCACACAGCATAATTTTCTAAAGACCTATTTTAGTTATTTTTATTCTTTTTTGAAATTTCTTCCTAAGTCTATCCTACCTTACCTCTTTTCTTCTTCTACATCTCTAATGTCTCTCTCTCTCTCTTTTTTAAAAGATTATTGTCTTCTCCATTAGATCCAGCCTTCAGTTTGCATATCTCACTCAGTAGAACATGGCAGGTAGCCATCCTGTGGGAGGGTGTAACTCTCCCATCCCATGTGGCTTATGAAGTTATTGATTGAACAAAAATGTAGCTGATTTGGGTTGAAAGAAGGGGGTTAAATTACATAGCTAAAAAAAAGAATAAAATATTTTGTTATGCCTCTTTCTCAAATGAAATGAGAGATTTTGTCTTTTTTTTTTGGTAAACACATGTAAAACAATGTAATAATGTGGAGAACATGCTAAGCTACAGTGAAGAAAATTTATTTTTCCTAGACATGGCAGTAAATGGAAATTTCTTTATCAAGGGCAAAATAATCCTAGTAGTTAAACAGGAAGAAGAAAATGAAAAGGACTTCAGGGGATTAAGGAGGGAGTTACTGATTTCAAAACTGCAGTTTCGGAGTTCAAAGTGTTGATCATCAAAAACGGAAAATGTGATTTTGAAGTGAGGAAACCCCAAAAGAAAGTTAAATGATAATTCAGTGGTGAGAGTCACATCGGAGCAGTGTCTATAATTCTGTATGAGTGCTCCTTGGAAAAGAAAATGGAGGAAGAGGTCCTGTGGGAGAGGCAGTTATGTGTAAAGAAACTTTAGAGGCTTGGAGAGGCGTTTCTCAGAAATCTGCCCAGCCTTTCCATTCTACATGCAATAGAGAGAAATGCAGTGGGGTGATGAGGGAGGCTTCTAACACGCCAGGACAACAATCCAGTGACTCCCAGGGAAGCATAATCTTTTGTCTTATAATTTTTTAAACTGCAGATATAGTACATGAGTGGTATGAGAAATTACCACAACACAAAGTTGTGTGAACTGTGAAAGTTCCCCTTACGAATGAAGACAAAACTAACTTTCCAACAGTTCTTCAGAACATATGGCCTTATATTTTCTGTTTGGAAAACAGTGTACTCTACTGCTATCAGATCTTTGAGCCAGAAGCTGGCCTTGGAGGAAACCTGTGGCCTTTCACTGCATGGGTCCCTCCAAGTCTAATAAGAGTCTCAGAGGCAGAGCTGGCAAGGGCTAAGAACACTGCAAATAGAAATGGACCACAAAAATAGGAAAGTCATTTAAAAAATGAAGTTGGATTATGCACACGGACGTGTCCTTAAAAATAAACTCTGTTAAGTAATGAAGGCTTTGCATGGGGACTGTGTACATAAAATCACAGTAGACTGTTGAGGTCATGTTAGAGCGCTTATATAACTCTCGGGTAAGTTTTGATGAAGGGATTTGTGCCTTGCAGTGAGAAGATGAGATCAGTTAGTAAAGGAGAAAATGAATTGATTTATTCTGTAGAAGTAGGGAGCTTGTTAAAAAAATGGAGAAACTAAGAAATTATTGAAAACTATGATTTCTTCAAGATGTCTGGAAATCCTATAGTTTAGATGGCATACAAATAGAAAGTGGTTAGACTGAGCTAGTCAGAATAAATGAGTATCTCTAGGACTAAGACTTTTGTATTTGTGCCCCATCAACAAATTGACATTTTAAATTGACTTTTAAAAGTGAGACTAAATAATATGAAGATAGAAAATATTTTATTTTTTAAAGACATTTTAAAATTTGATTTCAAAACTAAAGTCACTTTCCATGAAAGATAAATAGTGGTGTTACAGCAAAATAATAAATTAAATAAGATTTATAGGGGAAAAGAGATAATTTATTTATAGAGATAAATTTAGCAATTTATCTTATTAAGACAAATGTTCTTATATAAATATTCTTGAAGCCCTCCCTACTCCTAAGCTTCCATTTGTGAATTTTTTAAAGACTTTATTAGTCAGATATTCTGTTCCTTGCAACTTCCTAAGAGATGTGTTCACATTTATACCTTTTTTTTTTTAACTTAAACGCTTATTTTATTAGGGTGAATTTATAAAAGCTAAGTTGTTGTTTAAAATGGCATATGACATATACAGTTTAATAAAAATTCACAAATTGTAAAGCATTAAACAAAATAAGAGACTGAAACTGGCAAGAATAAGTACTAAACAAACACTATTGGATAACATAAAGGATTAATAATTTGTTTGCCTTTTTCTTTTCTCTGGACCTGCCCTGATCTCTCATCTTCTGTGTATCTCACACTTCCTGTTAAGTCTTGGAACCTTCCCTCTATCTGGGGTGGGAAGCTGAATAGGTAGGTATTGATGGTGGTAATTAAGTGGAGCAGAAAAGTATTTCAGAGGGAACAGGGAAAACTTAATCTCATTTTGTTCAAGGCGGAAGCCCAAGATGTTTTAGTTGGGGTAGATATAAGGCTACCTATTTACACAAAGAGAGCTATATATGAAATTAATTTAGATTATACACAAACATAAAAACAATTCAATGAGAACAAAGGAAATAAGACAGAAAAGGTTAGTTGTGATCAAATATTTGAGAATGTTGAATGCAAGGCTAAGAAATTTTGGCTGCATTTTAGGGGCAGTGATAAGGCAGTATTAAGAGCTCAGCTTTTCTCTACAAACATGCCATCCATACTTACAAAAGGATAGAAAATTGCTAATGGGCACGTATACCTTTCAGTACTCTCCTCCTCTGAAATATTTATTATGGACTGCATGTTTGTGCCCCACTTCCCAAATTCGTATATTAAAAATTTAACCTCCAATGGGATGGTGTTGAGGTGGAGTCTTTGGGAGGTAATTAGGTTTAGATAAGGTCTAGAGGGTGGCCCCCATGATGGGATTAATGTACCAATTTGTAAGAAGAGAAAAAGGACTAGAACTGGCTCTCTTGGCCATGAGTGGATGCAACTAGAAGATGGCCATTAGGAAACGTGGAAGCTATCCTCACCAGACACCAGACTACCTGGTGTCTTGATCTTGGACTTCACAGGCTCCACTGCAAGAAATAAGTGTCTGTTGTGCAAGCCACCCAGTCTGCGATATTTTTGTTATAGCTGACTGAGCTGCCTAAGACAGTACCCTTCCTTCACCTTATCACTGAACCACAAATAAACTCCCATTTCCAACTGCCTCCACCTGTACCGTTCTGTTTTCTGATCCCAGTGTGTCTTTTCCTTTGTCTCATTCCAGATAACCATGAGAGTCACGTGCAGGGTCTTCTGCTCCAAGCCCTCCTTTCAATGCCACACAGAACAATGAAGATTTGAGGGACGACTCGTGGAAGAACTAAAGCCAGAGTCTGTGATGCACTCTTCAAACAGGACTGAAGAGAATAGATAATATATCTGTAGCCATTTATGACCTCAAGGCACAATATCTATTTTCTGCAAACTTATCTGAATTTGTACCTTTTTGTTTCTGTTTGTAGTTTAAATTAGTACATCATGTGGGCTGGGATTTGGGGGAACTTGTGGTGAAAAAGGGACACAGATTGTCTCCAGAGACCAGGCCTGCTATAGCAAATTTCTAGTTGGAAAACAAGAAAGATCTTGGAGGAAAGGAATATACAGGTAGGTGAAACCTTGGAAAACACAGGAAACCTGTGAATTTTAAATATTTCTGCATCTACAGGTTTCTGCTACCTAGCTTCCCAGAGTTTCAGATAGATTGAAGAAAAAGGAAAGAAAGACCATTCTGTTCTATCAGCAGCAATCCACTGGGAATGCCCACTTGGGCTTTATCTTAGCTTTACTGTGAATCTTTTGAATGATTTTGGGCAATTAAGTTTAATTTTCTGCATTTTAGTGTCATTATATCTTGTAAGGTATGAATGCATGATCTACCATAAAAGTTCATGTTTTCAATTAATTGATTTTTATTTTTAGAGATAGGGACTTGTGTCTCCTAGGCTGAAGTGCAGTGGCACAATCAAAGCTCACTGCAGCCTCAAACTCCTGGGCTCAAGTAATCTTCTCACCTTAGTCTTTCAAGTAGCTGGAACTACAGGCATGCACCACCATGCCCAGATAATTTTTTAATTTTTTGTAGAGGCAGTGTTGTCCAGGCTGATCTCTTAACTGTTGCCCAGGCTGATCTCAAAATCCTGACCTCAAGTGATCCTCTCAACCTGGCTTCTCAAGGAGTTTGGATTACAGGCATGAGCCACCACACCTGGCCCCAGAAATGCAAGTTAAAATACATACTGTGGCCAAATCTTAAAACAAAATTTATCTGACATATTTTTAGAGTTCTTGATTTTGTAAAAAAACAAAATGTGGTGGTAACAGTGACCTCTAAGCTTGTTCACCTTTTTATTCTCAATGTATCACATAGAGTTTGGCATATAGTTGGTGATCAGTAAACTTATATTGATTAGGTTGAATTAATGACTAAATAACTGCATTAGTCCATTCTCACACTGCTATAAAGACATGCCTGCAACTGAGTAATTTATAAAGAAAAGAAGTTTAGGCAGCTCATGATTCTGCAGGCTGTACAGGCTTCTGCTTCTTGGGAGGCCTCAGGAAACTTATAATCATGGTAGAAGGGAAAGCAAACACATCTTCATGTGGATGGCAGGATTAGGGGGGTGCAACCCACTTGAAACAAGCTGGTTTTGGGAGAACTCTATCACAAGAACAGCAAGGGGGAAGCCTGCCCCCACAATTCAATCACCTCCCACCAGGCCCCACCTCCAATACTGGGAATTACAATTCGACATGAGACTTGGGTGGGGACACACAGCCAAACCACATCAATAACCTTTCACATTTTCTCAATATAATAGTTTGGCCCTATGTCCACCTTCTTAACAGCTAGTTTCAAGAGAAAGTTAATCAATGCCGACAGGGACCATTCTTGAAAAGACGTGGTACAAGACAGTATATTTTTATTTAGATACTGTGTTTTGGCATAGAAAGAAGGTAAAGTTGATGAATAGGATATGGAACATGAAGAGATAAAGGTGTTTAGTTGGCAGCAATGGTCTGCTGAATCCATTTCACGTAGTTGCAAACTTTAGTGTAGACTCCAGGTTTGTTCTTCTGAGGACAACCATAGCCCCAGGAGACAATGCCCTGGAGTTCTCCGTTGCAGACCACAGGAACACCAGAGTCACCCTGGGCAAAAAGGAAGGGATATTCAGAGATCTTATTTATGCCCAGATGGGAGAATGGGCCGTAAGATGTTCTTCCATTGTGCTGGAGCCATTGTCCCACACTGCTGATCCAGCATGAAGCACTTTCTCTTCCTCTTGAAACCCTCCAACCCTCAATCTACTTACTATATCAGTAGTTAGTCTTCCTTATACCTTATTTGAGCCCCTTCTCTTTCCTTGGTAGGCCAAGTGGGCCAAGAGGAGGTTTCATGCTGCTTAACTAGCTCTGCTCCTTCCACTAGAGTTCCTTTCCACAGTTTACCTCCTCAGAAGGGCACTTAGAAATACTATTTGCACACCATCTTCTGTGCATCTTTTAACTCTTAAACCTAGACATTAATACAATAAAAATAAAATATTTAATTTGTCCCAAGGCTATCCCTCACCTCTCACAATCAGTTATAGGGACAGTTTTACAATCTTCTGTGTTTCTGAAAAGGGGAATTATGGTGGAGAAGACTAAGAATAAGCTGGAATTGAGAAGCAGTACAAAGAAACTAACCTGGCAAGAGTCCTTTCAACCCTCCAGGAATCCCAGACATATCATGTTTGTAGTAATCTTGCCTGGGTAGGCTGTGCGGCAAGCAGTGTTAGAGAGAATGGGAGCCTTCAGACACTGCAGGAGATCAGGGTAGTTGGCCGTGGAGTGGAAGAGTGAAAAATGCAAGATTACTCATGAGGTTTCCAAAATTTTCTTTCTCAATACATCTCCCCTCTTCCCCAATACTCTCACTTTTTCTTTCAATTAGCCAACGGCTTCTCATTTGAGAGAGCAATACTTTCTTTTCTAGAAGCTTTCCCAAATAGTTCTAATCAATGAATTGTTCCAATTCATTCCAATTGAATGCTCCAAGCAAGACCAAATCCCTGAGTCTTTGTTTTGTTTACCTCCTCAGTTTATAGTTCTCTGCCCATCACTAATCACACTTCAGTTAAATACCCTGATATCTTCATAGTACTTCATTATTATGTCTTCTGCATGGTTCCAGCAAAGGAATCTTCTTCATTTCAATTATTAATAGTATATTTCTGAGATTCCATGTATCCAAAAACTATGCTCTGGGAACTTAACCTTAAGTGAGTTTGGACTAGCTGACTTTCCACATGTCTTTCAGCTCTAAAATTGTCACACTTGGTACTTCTGTTTCAGGCGACACTAAAGCCACTGCTCAGGGTGTTGTCCCAGCCAGAGATGAGGCACTGAGTACCAGCCGCTGCACAGGATCTTGGCAGAGAGATGGTGGCCACTTGAGAGTTGATGGTGGCGACTGAGCTCAGCTTAATCAGCATGATGTCATTATCAATGGTGGCTGAGTTATACTTGGGGTGGCAAATAATCTTGGCTGCATTTATGAATTGTTCATTGCCTTCATAGACCTTAATGTTGTATTCTCCAAGATGCACATGGATTTGGCTGGATTAAAAGATATAAGAGGTTCCTAAGTATCTAGCTTGAGTTATTTCCACTCCTCCTGACCCCCCATTTATGAGCATAAACACAGACACCATCCTTTTCAAGCAATCGGTCATACAGTAATTGTGCACTTAAGGTAGCATTCTGCACCACCACATGGTACAGGTTAGAGTTTTCCTTAGAGAAGTGTCACTGCAAGTGCAGACTCACTGCCCGCCATCTTGTTAGAATAGTAAGGAATGGGAATGAGAACTCAAGGACTTGAATAAAACAGTTGGAGATAAAAAGGAAGTTGGTGGAGATTGATCAGCATTTGCCATTTCTCTCTGGTTGGGATCACCAGTTATCACAGGGAATGAAGCAGGAGTCAGAGAAATGGCAGAATGTTAAGGGAACAGAATGAATCATGCATATTTTTAATGTTGCACTGTAAATTCTCTGTATTTTATTACTTCCATATACAGTTTATACTGGCTGAGCTACAGTAATTAGCACTATGTACTGATTCATGTCATAAGCTATTTCTAGGGATAGTTCATCACTCACTATTTCCCTTCCATATCTTGAATACCATCATTTGGGAAGACATCAGGGAACCCTGAAGGGTACCTCTCCATGCAAACCCCCCTTTATACATCAGATAATGCCTGAGAAAATAAGAAGTCTCTGGAGGTCTGAATGCCTCACCCTCAAGCACAACTCTGCAGTTTACTCTGGATTGTGTTTTGTCAGGGATAGAGGATTAATTAATCTTAGTGCATAAGAAAATGAGTATCAATGAATTACGACTTATAGCAGTGAGCCGTGGACACCTCCCATTTGTTATTGATGAGGGAGCCACCACAGAAGTGATAGCCAGCATTCAGGGACCCTGATAGGGGACAGCATTCGTCTGACAGGTGTAGCCCCCCAACGATCTTGTCATCATCATCACTAGTGGGGAAAGTGGCTGACAGAGGAAAGTTGGGAACTATCAGTTAAACAGATTCATCTTAAAGTTTCTACAATATCATGAAAAGTTTTCTCAGATTTACCAAAAGAGCAGAACGTTCTCTTGTCTCACATAATCAGGAAATGGTGGCTTTAAGGTAATTTGGGGGGGAAATTTATTATCCCATACCTTTAAATTGTACCCCACTTATAACATTATAACTATCTATTTTTTAATTTATGCTTTAACTTTGATAAATGCATTCTTTTTTTAATATATGTACTATTCAGACACACACACACACGAGCGCGCGCACACACACACTCAAAGATCAGAAACTCTTGACACAGTAAATGTCCTGAATATCACTTCCTGAAGACACAAGGAAACTTTTTTCACAGAACTCTGCTCCGCAGCCATACAATTAGGTGTAATGCTTTTCAGTAGTCATGCTGATGTTGGTTTGTGGTCGTTGGTAGGATGTTGGTATGGGAGAGAGAGCCCCATACAGTAACAGAAAGGAAGCTTTAAAAAGGCACCTGAGGCTGGTTGCGGTGGCTTATGCCTGTAATCCCAGCACTTTGGGAGGCCGAGGCAGGCGGATCACGAGGTCAGGAGATCGAGACCATCCTGGCTAACACGGTGAAACCCCGTCTCTACTAAAAATACAAAAAATTAGCTGGGCGTGGTGGCGGGCGCCTGTAGTCCCAGCTACTCGGGAGGCTGAGGCGGAGCATGGCATGAACCTGGGAGGCGGAGCTTGCAGTGAGCCAAGATGGCACCACTGCACTCCGGCCTGGGCGACAGGGCGAGACTCTGTCTCATAAAAAAACAAAAAAAAACTAAGGCACCTGAGAATTTTCTCGTCTGGAAGGAAATTAGAGATTTATATTTTTGCTCTCCTAATTTCTCTTCTTGATTCCAGTCTAGAATTTTTATTAAAATCATTTTACAGAGCATTATAGGATGACCCTCTTCAGCCTTTCCTCTTATCCCAATTATCTTTCCAACACTTACGAATTTATTCAGCTTTTAAAGTCTAGCCCACTTTATATCTTGTAGCTCCAAAAGTTTGTGATTATATTTTATGAGCCCCATTGTTCAGATATTTTTAATAGTTTTAGGAAAGAAGTTAGCAGGTGTGTAGACAGATGAATTGAATTTATACCTGCCTAACTTGAGAAAATTTAGTATTAAGTTTTAGTCTTATAAAATTTAGTAGTATAAAAGGAAAACTCATCATTTTTCTATTATATTCATGATGAAATGACATGTTACTTTACACCAGAGAGATATCCATGGCAAAAATATCGTAAAACACAGCCCATAGCTTTTATTCATGAGAAAGAAAATTGCTTTTCCCTTTGGCTTTATATCACTAGCCCTTTAGTGTGGAGAAGGTGCAGGCTCTGACACCTGCAGCCTCTTTAAGAGCACACGATTAGTTTCAATTATTAACTCCAAATTCTTGGAAAGGTCAGGATAAGCGCCTCCTTAATCTGGGCTATCTTTTCCTTCTCTCTCCTTCTTCCTTAATATTACCCAGAAGTTGAGAGCAAGTCCTGTGTCTTTATATCTTCTACCCTGATCACTTTTGCTCACTGTGAACTTCCTCCAACAAGTGAAATTTAATTATCCACAAACATATGTATTTTGCACTGTTGTTTCAATATTTTAAGCTTCTTGAATACAGAGACCAGATTCAACATTCATTGTTGTCTTCCAGAGTATAAAGTACAAACTTAAGTTTATGTTCGACATCCGCTGATTCACTCATTAAAAGATACTCACCAGCAGCTCCCAGGAGAGCAGGAAGATGAAGGTCTTCGTGGTTGCTCACTTCACCTGGACTTGGAAATAGGATGACACTTTTCTTCCACAGCCATTTATACCAACGGACTTGTCTTGACATTCATGGCCACAGGGGCCAGAAAAGTGATTTCACTGGAAACTCACAAATCTAAATCTAAATTCTGTGACAGATGCAAGATAACTCAACATAAATTCTAAACATTAACATTTGCCTACTTTTCTAGAGGGTCATGGGACTGAAAGTAATAAGCCCACCTGGTAGAAACTGTACCCCATAATAGGTAAGTAAGGCGGAGTAAGGTCACAGGACAGAGTTACAGGTGTCCAGATTCCCAGATAAAAAATCTTAAGTAGTTGGGCATCTCAACTGTATATGTTTATTCTAAGAACGACTGCACTTTTGAAGTTTCATAATGTAGACTCTTTTACAATTATATACTTTGTCTTTTGACTGCTCTGGTCTTATATATCCATGTTAGCTTTTCTCTTTTTAAAATTTCAACTCTTATTACAAATTAAAGGGTACATATGCAGGTTTTTTGCATAAGTAAATTACGTGACACCCAGGCTTGGGGTCCCAACAACCTCATCACCCAGGCAGTAAGCATAGTACCCAACAGGTGGTACTTCACCTTCTCATTGTTAAAGGAACAGCTTGTTTCCCTTAGAAAAAGAAGATTGCTATTAATTGAACTTATAATAGAGAAAAGGAGGAAAGTTAAAAAATGCTAATAACTTATAATTTTCTTGAGCTTATAATTATCTTGAGCTTACTGTACTTATTCTAAGTACTTATTGAATAAGTCAGTAAGTATGTAGAATACTGACATACACGTATGTCAGGGATATTTTAAGTATTTGCCCATATTAATTTAGTAATCTTCACAACAACCATATAAGATACCTATTATAATTCCCACTTTACAGATGTGGAAACTAAGGCACACAAAACTGTAGGGGATTTGACCAAAATCACATAGCAAATACACGGTAACATCAGCATTCCAACCCAGAAAAATCTTCCTTCAGAGTCTGTGGTCCTGACCACTATGAAACACTTCTCTCAGTAAGTTCACCAAAATCTGGATGCCAAGATAATGCAAAATTCTTGGACAATGATAACATAGCTGAAATTTTTAAAGTATTTACTATGTGTCCAGCACTGTGGAAGTGGATTACGTGCATCAACTCATTCAGTCTTCACAAGCAGCATCGTAAGTGTTAAACTACAAATTTCACCATTTAAGAGATGTGGAGAAAGAGGCTAAAAGAAGTCAAGTGAGTATATCAAAGTTTCATAGCTGTTAAGTGGCCAATCTATGGTTAAAACTTAAGCAGCCTCACTTCAGGGTTCATGCCCTCAACAGTGATGCCGTGAATATAATAAGAGAGAACAGGGCTGGGCGCAGTGGCTCAAGCCTATAATCCCAGCACTTTGGGAGGCCGAGGTGGGCAGATCACGAGGTCAGGAGATCAAGACCATCCTGGCCAACATGGTGAAACCCCGTCTCTACTAAAATACAAAAAAAAATAGCCAGGCATGGTGGCGGGCACCTGTAGTCCCAGCTAATCAGAAGGCTGAGGCAGCAGAATCGCTTGAACCTGGGGAGTGGAGGTTGCAGTGAGCCGAGATCACACCAACCAACTTTATCGATATTCCAAGACCTCTGGGAAACAGCAAGAGTATGATAGGAGACATCCAGACATTCATCAGGAGGATTCTTCATTTTTCAAGTATGGCAAATATTGTTGCTGAAGTTATTCATAAACATGCCTTCAGAGGGAAGTATGGGATTTACAGACCTCATCTGGTTAAGGACTACTCTTGACTTTCTTGATTTAATAGAGTTTTACTGTGATGACACAAAGCACTGTTAAACAGAGCTGCGTTACTCGAAGAATGAAATACTTTCAATACAACCAATGGATAAATTCTTCTCTCACTGTGCACATTACCTCTCTTGGCCTTTTTATAATCTAATTTCTTATCATTCATAATCAGTCCCTCAAATACTGACTCTCACCTGAGCTCTTCTCAGATCCAACTTCTACTGAACATGTCTGCTCCCATACCTAGGGTCAGCTAGTCTAGCGCTGAATTCATCATAGCTTTCTCTTTCTATATTTTCTGTCAGTGCAATGAAGCTACACACATATGGTTAGCCAAACTTGAAACACAGAAGTCACCCTTAACTTTTTTTTTTTTTTGACTGAGTTTCACTCTTATCACCCAGGCTGGAGTGCAAATGATGCGATCTCGGCCCACTGCAACCTCCTCCTCCTGGGTTCAAGCGATTCTCCTGCCTTAGCCTCCCAAGTAACTGGGATTACAGGCGTGTGCCACCATGCCGGGTTATTTTTGTATTTTTAGTAGAGATGGGATTTTGCCATGTTGGCCAGGCTGGTCTCGAACTCCTGACCTCAGGTGATCCACCTGCCTTGGGCTTCCAAAGTGCTGGGATTATAGGCCTAAGCTACCACACCTGGCCCACCCTTAACTTCTTTATCCACCTTGCTTACTACCTGTATTCAAAGTCTTGACGATTTTACCTGTCTTAAAGATCCTTGACTTTTCTTTGAAGATCCTTGATTTTCCTTTCAAGTCAACCACCTATGACTTGGTTCAGTATCACATTTTCTCTCCTGAATTATTGAAATCGTGCTAAAACCACTTCCTTGTTTGTGGCTTTATTCTCCTTCAACTCACTCTCCACATCAGAGTAATCTTTCTAAAATGCACATGGATCATTACATTTTCCGCTTAAAATGCTTTGGTGGCTCCACATTGACATCAGGATAAGTTTAAATTCCAGCACCAAAGTTCATGTTCTTGGACACTGTATGCTGTTTTAAACCTCTGTGCCTTCCCACACACCTTACCTGGTTAACTCCCATCATTCTTCAACTCTAATCGTGGAGAACTCTGAACTCCACCTGCATTCTCCAACTAAAGTCAGGCCTTCCTGAACTTTCTAGGCAGCTTTACTTTCATTACATTTACTTCCAGTCACATATTACTTGTATAAATATCTGCTTAATGTCTATTTTTTCCAGGTTGTTTAAAATTCCTGAGGGCATAAATGATGTCTGATTTGCTCACTATTACACCTCAAAGCCGGTATGTACGTGGCACATAGTAATTGCTCAGTGAATAACTGCTGAATGAATGAATGAGGTTACTTTCCCTCTTTGCTGGTGAACTTCTAGTCATCCATTAAATTTACCTGAAGTATCATCTCTATCTATAATTAATCTCTGACATTAACCTATGACCTCCCCTAACTCTACTGCCATAATGCCCCAATTGGTTAGATGCTAATCCGTTCTATTTCTTATCGGTGCCATTTTGAAACCCTGTGCATGTTGCTATTATAACTTTTGAATTTTGTTGCAGGCTTTGATTTCCTTTTCTCTTCAACTAGAATACGAGCTTCTGAAGAAAATATTGTATGTTAAAATTTCCAGTTTATGACACTGTCTCTGGCATAGAGTAGATGCTTAAGTTCTTCTGTTCTTCTTTGCCCCATTGGGCACTTAAGCCTTGTCCAAAACATCTTCACCAACAGTCATCCAGCCTCTATTCTGGACAGGAAACCACAGGACCTTCTGGAAACTTCTTCCTTCTGTCGAGCTGGAAAATCGTCTTGTTAGAGCTTTGACTCTTTTTCTCTCTGTCCTATAGCTTGGGGACATAGGATCAGGAGAGAGATAGTAAGAAGATAAGTAGACAACAAAGCGAAAAGAAGATTGTAGGTTCTAAAATAGTTAAAGATGAGTCAGATAAGTGAAAACTCCAGCCCAGCAAATATACATTTTTCTCTTTAGGTAGCAGTTACAAATTGTGAAAGGAAATCAAAAAAGTGTCTCCCTGTTACTGGGAAATAGCATGCCAGGTAGTAGTAGTCAAAGCTAATGCTGGCTTCTTTGTAGACAATTCAGCAGAAATAGTTTCTTAGAAAAAAAATACTTGGAACAGGATTAGATAGATTGCCCTAAGATCTGGCTTAGAGTACTCTCCTTCAAAAAACCTTCTCCAATTGCATCAATCCCCAACTGATAATTGGTTTTCTATATAGTCTATGAATGCTGATGAGAATAGTTTGGGCCCGATTATTTGATGGTCAGTCAAATATCATATAGTGATTTTAAAAAGTTATTTCTTCTCAATATTGGCTCAGTCACACCATCTAGAATATTCACACACACTGAAAACCAAGATGAATAACCTGTAGTTTTTTTTTATTTGTATGGATTTATTTCCCCCTTTCACATGGTACCCATTGCAATCAGGGTCCTTCTATATATTTGTAAACCCGGACAAATCAAGTACAAACAAGCTCATTAGCTGCAACCACCACCCTGTACACTAAGAAGATCTTCCTGAAAGGTCCTGAGGTCTTCCCTGATCATCGCCCATGTCAGATGCCTCAAGTTATGCAATAAACACACAGCGACATGAAATACAGAGGACTAACGTGCATTTCTTTGTATCTGTGTAGAAGGGAGGCCTGTTGGAAGGTGACAGAGACCATGCAGCATGTGGAAGGTGTCTCCCCAAAAGTGGGGTGGAGTCAAAAGGGGATGAGGAAAGCAGCCTCCTGCAGATTGTGGAAGCCCCAGCAGACTGCAAAGGGCACCGCGTGGGGCAAGGCATCCCTCGTGTGGTGTGTCAGAAATTGGACTGAGGTGAGGAGAGTTTCAACATGGGTGGTCTCCATGGCACAGGAAGTCAGAACTTGAACGGAGAGAGGAGGCCATTTACAAAGGAGAGATGATGGCAGCCACAGCACACATTTAGTTACCTGTAAAGGGACTAATCAAATATGTAAATCTATAAGGATAACAGAACCATGTTTCTCAGTTATTGGATAAGAGAGTTGCAAATATGGAAAGAGAAAACACTAGAACACAAGAACATAAGAATAAACCTTATAATACGGGATTGGAACTAGTGTGAACTCATCGCTTCTCAATATGTATAGACAGGAATTAAAGATATCTGTAAATATATGTGTACTGTGAAAACATATGTGTATGTACAGCTCTGTCCACTGTGATACCTAAGAGTAGTTCCCCCCAAAAGCACCCCAAAAGATCTAGTATCCATATTCTGTTTTCTAAATACCACTGTCCACTAGAAGGAACCAGGACTTTTTGGACATATAGTAGATACAAAGACAGGCAGGAAAAGCCTAGAACCCCTTGTGCCATAAAGTAAGGAAATGCTGAAAGAATGATGGGGACCCTGACAGGAAGGAGAATTTAAGAATTAACAACCCCTCTATTTCCGTATCATCTTTGCACAATGCTTCATCAACATTGAAAGATTATTATTCATAAATAAAACCTTTGAAATAAAAATTGTTTTTATCAGTTACATTCCAGCCTTACATACTGAGACTATGACCCGATTTCTGTAGATTTGCAGATACAAATATACCAATGCCAACCATAGCAGATTAGAAATACAATTTTTAAGTGCTTAGACCTACCTTTTACATATGATTTTTACTGTTTTCCATTCCATCTATCTATTCATTGACCAACTAAGCAAATATGTATTAAGCACCCGCACTCTGTAAAGTATTTTGACAGTGGCCATGAACCATGTAAGCTTCTGGCACAGCAGCCTAGTGAAGTCTACCCTGCTTGGCTTACATTGTTTCGGAGCTGGGTAGACAGTTGGGGAAAATTATTTCAGCCTCTCCCCACAACCAGATTTCAAGATTGAGGCAATAAGAAGGTCAGTAGATGAAATGATTTAGGCACCTAAAACCCTTTAACCCTCCTAAAGCATACCCTGTAAAACTTTCCAAATTAGATGTTATCTCTAAACATGTCAAACATGTCTTTCTTTTTTTAAGATGGAGTCTCAGTCTGTCATCCAGGATGGAGTGCAGTGGCACAATCTTGGCTCACTGCAACCTCTGCCTCCCGAGTTCAAGCGATTCTCCTGCCTCTGCCTCCTGAGTAGCTGGGACTTCAGGTGCACGCCACCACCCCTGGCTAATTTTTTTGTATTTTTAGTAGAGATGAGGTTTCACCATATTGGCTAGGCTGGTCTGAAACTCCTGACCTCGTGATCCGCCCACCTCGGCCTCCCAGAGTGCTAGGATTACAGGCGTGAGCCACCATGCCCAGCCCACGTCAAACATGTCTTATAGCTCCTGTAATCCCTGAAGCACTTTGAGAATGTGAATATTATTCACAAAAGCTGTTTGAACAAATTAAAATGGCCCATGTGCCCATGAGAGTTGGTTTTATTCACTGTTATATTCCTGGTCCTCAAACAGTGCCTGACATATAGTTATGTGTTCCATAAATACCTATTGGATAATATTATTTTGATATCTTAAGTGTGTATATGGAGGTTGTTGGAGGCATTTCACCAGTAGGTGGTAGTTAGAGTTGCTAAACCTTTACTTCGGCGTTTCAAATGCCTTCTTGTTTTGTGCATTCCCCTGCGGAATCCCTTTGTATTCTATTCTCTCAATGCTGTATCAGGAGGACTGAGGGCAGATGGCTGACATGAGGGCAATGTGCCTCTTTCACCTCCAGGAGGAGCTACGACTTTAGTGAAATTCCTGAGTCATGTGGAGGGAGAAGAGAGGCAGGAGGGAGGAAAGGACTAACGAAGGAATCAAATGCTCTGGTATCAGGGTTTGCTCCTTGTTGTAGTTGAGAGACCATGTGTGGACAACTTGAAGACACTAAAGTCCATTCCACCTGGACCTGCATCTCTGCAGTCCCTCTGCTCATGCCCTTAGGGCCTCCTGTTATTCTAGTCTGTGTTCAGGTCCTGCATCCTAAGTAGGTGAGATGCTCCCTGGGGGTAGGGGTCGCAGATTATTTCTCTCATGTCCCCTCGAGCACCCACTGAAAGGTGCTTCCTCCCTAGTTGGCATTACCTTACTGGGTCTTAAAATGATGCACAGCTGGCTCCAGGGAAGGGCTCCACTGAGCTAGGTGAGGTGTCCTCCTGGAATTCACTGAGATGAGGGAGGGGAGCTGGAGTGTGCTCATCCTGGGTCCAAGACAGGCATCGGGAAGGCATCTGCCCAAAGGGAAGGGGTCTGTGTGTTAGGGAGGAGGGGAGCCATAAGTAGAAAGAGGAAGGGGAGACCCATTCATTCGTTGTGGGAAGGGCAGGCAGCTGCTAAGAAAAAAGCAACTGTCTAAAGAACCCGCCCTGCACACCTGGCCCTGAGAAGCTAGTCTAAACCCACCTCTTGAGGTGCCAGTGCCAAGCTTGGAAAGGAAAGAGGAAGTGTGAGCTGTAGACACTAATAGTGACACCAACAGGAGCAGAGACTTCCCAAGCAGCCCCTGTCTCAGGGCCAGGGAAGCACACCCAGACGACAAGGACACAGAGCAGGGAGACACAGGGTCCCCCTGCCTGTGCCCCGGGTGACCCTGCCATGGGCTGAAGTCTCCACTGTGGTGTGGTCCATTGTCTCAGGTGAGTCCTGGGCACAGGTGGGACATTTCTGTCCTTAAATTTTTTGCTTTTTTCATGGAACTGCTTCAGAAGATTCTGTCCTAGGCTTAGTCTGAATTTGGCTTCTTATTTTCATAGGCTCCATGGATACTGGAATTACCCAGACACCAAAATACCTGGTCACAGCAATGGGGAGTAAAAGGACAATGAAACGTGAGCATCTGGGACATGATTCTATGTATTGGTACAGACAGAAAGCTAAGAAATCCCTGGAGTTCATGTTTTACTACAACTGTAAGGAATTCATTGAAAACAAGACTGTGCCAAATCACTTCACACCTGAATGCCCTGACAGCTCTCGCTTATACCTTCATGTGGTCGCACTGCAGCAAGAAGACTCAGCTGCGTATCTCTGCACCAGCAGCCAAGACACAGCCCTGCAGAGTCACCGCCTCCCTGTGCACAAACCTCCTGGATCTAATCAGAAAACCGTGGGGGCAACGCATCCAGCTGAGCCTCAGCACTCGGTTCAGCATTCTGTAAGACCTCAGCAGACATCTCAGATCATAATACTGTCATTTATTGGATGTGGCAATGCTAAATTGCCCAGACTCCTGCAGCCTGTGGCCTGAGTTTGTCTTGAATGAGACTGTGCCTGAACTTGAATGTAGGACAGATGCCGTCAAGTTTAAGTTTTTCCAAGTATCTTTCAGTCGGTTTGTGCCTCTGGGAAATGTTGTGTGAGGTATTTAACACTCTGGCCTCACCAATCCACCTTCCAATATGGACTGTTTTTTGACTTTTCTTTTGACTCAAGTTAGACCCTGGATCTCAGCCCTCATCCCAGCTCCAAATATGTATGGTCAGACCTTTTCTTTTCTTTTCCTTTCTTTTTTTTTTTTTTCTTTTCTTTCCCTCCCTTCCTCCCTCCCTCCCTCCTTTCTTTCTCTCTCTCTCTCTCTCTTTCTTTCTTTCTTTCTTTCTTTCTTTGTTTCTTTGTTTCTTTCTTTCCTTCTTTCTTTTTTGAGACAGAGTCTCACTGTCTGGAGTGCAGTGGCGCGATCTTGGCTCACTTCCACCTCCATCTTCCAGATTCAAGCGATTCTCCTGCCTCAGCCTCCCGGGTAGCTGGAACTACAGGCGCCCAGCACCACGACTGGCTAATTTTTGTATTTTTAGTAGAGACAGGGTTTCACCATGTTGGCCAGGATGGTCTCAATCTCTTAACTTCTTGATTTGCCCCCCTCGGGCTCCCAAAGTGCTGGGATTACAGGCGTGAGCCACCGCGCCCGGCAGGTCCTTTTCTTTTTCTTTCTTTCTTTTTTTTTTGAAAAACTAAAGAATACCCAATCCCCTCCTCAGGTGGCTCTATCACTGCCTCACCCTGAGGACAGTATTTCCCCATGGGGTTTGGATCACTGTTCTCTAGTTCCCTCTCCCTGGGGCATGTGCAGAGTTTCAACTTCTTGTTGGCTGCTCTCTTCCACTCAGGATTTAAAACATTCACACTTGATTCTTTTTCCTTCTATCTCTGTAATCCTAATACCAAGTTTTCTTGGCATTCATTATCAGCCGTGGAATCTGTTGTACCTGAATTGTTACTCACAGCAGGTAATAAGAGAACAAGACCTCCTGGAATTTCTGAGCCAGACTTTGTACTCAGGGTTACCTTGCTGACCCCCATATTTTCCAGCATTGCTCTTATTAATTAATGGCCCTCAGTCCTGCACACACCATCAGATCCCAGGGGCTGAGCACAGCCCTGCATTGTCAGGTTCTGCAACAACACAAAGGCTCCCTCCTCTCTCCTATAGAGGGCGCTCCAGGGATGGTGGGTGTTGCCAGAGACACCAGTAATTCTGCCAGACCTTGCCTGTGGGGCCATGGGAGCTCAAAATGCCCCTCCTTTCCTCCACAGGACCAGATGCCTGAGCTAGGAAAGGCCTCATTCCTGCTGTGATCCTGCCATGGATACCTGGCTCGTATGCTGGGCAATTTTTAGTCTCTTGAAAGCAGGTCGATGCTTAGACTCTAGGAAATTCTTGCTTTGAACTTACCTAAGACAATTCTAAACCATTCTCTTAATCTTCTTCTTTTCTCACAGGACTCACAGAACCTGAAGTCACCCAGACTCCCAGCCATCAGGTCACACAGATGGGACAGGAAGTGATCTTGCGCTGTGTCCCCATCTCTAATCACTTATACTTCTATTGGTACAGACAAATCTTGGGGCAGAAAGTCGAGTTTCTGGTTTCCTTTTATAATAATGAAATCTCAGAGAAGTCTGAAATATTCGATGATCAATTCTCAGTTGAAAGGCCTGATGGATCAAATTTCACTCTGAAGATCCGGTCCACAAAGCTGGAGGACTCAGCCATGTACTTCTGTGCCAGCAGTGAAGCCACAGCCTTGCAAAGACAACTCCAGCCTGTGCAAAATCCCTCACAGAGCTGCCTCCCTCCCAGCCGCCAGCTCCCACTTCCTGCCTAAGAAAAGGAAGTCTCTGGTTGGGTTTGTTCTTGCAGCTGTCTCCAAATAGACAGATATCTGAAATTAAATTACCAAAGGTATCTTGGGCAGAAATGACCAGACACTGTAGGATTTGAAGAATGTTTACAGATACTACAGAGTGTGAGTGTGATGGTGGGCTCTGAATATGAGAGAATTGTACACAACCAAGTAACTTATATCTTCTCCTCATTCCCATTTGGCCATCTTTATTAGAATTGTTTTGTTTTAGTTGCTTAGGAAAACATATTTTAACTTCTAGGGTGGCGAGATGATTCCTGAGTGGGAGTTCAGGTATTTCCATGAGAATATAGAGGGTGCTCACAGAAATCTTCAGAAGAAGGGGCTTGGTACAAAGAACTCAATTATCAATGACTCTTGCTCAGCATGTGGTCAAGAGCAGAACTATCTGATGACCCTGTGAACCTGGTGTGATGCATTTGGGCTAATGATGCTAGCTCACAAAATAACAAGTTAAGAGAGTAGAAAACATGGAGTCTAATATTTCACACCATTTCAAGGTCAACAGAGTTCTAGACCAGCATGAGAATCGCCAGAATAAAGCAAGGCAGTGCAGGAACAGAATTCAGCAGCAAAAGTCAAGAGACACCTAGAGGCAGAGGCAGGAATGAATTTGTCACTTTCAACTTAACCTGAAGCAGCCAGATTAACTTCTTGAGTTTCATTTAAGAAATTATTCCTCTTTTAAACATACCTATTGAAGTCTAAATTTTAGGTATTTTATATATTTCAGTTCTGGAATTTCCATTTAAATCTTGCTACAATTTCCAGTTGTTTGCTAAAATTGCATATTTTGTCATTTACTTTGTTGACTATATTAACATCTGTCATTTTAAAGCCACTTTTTGATAACTTTAACATCTGAATCTGTTTGGGTCTATTTCTTTTGTCTGTTTTCTCTGTTCAGTTTCTGGGCACGTGATTTTGTTTTCTCATACAACTAGTAATTTACTTGAATGCCGGATATTGTATATAAAAACTATAGAGATAATTTGAGGCTCTGAATGATTTCATCTTCCTCAAATGATTCACTTTTGCTTCTGCTGGGATTGTAGCAGGGGCGGATCACCTTAATTGAGCTGATGAATGAGCTGGATCAGACCTGAGCTTCAGCCTGCATGATGGCTGCTCGCCTTTGCTCTTAGCCATGTAAGTTCCAACTAGATGTCTGAAGTTTAACAGCTAAATCAAATTGTAAATTACATAACATAATATTTGCCCATTGCAAGCATGCAATTCAATGAATTTTGATAAATTTGTGGAGTTGTGCAACAATCACCATGATCCAGCTCTAAAACATTTCATCTTTCCCCACCCGGAAAGTTCCTTCATGCTCATTTTCAGTCAATCCCTGCTTCTACCCCCAGCACCAAGGACTGGGGTCTTTGCCAGGCTCCTCTCCTATTCAGTAGTCACTGAACGTAAATGTTCTCCAGACCAGAAAGGTGGTGGATGCTCCTCAAAGCCTGCTACACTCTCAGTCTTCCCTTTTCTTCTCAGCTACTTAGCCAACGATATAAAACTGGCAAATGACTTAAGGCGAAAGTGGTCTGTTAGATCTCTCCTTTCTCGTTGAGATCCCAATCCCTTAAGTTCTTACTGCCTCAGTAGCTCCAAGTGCCTTCAAACGTTTATTTTTATATTTTGTTAAGTTTTTCTAGTTGTTTTTGGTGGGAGTGTTGTTCTGCAAAAAATCAGTCTATTAACTCTGAAAGCCAGTTTCTATATTTATTAAAGGTGAGGTGCAATGTTTTATGTTTTTATTTTAGGTAGAAGTATCTTGAAGAAAGGAAGGAGTGAACCTCTCTGCCTTCCCTTTTTTTTTTTCTTTTTGAGACAGATTCTCACTCTGTCACCCAGGCTGGAGTGCAGTGGGGCGATCTCAGCTCACTGTAACCTCTGCCTCCGGGGTTCAAGCGATTCTCCTGCCTCAGCCTCCGGAGTAGCTGGGATTACAGGCGTGCACCACCACACCCAGCTAATTTTTGTATTTTTAGTAGAGATGGGGTTTCACCATGTTGGCCAGGATAGTCTTGGCCTCTTGACCTCATGATTCGCCCGCCTCGGCCTCCCAAAGTGTTGGGATTACAGGCATGAGCCTCCATTCCCGGCCAGATTATCTCTATTTCTAAGAGTTCTATTACCCTTCTGCCTTTGGTCCACCATGGGACAGAGTCTTGACACGTTTGACCTTTTACCACAAGGAGGAGCTGTGACTCTACTGAGATTAAGGGAACTCAGAGGAAGGGCAGAGCATTCTCAGGATGGGAGACAGTTAAAAGAAATATTGGGTTTATTTACAACAGGGGAAAATGTGGTCTGCAGAAGCTGTGTTAATGCTGAAATGTGAGAGGATAAATATAGACTATTCATTTGCCTTGCTGTGCAGGTGCTTTTGATCTAGCAAAGAGCCTAGACTGCCAGATTTGTTGCATGTGAACCTGCATGGGATGAGAAAGGGAGAGAATTTGAGCTGGGAAAGAGCAGAGCTCACAAGCAGATGCCAGTGGAGGAACTCTTCCTGAGAGGAATAAGAGAGGCTCTGGATGCTGGGCCTCTTCTCCAGTTCAATCCTGCCATGAAATGACTTCCTGGAACCTGGGCAGTGAGCCTGACAAATCAGGGCTTCCTTGAGGGATCTTGCAAAGAGAGTAATTACCAAGGGAAATCTACCTATCAGACCAAAGAATACCTGGAGCACCATTCTCCTGACTCTAAATGATGAAAAACCTAAGCTAGAAAGGGTTTTTTTTTTTCTTTTTCCTCTTCTGAATGTTCCTCTAAGTTCTTGGAGTGAGGGCTTCTTCGAAGGATAGGAAACCTGTCTCCTGGGTCTGAGCTAATGGTTCTATCAAAACAGCCTCACCAGACTCCCTTCCAGCTTCCAGCTTCAATATCTATCCCTGTCTACCAAGACCCATGGAAGCTAGACTTGTCCAGATATCAAAAGATGATGCCAAACACCTGGAGATGGGAAAGAAGGTGGCGTGGACAGACCTCCAGGATGCACATCTGAAACAGGCTCTTCATTTTGTTTTGACTACAGCCTCCTGTTTCGCCTTTTCAAAAAGCATTTGGAATTTCCCTTACTTCTTGGAAATCCAAAAATACAGCAAAGATACATTTTCTATAGGCTCTAGTTATTCAGTAGGAGGGAGCTTCAGAATATCTCTATACTCTACTATGCATATTCTAGCATGCTGCCCGGAAGTGAAAGTCTAGCCAAACAGTTTAACAGGAAAACCGTTAGCTGTCCTGTGGAGGTTAATTTTGCAGTTTATTTTGGAATGGAACAAAAGAAGGTATTGAAGATAGGAATCTCATTTCTATATGCTAGAATCTAAATTTCTTAACTTTCTGTAGTATGGGCCATTTTCAAATCAGCTAAAGTCCTAAAACCAGACTATGGGAAACACACACTTCTAAGCTCAATATTAAATATCTAAAGTGACTAACTAACGTAGGGTTGGAGAGGCAGGGTCCCCCTGGACTTTTCAAACTCCTACCCTCACAAAAAATCTAGAACTTCTTCTCAGTAACAAAAATAAGATGACGTATAATCATTTTTCATTGTTAATAAATAATCTCTATCCATCATGGCATTGCATTGAATTTGTGTTAATTGTTGCTAAAAAATGACTGTGGGTTAAACATTTGTGATTCATATAATAATAGAAATAATAAATGTAAATGTTTTAAGTGAACAAGCGAGATTTTAATAGCTCAACAGGCAAATAGCATGAACTGATGCTCTGCAAAGGTGAGGGACACCTGGCCTGAGACAGGATGTCTTATCTGATTTTGGTCTGAATTTCATTTGGAAAACTGGCAGCTGCTGGTCAACCTGCAGGGATATGATCCCATGAGCTGATATGCAATGTTGACTTTTGTATTTTTGTCAGCATGAAATAATTTTTTTTTTTTTAAATCAGGGTCAGAGTCTCGAGTAACTAGCAGCCAGCTGATAGAATGGAAGTGAAACCATGGCCCTCGTCCCCTTGCAAACCTGGAAACCCAGTGTTGAGCATGTGTGAAGAGAGAAACAGAATCAGGTGAAATGAAATCTTCCTAAGACCCTGCTCAGGAAACTAAATTTGACGTAATTGGACACAAGAAGTTGTTCATCCATTCTATTCCGCCAGAGGAGACAGGACAGATTTCCCGTGCGTTCTTGGGAAGCTGGAAGAGGGAGACAGCTCTGCCAGGTGGAGTGATATTCTCATGAGAAGTGAAAAAGAAGAGGCAGAGATGGAGAGTTTGGTTCTAGAAGGGTGGAAGGTTTTGCTTATAAACATATCAACACACTTGCTTTTCCCGCCAAGATGCAAACTTTGGGGAATTGCTCAAATATAAGATGGGGTTTAAATATTGGACAGCCAAAAATATGACCCATGTTCAAAATATGCATCCTGGTATCATTCAGTTCGACGTGTTCTAGTTCTTCTGCAGCTTTCTGTCTCATTCCTTTTGCCCCTACAACTCTCCACCTTTTTGTGGATTAAGTTATCTCCATGATAAAATTATTATGTTGTCTTCCCTCTTTGACTTTCTTGTCGGCAGCCTGGCTCTTCCCAGGGATCCCAGCGTCTATCCTCTCTCCTTTCTGTAGCTTTTTTCCGCTTCTCCAGTATGGCGGGCCCTGTCAGAAAATACGTACATAATCAATTTATTTGTCCTTCTTATCCTTTGGACAATTCTTTTGTTTGTTTGTTTGTTTGTTTTTGGTTGAGACCAAGTCTCGCTCTGTAGTCCAGGCTGGAGTGCAGAGGCAGGATCTCGGCTCACTGCAAGCTCCGCCTCCCGGCTTCAGGCCTGCCTCCGCCTTCCTAGTAGCTGGGACTACAGGCGCCCGCTCCACGCCCAGCTAATTTTTTTTTTTTTTGTATTTTTAGTAGAGACGGGTTTCCCCGTTTTAGCCAGGATGGTCTCGATCTCCTGACCTCGTGATCCGCCCACCTTGGCCTCCCAAAGTGTTGGGTTTACAGGCGTGAGCCACTGCACCCGGTCTAGACAATTCTTGATGGACAATCAAACACTTTTGCTTTTCATATCTCCTGTAAAACACAAAACAAAACAACAACCAGAACTAACATTGCCTCATATGAGGCGAGTTTCTTTCTATCAGTTTCATTCCAGTGCCTCTCCCAGACGCTGTCCGTCTGATTTGGTAAAAAGTCTTGCGTAAAATAGTGAAATACATATTTATTTAAAGTCTACTCTTTAAGAATGGTTACATCTTTACATAGTTATGATCATCACCATTGAATGTAGCCTCTTGTCATTTCACTATCTTCCCTCCCCACCCGTTCCTTCTTTGAAAAGGTTCCCATGTCAGCTGTGTGGTGCAATGTGGTAGGTACTGAATAAGACCCACAACTACGGGGGTACCTGGTTATGTTCACAGAATTGTAGAGCTAGACAGAGTGTTGAAAATTATTTATTTCTGCCCATTGTTTCATAGATCAGGAAATGGGATGCTTTAAAAAAAGTATTTAAATGTAAATAGTAACTATTTTGCTGGCCTCCATGTAATATGTATTTCATATTCTTAGTCTACAAGTAATGTGTGAATGTGTTTTTGCTCCTATTGGATTATAAGCATCATGAGAGTGAGAATATTGTTTACTCATGCTTTGCACTAAGTAGCCATTCAGTGACTATAAACAAATAAAGCATGCTTGAAGTTCCAAGAAGGATGGTGGTCATTTTTCTTTTGTTTAGTTCAAGTTCTGTGTTTAGTAAATCACAAATGAACCATCAAGGTCTGTCTTTGCAGGGGATTCACCAGTAGATGACAACACTACCAAAGTGTGTGTGTGTGTGTGTGTGTGTGTGTGTGTGATACCTTTCTGGCAGTGCTGGTCTCTGCTTTTCCTCCTGGAGGTTCCTGCCCTGGGGCCATTGACTGAGGCACTGAGGTCTGAGTGCTGGACCTTGCTGACCAGAGCAGGAGGAGCTGCAGCCCTGCCACACCCCCGAGGTTGGGTGGTTGATGGCTGGCAGAGGAGAGGAGTACCATGGGCAAGAATAAAGGGGACTGTGGTCCTCAACATTAGATAATTCACAAAACGCGAAGGCATTTTCTGTCGTCACATTGCCATCAGGTGGGTAGGGCCCAAGGATGCCGCCAAGCATCCTCCCTACACAGGACAGCTCCCCACAACAAACAATCACCTGATCCAACATGGCAGTAGTGCTGAAATTGAGAAACCCCGCAATAAGCTTCGGTTGTAAACTTTGTACCAAGAAGGAGAATTCTCTGCAGACAACTCAAGGGGCAATACCGTCAACTACTTTTGTTTTCTCTGACTGCCGCGTTGTTGACCTTCATCGCCATTCTTTCCCAGCACATGGTGTCTGCATATTTTCCAGCAGCCTCCTGTTTCCTCATAAATCTGCCCCTTGGACAGATAAGAACATCACAGGGAGCAGGGCTGCAGTTCACTCCCAATAATAACGCCTCAGCAGGGTTTGCTCTGCAGTAGCATCACAGTCATGTGGAGTAGGTGGCTATGGCTGGTATTCAGGTGAAATCTCAGGCCAATCTCTCCTGAATCAAGGGGACCACTGATCATTAATGAGACCTTCAAGTGAGCAAAGATTCAAGAGAGCAAATTAATGTCCTGCGCTATTGTGAAGGGACGCAAAGGATCCAGAGAGGAAACCAGCTGACTCTGAGAGAAGGGCCTGAAAAGGAGAGGAAGGGAGGAGGTGGTCAGATCCCCGGGAAGGAGCAGGGAGGGAGGGGGCTGCTGGCCCAGGAATGACTGTCAGAGACACATCCTGGAGGTCACAATTCCACCCTCTCAATTATTCCCAGAAATTCCAAAAACTCCTTTAAAGGAGCAAGTGCAGGGCATGAAAGGGAGGAGCCATGCTAGAGGAGACCCTGGGAATGGGGGAATGATTACAGGCTGTGACCTCACTGGCGCAGCACCTCTCAGCGGCAGTGGAAACCACAGCCTAGTCCTCTCACCACTGCAGACCAGAATCCTGCCCTGGGCCTTGCCTGGTCTGCCTCACTCTGCCATGGGCTGCAGGCTCCTCTGCTGTGTGGTCTTCTGCCTCCTCCAAGCAGGTGAGTCCCGGGCCCAGGTGACATGATCCTATTGGAGTCCCTAAGCCTTTTCACCATGACAACAACAGCAGGCCGTCTCCTAGGATTTGCCTGAATTCTGCTTCTTTCCTTTGCAGGTCCCTTGGACACAGCTGTTTCCCAGACTCCAAAATACCTGGTCACACAGATGGGAAACGACAAGTCCATTAAATGTGAACAAAATCTGGGCCATGATACTATGTATTGGTATAAACAGGACTCTAAGAAATTTCTGAAGATAATGTTTAGCTACAATAATAAGGAGCTCATTATAAATGAAACAGTTCCAAATCGCTTCTCACCTAAATCTCCAGACAAAGCTCACTTAAATCTTCACATCAATTCCCTGGAGCTTGGTGACTCTGCTGTGTATTTCTGTGCCAGCAGCCAAGACACAGCCCTGCAAAGTCACTGCATCCCTGTGCACAAACCTCCCGGCTCAGCCAGGAAGCTGCAGGGCAGCGTGTGCACCTGCACCCAGGGCTCCAGTCTCCATTCCCTGATGGCCTCTGATGGAGTTTCAGTCTGTAGTACAGCCAGCTAGTGCACCCAGTGGAGAAGTCCTCCATCTTATGCACACAAAAGTCTCACAGAATTGTTTATCAGCTAGAGCAGGGCTTCACAACAAAGCCACTAAAGTATTAGGGCTCCACAAACAAAAAAGAGCCTGTCCTATGCACTGATGATCTTAACTGATGGGGGAAGCTCTTTCTTTTCTTTCTGTGTGGCACATATTGGTACGTATTTTATATAACATTATGAAAAAAACACGATTGCTGAAAATGGTTGATGAGCACAAGCATAAAGGAGGGGGAAGGAAATATTTCCAAGATCAAGAGACAATTCTGATGATCAGTGAGTACTTTATTCAACAGAAAAATATTTGGAGAGGCATGAAATTCCATGGCAATAGGTAAACTGGAAAGTGTTGAGGAGATGCCGGTGGAGGTAGCCTTGTGCGTTGTGGGCTCCTTCTCTTCAAGAAGGGTGACCAGCAAGTGTCTCTCCCAATTCTGATGAATATCATCTTGAACTGTCCTCAAGAGCAGGCAATAGCCAGATGACTGGGGATATTGGGAGACCTGAAAGGACTTTGGACACAAATCTCTAGGCAGTGGTGAGCCATTGGTCCTACTCCAAGTGAAACAACATGATGAAACTGATATTTTGGTAGAGGAACACTGGTAGTAGTATGGATCAGAAAGGAGATAGATTTTTGGGTGGCATGAATGATTAGGAGACTTCTAAATATCCTACATGAAAGATTAGAAAGGGTTGATGTGAAGCATTGTGGACAATATAGGCTTGAGGCTCTGCATTATGTTATTTCTTGGAAATGTATTGGGTTTTATTCTGGGAGGGTTGAATGTAGGACTTGCTAGGGTCTATTTCAGCCTTGCCCTCCCTCTTAGGGAGCCCCAGCATGTGGTCATCATTGCTAGTGCATGGCCTTTCCAGGGTCTTAGTGGGAATCACAGTCACCCACCACGACTCTCCACTCTCACTGGGTCTGAATGCCATTGCCTTCCTGCCCTGGGTATCCTCTGAAATCCCTGCCCGTGTCTACAGCCTTCCAGAGTTTGTTCTCTGCTGGGCCTTCGGGAGTGCCACCCTCTGCATACACAACTTAGGACCTGGCCCAGAAAGAAAAATAAAAAATGAAAAAAGATTTTCTTACACAGGTTCTCAGGGCTCCTTGGTAGTACTCTGTGTCCTAAATCCCAGCTGTCTTGGAGTCAGTTATGTCCTCTTATCTTCAATCACATATACTACTTCTATTTTATATAAATATGTTTACTTGGCTTTTCTTCATATTTACCATTCCACTCTTCACTCTTCTTGCAATTCACATGGTCCTGAGATCATTTTCCTTCTTAGATCCATCCCTAATTCAGACCACTTGAACTCGCTGGTCACCACCCCTTGTTGTGGGAAATGCTTATGTTAGCTGTTGTCCTCAGGACAATTAAACCTTTCGCTTTCACCATTATTCAAGTTTTCAGTTTAAATTCTATTGCTTTTTTTAAATTGTCTTTGCAATTTGGTTTACTTATTGAGAGCCAAACAATGCAATAAAATTTTATTCGTTCAAATTTGTTCTACTTTGTAGAAGGGCCAAAGTGTTTTCTTGCTGAAGTAGATACCAATGGAAACAATTTTAATGGTAATAATACTAGTGTTTAAAATAAGGCTAATTTTAGGTTTTTGTCTAGTGAATAGAATATCTCCAACTGTAGCAGGATAGAGATCGATCCTATATGTAACCTGTTGAGGGGGAGAATACTCAACCCCATTAAATTCTAATCTACATGCTTTACATTTTTTGTTTGTTTGTTTTATGGGCCACATTGAAAATCTGATGAAATTTTTGCATTAGAAGAATGCTACAATTTTCCTCCTGACTGAGAACATCCCCAGGTTAAAACAAATCTAAATTATAAATCCTTGACTTAAATCATGGATAAGTATCTTCCCTCAGCCCCATGTAGATTTACATATAACATAGATTTACGACCCTAATCTCATGCCTACAATTATAATTATCATCATGAAAAGGTAACACTGATGTAATACAACAATAAATAGATGGTAAAAATCACTTTGAAAGTATGAATCATCTCATTTTTGTGTTTATTTGTGTTCATTTGTATCTCCAAATGCTCTAGAATGAAAAGCCAATATTGGCATAAAAGTACCTTTTAAGAAAATTGATGATATTCCAATTCTTAACTGGTCACAAAGCATAAATAGCTTATGCAGTGAAGTACAGAAGACCCATAGGAAGTCATCCAGCTGGTTCCTAGTTGGAAAGTTCTCCACAGAACTGATGAACTAATGTGGTTTCTAACATCTTAGAAATGGCAGGGCTTTAGAGATCATCTCATTTCAGTTCTCCTGATTTAATATATGAGGAAATATGGCATCACATATATGAAGTGATTGAACAATGACATACTGATTACATTTCTCAAACTTTATGTAAGATATATTTTTATTCTCTAGTTGTTTTCTGAATATGTTGAATTGCCTTACACAAATAGAATTCTGGGGGTGAAAATGTTGGTGATTTTCTGCTTGCTCCTAGCTGTTGCTCAAGGAGTATTTGTTGAACAAGTCAGACTGGCCCAAGAACTCAAGAGGGCTGGGATACTGTCTGTTCTGCACATTACTAGAGATCCAGGCATAGACAATTTTCTGTTCTTTTTTCTTTTCTTTATTTCATTTCATTTCATTTCTTTTCCTTTTTTTTTTTTCTTTTGAGGGGTGTGGTGGGAGCAGGGTCTTGCTCTGTCTGGAGTGCAGTGACACAATCATGGCTCACTACAGCCTTGACTTCCATGGCTCAAGCAATCCTCCCACTTCAGCCTCTTGAATAGCTGGGACTACACACAGGCACCACTACATTCCGCTAATTTTTGTAGAGATAAGGTGTTGCCATGGTGCCCAGACACAGACATAGACAATTTCTGTTGAGTAAAAATTTAGAATGTCTTATGTGTGTGGATACCTGGCGTTCTGGCTGCTGACTCTCTGTGTTGTTGCCAACACCTCCTTCGTCTTCATTCTCCCCTGGCCTTTCAAACCCTTCTCTGCTGCTCAGGGTTGTGAGATGTGGAACCCATCTGGATGCTGACACTGGGTCGGTGAGTGGCCAAATACTGTTTTGGCCACAGGCAGGAGCTGTGCTCTGGTGAAACCTCTAAGGCAGGGACCTGGGGAAGGGATAGAGAATAAGAGGAGAGATGGGCCAGGAGGGATCTTGCCCATGGGGAGCCAACCGTACCTCAACTGAGAGCATGGCTGTACTCAGCTCAAGCACACTAACATCAGCTTCAAGCTGATTTCCCTTTCCTTTGCTCCACACACCTTGTGTTGTTCTTTTTCAGCATCCTGTGTATGTTAGCTCTAAGCCCAGCCAAGCCCCATGCCCTCCACTTCAGGGACAGAGGGTGGCTCATCCCTTTTGTGCTCCCTCAGCTCCCTCCCCAGTGCCTGGTGGCTGGTTGGCAACACAGTCATGCCCTTGAATGATGGGAGCTGGTGCACACTGCATCCGTGTTCATGCAGTCACCCTCCCTCCACAGAGCCGGGCAGAAAGGGCTCCACCACACTTAGACATTGAGGGAAGGGACGTTTTGAATGGCACTGTTTTATGTGATCCCGCAGGACAGAAGGAGATTTCTTGAATGGGAGTGGTCTGTTGTTGAGAGGGATCCTGAAAGACAGGGAGACAAAGATAGAGGGAGGATCCACATAATTAGGAAGCAGCTGAGAGCAAAGGAGCCCCTGCCAGAGGAATATCCTTGGGGGGTAAAAAGCCGGCTCTGCCCTTTCTCCCCAGCCGATTCATCCTAGCCCAGCAAATTCAAATCTACCTTCTATCAGAACTTAGAAAGGATGTAAAGCAGTCAGGAAGAAACATCCCCTGGGTCTGGGGAAACTATCAGGAGCAGTGACATCACAAGAAAAACCACCAAGCAGGGCCAAGGAGACCAGAGCCCAGCACCTCGCCCAAAGGACCCCAGTCAGAGGCCCCATCTCAGACCCGAGGCTAGCATGGGCTGCAGGCTGCTCTGCTGTGCGGTTCTCTGTCTCCTGGGAGCAGGTGAGTTAGGTTGAAATTGTCTGTCCTTGGACTCCAACCCTTTTCCTTGTGGCTGCAGGAACAACCCTCTTCCTGGGCTCTGCCTGAATTTTGTCCCTTTCCTCCTACAGTTCCCATAGACACTGAAGTTACCCAGACACCAAAACACCTGGTCATGGGAATGACAAATAAGAAGTCTTTGAAATGTGAACAACATATGGGGCACAGGGCTATGTATTGGTACAAGCAGAAAGCTAAGAAGCCACCGGAGCTCATGTTTGTCTACAGCTATGAGAAACTCTCTATAAATGAAAGTGTGCCAAGTCGCTTCTCACCTGAATGCCCCAACAGCTCTCTCTTAAACCTTCACCTACACGCCCTGCAGCCAGAAGACTCAGCCCTGTATCTCTGCGCCAGCAGCCAAGACACAGCCTTGCAGAGTCACCGCTTTCCTGTGCAGAAACCTTCGGGGCCTGCCAGGAAGCCGTGGGGGCCACGGAGGGCTCGGGTGAACATTTCCTCCAAGAGCCCCGAAGAAGCTTCAGAACATCATAGCACCTGCTAATTCATCCATGTGGCAACTTTACATCCTATGACATATTTAGAGTGTGGGTTTCCTTTCGCCTGAGTGTGACTGCCCCGTCAACTGATTTGAAAAAAGAGAAACATATTCAGATCTAGTTTAAAAAAAAAAATTTTTTTAATCATGTAATAGGCCGGGCATGGCGGCTCATGCTTGTAATCCCAGCACTTTGGGAGGCCAAGACGAGCGGATCATGAGGTCAGGAGTTTGAGACCAGCCTGGCCAACATGGTGAAACCCCGTCTCTACTAAAAATACAAAAATCAGCTGGGTGTGGTGGCATATGCCTGTAATCCCAGCTACTCAGGAGGCAGGAGAATCACTTGAACTCGGGAGGTGGAGGTTGCGGTGAGCCGAGACCGTGACATTGCACTCCAACCTGGGCGACAGAGTGAGATTCTGTCTCAAAAAAAAAAAAAAATTCCTGAAATAAAGCAAGCATGCTGTAAGGATTGTGTAGCTTAAAATTTTATAAGAACCCTCTAAACAATCACCTGTGTCACCACAGAGGCACACCCTGCACTGGGTCAGACACTGTCCTGTGAGGAGCTGTGTTCTCCTGACACTTCATGTCCAGTGGTTTCCATGACTCTTCTTTGGGGCCAAGGGTTCCCTTTCATCATAGGTTGTTGTCATGCAGAGTCAAGCAACACTGAGCACTGGGAAATCAGAGAAGGAACTTCCAGGCAAGGGTCCCAGTGCAGAAGCCAGCTAGAGAGGACAGTAGTAGACTCACCCTTTGGGAAATATGTTTGAGAAATATGTATCTATTTTCACCAGTTCTATTACTCTATATTCCAGCTTGTCTATTCTCTAATTTCTCATTTGTACACTGAAAGCTAGACTGTGAATTCTAGCCCTGATCAAAGCTCCACATATACACAGACACCTTCTCTGAACCCTGCAGGCAGCAAACTTGCCTCTGTCTGCTCCCCTTGCTGCAGAGTCCATGGATCATGGTCTAGAAGTTTCCTGACTCATCCACTCTCCTTCTCTTGGCTGGAAGCCTCCTTGTTGGTTTCAGATCTCAGCGCCTCCCTGGATTGCCTCTCCAGACTGACACTTGAAGGATTATTTTTCCCCCTTTGGTCTCTTTATTCCCAATGTGTTCAATCATCAGGCTCAGAGCCTGATGCCTCCAGAGCGCAGCTCTACATTAGCTTTTAGAGAGGAGAGTGGGTCCTGGCTGTTCTGTTTATCTGTTTTCATTCACTAATTCATTCATTCATTTATTATAGAGACAAAAGATTCCCTATCCCAAGATATATGGTCATCTGTGCTGTATCAAAAGAGAAGATATTCTTCTCACAGTTTTATGAAATGAGGTAGCTTCGCAACTTGCGGGGAGCAGCCTCTTAAGTTAGTTGTCAAAATTAGGCTTTTGCCTAAGTAAAGTTAGGATCCTAAATTAGGCTCCTACTCTCCCACAAAAACTGGGAGACAGGGCCTCTATCTTCCTTGACGATTGTATCTCAAAAAGATGGTTCCTAGAGTCTTGGGAAAGACATTCCTGGGTCATAAAGCTGGCTAGAGGTTTACAGAGATTTTAATAGGATTGTCAAAAAGCCTTTTCTGTGTTTATTGAGATGATCATCTGGGTTTGTTTTTAGTTCTGTCTATGTGGTGAATCACATTTGTTGATTTGTGTATGTTGAACCAACCTTGCATCCCAGGAATGAAGCCTACTTGATTGCAGTAGATAAACTTTCTGATGTGCTGCTGGATACAGCTTGCCAGTATTTTGTTAAAAATTTTTGCATCGAATTAAATAATTTTTAAATAAGGTGACTTACATTAATTGCTTTTTAAATATAAAACCAATTATGCATTCCTGGGGCAAATCTCATCTACTGATTAGATATTAACCTTTTTATACATTGTGAGTTAAATTTACTTTATTTTTGTTAAGGATTTTTGCTTCTATGTTAATATTAGTACTATTTATTCTTCACAATTTGTAAATTGATAAACTTGCTCAATTTCATCAATAAAGTAAGCTGGGCCTGGAGTTTTCTTTCTGGAAATGCTTTTAATTATTATGAGTTCAATTTTTAAAACCACTTCTACATGTATTTTTTAATATCCCTATGGACATTCAAGTTATCCACTTTTTGAGTGGGTAATTGTGTTTTTTGGGGAATTTGTTTATTTTGTCTGCTTTTGAATTTATTGGCATAATATTAATCTTTCATTGGAGTTCTAATTTGCATTTCTCTAAGGATTAATGATGTTGAGGACATTTTAATGTTTTTATTACCATTTGCAGATATGTCTTTTTCATATACCTATTAATGCTTTTGCCCAGTTTTAAAGGTTAAATTATATATCTTTTATATTGATTTATAGGAATCCTTTATAAAATATAAAGGATTTTTATATTATATAGAATCCTTTATATAATCTGGATACAATATTCTAGTCTGATATATGTATTGTGAAACTTTTTCCTCAGTCTGAAAATTTTCCTTTCCACTTTCTTGGTAGTACCTGGGCACAACCCCTATGAAATGAGAGTACCCTTCTGTCTCCTTTAATTTTGTCTCTCTACCTTCACCCTTATCAGTATTTGGCAGGCAATTAATTCAGTCAGATTGAGAGAGTGCAAAGGCTTCTAGCTAGCCCTCGCAACACTGGCTTGGGTACACCTCTAATCTCCAATCACACGAAACAATTTGCCAGCCCAGAAGCTACCCCTGCTATGTATTCTACCATGAGTAGACCTTAAATGTGCACCTCCCACTCTCTCCATAGTACATATGGTAGAATGGTGATGGATCCTTCTTTTGGCAGACTTTCCACAATGCATGGAGCTATGCCTATCCAAGCACATCTCTGCATGGACGAAGGAAGGGGTGGATAATTGAGTCAGTGTTTCTGCTTCTTGCTTGTGAGTTTTCCCCAGTAAATCTTGTTTTATGTGTATATTGCACAGGGCTAGTGCTGTCTACATGTCCCTTCATATGATGGTGCTCTCACAGAATTCTGAGGCTGGAAGGAACAAACAAAAGTTCTCATAAAGAGAAATTTAATCACCTCTAGAAAGAAGTCCGTGCTTAATGGCTTTGGAGTTTCTGTGAAGAAAGGGTTTCCTCCTGCCTTAGAAGGTGGGCAAAGTGAGCAACATCTTCACCAAGTCAGGAACACTTGATTTCAGCCAGAGGCAGAAGTGGGGTTCTATGATAATGCCCGATTGTGGTTACAGAGGGACTACATGAGCAAGGCCATGGAGGTGAAAATGGATTCATTTGGGCTGAAATCCTGTAAATGAAGTAAGCGGGAAAACCCAGCGCACATTCCAATGGAAGATGCAGCTTCCTAATATTGTGCTTTCAACTTAGATTCTGTCATCTGTAATTACTCCACACACTTTCTCAAATCATTAGCACAACTGTGGGCCAGGTAATCATTTAGCCCCTTTGCTTGGTACAAGGTAGCCATGCTCTCTACTTAGCTCCCTATTTTTCTCTGGGAAGCTTTTGCTGAGACCTGCAGTGACCATGCTTCTCAGACTTCTCTCTTTCTTATTGTCATTTCCATTTATATTTTAACTTTAATTGTAGTTTATTTGATTAACATCTGACATGTTTATGTTTCTCTTTTGCTTATTTGACCTCACTTAATGATAACCCAGGTAACTGGTCAGCTGCTGCTAATCAAGTTATATTTTCTGGGGTTACATTGGTTATTTTTTCCTCTAAAGTTTCTATCTGTGTAAGAATTGAGGTAGCAGAACCTTCTCTCTCTTTTTTTTTTTTTTTTTTTTTTTTTTTGAGACAGAGTCTTGCTCTGTTGCCCAGGCTGGAGTGCAGTGGTGCGATCTCGACTCACTGCAAGCTTCGCCTCCCGGGTTCACACCATTCTCCTGCCTCAGCCTCCTGAGTAGCTGGGAACCTTCTCTTTTTTGGAAACAGGGTCTCACTCTGTCACCCAAGCTGGAGTACAGTGATGCAATCATGGCTCACTGCAGCCTCAACCTCTGAGATTCAAGCAATCCTCCCACCTCAGCCTCCCAAGTAGCTGTGACTACAGGCACACACCACCACCACTGGCTAACTTTTTTGTTTACATTTTTGGTAGAGATGAGGTCTTGCTATGTTGCCAGGTTTCTCTCAAACTCTTGAGCTCTGGTGATCCTCCCGCCTTTACCTCCCAAAGTTCTGAGAATACAGGTATGAGCCACCGTGCTTAGCTCCTCCTATTGATTTCTGAAATTTAAATGGAGATCAGACTGTCTCCACGCAAGGAGGAAGTCAGACAGGGCAGAGCTTAACCAATGTCCACGGTTTGTTTTCTCACTGCAGTCTTGGACTTACCACTCATCTCTTCATTCTCTGGCTCAGAATAGCTTCAGTCTTCCCAGAAGATTCTCATGATTTTCAGTTTGTTTCTGGTTTCTTAGTTATTTCTTGTCTCATCAGGCTCCCCTGAGGAAGGAGCCAGGAGATGCTACAAGTCTGCAATTTTAGGGGGAGTCAGATGGAGTGCACTGGTCTTTTGCACTTCTTTATAATATTATCTAAGCCTCCTCTTCTTTGAAATATAATGGCTATTCATCATGGGATATGAGGCATCTCAGAAGCAATCTAAATATCTGTTTGTTTCTTTTTCTAGTAAAGAATTGACCAGTATTCTAGCAATTTTATTTTAGGTATTCCTTTAAAAGTAAAAAATACATAGTTTTTCTTAACGTGACTTCTATTGATAGTTTATATTTTTATGATTTTGTGTAGTAGCTTTACCTTCCCTAGGATCAGAAACCACATCAGATAATCAGCTTCTATTATGAAAGAAGCTGATTCTTCTATTTGGAGAGTGAGGTATGCAGAAAATCCATAAAAGGTATTAAGTTATAGAACACCACCATCTGATCCACCATCTGATCTTGAGAGAATTTTAACTGGTTTATATCCATGAATACTCCCTCAGTAGGGTATTTTTGTTCTCTGGATGGCATCTTGGAAGAGGTACTGGTCATTGATCATATCTCACTGGCACATTGGCTAGTGACCGCTAATGTCACATGCAGCTGGATTGGAATCTCTTCTCATTGCTTTCTCATGGGGTCATTTGCCTTTGGACTTAAAAATCAAGAAATTTCATAATGACAATATCTAGATTTACTGTATATATGTAACTATTCTTAAAATTTGATAACAGATATGTCAAATGTAGATATTTAAAGAAATTTGGATTGGAAATACACTAAATCAGAAGTAGCAAGTGAAGGATAGCGGTTCTGTAATGGAATCTTTCTCAGATTCTGTTTTCCCTAGTCTCATGTTTCTTTTTTAAACCCAGTCTGGCCTCTCCTTCTTAGCTTACTAAGTATAGAACCACAAATAGAAACTTAGAAATTTAATCATTTTCTGCACATATCTTTACTCATATATGGGAAAATGGGCAAGAGGATATTGTCAGTGAACTCAGGCAAAAAGAGGATTTCTAAAAGAGAGAGTATAGATGGGAAAGAAACAAATTCCCCAGCAGCATGGGAACAGTGGGTACTGTTTTGTTTATTTTTGGATAAGCTGATTAGTTGGCATGTAGCACAGAGTGGTCTGAAAGGTCTTCTTGGAGCAAGCTGGCTGGAGTCATCACAGAAAAAAGAACTTTAATAATAAATCATCCACAAATCCCTGAGAGTCTGCCTGCCGCAAGGGAGACGGGATGACTTGATGTGATTCTGGCACAGTTCTTCCTGCAGCACACCTACCTGAGCTAGGCCAGGTTTGCATCATCTCCTTCATCAGCATTTTCTCAAAGGCAACATTTCTTTTCTATCACTTTTTTCCCTTTTACAGTGCAAAAAGTGATCTTGAAGAACATAAATTTTAAAATGTGGGGGTTTCTTTTAGTTCCCCTAGAGAAACAGTATAATAGTCAAGATGGTGAAATTGTTCCTAATTTAAATATGTCCCATGTCTCTTGCACCATGTTAGAAAGGCTGTATCCATCAGCTCAGACAGCCACAGCAAATAGCACAGACTGCATGGGTTAAATACAAATCTTTTTTTTTCACAACTCCAGAGCATGAAATGGGGATGCCAGCATGTGGGGCTCTGGTGAGGGCCCTCCTCTTGGCTTGCAGAGCACCCTCTTCCAGTTGAATCCTCACATGGTGGAGAGAGAACAAGCTAGCCATCAAGTGTCTCATCTCAGAGGGCATTAATCATACTGGATCAGGGCTCCACTTTTATAAACTCATGTAAACATAATTTTCTCTATAAAGACCCTATTGTCAAATATTGTCTCCCTGGGGGTTGTATTTTGGAGGGACATCAATATTCAGTCCACTAACAATGGCAAAATCTTGGTTACTGCGCAGTGGGCCACATGGGGGTGCTGTGGAACCACTGAGCTCCAAATGTCTCTGGGGCATGCACAGAGCCAGGAGCCTGGGACAGGGAGGGTTAAGGAGCAGCCTTGCTTGATGTTTGTGCTCACTAAAAAATGTGATGACGGATACATAAAACTGCAGGTGTGCCTCTCATCAGGGAGCCATGCACTTCAGCTATGCCTGGGTTAGGAAGCCTCTGTGAGCCGAAGAGGGAGAATGAAGATGGGATGTCCCATGCTGGGATGGGACAACCTGCATGTCCAGGGCAGGGACAGATAGAGGAACAACTGCCTGGAAGGAAAAGCAAAGGAACTGTGGGGGGGACATGCAGCCTAACCTCAGTCCAGCCCCACATGGTATGTGAGAGTATTAACAGCACAAAGCAGAGGTCCTGGATCGGGTAAGCCAGGGGCCTAACAAGGAAGGCAGGATGCATGGGAACCCGCAGAGATGACATCAGAGAAGTGATATCACAGCCTAACATCTGATCAGAGATGCAATGCCCAAAACCCCAGCTCTCAGAGGACCAGTATCCCTCACAGGGTGACACCTGACCAGCTCTGTCCCACCTGGCCATGGGCTCCAGGTACCTCTGATGGGAAGACCTTTGTCTCTTGGGAACAAGTGAATCCTTGGCACAGGTGGGATGTCTCTGAAGCACGCCTCATCCAAGGCACCCTCAGGCTCCCTCCTGTGTTCTTGCCCTAGCCTCTGTCTCCCTCCCTCACAGGCCCAGTGGATTCTGCTGTGCAGAACAGAGAGCAGTGGACCTCAGGAGGCCTGCAAGGGGAGGACATAGGACAGTGACATCACAGTATGCCCCTCCCACCAGGAAAAGCAAGGCTGAGAATTTAGCTCTTTCCCAGGAGGACCAAGCCCTGAGCACAGACACAGTGCTGCCTGCCCCTTTGTGCCATGGGCTCCAGGCTGCTCTGTTGGGTGCTGCTTTGTCTCCTGGGAGCAGGTGAGTCCCTGCAGACAGGATAGCGCCCCATTCTGAGCCTGTCCTCACCCCTGTGTCTTCCACTTTACCATGGGGAGGCACCACCAGGCTGTCTCCGGTGCTCATTCTCCATCTGCTTTTCCCACAGGCCCAGTAAAGGCTGGAGTCACTCAAACTCCAAGATATCTGATCAAAACGAGAGGACAGCAAGTGACACTGAGCTGCTCCCCTATCTCTGGGCATAGGAGTGTATCCTGGTACCAACAGACCCCAGGACAGGGCCTTCAGTTCCTCTTTGAATACTTCAGTGAGACACAGAGAAACAAAGGAAACTTCCCTGGTCGATTCTCAGGGCGCCAGTTCTCTAACTCTCGCTCTGAGATGAATGTGAGCACCTTGGAGCTGGGGGACTCGGCCCTTTATCTTTGCGCCAGCAGCTTGGCACAGCCCTACAAAGCCAACCACATTCTGTGCACAAACCTCCCTGGCCCAATGTGGAGCAACCTCAGCCCTGACATATCTGTGAGAACCTGGGGACTGCAGGGAGAAAGAAAGGCAATTTAGAATGCTAGGATCCACAGCCTGGGGCTTTCTGCAACTTGGCTGGGGAAAACAAGGCCAAGAGAGCCTGCTCAGAGGATGGTGCTGCTTCCGTAGGTTGACTGCAGCATTACCTTCTTTGCCGACACTGTGAACTACAGGAGTAGAGGAAATGTGTGTAATTTAACAGCTGGCGCACTCTTTCTCAGGACAAGAGATTTAATTTTGTGGTCAAGATTGTTGATAACAGTGTAGTGTAGAAGGGAGAATCACAGGGTTTGCTTTATACAACTTGGGGAGAAGAAATTGAGGTTTTGGGAAAGTCAAGGAGAGAGAAAACGAAAGATGATTGAAAACAGAGATAGAGCAGAAGGTGATGAAAAGTGGTGTTCTGTGCACCATGAACTCTCTTTCCCCCACCCGAAAGTTTTCAACACCTAGAAAAAAATAAGGAAAGGTCTTATAGCCACCGGAATCACCTGGTAGCCGGTCCCAGTCGGAGGCATCACCAAATTGCCGCTTGGCCATTGTGAGAGCCCTGGAGTTGCTTCTGCTGTCTTCCTTCTTCCAGCCCTGATCTTGACTCCTCAGGCCACAGTCAGGTACTTCCCAAAACACAGAGGAAGGTAAAGTCACCCTTCTTCCTAAAGGGGCAAATACTTTCCAGTTTCCCCCCAAATAAATTCTGCAACCCTGGGATTCCTTTCTGACACTCACCTCCCAAATCCAATTACCTTCTATGACCAAATGCTCTTTGAACATTTTCTAAAACTCAGCAGTCTCTACATCCTCTGCGTTTGTCCTTACAGTTTCCATGGCCTGGGAGGACCTTTGTTCTCCTAAGACGGGGCCACATACTGATCATCTGTCAAGGACAGGCTCACACCTGCCTTCCTCTTCACTTCTTACTGTGACATTCCCTGGGACTGTACTGTATCACTCTCTTTCCTTTATTTTAAAGCCAAGCATACAATTGATACTCTTTGATGTTTGCAAAACTAATAAGTTATTGCCCTCTCATACAGAATCCTGGAGTGTGATTAATTACTGTCTTCTCTTTACAAGGGACTCTACATGAAATATCATGGAGAATGATTATGAATAGTCTTAGTATTTCATGTAACTTCTGTAATATTCCTAGCAATTGTGTCTTCACAGTCAGGATTGATGACCAGTGCTGTCAAGTTCCCAAAGGGTATCTAATGCTGGAATTTGCAAATGTTCTTTTGGAGTGAAGAAAATTATGTTATTTAGGCTGACTGAAGAATCACTAAAGAAAGAAAATTATGGTACAGTAATATTTATAAAGACTCATAATCCTGTAAAAAACTTCCTCACCATAACCACACTTTCCACAGCCACATTTTTAGAGATTTGGTGAGGGTGGAATATAGTCAAAGGTGCTTCTTAATCATCCTTGATGAAATCAACCAAAATCAACCTACAACATTGAAAAAAAAAACTAGCTTTGCTCAGTAATGGAATCTTATCATCCTTGACAATGAAAAGATATTATGTGTTTGTGAGTGTGAATGTGTGTGTGTGTTTTCTTGTGGATACTCACTCACATAGAAGTTTCTCCCCTGGTGGCATTTTATGAGGTGCTGGATCACTGGCAGAGCTCCTAGGCACTTCTAGGTAAGGATAGAAAATAGCAGACCTAACGGAATCTGCCTAAGTTATAGCTGATAAGATAGTTTATTTCAAGATTTTATACATTCAGAAATAAATTTGTAAAATCAAAAAATCCTTTTTATAAAATGTGCTAGCTAAAATTTGTGAATAATTAAACTAAATGCAATGTGTGAAAAGATATGAGTCTGACTAATCAAAGGGAGCTCTGCAATGTAGTATTTTCAGCCCAGATTGGCTTGATATTGTCACACTTTCATCCTGTGGCCTGTATAATTCTGGCTCCTTTCTTCCATCTTAGGATGCTCATTGCAATAATGTAACAGCAATTTCTTGTGCAATCAAGATGTGTCCTTTTGTCTCCACTGGTCAAGGGTGAGTTTGAAGTTCCACCCTAAATCAACCCTTCCGGGAAAGCAATAGACAGGGTGTGTGAAAGAATGGGGGCTGCAGGGGTTGGAGTGGGGGCAACCGTGTTCCTGACTTGGACTATCCTGAGCTCATCAGGTCAGAAGGTGTGAATCCATGGGACTGTGGAATGTTGGCCACTTGGGGGCGCCGTGGCCCCACTATGCTGCAGGGAACCCTGGGGAGGGGTAGGAGGGTGGCCAGGAAGGGAGGGCGGAAGGGAATGCCTGGCTGCCTGCTGACATCAGGAGATTAGGTGGAAATTAGAGTAGGTCCTGGCCTGGGACTGCCCAGGGAAAGGTAGGGCCAGGGTTGGCACCAAGCAGGGAGTGTTTCTGCCTCTGCATGGGCAGAGGAGGGTGTAGGGGCTGGGGTGGCAAGGGCTGGGAATCAGTGTCAGGACAGGGATAGGGTGGGCAGAGGAAAGTGAGGTGTGATGTGGGCATGCGGGGACTGTGACCAGCCACCTCCCCTTTAGTTGAGGGGCTGTGCGGGACAGGAAGGCTGCATGGAGCTGCTGAGCCTGAGTCTTTCAATGGGTGAACAAGGCAGGAGTGGCCTGCAGAAAGAGTACCTGGAAAAGGACTGTACCCGAAGGAATTGGGTGACACTTTCTTAGCTCCACTCAGGGAGTGACCCTGAGGAGGGTGCTGCCAGCCAGAGGGGCTCAGGTCCTGGTGAGCTGACAGGCTTTTCCTCCAGACACTTCCTGTTGTTTCTGTATGTGATCTGGTTTTATGCTCACTGAAATCATGTAAGGTAGGTATGATTTCACCTGTTTATACATCTGAAGGAAAGCAGCTGTTCCGGGTCTCATATTAAGTAATTGGCTGAGGTGTTTTCCTCCAACATCTCTGCACCAGCCCCGTCCCCCGACTCTATATCTGTCCCTTCATCTGGCTTCCCCTTTCCAGGTCCAATTAGCAGGAGCACAAGGTCATGCCTCATATGTGACCATTGTAACCTCTTCCCTGACAAGTCCAAGGAACACGTGACTTCCAGGCCAAGCATATCCATTCACCTTTCACTGAAGCAAAACAGAAGGATGAAATTATCTGCACTGTACACTTCCTGTAACTGATATAATCTACCTTGAGGAAAAGTAACAAGAAAAATTGTTATTCATTAGTTATTATTTTATTTAATATATGTTTGGAGATCCTTTCTTTGTATAGATATTTTATGACATAAAAAGCAAAATAAAAAAGAACAAATGAAAATAAAAAAGAAAAGCTTGAAAGAATAATAAGTGTTTCTTACTTTTTAGAGTATTAAGGTTTGCATTAATTTTTTTAACTTATTCAAAGACGTTTGCTCAGTTTCTGAATTATACAGATTTCCTTTTTTTCTTCTCTTTTTCTCTTTAGCCACCTACAGCTTTTTCTGCCAGCTTTTTTAGTTTAATAACCTAAGGCTATCTTTTAAACAGATTTTTAAATGTACAATATAGTATCGTAATCTACAGACACAAGGTTGGACAGCAGATCTCTAAAGCTTCCTGATTCTTCTTTACTGAAATTTTGTAGCCACTGGTGGCAGCTGCCCATTTCCCCCTCTTCCTAGCCCTTGGAAATCACCATTTTCATCTTCACTTACATCAGTTTGACTTTTAGGTTGCCTCATATAAGCACAATCATGTAGTATTTGTCTTTCTGTGCCTGACTTTTTCAACTCAGCATAATGTCCTCCAGGTTTAGCCACATTGTCATGTATGGCCAGAATTTCTTCTTTTTAATACTTAATGATATTCCATTGTATGCATACACCACATTTAAGGTCTGAATATTAAATGTATAGTATCTTATTGTTTCTGCGAAACCATCTGTCACAGGAGTGGCAGGGTCATTTGCAGAACAGTAAGCACTGAGTATATGAATGCACATTCATTCGAAGTTCAATTCTGCTTCATAGAGAAGACTTCAAAAAAATAATAATTTCACTATTTATTGTTATTTTACTATACACAAATAGAATTTCTTTTTTCTTTTTTTTTTTTTTTGATACAGAGTCTCGCTTTGTCGCCTGGGCTGGAATGCAGTGGTGTGATCTTGGCCCACTGCAACCTCTGCCTCCCGGGTTCAAGTGATTCTCCTGCCTCAGCCTCCCGAGTAGCTGGGATTACAGGTATGCACCACCATGCCTGGCTGATTTTTTGTATTTTTAGTAGAGATGAGATTTCACAGTGTTAGCCTGGATTGTCTTGATCTCCTGACCTCGTGATCTGCCCACCTCGGCCTCCCAAAGTGCTGGTATTACAGGTGTGAGCCACCGCACCCAGCCAATACCCCAATACCATAAAATATTTAGCATATAGTAGAAATCTAGCTATTTTTATTTCCTTTGCTAGTCTCGGGCAGCCTCTTCCACTGCGCCAATGCCCAAAGGCAGTTAAAGACACATTTTGCCTGGAAATCTTAGGGTGAGGACTCAGGAAGCCACAGAAATGGAAATATATATGCGTGATGATTACTTTGAAAGTATGAACTAGAGAATGTAGCATATATCCCTCCTCAGGCATTTAAAACTCAGTATTATTGATATATAAGTTATATAAGCATTACACATTTTAAATAAACAGATCGGTTATACGTAACCAAATAATTAACAGAATGAGGAGCTCCTGAAAAGTTTTATGGTTTTAAAAGGGGTTGAAGCCAGGTGAGCTACCAGATCCACATTAGGGACAATTCTATCTGGAGATGGATATTGTGATGAAACAACCTCAGAAGGTCTTCTAACCTGGTACAGACTGATTTTACGAAGTTTATTTATTCATTTTCTTTCATTTCTTTTCTTATCTGCTCATTCACTCCAATTATTTTGTAATGATATTTTGGCGAAAATTAATCATCTTTAAGGGAAATATTTTGAGTTTCATCAGACACACATGCAGCTGAGCTTTGTGTTCACACACTGAGTGCCCTGGGGCCAAACAAAATACGGTAATAGTGACCTTGTTGAGAGATGACGTCACATTGGGAGAAAGGTTCTCTTTGTGTTGACACTAAGTGTCCAATTCATAAAACCTAAGCCTTGAGCTAGGAAATGCCCTTTTCTGCCCTGGGAAGCAGGCTCCTACATTGTGTGTTTCTCTGTCTCCTGGTCTAGCCTGGACACAGACAGTGTACCCACTCACGAACTTGTTATATCCTGGCTGTGAATTTCAGCACCAGGTGGCCCTTTGCTCTGACTTCAATTTCTGTGTCCTTCTCTCCTAAACACCATGGATGCTGAGTGACTCAGACTCCAGTCATGTGCTTTTGCCAAAAGGAAACTAGCACAAGAGGAGGTGAGCAGAATATGAAACAAAACCATGTACTCAGGACCGGCAATGTGACTTACTGGCAGCTCTTTGCTCAAATATTGTAAGGAAGTTGAAGATCATGACAATGTTACAGTAACAGGGATCTCTTTAAGTGTGGGGCTCTGTGCACTAAAATACGGGTTTTTTTTTTTCTTTTCTTTTTTTTTTTTTTTTTTTTTGAGACGGAGTCTTGCTCTGTTGCCCAGGCTGGAGTGCAGTGGTGCAATCTTGGCTCACTGCAACCTTGCCTCCTGGGTTCACGTGATTCTCCTGCCTCAGCCTCCTGAAGTAGCTGGGATTACAGGTGCGCACCACCATGACCAGCTATTTTTTTTTTTTTTTTTGTATTTTTAGTAGAGACGGGGTTTCACCATGTTTGTCAGACTGGTCTTGAACTCCTGACCTCATGATCCGCCCACCTCAGCCTTCCAATGTGTTGGGATTACAGGCGTGATCCACTGCGCCTGGCCTTTTTTTTTTTTTTTTTTAATTGTTACTGAATTAGTGGTGAGAATCCTGACCAAGGGAATATTCCCTATGAAATATGACACTTCAAATAAAATGAGAGCGCTTTTTCTTATCCTGGAGCCTGCCTCTTCTCTCCTCTCCCCACATCCCTCACATGTCAAGACACCTTTGTGCCCACAGATCATGGGCAGCGTTGGGCTGCCACTATCATCCACACAGAGAGGGCAGTCAGCAGCGTGAGGTGGTTCTGCCTGCTGCGGTCTCACCCCAGGCACAGAAAGCAAGAGCCCTGGGTGGAGCTGAAGGTGCTCAGCTGGGCTTGTCAGGAGTCCCATCTGTCGGTGAATTGAAAAGAAACAGAGCAAAATGACTCCTCCAATGGTGATGAGCCTGCCCCTGGGATTTGGAAACTTGGTAACAGAGAAAACCAATATAGACAAAGGATTTTAAACAGGATTATGGTCAATTAAGCAAATTAGAAAAGGATACTTGAAGGGGGATTTGGGACACAGGAGTCAAAAACACCGGGAAGACATGAGAAGTTTCCCTAAGAGTCTAAATTAGAGAAATATTTAGATAACTGACACCAGTGTATGAATGAGGAATTATATCATCACAGGGATAAGAGTTCCATTGAGTTACAAACTGCTTCCAAAAAGGTTAAGAAAAACTCGTAAGGCTGTGTCAATTCAGACAAAGGCATTCTTCCCATTCAAACGGTTCACCGGTGCATGAATCTTGAATTTGACCATCTGGGGAAGGGGCGTGGCCTCTCCTGACAGGAAGGCTCTGGGGCCCAGGCAGGGAGAATGAAGTCTCAGAATGACCCCCTTGAGAGTACTGTTCCCCTATCACCGATGCACAGACCCAGAAGACCCCTCCATCCTGTAGCACCTGCCATGAGCATCGGGCTCCTGTGCTGTGTGGCCTTTTCTCTCCTGTGGGCAAGTAAGTCCTGGGCAGGGCCCCATGTGTGGATTTCAAGGCCCAGCCTGTTTCCATTGTGGCTGCAGCATCAGCTTTGTTCTTCTCTGCAGGTCCAGTGAATGCTGGTGTCACTCAGACCCCAAAATTCCAGGTCCTGAAGACAGGACAGAGCATGACACTGCAGTGTGCCCAGGATATGAACCATAACTCCATGTACTGGTATCGACAAGACCCAGGCATGGGACTGAGGCTGATTTATTACTCAGCTTCTGAGGGTACCACTGACAAAGGAGAAGTCCCCAATGGCTACAATGTCTCCAGATTAAACAAACGGGAGTTCTCGCTCAGGCTGGAGTCGGCTGCTCCCTCCCAGACATCTGTGTACTTCTGTGCCAGCAGTGAAGCCACAGCGCTGCATGGCCGTCTCCTCTCTGCACATAAAGGCAGGGAGGCTCTGCCCTCCTCCCTCACCCCAGACTCAGTGATGCCCTGGGCAGAGTTCTCTGCACCAGGAAACTTGAAACCCCATCATCATGGGTCTGAGGCCCCCAGGATGAAACAGGATTTGTATTTCAGATCCATCTAGACTCTCGTCTCTCCCTGGGGACCATGTTGCTTCTTCTCTCTAGGGTTCCCCCCAGCCCCCACCCTCATGTTGTCTCTCCCTGGGGACCATGTTGCTTCTTCTCTCTAGGGTTTCCCCCAGCCCCCACCCTCATGTTGTCTCTCCTGTGGCCCACCTTTCCCATCTGGGCAGTCACCCTCCAAGGCCTTGCTGGGTCTCTCCTCCCCTCACTTCCCCACACCTCTCCACAGCAGCCATGAGGGGAGCCCCTCTTCTGTGCCTCCTTCCTTCCCATCACAGAGACTTCAAAGTCCATTTTCTCTGCCCTGGGCTGGAGGCTTCCTTTCTGCAGTGGCCAACTCCTACCTGTGCTTCACATCTCAGCATGATCAGCCCTCCTGTGGGAAGCATGCCCTTGCCTCCCAGCTGAGATCAATTTTTCTGTTATAAGCACTGATGGTAACATGTGCTTGTTAGTCAACAGAGTTGAGCACAGTTGGAGTTTTCCAGTTACTTGTCTGGATATTTTTCTGCTCATGTCGATTTTAAACTCCATAAAGGGGAAGGCTGTGCTTGTTACATTTACCAACAGCTGTTCCTGGAATGAAGGGAGACCTGTTTCACAGATAATGGATGAGTTAATGAATGACAGGCTGATTGAGTGATGAGCGGGTGGATGAACCAATAACAGGAACACTCCAGGTCCGCTGTACCCTGGCAGAAATCTAGAGTTAACTGTGCCTGAGATGCTCTGCTATGAGCTCTTCAAAGGGCACTCGCTTGTTGAACAAGCGTTGGACCATTCATTGTGCAAGCCAGTTTGTCAGTTCATCTAGGAGTTTCCAATTTTAAATATCATATGTTCTTCAAACTCAATGAGGGTAAAGTCTACATTATACAATTCTAAGTTATTTTTTAAAGTTTTGGGTTAGGAACCAAAAAGGAAAGAAGAGGGAATATCTTTAGACTTTGGAGTTTTTTTATTGAAAATGTATTTATATAAATTTTTCTTGGAAGAACAGGTAGGGAAAGTCATGACTACACAGCCTTATAGGTGCTAATTTCTGGAGAAGGTGTCATGAAAAATAACAAAAATGAGAACTGTGTTCTGGAGGGAACATTGTGACTGTCCTGAGAGCGTGTTCTGATCCCAGGAACCAAACCCAGGAGTGTGTTTGGCAACTCAGAGTGCAGCAGACAATTCTTTGCCCCGTGCATTTGGGATAAGACTGGAGACAGCTGGAAAAGCTATGGACTGGACGTTCTGCACTCTCAATGCAGGACTCTCTGAAATCCCACAGATTAATGTCAGGTAAATATATTCCCACTATTAAGACAACTAAAGCAAGAACCAATGAAGAAAAGTGAGTAGAAACAGTAAGCAATTGAAATGTATGAAGACAAGGAATTTTGCCATAAAAAGATATAAAAGTTAAAGAGCTATATTTAAAGGAATACAAAAGCGAATTGATATGTGAACATGAAAAAGAAGACTGTCAGAAATAATCAAGGAAACATTAAAAAATAATCAAAGAGAATACACTAACGATTAAGATTATCATTGAAAACAAAATGGAAATGAAGAAAAGATGACATGCTTCAAAAGAGATTGTTACAGGAGGTCAAAGACAGATCTGAAGAAGTTACCTAGAATGCAGCACAGAAAATTAAACAGGAAACAAGAAAAGGTAAGGGATAAGGAATAAAACACTTGTGGGTTCTAGTGTATTAGTGTATATATAATATTTTGTTGGAACTTCCCATTTTTCTTACACATGATTGAAGTGTCACAAAGAGAAAGTAGAGAGAATGATAGGTGATAATTATGAGACATTAGCTGAGAATTTTCAAGACGTGTTTCAGGACCTAAATCCTCTGTTTCAACAAGTTAAATGAATATGAAGTAGATGAATACATATGTTATGGTGAAATTGCGGAACACAAATGACAAAGAGAAGATTTTAAAAGTAGCCCAAAAGATAACTATCTCCCAGCAGAATAGACTGAAAGGAACAGTGAAAGTCAAGAAAGGAGATTAAAAATAAGCATCAAGTCAGAATTATAATTCTCATTCATTAAATATTGAGATTGAGGTAAATATATTTATAGATAGAGAAAGAAAAAACACGGTGAGTTTGTCACCAAGGTATCCTTTCTGAATTATAGTTAACAAAGATGGGAAGTGGTCCCAGAAGAGGGGCATGAGGTGCCGCTCGTGAGGGAACCCATGTGATGGGACAGCCCCATTGGGCACGTGTGACTGGGGGGATGGAGGAGGCTGGGGCATCAATGGGGATGGCACAGGGGACTCTGACTTGCAGGAAAGACAATGAGCTCACCTTTTGGTGCTTTGTGTTGGCGGAGCTGTTGACACATCCTAGAGAACATGCCCAGCAGACAGAGGAGCGGCTGTGGGATGAGGAGATAAACTCAGAGATGCAGCGTGAGGCCTCCGGGTCCAGACAGCATGAGAGCCCAAAGCGATGATACATGCATTGATGTTGTTAAAAAGGATTTTTTTTTTTTTTTGAGACAGATTCTCGCTCTGTCGCCCAGGCTGGAGTACAGTGGCGCAATCTCGGCTCACTGCAAGCTCCGCCTCCCGGGTTCAAGCCATTCTCCTGCCTCAGCCTCCCAAGTAGCTTGGACTAGAGGCGCCCGCCACAACGCCTGGCTCATTTTTTGTATTTTTAGAAGAGACAGGGTTTCACCATATTAGCCAGGATGGTCTCGATCTCCTGACCTCATGATCCACCTGCCTCCGCCTCCCAAAGTGCTGGGCTCACGCCTGTAATCCCAGCACTTTGGGAGACCAAGGTGGGCGGATCACTTGAGGTCATGAGTTTGAGACCAGCCGGGGCAATGTGGTGAAACCCCGTCTCTACTAAAAATACAAAAATTAGCCTGGTATGGTGGTGTGAGTCTGTAATCCCAGCTACTCAGGAGGCTGAGGCAGGAGGATCACTTGAACTTGGGAGGCAGAGTTTGCAGTGAGCCGAGATCACACTGCTGCACTCCATTCTGGGCAATGGAGCAAGGCTCTGTCTCAAAGAACAAACAAGCAAAAAGCAAGGAACTCATAAATATTTAAAGGAGGCATTTAAGTAGGTCCTAAAATAAATCCTTTGTTCCTGTCATTGCGTGGATTGAGAGAGGATGTGATGTCACTATGGGACCTTCTGTGTGGGAACAAGGACATCCCTCCTCCTCTGCTCCTACTCACAGTGACTCTGATCTGGTAAAGCTCCCATCCTGCCCTGACCCTGCCATGGGCACAAGGCTCCTCTGCTGGGCAGCCATATGTCTCCTGGGGGCAGGTGATTCCTCAGATGCCAAGCAGTCTCCTGTGTGTGTGTGTGTGTGTGTGTATGTGTGTGAGATGTGTGTGTGAGAGAGAGAGAGAGAGAGCTGACTATAGTTGTTTTTCTCATTCAGTTCCCAATTTCTGTCTCCACAGATCACACAGGTGCTGGAGTCTCCCAGTCCCTGAGACACAAGGTAGCAAAGAAGGGAAAGGATGTAGCTCTCAGATATGATCCAATTTCAGGTCATAATGCCCTTTATTGGTACCGACAGAGCCTGGGGCAGGGCCTGGAGTTTCCAATTTACTTCCAAGGCAAGGATGCAGCAGACAAATCGGGGCTTCCCCGTGATCGGTTCTCTGCACAGAGGTCTGAGGGATCCATCTCCACTCTGAAGTTCCAGCGCACACAGCAGGGGGACTTGGCTGTGTATCTCTGTGCCAGCAGCTCAGCCACAGCACTACTGCTCCAGTGTCAGCTTGGTTCCCTAGGAAATGGGGTTTCTAGAACCTGAATGCTGACAAATAAGAGTTGTATATGTGTATACCATGCAACCTGCGTTTAAAAATGTATGTACATAGTGCAATGACTAAATCTAGCTAGTTAACATATGCAGTACCTCAATCCTTATCCTTTCCAGTGGTGAGAATACTTAAAATGTACTCTGTTAGCATTTTCCCAGAATACAATCCACTGTTGCTAACTCTAGTCATTTGTTGTATAATAGATCTTTGTAACATCTTCGTCTTATCTGAGTGAGATTTTGTATCTGTTGACCAACATCTTCCCAACAGTCCATCTCTACTCCAGCCTTTGCTAATTACTGCTCTAGTCTTTGAATTTGAAGTAATTTCCCTGAGGTCTTTAGCTCAACAAGATGGGGGAATTTTCTCTATAATGATGCTTACATTATTTTTGCTTTGTTTTTGTTTCGTTATTTTATGTCTTGCAATATAGTGTTTATTGTAAATATAAATAAGTATATTGTAATAAAAATCCTTCACCTCTCTTTGGGTAAAGCTACAGTTCACATATTCTAAATTTCATGCTGTGACCAACGCTGACATAATTATGGATCATGGGTTTCTGGGAGTCCTCAGAGACAGCCCCATACACCAAGTTTAAGATAGAATATTCCAGACCCAGCCAGGACAGAAGTGCATGGTCCTGCATAGCTCCTTGGAAAATTATAGTTCCCCAAATTCAGTTATTGGATATTGTGGTGCCGCAGACACCAAACGTCTTTCTCTAGCAAATGATGGTCCTTGGCAGGGATTGTTCTGAACCCATTACAATTTTGCCATCATCAAATCACTCCTTGCTGTTACCTTGTGTCTCCTGGGAGTGAGGACGCCCCGGGCACAGATGGAAATTCCCTGACCTTCGGATGCTATTTCAAGGACTTCCTAAGACCTTGTGTCCATCTTTTTCCACCTTTATCCACATGACTCCTGAGACCCACGCTCACAATAGTGGACCAGCTCTGATTCTTAGGCTTGAACAGAATTCAGACCACAGCTGTAAACACTGTTGCTGAAAAAAGATGTAAAAAAGGTGGGCAGGGCTTCCTACCTACACTGAGGGTGAACATACAAGGGCATAAAGGGAATATTTTATTAATAGCTAAAAAAAGAAGAAATACAAGCCCTGCTCTAATGAAATGAGAACTGTAGCTTCACCCACAGAGAGGTGGAAGATTTTATTACAATATACTTATTTATATTCATAACAAATAATATATTTGAAAAAATAAAGAAAACAAAAAGTAATATAAGCATTATTATAAAGAAAATACCCCTGTCTTCTTGAGTTAAAGACCTCAGGGAAATTAAGACACATCGAAAGACTAGAGCAGTAATTACCAGAGGCTGGGGTGGAGATGGGGTGCTGGGGAGATGCTGGTCAAAGGATACAAAATTTCACTCAGATAGGAGGAAGAAGTTTAAAAAATCTTTTATACAACAAAGTGACTAGAGTTAATAACACTGGACTACATTCTGGGAACATGCTAACAGAGTTGAATTTTTTAGTTGAACCAAAGCAGAATGTCCATAAAATTATTTTGAATCAAAGTCTAGAAGCTTTCAAACCAGTTGGCATAGCCTTGTGTTCTGTGATCTCAGCAGCTTCAGAGGACTTGGCAATCCTTTCTCTGCACAAACACCCCTTTGTCCACTCTAAGAACTAGGGACACACACTCTTATCCTATCACGAAAACAACAGGCTGTGCTACAGTTGCTGGTAACTCGTTTTAAGGGTGTTGAGTATGGAGGATTGAACAAGATTGAAAGCTATGCTCCTGAGTCTGGGAATGTGCTGGAACCAGCTTGCATGATTCAGAAGAGCCAAATAGGCAAACCCTTCCCAAATCCTCATTGAATGAAGCCATGATGACAGCTTGAAATCTGCCATAGTGGCTATGCTGATACCATAGGAACTGACAAATGCTACTAGGCATGGCCCCACCCTCACAGATATCCAGTTTACAAGGACATCACTGGAATGTTTTCTGATACAATGATGATCCTATTAGGGCATGTCTTATGGGGCCAAAAAGGCTCAGAATCCACTGTCCATCTGTTTCTGCTCCTAGAAGCCATAGTCTAAGGGAATCTCAAGTGATCCTACTTCTCTCCAATCTCCAAATTCCCTTGCTCTGTGGGTCTGTGTCTCCTATGAGCATGCCAATCTGAAACAAGACAACTATTTGGAATGTAGCTAAAGGAAACAGGGAACCAGTCCATTATTTTCAAATTATCCTTCCTTGCATGAAGTATGCAGATGCTGCAATCACTGAAAACAGAGATGGGGCAAGCAGCAGCTCTGGGCTGTGAGTCACTTTATACTATAGTGCCCCGCTATTCCTCTGTGGCACTGACAGACCCTGCAGCATGGACTAATTTGCATAGGAAACTAAGCAGCCCCTGACCATCAGGTATGACCCTGGATTCATTTTGGGCTGAGAGGTCAGAAGGATCATACTCACCTTAAATATTATCCTCTCCAAGCTGCAATACTCCCACTGTCCATCTTAGTCCCAGGATGTTGTCCAGAGCTCCAGAGAATCCCTTCTCTTGGGGCAGAATCACCAAGGTTGCTCCCTCCAGATTTCCACAGTCTCCAGTGGGTATGGGGCACAGGTGCCATTCTGTGTCTCAGGTAGAGAGAGGCATCATGTCAAATGATATTTGTAGAAGAGGGATTCAAATTCTGAGGCTCCTCTCCAATATTTGACATAATTTTCTTTGCTTCTTGTTTCATTCTACAATCTCACAATTTAGGAGAGTAATTCTTTTGCGGTTGCATTGTTGACAGCATTTGGGAAAGTTTTTGTGGTTAAATTAATTTAAACAATCATTTTAATGGTGTATTTCTTCTGTTCACGATAGAACAGTGAAAGCAGTCATTTACACATCCTGTTGATGAAGGTGTTGTTTAAGGTTCATGATCCACACCTAACTCTCAATCTAGTTGAAATGAAAAGGTGCAGAATTAGGTGGCACGTGAGCAAGCTATGAGAGAGGCTCATGCCAATTACTGTGGGATTTGGAGGGAGGGAGAGATGACCTCTGCTCTAGACCATGCTCCACGAAGAAGGAGTGGGAGTTTGTCCATGGGAGACTGCAGAGGAATAAATACCAGCAGCTTCTAACTGGGGTGGAGTGAGGGCTGCGGGAGCAAATCCTTGGAACAGAAAATGGTGCATTTGAGCTCTCACAGAGGACAGTGGAAAGAAAAGTCATATAGGCCACAGTCCCCCGGCAGGTTCTGTTTGCTAATGATACTATTTTGCACCAGTGTGTCCTTATCTCACACCACTCCTCTGCCTCTTCCAGAATAATCTCTTCCCTCTCCGCTGCTCAGATCAGCAGATGTGCCTTGTGCAAGTTACTCATTTCACATAGCAGGCCTTTTGCTGGTCTTAATTATATCCGTCGTTACTTTCCACATTAGATACTGTGTATTGCCTTGCAAATGATCCTACTTTTTATATTCCTATTTTTCACTTGTTAATGCATATTTGACCCCTTCTTGAAGGTCAAGATGACCTTGGAAATATAAGGCTATCTCATTATCTGGTCAGTCTTTTACTAATCTTTATTTTTATCGTAACATTGACTGTCATTTTGGGGGACATGTTTGTTTATCTTGAATTTCATTGAGTTTCCTCAAAGCACGATTTTGAGTTCTTTGTCTTAAAGGTCGCATATCTCTGTCTGTCTAGGGTTGGTCCCTGTTTTATTTTTTTTTTGAGAAATTACCGACTTCACCAGATGCTGTAAGCTACCGGGATAGAGGAAGTTTTTGTGATTTCATAGCTTGGGTCTTCTTTATTCAGGGCAGGGAATTTTATTTTGGGGTCAAGATTGTTGAAAATGGCATAGTGAAGAAGGTAGAGTCACAGGAGTTTGCTTTATATACTTGAGGAAGAAGAAACTGAGATTTGGGAAAAGTCAAGAAAAGAGAACCTGATCAAAGATGACTGAAAATAGTAATAGAGCAGAAAATGATGAAAAGTCGTGTTCTGTGCACCACGAACGTTCTTCTCCCCACTCCAAAAGTTTTCGACACCTAGAAAATATAAAGAAAGGACTGATAGCAACTGGCATCACGTTGAGGCCAGTCTCAGTTGGGAAAAACACCAAACAGCCGCTTGTCTCCTGTAAGAACCCTGAAGTTGGTCCTGATGTCTTCTTTCTGGACTCTGGCCCTGATCTTAACTCCTCAGGGAAGTCAGGTACTTCCCAAAATACAGAGAATGTCAGATTGCCCTTGGTTTTGAAGGAGAAAATGCTCTGCGCTTCTCCCCAAGATAAATTCTGCTTTCCTAGGAATGCTTTCTAACACTCGTCATCCAGATCTGATTACCTTCTGTGACCAAACGGTTTCCGAAGATTTTGTAAAACTCAGCAGCCTTTCACATCCTCTGCGTTTGCACTCACTGTTTCCATGGCCCAGAAGGACATTTATTTTCCCACGACAGGGCCAGACACTGCTCATCTGCCAAGGACGGGCTCCCTCCCACCTGTCTTCCTCTTCACTTCTCATCCCAGCATTCTCTGGCACTCTATGATATCACTCTCTTCACTCCACAGGCCAAACCAAGAATATAATTGGAACTGCCTGATGTTTATAACATGAATCAATTCAAGTCCACTTACATAGACCCCTGGAATACATGAATTACTATCTCCTCTTTACAAGAGACTTCTACTACATGAAACATACTGGAGAGTCTTTAGGGATAGGCTCAGTTTTCTACACAAATTCTGCAATATCCTAAACAATTCTGTCTTCACAGTCATAATTGATGACTTGTTCTCTAAAGTACCCGAACTGTGTTTAAAGTCAGAATTTGCAAATGTTCTTCTGAGAAAAAAGAAAATCATTACATCTTAGTGACATTTATCCAGTCTCACAATCTTGCTGAAAAATATTTGTCATCATAACCACACTTTCCATGACCACATCTTTAGATATTTGGTGAGACTGGAAACATCAACAATGGTCCTTCTCAGAAATCAACTTAAAACACTGAAAGAAAAAGTAGCTGTGCTCAGTAATTGAACCTCATCAGCCTTGCCAATTAAAACACGTTGTGTGCATGTGCTTGTGAGTGTGAGTATGTTTTCTTGTGGAGATGCAAATAGTTTCTGTGGGTGGCATTTACTAAGCATCACTGGATCACTGGTGGAGTTCATAGGCACTTTCCTAACCCCAGGGAGTGATGGGAAATGTCACAGCCACTGAATCGGCCTAAGTTATAGCTGATAGGGTTGTTTATTTTAAAATTTTACAAATTCAGAAATAAATTTGTAAACTCAAAAAATGGGGCCGGGTGCAGTGGCTCATGCCTGTAATCCCAGCACTTTAGGAGGCTGAGGGAGGTGGATCACGAGGTCAGGAGTTTGAGACCAGCCTGGCCAACATGGTGAAACCCCATCTCTGCCAAAAATACAAAAATTTAGCTAGGCGTGGTGGTGCACCCCTGTAATCCCAGCTACTCGGGAGGCTGTGGCAGGAGAATCACTTGAACCTGGGAGGTGGAGGTTGCACTGAGCCGAGATCGCACCACTGCACTCCAGCCTGCGTGATAGAGCGAAGCTCCGTCTCAAAAAAAAAAAAAAGAAAATCAGGAAATCCTCTCTTATAAAACACATGATGTAAAATTTACTGATATTAATTTAAATACAAAATAGGAAAAGATTGGGCCTGATTAAGCAAAGGGAGCCAGGGAACAATGCAGTGTTTCTGGGCTAGGTGGGCTTGACATCCTCACACTGTTTAATTAAGGGTCTGTGTAATTTTGGCTGCTCTCTAAGTGCAACAACGGTTTATTTTGTAATAAAAAGATTGGTTCATGTGTCCTTTTGCCTCACTTGGCCCAGGGTGAATTTGAAGATCAACCCTAAATTGGCCTTTTGGGGAAAGCATAGAGGGTGTGAGGATGAGGGTTGCAAGGGTGGGAGTGGGGCATCTTTGTTCCTGATTTGGACAATCTTGAACTCATCAGGTCAGGTGTGAATCCATGAGACTGTGGAATGTTGGCCACTTGGTGACGCTGTGGCTCCACAATGCTGCAGGGAACCCTGGAGAGGGGTGGGAAGGTGGCCAAGAGAGGAGCTGAAGCCTATGCTTGGCTGCCTGCTGGCTTCAGGGGAGTGGTTTGATTCAGAGTGGATCCAGAGTTAAACACAAACTCCCCACTACCAGAGAAGAGTAGAGGTGCTGGAGGCCTCAGTTTGCACCAAAGAGTAGAGTGTCCCTGTGTCTGCTTGGGCAGTGGATGGTGAAGGAGCTTCAGCCACAAGGGCTGGGAATCAGTGTCAGGGCAGGGACAGGGCAGGTAGAGGAAAGTAAGGTGTGATGTGGGCATGTGGGGCCTGCTCTCCACCCACCAAACCTTTAGTTTCAGGGCTGTGCGGGACAGATGCATGGAGCAGCTGAGCCTGGGACCTGCCAAAGGGTGCAAGGGGCAGTGGTGGCCTGCAGGGAGAGAAACTCGCAAAGGCCAGTTCCCGCAGGAAGCTCCAGAAACATTCCTGCCCCCACTCAGGAAGTGACCGTGAGAGACATGCTGTCAGCCAGAAGGGTTCAGGCCCTGGAGAGCTGATAGGCTTTTCCCAGGCACTTTCTGCTGCTTCTACATGTGATCTGCTTTAATATTCACATAAATTATGCAGGATAAGTATTATTTTACCTGTTTATGTATCTGAAGGAAATCAGCTGTCCGGGGTCTCATACTTAATAACTGGCTGAAGACTGGGTGCAGTGGCTCACACCTGTGACCCTAGCACTTTGGGAGGCCGAGGTGGGCAAATCTCCTGAGCTCAGGAGTTCGAGACCAGCCTGGGAAAATCGGTGAAACCCTATCTCTACTAAAAATATAAAAATTTGGCCAGGTGTGGTGGTGCACACCTGTAATCCCAGCTACTCAGGTGGCCGATGCAGGAGAATCGCTTGAACCCTGGAGGCAGAGGTTGCAGTGAGCCGAGATCATGCCATTGCACTCCATCCTGAGCAACAGAGTGAGACTCTGTCTCAAAATAAAACAAAATAAAATAAAATAAAATAAAATAAAATAAAATAAAATAAAAGTCTCAAGCCTGTTGTGCCAACACCTCTCCTTAACCCCTTCTTTGTAGCTCTATCCTTTCACCTGCTTTCCCCTTTACAGGTCCCCATCAACAGGTTGTGAAGTTCATGCCTCATACGTAATCAGTATAGTCTCTTCCCTGAGAAGTCCAAGGAACATGTGACTTCCAGGCCAAGCATATACATTCATCCTTCATTGAGACAAAAAAAAAAAGTGTAATTTTCTGGCCAGCCATGATGCTTCACAGCTGTAATCCCAGCACTTTGGGAGGCTGAGGCAGGTGAATTGTTTGAGCCCAGGAGTTCGAGACCAGCCTGCCAACATGGAGAAACCACGTCTCTACTAAAAATAAAATAAATCAGCCAGGCATACTGGTGGGTGCCTGTAATCCCAGCTACTCAGGAGGCTGAGGAATGGGAATTGTTTGAACTCAGGAGGTGGAGGTTGCAGTGAGCTGAGATTGTGCCATTGCAATCCAGGCTGGACAACAGAGCTAGACGCCCGAAAGAAGGAAAGAAAGAAAGAGAGAGAGAGAGGAAGGAAGGAAGGAAGGAAGGAAGGAAGGAAGGAAGGAAGGAAGGAAAGAAAAAGAAAAAGAAAAAAAAAGGGGTGGTAATTTTCTGAACTGTAGACTTCCTGTAACGGATGCAACATATCTTGAGAAAAAGGAACACTAGTAATTGTTATTCACTAGTTAATTTATTTTATTCTTTTATTCAATAAACTTTTTTGGGGGACCTACTGTGTATAAGATACCCTATGTCGTCAAATAGAAAATGAAAAAGAAAAGTATCTGCAGATGATGGCAGATTTTAAAAAATAAAAAAAGAAAATAAATAAAGAAAGAAAGAATATTTTAAAATAAAAAATATTTTTTGGCTATTTATAACACTAAGGTCTGCATTTATTTTCATTTTTCAATTGTTTTATGTTTATTTTCAATTGTTTTATGTTTAGTGTACTTAGTTTTTGAATTTATATATTTCCTTTCTTCTTCTCATTCTCTCTTTGGTTTCTCCTTCTCTCTTCTTTGCCAGCTTGTATTTCTTTTTTATTTAAACTTTTGGTAAGGACATTTAACATGAGACCTATCCTCTGAACAGATTTTTAAGTGTACAAAACAGTATCATAGTCTACAGGCACAAGGTTGTACAGAAGATCTCTAAAACTTCCTCATCCTGCTTAACTGAAATTTTATACCTGTTGACAGCAACTCCGCATTTTCCCCAACTCCCAGCTCTTGGAAAGAAACATTCTCATCTTTGCTTCCATGAGTTTGACATGGTTGCCTCATATAAACAGAAACATGCAGTGTTTGCGTTTCTGTGCTTGACTTGTTCACTTAGAACAATGTCCTCCAGGTTCATCTATGACACATATGGAAGGATTGTTTTTCTTTTCTAACCCTTAATAATATTCCATGTTTCAGATCTGCAGGATTAAATGGATATAACATTTGGCTATTTCTATGAAACTCTCTGTCATGTGAGTGGCAGAGTCATTTGCAGAGCTGCAAGCACTGAGTTTATTCAGGCACATTCACAGATAAATTCTGCTCCATGGAGAACATTCAGAAAAAAATAATAATGCCAACTTTTATTTGTCAATTCACTATATGCCAAATAAAAATCTTTCATTTGAAAAAGTTCAATTAATTAGAAATTCAGCTATCAGAAAAAAACCTTAAGATGCAAATGCTATTCTCATTTTACAGATGAGGGAATTGGCTCATAGGTTAAAAAACTTGACCAAATTGAAGAGCTATTAGGATACAGTATTGGGACTTCAACCTGATCTGTCCAATTTTTGCATTTATAACTCTGTGCTATAGTGCATTTCATAGAGAGAGATGCCTACCTTCAAAAATCAGAATATTGGATCCTACATCCCTTTCAGATCAACTGGCTCTAACAACATGGAAAGAGATCAGTTTACCCTGGAGACAGTGATGTAAGGAGAGATCTCTGGCTAGATGCCATGACACTCAGCCCTGACTCCCATTCTAACACCAACTTGTAAAGACCTGAGGCCATTCTTGACATGCTGCGTTTAGTTTGTGTTTTGGGTTTTTATTTTTTTCTGTAAAATGAGATGACTACTGCCCTTATGAAGAGTTGTACAAAGATTTAATATGACAAAGTATCTAGCATATAGTAGATTCTAGCTATTTTGATTTCCTTTGCTAATCTCAAACAGCCTCTTCCACTGTGCCAATGAGCAAAGACAAATATGAACACATTCTGCCCAGGAATCTTAGGTTGAGGACTCAGAACTCACAGAAGTTGAAATATATATGCTTGATGATTCATTTGATGAAATTACCTGCAGAACATAGCGTACATGCCTTCTCAGACATTTTAAAATCAGCACAATTGATATATAAATTGTACAATATAAACATTACACATGTTAAATAAACAGATCAATGGTTATATATATATATATATATATATAGACATATATATGGGTTATAAGGATATATATGTATATCCTTATAACCACTATCCCTATAAAAAGGTCTCTATCACCCAGAAATCTCTCTCATACCCCTTTGCCATGACTCTCTCCATCTCTGACAACCAATGATGTGATTTCTATCACTGGAGAATACATTTTTTTCAAAAAATCTATTAGTAACATTTTAAAACCTGTATTGATTAATCCTTTTCAAATACATACATTTAAGAGTGCAAGGTGCTCCTGGAAAGTTTTATGGTTTTAAAAGAGGCTAAATTTCTGTGAGCTACCTGATCCATGTTAGGGACAATCCTATCTGGAGATAGGTAAGAGGATGAAATAGCCTCAAAATTACTTTCCAGCTGGTGGAAGCTCATTCTCCAAAATTATTTATTCATTTTTATTTATTTCTTTTCTCATCTACCCACTCATTCAAATTATTTATTTTATAATGGTATTGTGACAACAATTAATCATTTTAATGGAATTATTTTGAGTTCCCATATCACACATATTTAATTGGCCTTCAAGTTCACACACTGAATGCAACGGCACCAAACAAACCATGGTAACAGTGACTTTGTTGAGAGATGGTGTCATATGTGGAAAAGGGTTCTCTTTGCTTTTACCGCAAGTATCCAACCCATAAAACCTGAACTTTGAGCTAGGAAATCTCCCTTTTTGTTCTGGCCCTACCCTGGGCACCAGGCTCCAGCACCATGTCTCCTTCTGGGTTCTGGCCCAGAGAAGTTCTTGGCACAGTTGTAGCACCCACTCATGGGCTTGCTGGATCCCAGCTGTGAATGACAGTAGCAGGGCCCCCTTTGCTCTGACTTTAATTTCTGTGTCCTTCTCAAATAAGCCCTATAGATGCTGAGTGGCCTGGGCCCCTGCCATGTGCTTGGGCTGAAAGAAAGACAGCACGTGGGGAGGTGAGCAGGAGCGAAGTTGAAGCAAATCTAGAATTGACATGGAAAGGACTTTGGACATAAATCCCTAGGCAGTGGTGAGCCACTGGTCCTACTCCAAGTGAAACAACATGATGAAACTGATATTGTGTTACAGTAACATTGGTAGTAGTACGGATCTGAAAGGAGATAGATTTTTGGGTGGCATGAATGATTAGGAGACTTCTAAATATCCTCCATGAAAGATTAGAAAGGGTTTATGTAAAGCATTGTGGAAGACATAGGCTTGAGGCTCTGGATTATGTTATCTCTTGGAAAGAGTGTTGGGTTTTATTCTGGAAGGGTTAAATGTAGGACTTGCTAGGTTCTATTTGAGCTTTGCCCTTCCTCTTAGGGAGCCCCAGCCTGTGGTCATCATTGCTAGTGCATGGCCTTCCCAGGGTCTTAGTGGGAATCACAGTGTATTCGCCACATCACTCCACTGCAACTGGGTCTGAATGCCCTGGCTCTTCTGAAATCTCTGCCCATGTCTTCAGCCTTCCAGAACTTGTTCTCTGCTCAGCCTTCTGGTCTGCCACCCTCTGCATACACAATTTAGGATCTGGCTCAGGAAAAAAAAAAGGGGGGTTTCTTACATATAATTTTTGGGTTCCTTTTTACTACCCTGTGTCTTAAATCCCAGCTGTCTTGGAGTCAGTTATGTCCTATCTTCAATCACATAAACTAACGATATTTGGTACAGACATGTTTACTGACTTTACTTCACGTTACCATTCCACTCTTCACTCTTCTTTCTTGCAATTCAGACAGTCCTGAGGTCATTCTCCTTCTTCAGATCCATCTGGAATTCAGATGACTTCAACTCACCTGTCACCCACCCTATGCTTTGAGACATGTTTATGTTAGCTACTGACCTCAGGGTAGTCAAGCCTCTCATTGTCATTGTTATTCAAGGTAGGTTGAATCCCACTAAAAAACAAAAATCCTTGAAATTTGGTTTCCTTATTGAGAGCCACACAATGCAATCAAATTCTTTTTAATTCAATTTTTTTTTCTTTTTTGGTGGAAGGGCCAAGAACTGTTTCCTTGCTGAAGCAGACTCCTATTATAATAATTTGAATACTAACAACATTAACCTTTAAATCAGGTTGATGTTAGGTTCTTATCTAAGAATGAAGTATATCCAACTGTAGCAGGTTGAAGGTCTCTCATATATGTAACCTGTTCAGGACGAGACAATTCAACCACTTTTCTTAAATTCTGATCTACATGCCTTTACATTCTTTGCTTTAAGGGCCACATAAAAATACTCTGAAACAATTTACACATCAGAAAAATGCTAACACTTTCCTCCTGGCCCAGCACATCTCCAAGTTAAAAAAATCTCTAAATTATCAACCCATAGTTTAATCATGGTAACTCCCTTCTACCCCCAACATAGATTTTTATGTAACTGATTTGTAACTACAACCTTAACCGTACAATCACAATTGTCATTATAAAATACTAACAAACATGTGCTATTAACAATGGATGGTTAAAATCACTTAGGGATTATGAATCATTTCATTTTTGTGTTTATTTATTATGTCAGTTTCAAGCTGATTTCCCTTTCCCTTGTTCCACACACCTTGGGTTGTTCTTTTTCAGCATCCTGTGTATGTTAGCTCTAAGCCCAGCCAAGGCTCATGCCCCTCCACTTCAGGGACAGAGGGTGGCTCATCCCTTTCGTGCTCCCTCAGCTCCCTCCCCGGTGCCTGGTTGCTGGTTGGCATCACAGCCATGCCCTTGAAAGATGGGCGCTGGTCCACACTGCATCCGTGGTCATGTAGCCACCCTCCCTCCACAGAACCGAGCAAAAAGGGCTCCACCGCGCTTAGGCATTGAGGGAATGGACATTTTGAATGGTGCTGTCTTGTGTGATCCCTCAGAGGAGAAGGAGATTTCTTGAATGGGAGTGGTCTGTTGCTGAGAGGGATCCTGAAAGACACGGGGACAGAGACAGGGGTAGGATCCACATAATGAGGAAGCAGCTGAGAACAAAGGAGCCCCTGCCAGAGGAATATCCTTGGGGGGTAAAAAGCTGGCTCTGCCCTTTCTCCCCAGCCCATTCATCCCAGCCCAGACAATTCAAATCTGCCTTCTATCAGGACCTAGAAAGGATGTAAAACGGCCGGGTATAAATATCCCCTGGGTCTGGGGAAACTGTCAGGAGCAGTGACATCACAGGAAAAACCACCAACCAAGGCCAAGGAGACCAGAGCCCAGCACCTCACCCAGAGGACCCCAGTCAGAGGCCCCATCTCAGACCCGAGGCTAGCATGGGCTGCAGGCTGCTCTGCTGTGCGGTTCTCTGTCTCCTGGGAGCGGGTGAGTTGGGTTCACATCAGCTGTCCTTGAATTCGAAACTTTTTCCTTGTGATTTCAGCAACAAGCCTCCTCCTGGGCTCTGCCTGAATTTTGTCCCTTTCCCCCCGCAGTCCCCATGGAAACGGGAGTTACGCAGACACCAAGACACCTGGTCATGGGAATGACAAATAAGAAGTCTTTGAAATGTGAACAACATCTGGGGCATAACGCTATGTATTGGTACAAGCAAAGTGCTAAGAAGCCACTGGAGCTCATGTTTGTCTACAACTTTAAAGAACAGACTGAAAACAACAGTGTGCCAAGTCGCTTCTCACCTGAATGCCCCAACAGCTCTCACTTATTCCTTCACCTACACACCCTGCAGCCAGAAGACTCGGCCCTGTATCTCTGTGCCAGCAGCCAAGACACAGCCTTGCAGAGTCACCGCTTTCCTGTGCAGAAACCTTAGGGGCCCTCCAGGAAGCTGTGGGGGCCACCAAAGCCTTCGATGAACATTTCCTACAAGAGCCCCGGCAGAAGATTCAGAACATCATAGCACCTTTAATGGCATAAAATATCTAGCATATAGTAGAAGCCTAGCTATTTTGATTTCCTTTGCTGATCTCAGACAACCTCTTCCACCACACCAATGTGCAAAGACAGATATGGACACATTCTGCCAAGAAATCTTAGGTTGAGGACTCAGAAGTCACAGAAATGGAAATATATATGCCTGATAATTCATCTGATAAAATTAACTAGAGGATGTAGCATACATATCTCCTCAGGCATTTAAAAATCAACATTATTGATCTTTAAAGTATATGAAGTTAACAGGACACCTTTTAAATGAACATATCTGTGATTTTTGAGCAACATATATCTATATATGCAACCCCACCTCTATGAAGATGTATCTGCATCACCCAGAAAGTCCCTCACTCCCCTCTGCAATGCCTCTGTCTGTCCCAGCAACCAATGATGTGACTTCTATCACTGGAGAGTCGTTTTGTTGGCAAATATTTTTAATGCAAATGTCAAACCTCTTCTGAATAATCCTCTTGAATACATAGCTAAATCATCAAGGCAGGGAGGAGTTCCTGGAGGTTTTATGGTTTTAGAAGTGGTTGAAGCTAGGTGAGCTACCTGACCCATGGTAGGGACAATTCTATCTGGAGATGGATGTTGTGCCGAAATAACCTCAAAAGGTCTTTTCGGATGGTAGAAGCTGATTCTACAAAATTTATTCATTTTCATTCGTTTATTTTCTCGTCAATTCATTCAATCAAATAATTTTATGTTACGTTTTGACAAAAGTTAATCATCTTTAAGGAAATTATTTTGAGTTCCCATCAGACACACATGCAGCTGGGCTTTGTGTTCACACAGTGAGCATGCTGGGGTCAAGCAAACCATGATCACAGTGACTTCATTGACAGATGATGTCTTATTGGGAGAAGGGTTCTCTTTGACTTGACCCCATGTGTCCAACCCATAAAACCTGAGCCTTAGGCTAAAATCCATCTTCCTTTTCTCACCCTGCCCTGGGCACCAGGCCACTGTGCTGTGTGTTTCTCTGTCTCCTGAAGCAGAGTCCTGGGCGCAGATTTGGAACCTATTCGTGGGCTTGTTTGATCCCAGCTGTGACTTTCAGTACCAGGGGGTCCTTTGCTGTGACTTGAATTTGTGTTTTCTTTACTCTTAAGTTCCACAGATGCTGAGTGACCCAGACCCTGGTCATGCTCTTGTGCTGAAAGGAAACCAGCACACGGGGAGGTGAGCAGTATATGAAACAAAATCATGTATTTACAACCAGTGGCAAGACTTACTGGCAGGTGCTTTGTTCAAACACTGTTAAGAATTTGAAGATCATGACAGTAGAATGTGAAACCAAGTGCAGGGTCCTTCCAAATGCAGGCCTCTGTGCACCAAAGATAGACTTTTGGAGCTCATTTTTTTTAAACAAAAACGGAAACAACACTCTATGTTCATGGCTGTAGGCCATGCGAGAATATTTTTTTAAATTTTAATTTAATTTTTATTTTTCCATATATTATTGGGGTACAGGTGGTATTTGGTTATATGAGTAAGTTTTTAGTGATGACTTGCAAGACTTTGGTGAACCCACCATCTGAGCAGTATACACTGCACCATATTTGTAGTCTTTTATCCCTCACCCGCTCCTGCTGTTTCCCCAACACTTCCCCAAAGTCCGTTGTATCATTCTTATGCCTTTGTGACCTCATAGCTTTGCTCCCAAATATCGGTGAGAACATGCTATGTTTGGTTTTACATTTCTGAGTTACTTCACTTAGAATAATAGTCTCCCATCTCATCCAGGTAGATCATTCCAAATGCTGTTTATTCATTCCTTTTTATGGCTGTGTAGTATTTCATCATACATATATGATATATATATGATATATATGATATATATGTGATATATATGATATATATATGATATATATATATCACAGTTTCTTTATCCACTCGTTGATTGATGGGCATTTGGGTTGGTTCCTTTTTCTTTATCACTAAATTAATGGCAGCAATAAATCCAGAACATTCCTCATTACCCTAAAGTCAGCCCTGTCTCCCAAACTCCCTTACACATCAGGATACCTTTGTGCCCATAGATCATGGGCAGTGCTTGGCAGCCACCACTGTCCACACAGAGACGGTAGTCAGTAGCGTGAGGTGGTTCTGCCTGCTGGGATCTCACCCCAGGCACAGAAAGAAGGAGCCCTGGGTGGAGCTGAAAGTGCTCATCTGGGTTTGTCAGGAGTCCCATCTGTCAGTGAATTCACAAGAAACAGAACAAAACAACTCCTTCAATGTTGATGAGACTGCCCCTGGGATTTGGAAAGCTAATAACAGAGAAAACCAATATAGACAAAGGATTTTAAACAGGACTATCGGATTATGATCAATTAAGCAAATTAGAAAAGGATACTTGAAGGAGTATTTGGGACACAGGAATCAAAAACACCAGGAAGACATGAGGAGTTTTTCCAAGATTGTAGACTATAGCAATACTTAGATAACCAATACCAGTGTATTAATGAGTAATTATTAGTATTATTATTTTGAGATGGAGTCGCACTCTGTCATCCAGGCTGGAATGCAGTGGCATGATCTCGGCTTACTGCAACCTCCGCCTCCCTGGTTCAAGAATTCTGGTGCCTCCGCCTCCCGAGTAGCTGGGACTATAGGTGCACGTCAGGATGCCTGGATAATTTCTATATTTTTAGTACAGATGGGATTTCACCATGTTGGTCAGGCTGGTCTCCAACTCCTGGCCTGAAGTGATCTGCTCTCTTCAGCCTCCCAAAGGGCTAGGATTACAGGCATGGGCCACTATGCACAGCCAAGTAATTTGTATCATCATGGGAATAAAAAATATACATTGAGTTACAAACTAATTACCAAAAGATATTTAAAAAATGGTAGACTTGCATCGATTCAGACAAAGGCATTCTTCCCATCCAAACTGTTCACTGGTGCATTGATCTTGAATTTGACCATCTGGGGAAGGGGCGTGGCCTCTCCTGACAGCAAGGCTCTGGGGCCCAGGCAGGGAGAATGAGGTCTCAGAATGACGCCCTTGAAAGACGTGTTCCCTTTTCACCAATGCACAGACCCAGAGGACCCCTCCATCCTGCAGTTCCTGCCATGAGCCTCGGGCTCCTGTGCTGTGGGGCCTTTTCTCTCCTGTGGGCAGGTGGGTCCTGGGCGGGGCCCCTTGTGTGGATTTCAAGGCCCATCCCCTTTCCACTGGAGCTGTAGCATCAGCTTTGTCCTTCTCTGCAGGTCCAGTGAATGCTGGTGTCACTCAGACCCCAAAATTCCGGGTCCTGAAGACAGGACAGAGCATGACACTGCTGTGTGCCCAGGATATGAACCATGAATACATGTACTGGTATCGACAAGACCCAGGCATGGGGCTGAGGCTGATTCATTACTCAGTTGGTGAGGGTACAACTGCCAAAGGAGAGGTCCCTGATGGCTACAATGTCTCCAGATTAAAAAAACAGAATTTCCTGCTGGGGTTGGAGTCGGCTGCTCCCTCCCAAACATCTGTGTACTTCTGTGCCAGCAGTTACTCCACAGTGCTGCACGGCTGTCTCCTCTCTGCACAGAAAGGCAAGGGAAGGTGCTGCCCTCCTCCGCAGCACAGATTCAGCGATGCCCTTGGTCCTAGCACCGAAAACTTTGGAGCCCCAATGGGCCCGGGCAGTGCGAGCCTTCATCTGTGCCAGGTGCCTCTGCAGTCGGTCTCGGCCAGGCCTGGATCGGTCCCAGGACCTCAGATGTCTTCCTTGTTGCCCTCCGGTCTTTCCTCTGAGGTGTCCTTTTGGGCTAGTGCCAGGGGTTTCCCAGCTCTGACTTTCCTAGTCATTCACCTGAGTCTGAGGCCTCCTAGGTGAAATAGGATTTGTATTTCAGATCCATCTAGACTCCCGTCTCTACCTGGGTACCACGTGCTTTCCTCTCTCTATGATTTTTCCTCATGTTGAACCCTACGGTGGTCTCAGCTGCAGCCTGCATTTCCTATATTCACAGTCGCCCTCCAAGGCCTTGCTGGGTTTCTCCTCCCCGACCTCCCTGCCCTTCTCTACTCCAGCCATGTTGAGAGACTCCAAAGTCCATTTCCTGTGCCCTGGGCTGGAGCCTTCCTTTCTGTAGTGGTCAACACCTACCTGTGCTTCAGATCTCAGCATCATCAGCCCTAGTGATAATCACCATTATGCTTCCCTTGGCTCCCAGCTGAGGTCAGTTTCCCTCTCATAATCTCTCATGGTATCATGTGTCTGTTAATCAGTAGAATTTAGCACAGTTGGAATCTTCCAAGTACTTTAAACCCCATGAAGGCCAAGGCTATGCCTGGGTTATAAATCAGCAGCTGAGCCTGGCACAAGGGGAGATGCATTTCAGAGAATGGATGAGTCAGTGATGGAGTGAGTGATGAGTGGATGGATGAATCCATAACAGGAGCACCCTAGATCCATTTTACCCTTGCGGAGATCTGGCTGTAAGTACAAGAACTCTTACCCTTTTGATTGCTGGGCTACGGGAGGTCCTTGAAATTAATGGGGAGTCGCTATCATGGGCGGCCCCACCTTGGTCAAAGATTCCTCCTGAGTCTGCAGCACCAGACCTCCTCCAGGTCTCTGTGCTCTCCTTCAGACTCTTTCCCACAACAACTCTACACAGATCAGAGATCCCTTTCCAGAAACCCATGCATAGAGTTGTGTTATTTTGGAACCACTTCTGGTACCAAAAACTCCATTAGGTTTACATCAATAAAACAGAATCACTAAAAGTACTATGGAGAGGAGGATTTATGACAGGAGTTAGACCTTATATAAATGTAGGGGGAGCTGAGGAAGAGAAGGTCTGGAGGGGAGATATAGCTAGGCAGATTTAATTCATGATTAATGTGACCGTGACCTCTTATTCTACTCAAAGGAGAGCATATGATTTCAACAAAAAAAATATTGATTTTCCTTTGTAAAAGTTTGATCCAAATAGTGAGCTATTTTTGTCCCATAATTGTCTTAAGTTGGCTAATGGTGGAACAAATCCGACTTTGATTTCCTTGAAAGAACAGGAAAAAAACCATCATTCATATACAGTCTTACAGGCTCTATTTTATGGAGGAAGCATAATAAATAGGAAAGAGAAAATCAGAATTCTCTTCTGGAACCTACATTGGGACTGTCCTCAGAGCAGGTTGTGATGTGAGGAATCAAATCTACAGGGGTATTTCGCAGCTTGGAGCGCAGCAGACTGTTCCCGACCCCATGCATTTGGGGGTGAGACCAGAGACAGTTGAAAAACTATGGAATCTTGACATTCTGCACTCTCAAGCCTGGCCTCTCCCTGAATTTCACAGATTAACATAAGACCAATTTATTCCGACTATTAAAAGTATTAGAACAAAAACCAAGGAGGACCAGTGAGCAGAAGCAATAAACCATTAAAATGGACATCCTAAAGATTTAAAATTTTGCCATCATAAGATGTGAACGTTTGAAGAGCTACATTTAAATGAATACAAGAAGGGACTGAAACAAGTATACACACAAAAAAGAGACGGCCCGAAACCATCAAAAAACATTAAAGAAATAATCAAATAGAATGTCTAGAAATCATTACGATTACTCCACAAAACAAAATGGAAGCTAAACAGCAGATTCAATGCTTCTAAAGAGATTGTTAGCAATATCAAAGGAGGATCTCAAGAAATCACCTAGAATGCAGCACAGAAAATTAAATGTAAAATATAAAAAAAGTGAAGGAACAAGGAAAAAATGAAGTTTCTAGAATATTAGAAAGCATATAATGTTTTATTGAAACTTTTCTTACTTTCTTGTATATAACTGACGTTTCAGAAAGAGAAAATAAGGCAAATGATCTGAGGTGATTGTGTATGTGATGCTAGCTGAGAATGTTCCTGAGATGTTTGAGGACCGAAATCCTCGTTCAAGAATTCAGATGAATTGCAAGACAAGTAGGCAGGTCCCTGTGAAACTGCAGACCACAAATGACAAAGAAAAGATTTTAACAGCAGTCAAAAGGGAAAGATAAATATCCTCCAGGGGAATAGAAAGAAAGAAATAGTCAAAGTCAAGAAAGAGGATTAAAAATAACTGTTAAATCAGAATTGAGATTGATAAAAAATACCTACAGGACAGGACAAGAAAATATGGAAAACCAAAATAATTCTGTGAGTTTGCCACCAAAGTATCTTTTCAGAGTTATAGTTAACAAGGGTGGGAAATGATCCCAGAAGAAATGTATGAGGGCAGTTTGTGAGGGAACCCATGTGATGGGACAATCCCGTTGGGCACATGTGAGTGGGGGAATGGAGGAGGCTGGGGCATGAATGGGGATGGCAGAGGGGACCCTGACTTGGAGGAAAGACAATGAGCTCATCCCATGGTGCCTGGTGTTGGGGGCACTGTTGGCACATCCTACAGAACGTGCTCAGCAGACAGAGGAGCGGCTGTGGGATGAGAAGGTGAACTCGGAGATGCAGCGTGAGGCCTCCAAGTCCAGACAGCATGGGAGCCCAAAGCGATGTCCCATGCAATAACGTTGTTTACAAGGAGCTTATAAATATTTAAAGTAGTCACCCAAGTGTGGTCTAATATAAATCCTGTGTTCCTGAGGTCATGCAGATTGAGAGAGGAAGTGATGTCACTGTGGGAACTTCCGTGTAAGGACGGGGCGTCCCTCCTCCTCTGCTCCTGCTCACAGTGATCCTGATCTGGTAAAGCTCCCATCCTGCCCTGACCCTGCCATGGGCACCAGGCTCCTCTTCTGGGTGGCCTTCTGTCTCCTGGGGGCAGGTGAGTCCTCAGACACCAACCATTCTCATTGTGTGTGTGTGTGTGTGTGTGTGTGTGTGTGTGTGTGTGTGTAGGGGTGGGCTGTGTGCATTCGTGTGATGACTAAAATTATTTTCCTCATTCTGTTCCCAACTTTGTCTCCACAGATCACACAGGAGCTGGAGTCTCCCAGTCCCCCAGTAACAAGGTCACAGAGAAGGGAAAGGATGTAGAGCTCAGGTGTGATCCAATTTCAGGTCATACTGCCCTTTACTGGTACCGACAGAGCCTGGGGCAGGGCCTGGAGTTTTTAATTTACTTCCAAGGCAACAGTGCACCAGACAAATCAGGGCTGCCCAGTGATCGCTTCTCTGCAGAGAGGACTGGGGGATCCGTCTCCACTCTGACGATCCAGCGCACACAGCAGGAGGACTCGGCCGTGTATCTCTGTGCCAGCAGCTTAGCCACAGCATGGCACAGTCGCCTCCTTCCTGCTCATAAACCTCATCCTTCTCTCTCCTTGCAGCTCCTAGACACCCTTAACAGAGGCTTCTCTTTGCTTCTCCCTCCCCATGGGAAACAAGTAGATTTGGACCTCAGCTTGTCCTTTGGGTAGAAAGAGACCACAGATTTACCCTTAAGACACAGTAACTGTAAATGTGGGTGGTGGAAGCAATCGTGGCCCACCGGGCTATTGGAGTCCTCAGAGCCAGCTCATTGCTCTAAGGCAAGCACTGGGTGTCTTAGCCTTGGCCTTCAGGGCTGGGACACACAGTCTTCTTTGGGGCCTGGGAGGTTGCTGCCCACATAGAGAAGCTTCGGGCATGGCTGAGGAACAGGTGTCTTCCCCTACATGTGTTGGGGCATCTGCAAGGTCTGAAGCTTCATCCACAAGAACATTCTTTCTTCTGAAGCCTCTTCTGTTACATTGGAAGTTTTCTGCAATACAAGAGCAAACCATTCTTCCTGTTTGATTTAAAAGTCTTTGTGGCTTTTGTGGCCATTACTTGGTGAATACAGCCAAGATAACAATAAGACTTCGTTTCTTCTGCCTAGTGTAAGCAATGCGAGTTCTTTATTTTGTTTTCGTTTACCACTGCTCCTGTCCTGAGAGACTGAAGCATGCGTCCACTACTGCTCCAGTGTCAACTTGGTTCCCTAGGAAATCGGGTTTCTAGAACCTGAATGCTGACAAATAAGAGTTGTGTACATGTATACCATGCAACCTGCGTTTAAAAATGTATGTACATGGTGAAGTGACTAAATCTAGCTAATTAACATATGCAGTACCTCAATCCTTATCCTTTCCTGTGGTGAGAATACTTGAAATGTACTCTGTTAGCAATATTCCAGAATACAATCCACTGTTACTAACTTTAGTCACTGTGTTGTACAATAGATCTTTTGAACTTCTTCCTCCTATTTGAGTGAAATTTTGTATCCTTTAACCAACATCTCCCCAGCACCCCATCTCCATCCCAACCTCTGGTAATTGCTGCTCTAGTCTTTTGATTTGAAATAATTTCCCTGAGGTCTTTAACTTGAGAAGATGGAGTTTTAAAAACAATAATGCTTATATTACTTTTGTTTTGTTTGTTATTTTACATATTGCAATATAGTGTTTGTTGCAAATATAAATGAGTATACTGTAATAAAAATTCTTCACCTCTCTTTGAGTGAAGCTACATTTCACATATATGAAATTTCAAGCTGTGGTCAGAGCTGACATGATTATGGATCATGGGTTTCTGGGAGTCCTCAGAGACAGCCCTATACACAAAGGTTAAGATAGATTATCCCAGACCCAGCCAGGACAGAGGTGCCCTGAGTCCTGCAGAGCTGGTTGGGGAATTATAGTTCCCTAAATTCACTTATCAGAAATTGTGGTAGCTCAGATACCAAATTTCTTTCTCTAGCAAATGATGATCGTTGGCAGGGATTGTTCTGAATCCATTCTAATTGTTCTATCAACAGATCATTCCTTTTTTAGTTGCCCTGTGTGTCCTGGGAGTGAATAAGTCCCAGGCACAGATGGGAATTTCCTGACCTTAGGATGCTGTTCCAAGGACTTCCTTGCTAGACCCTGTCTCCAGCTTTTCCCACCTTTATCCTCATGACCCCTAAGACAAATGGTCCTAATAATGGACCAGCTCTGAAACTTAAGATTGAACAGAACACAAACCACAACTGTAAACACTGATGCTGAAAGAAGTGGTAAAAAAAGGTGAGCAGGGTTTCCCACCTGCACTGAGAGTTAACATACAAGGACAGCAAAGGGAAGGTTTTATTAATAAGCAAACAAGAAGCAATAAAGGCCCTGCTCCAAATGAATGTAACTAATCTCTTTGAGTTAAAAAAGGAGCACGTCAATAAAAGTATTTCAAATCAAAGTCTAGAAGTTTCCAAACCAGCCAGCACAACCCTGAGAGCTCTGTGCTCTCAGCAACTTCAGAGAACTCATCAATCCTTTCTGGGCTCAAACTTCCCTTTGTCCACTCGAAGACCCAGGGTCACACTCTCATCCTATTACAAAAACAATGGGCTTTGCTATCGTTGCTGATGCCTCATTTCTAGGAGTTGAGTATTAAGCACTGAAGAGCTTTGAAAGTTGGGCTTCTGAGTCAATTGATGTGCTGGAGCCAACTTTTCTGACTCACGAGAGACAAATAGGCACACTCTTCCCAGCTCCCCATTCAGTGAAGCCATGTTGACAGCTTGAAATCCACCATAGTGCCTGTGTTGATACAACAGAAATTGGTAAGTACTACTAGGCATGTGCCCACCTCCACAGACACTCAGTGTACCAGCACATCACTGGAATGTTTTCTGAGACAGTGATGTCCCTGTTATGTCGTCATGTCTTGTGGGGCCAAAAGGACTCCGAATTCACCTCCTCTCTGTTCTTGCTTTTAGAAACCATAATCTAAAATAACCTCACCTGACACTATTTCTATTCAATCTCCAAATTCCCTCACTTTGTGGGTCTGTGTCTCCTGTAAGCATGTCAGTCCACAACTTGACAACTATTTTGAATGTAGCTAAAGGATACAGTGAACCAGTTTATTATTTTCAAATTATCCTTCCTTGCATGGAATATGTAGATGCTGCAGTCATTGGGAACAGAGATGGGGCAAGCAGCAGCTCTGGGCCGTGAACCACTTTAGAGTCAGACAATTCTTCAGTGGCACAGACACACCCTTGGGCATGGACTAATTTGCTTTGGAAACTAAGCAGTTCCACACCAGTCACCAATGACCTTGGATCTATTTCCAGCTGAGAGGTCAAAAAGATCACACTACCTAAATGTCCTCCTCTCCAATATATAGTACAGCCCCCGTCCATCTCAGTCCCTGGAGGTCATCCAGAGCTCCCAGAGAATCTCTGCTCTGGGGCAGAATCACCACGTCTCCTCCTCGCCAGCTCCCCACAGGCTCCAGCAAGGCTTTCCTGCCAGGTGCAGGGCATGGGTGTGGCTCTGCTGTCTCTCAGGTAGAGGGAGGCCATACGATGATGTTTGTATAAGAAGGATTGGGTTTCAGAGGTTCCTCTCAAATACTTGACATAATTTTATTTGCTTTTTGTTTCACTCTACAATGTCACCATTTAGGAGAGCAATTATTTTGGTTGCATTATTTATGGAACTTTGAAAGATTTTTGTGGTTAAATTAATTTAAGAAATCATTCCCATTGTGCATCTTTTCTGTTCAGATATAATCTGAGGCAGTGAAAGAAACAGCAATGATTCTGAAAGCAGTCACTTACATGCCCTCTGATAAAGGCATTGTTCAAGGTTCATTACTCACACCTAACTTTCAGTCTACTGGAAATGAAAGGCACAGAGTTGGGGGCCTGTGATCAAGCCACAAGAGAGGACTATACCAGCTACTCTGGGACTTCAGGGCACGAAGAGATGACCTCCCCTTTAGACTCTGCTCAACGACGAAGGAATGAGTTGGTCCATGGGAACCTGAGGAGCAGAAATTCCGGGAGCCTTTAACTGGGACGGAGCAAGGACTGTAGAGCAAGTCATTGGAAAGGGAAATGGTTCATCTGGTCTGTCACAGAAGATAGTGGATAGAAAGGTCATATAATCCCCAGTTCCCTGGCTGATTTGCTTCCTTATGATACTATTTTGCAGCAGCGTACCGTCATCTCACACCACTCCTCTACCTCTTCCAGAATCATCTCCTCCCTCTCTGCTGCTCAGATCAGCACATGTGCATTGCACAAGCTATTCTTTTACTGTAGCAGACCTTTTGCTGGTCTTAATTATATCCATCCTTATTTTCCCATTAGATACTGCTCCCTCCATGATTGCTTATTGCCTTGCAAGGGATCCTTTACCCCCCGCCCCCAGACAGAGTCTCACTCTGTCGCCCAGGCTGGAGTGCAGTGGCGCAATCTCGGCTCACTACAAGCTCTGCCTTCCGGGTTCACGCCATTCTCCTGCCTCAGCCTCCCGAGTAGCGAGTAGCTGGGACTACAGGCGCCCGCCACCACGCCCGGATGATTTTCTGTATTTTTTAGTATAGAGACGGGGTTTCACCGTGTTAGCCAGGATGGTCTCTATCTCCTGACCTCGTGATCCGCCCGCCTTGGCCTCCCAAAGTGCTGGGATTGCAGGCAGAAGCCACTACGCCTGACCAAGGGATCCTATTTTTTATATCCCAGTTTTACTTTTTATTAACACATATCTGACCCCATCTTGAAGGTAATCACATTATCTGCCTAGACTTTTGCTAATCTTTATTTTTATGGTACCATTGTCATTTGGGGGGACATATTTGTTTATCTTTGGTAATGGAAATGAAATTACGTTACACTTCACTTTCTGTGTTTTCTTCCTACTTTAGGGTAAATATTATTTCCTTCTATTCTTCCTATTCTATTCCTCTCTCTTTAGATAGTTTTAAGGGAGAAAATGTCAGTGAGACTGTAACTGCAGCTATGGGGTAAGAATTATTTAGAATGAGGGTGGGATATTAAGCTTGATAACTCAAAGGAACAGTCAGGGTTAAAACTAATGTTGGGATCGGGGTTCAGAGAAGTTGCTTGTAAAACCTGCAGGATGGCACTTCTGGAATAGTCTCCCGGCTCCCTCTGCAGACACTTCCCAGCATCCCTTGGGCCATTTCCCTTGCAAAAGCAATGATGAAATTTCACTTATTGGCCACAAGATGGCACTGTGGTCCACTGGGCTCTAAGAGACTCTGGGGAGAGCCTGGGAGAGCAGCCTAGGAAGGAAAGGGTTAAGAAAAATCAGGGCTGGCATCCAATATCATGCAGATGTTGCAGCAGTTTTCAGTTATTGCTAGACTACCTACAGTTATACAACATACAGGAAATACCTCTAATCTTTAATGAGATCCACAGTTGAAGAAGTTTGGCCTGGCAGCCTTGGTGTCAAGGGCAGGTGCAGACAGAGGAGCAACTATCTCAGAGGAAAATGGGAAAGTGAGGGGTGGGCTGTGGCTTAAGCCCAGTGCGTCTCTGCTGCACCCCATCTTCCCTGCAGCTCTCACCAGGCAACAGCCTCCATGAGAGTAGGTGGATCCTGCCTGAGCCCAGTCAGAATGCCCCAGACTAGGTGAACTCTGTAGGCATGGGGAGTAACACAACAGGCCCACCTTTCACACGTTTCCAAAGTCTAGGCTCCAAGCCTTTTTTTCCCCTTTCCTCTGCAGAGTCCTGCCACTTCTGAAGCCTTGTCCTCACTTTCTGCCTGCCTCTCCCACAGCCCCCATGGAGGCAGGGATCAGCCAGATACCAAGATATCACAGACACACAGGGAAAAAGATCATCCTGAAATTTGCTCAGATTAGGAACCATTATTCAGTGTTCTGTTATCAATAAGACCAAGAATAGGGGCTGAGGCTGATCCATTATTCAGGTAGTATTGGCAGCATGACCAAAGGCGGTGCCAAGGAAGGGTACAATGTCTCTGGAAACAAGCTCAAGCATTTTCCCTCAACCCTGGAGTCTACTAGCACCAGCCAGACCTCTGTACCTCTGTGGCAGTGCATCCGCAGCCCTGCACAGCCAGCTGCTCTCTGCACAAAAAAGGGCAGCCACAGGCTGGAGGTGGGCACTCCTTCCCAAGGCCTCTATCTCAACCAGGAGATAAAGATGCCTTTTTTGAAGCTCTTCTCAGATGTCCCAGCAATGGGCTCCCAGTCTGTGCATCCTCCTGCAGCAGGAACTTCAGTGTGAGCTGAGGTCCATCACTGTGATGTGGATGCACGAATGCAAACAACACTTAATGTTATTTTACTCAATTCAGAATATTCTGGCAGTTGCGTAAAATAGGAATAGTAGCTCCCAAAATGAAATTTGTGTCTCATTTTCTTTATGAGAGAAAAGAAAAAAAAACAGAAAGCAGCTGGGCAGCTTTAACCTGCTTGAGTGATCTGGGATTCTACAAGTCTACAAGTGGTACAAAGAACATCACCTTGGCCTGGATGCCAATGGATACCAAACACTACAAAAAGTATTGAAAACAATTTATAAAAGACCTAAATAAACAATCTACTTATAGGAAATGTTAGTAGATCCATCGCATAGTGCCATTATACCTGACGATGATCAACTAGTGAAATTATTATGTAGAGATTATCAGCTAAGCCTCTACTTATTACCTCTGAGCATAGAGCAGTGTTTGAGCCTTCTGAGGGTATCTTAAGGAAGGAACTTAATTCTTACCATTACTTTGGCTTGGATTAAAATCCATGAGCTTGTCGTTTTTATTGTAAAATATTACAGAATAATAATGATCAAACGTTTTATTTTCCTCTAGCGTTTATTCCTCTTTAGAACGTGCAGGTTGAAGCTCACACACATGAGCAGGGTTCCTTAAGATGAGATCCATTAACTCCAGGACTGGGAGGTACACAGCTGGCCTTCACAGGAAGTGCAAACCCCAAATGCAGTGACCCCTCCTGTGTCTACGCTGTGCCCAATACCCCTCTGTGAGGCTGCCATAAAGGCGGGCAGGCTCCTTGCTTGGCAAAAAAATCAGTTCACCAATTGGCCACTTTGCTGAAGACCAGAATAAAAGGCTAAATTGTGAGAATGATGAATGCCCAATTCCCAAATTGTGAAATGTGTAACAGTTCACGATTCTTGGAATAATTTCAACCATGTGTGGTTTGTTTTTTTTTTTAAGTTTTTCTTTGTCGACAGCTTTCTTTCGGCCACTGATCCTCAGTTGTTTCCCAGCCGCCTTGTCAGCTGATCTCATTTTGATGCTAATTTTTTTTTTTTTTTTGCTAGCTTTGGGATTATTTGTTCTTGTTTTACTATGTCCTCTAAGTGTGGTGGTAGGTTGCTAATGTGAGATCTCTCTAACTTGTTTATGTGGGTGTTTCGTTCTGTAAACAATACTCCTAACACTGCTATAGCTGTGTCCCAGAGATTCTAGTATATTTAATCTTGGTTTTCATTAGTGCCAAAGAATGTCTTGTTTTCTACCTTCATTTTATGGCTTACCCAAGTCATTCACTAGCAGATTGTTTAATTTCCATGTAATTGTATGATTTTGAGAGATCTTATAACTCTTGATTTCTATTTTTTTTGTGCTGTGGTCCAAGAGTATGGTTGACATGATTTCAGTTTTTTTTATAATTTGTTTACAATTAGTCTGTGTCCAATCATGTGGTTGATTTCAGAGTATGTGCCATGTGTAGATGAGAAGAATGTGTATTATGCTGTTATTGGGTGGAGTGTTCTGTAGATGTCTGTTAGGACCACTTAGTCAAATGTTGAGTTTAGTTTATGAATATCTTTGTTAGTTTTCTGCCTTGACAATCTAATACTGAGTGTTGAACTCTTCCAGTATTGTTGTGTGGTTTTCTACGTGTCTGTAGGTCTCTAAGAACTTGTTTTATGAATCCAGCTGAACCAGTGTTGGGTACCTATATATTTAGGATAGTGAGGTCTTCTTGTTGAATTGGGCCCTTTATCATTATGCAATGCCCTTCTTTGTCATTTCTGATAATTGTTGGTTTAAAGTTTGTATTGCCTGAAATTAGAATAGCAACTTCTGCTCTTTTTTGTTTCCCATTGGCTTGGTCATTTTTCTCCATCGCTTTATGTTGAGCCTATGGGAGTTGCATATGAGATGGGTCTCCCGAAGACAGCATACAGTTCAGTGTTTCACTTGTCTATACAACTGGACGCTCTTTTTTTTTTTTTTTTTTTTTTTTTTTGAGATGGAGTCTCGCTCTGTCGCCCAGGCTGGAGTGCAGTGGCGCGATCTTGGCTCACTGCAAGCTCCGCCTCCTGGGTTCACGCCATTCTCCGGCTTCAGCCTCCCGAGTAGCTGGGACTACAAGTGCCCGCCACCACGCCCAGCTAATTTTTTGTATTTTAGTAGAGACGGGGTTTCACCGTGTTAGCCCGGATGGTCTTGATCTCCTGACCTGGTGATCCGCCCGCCTTGGCCTCCCACAGTGCTGGGATTACAGGCGTGAGCCACGGCGCCTGGCAGCTCTTTTAATAATAAACGACTTTTATGTGCTGTGTTTAGCCTGTTTACATTCAAGGTTAATATTAATACGTGTAGATATGATCCTGCCATTGTGTTCTTGCTTGGTTGTTATGCAGACTTGATTGTGTAGTTGCTTTATAATGTCAATGGTCTATGTACTTGAGTGTGTTTTTTGGTGGCTGTTAGTGATCTTTCATTTCTATGTTTAGGACTCCCTTCAGGACCTCTTGTAAGGCAGGTCTGGTAGTAACAAATTCCTTGAACATTTGCTTGTCTGAAGGGATCTTATTTCTCCTTTCCTTATGAAGCTTAGTTTGGCTGGATATGAAATATATAGGGATACTGGTTGGAATTTCATGTCTTTAAGAATGTTGAATATTGGCTCCCAATTGTTTCTGCCTTGTAAAGTTTCTCCTGAAAAACCTGCTGTTAGTCTGATGGGATTCCCTTTGTAGGTGACCTGCCTTTTCTTTCTAGCTGACTTTAATATTTTTTCTTTCATGTTGACCTTGGAGAATCTGATGACTATGTGTCTTGGGGGTGGTTGTCTTTTATGGTATCTCATAAGAATTCTCCGTGTTTCCTGAATTTGAATATTAAACTCTCTAGCAAGGTTAGGGAATTTTTTGTGCTCAATATCCTCCAATATGTTTTCAATGTTGCTTACTCTCTCTCCCCCTCTTTCAGGGACATCAATGAGTCATAGGTTTGGTCTTTTTACATAATCCCATATTTCTCAGAGGTTTACTTCATTCATTTTTCTTTTTTTTCCATTCTTTTTTTGTCTGACTGAATTGATTCAAAAATAAGTGTTCAAGCTCTGAGATTATTTTCTCATTGATTATGCTGTTAATACTTCTGATTACATTATGACATTGTTGAGGTTAGTTTTTCAGCTCTATCAGATCAATTTTGTTCTTTCATAAAATAGCTATTTCATTTTTCAGCTAATGTGTCATTTTATTGGATTCATCAGATTCCTTAGATTGACTTTCAGCTTTCTTCCGAATCTTGATAGTGTTTGTTTCTAACCTGTTTCTGAATTCTATGTCTATCATTTCAGCCGCTTCAGCCTGGTTAAGAATCATTGTTGGGAAGCTAGTGTGTTCATTTGGTGCTAAGAAGGCACTCTGACTTTTTAAGTTGCCAGAGTTCTTTCACTGGTTCTTTCTCATCTCTGTGGTCTGAGGTTTCTTTAATCTTTTAAGCTGATGTCTTTTGGAAGGGTTTTTTGCTTTTATATTCTATGCCCTTGAGGGTTTCACTGTTACATAAGCTGGGTTCAGGAGACTGGCTTCATTTATGGAATATTTCAGGGGGCTAAGATTCAGCTCAGTATTTCTGGGCTGCGTGTTGTAGGCCTGTGGTGCTGGAATTAAGCCCAGAGCTTTGGTTTTTGACCCCTTAAGGTTAAAGCACCTGCTACACCAGAGGGGCTGAGGCGTTCCCAATTCCACTGGCAACAACACTGCAATGGGGAATGCCAGCCAAAGTACTTTTTCCAAATGGTGGCATTGGGGTACATGCTCAGAAGCATGTGCCAATAATGGCAATGTGGCAGTTTCCATACATATGTTTGTGCTAGCTTTTTTATTATTATATAGTAAACTTCTTTGCCTCTTTTTATAGTTATTGTCTTGAAATATATTTTATCTGATATAGATATAGCTACTCCTGATCTTTTCTGGTTTTCACGTGCATGAAACATCTTTTTGTTATCTCTTCACTTTCAATCTATATGTCTTTTTAGGGGAGGTGTGTTTCTTGTAAGTGACAGATCATTGGGTCTTATTTTTATATTCATTCAGCTACTCTATGTCCTTTGATTGGTGAGTTTACATCATTTACATTCAATGTTATTGTTGATAACTAAGTACTGGCTCCTGCCATGTATTTGTTTTCTGGTTGTTTTGTGGTCTTCTCTTCATTTGTTTCTTCTTTCCTGTCTTCTTTTTAGTAAAGGTGATTTTCCCTGATAACGTGTTTTCATTTCTTGTTTGTTATTTTTGTGTATCTGTTGTATGTGTTTGTATTTAAAGTTACTACGTTGCATATGTTTGTATTTAAAATTACTATGCATGAGGCTTGCAAATAATATCTTATACTGATGACAACATAACACTGATTGCCTAAGCAAACAAACCAAAAAAAAACAGAGAAAACTAGTAAAAATCTTATATTTTAACATTGTCCACCTACCTTTCAACTTTGTGTCATTTCTATTTATATCTTAGGCACTGTCTATGTCTTGAAAAGCTGTAGTTTTTTTTTTAATTGGTTCATCTTTTAGTCTTTATAAGTAGTTTACACGCCGTAATCACAGTATTATAATATTGTGTTTTTCTTCGCACTATTATCAGTTAGTTTTGCACCTGCAGATAATTTCTTATTTCTCATTAATGTTCTTTTCTTTCATGCTGAAAAATTATCTTTTGCATTTCTTCTAGGACAGGTCTGGTGTTGAGGAAGTCCCTCATATTTTGTTTGTCTGGGGAAGTCATTATTTCCCTTTCATGTTTGAAGGGTATTTTCACTGAGTACACTATTCTAGTATTAACGTTTTTTTTTTTAGCATTTTAAATATGTCATGCTGCTCTCTCATGACCTGTAAGATTTGCACTGAAAAAGTCTGCTGCTAGACTATATTGGTGGTCCATGGTATGTTATCTGTTTCTTTTGCTGCTTTTAGAATCCTTTCTTTATCCTTGAAATTTTGATTTATCCTTGAAGTTTGATTATTGTCTTGATGTAGTCTTCTTTGACTTAAATATGCTTGGTATTCTATAATCTTCTTTTACTTGAATATTGATATCTTTCTCTAAGTTTGGGAATTTCTCTATTATCATAGCTTTGAATAAACTTTCAGCCCTATCTCTCTCTCTACCTCCTCTTTAAGGTCAATAACTCTTAAAGTTGCCCTTTTGAGGCTATATTCTAGATCTTGTATTTGTGCTTCATTAATTTTTATCCTTTTGTCTCCTCTGGTGGTGTATTTTCAAATAGCCTGTCTTCAAGCTTACTGATTCTTCTGCCTCATCAATTGTGAGGTTGAAACCCTGATGCATTCGTCAGAATGTCAATTGCATTTTCAGCTCCAAAATTTCTGCTTGATTGTTTTTAATTATTTAGCTCTCTTCCGGATTCTGAATTTCTTGGCTGTGTTGTCTTGAATTTTGTTGAGTTTCTTCAAAACAGATATTTTGAGTTCTGTGTCTGAAATGTCACACATCTCTCTCTCTCTCTCTGGGATTGGCCTCTGGTGCTTTATTTGGTTCATTTGGTGAGGTCATGTTTTCCTGAATGGTCTTGAGACTTGTGGATGTTTGCCTGTGTCTGGGCATTGAAGAGTTAAGTATTTATTGTAGTCTTTGCAGTCTGGGCTTGTTTGTACTCGCCCTTGGAAAGCTTTTCAGGTATTTGAATGTACTTGGGTGTTGTAATCTAAGTTTTCTATCTCTGAAACCTTATCTGCATTAGGGAGCACCCCAAGTCCAGTAATTCTGTGGTCCTTGTGGACTCACAGATATACTGCCTTGGTGGTCTTGGATAAGATCTGAAAGAATTCTCTGGATTATCAGGCAGAGACTCTTGTTCTCTTCCTTCACTTTCACTCAAACAAACATCTCTGTCTCTCTCTCTGCTGAACTACCTGGAACTGAGGAGTAGTGGTACAAGCTCCCTGTGGCTGCCATCACTGAGATCCTAGGTCAGAAAAAGCCAGCATGATAATGGGTCTCACCCAAGGTCCACAGTAACCACTGCCTTGCTTGTTGCCTATGTTCAAGGCCCCAGGGATCTACAATCAGCATGTGGAAAAGTCAGCCAGTCTTATACCCTTCCCTTCAGGGTCACGAGGCCCCCTGACCCCAGGCACATCCAGAGATGTTATCCAGGAGCCAGGGCCTGGAGTCAGAAACCTTGGGGATCTAACTGGTGCTCTATTCTGCTGCAACTGAGCTGGCATTCAAGTCACAAGATAAAGTTATTTCCACTCTTCCCTGCCCTTTCACAACCAGAGGAGTCTCTCCCTATGGCTACCACCGCCCCAGGCCCACAGCAAGAATTGCCTGACTATTGCCAATGTTCACTCAAGGCCCAAGGACTCTTTAGCCAGCTTGTGGTAAATGCTGCCAGGCCTGAGACTCTTCTTTCAGGGCAATGGGCTCTCCTCTGGCCCAGGACTGGTCCAGAAATGCAATCCAACAGCAAAGTCCTGGAATCCGGGACCCCAGGAGCCTACTTTGTGCTCTACTCCACTGTGGCCAAGGTGGTAGCTAATCTGCAAGACAAAGGCTCCTTTATTATTCCCTCTCCTTTTATCAAGCAGAAGGAGCCTCTCCTCATATTCATCACAGCTGGGAATGTGCTGCATCACACCTGAAACCAGCATGTCTCAGATTCTCACCTAAGCTCTATGGCAAGTACTACCTGGGCATTGCTGCTGATTATTCAGGGCCCAAGTGCTCTTTATTCAGCAGATGATGAATCTTTCTGGGCCTTGTTCCTTCCCCACAAGGCAGCAGGTTCCCTTCTGGCCCATGGTGTGTTTAGAAATGTCATCCAGGAGCTAGGGCCTAGAATTGGGGCCTCAGTACTCTGCTCATTGCCCTATCTGACTATGGCTGAGCTGGTGTCTGATTTTCAAGAAAAAGTCCTCTTTACTCTTCCCTCTCCTGTCTTTAAGTGGAGAGAAGGTATATTAGGCCATTCTAGCATTGCTATAAAGAATACCTGAGACTGGGTAATTTATAAGAAAAGAGGTTTAATTGGCTCATGGTTCTGCAGGCTGTACAAGAGGCATAACACTGGCATCTGTTTCTGGGAAGGCTCCAAAAGCTTATAAGTATGCAGAAGGCCAAGGGAGAGCAGGCGCATCACATCGCAAAATCAGGAGCAAGAGATAGAGAGTGGAGGGTGTATTAGTCTGTTCTTATCCTGCTAATAAAGACATACCCAAGACGGGGTAATTTATTTAAAAAAAAAAAAAAGAGGTTTAATAGACTCACAGTTCCACATGTCTGGGGAAGCCACGCAATCATGACAGAAGGTGAAGGAAGACCAAAGGCATGTCTTACATGGCAGCAGGCAAGAGAGCTTTCACAAGGGAACTCCCATTTATAAAATCATCAGAACTCCTGAGACTTATTTACTATCATGAGAACAGTATGGAGAAAACCACCCTCATGACTCAATTATCTCCACCTGGCCCTCGCCTTGATACATGATGATTATTACAATTCAAGGTGAAATTGGGTGGGGACACAGAGCCAAACCATATCTGAGGGGGAGCTGCCACACACTTTTAAATGACAAGATCTTGCAAAAACTCACTCACTATCGTGAAGACAGCACTAAGCCATGAGGGATCTGCCCCCATGACCCAAATACCACCCACCAGGCCCCACCTCCATCACTGGGGATGACAATTCAACATGAGACATGGGTGGGGACAAATATTCAATCTCTGTCATTCTGCCTTTTTTCTCTCTCAAATCTCACGTCCTTCTCACATTGCAAAATACAATCATGCCTTTCCAACAGTCTCCCAAAGTCTTAACTCTTTCCAGCATTAACTCAAAAGTCCAAAGTCTAATGCCTCATTTAAGACAAAGCACATCTCTTCCACCTTACTAGCCTGTAAAATTAAAAATATATATATTTACTCTTAAGATACAACAAGAGTATAGGCATGGGGTAAACATTCTTCTTCCAAAAGGGAGAAATTGGGCAAAAGAAAGGTGCTACAGGCGCCATGCAACTTTGAAGCCCATCAGGAGAGTCATTAAATCTTTTTGTTTGTTTGTTTGTTTGTTTGTTTTTGAGACAGAGTCTTGCTCTGTCACCCAGACTGGAGTGCAGTGGTGCGATCTCAGCTCACTGAAACCTCTGCCTCCTGGGTTCAAGTGATTCTCCTGCCTCAGCCTCCTGAATAGCTGGGATTACAGGCACGTGCCATCATGCCTGGTTAATTTCCATATTTTTAGTAGAGATGGGATTTCGCCATGTTGGCCAGGCTGTTCTCGAACTCCTGACCTCAGGTGATCTTCCTGTCTTGGCCACCCAAAGTGCTGAAATGATAGGCATGAGCCACTGCACCCAGCCAAAGTCATTAAATCTTAAATCTCCAATAGTTCTTGACTCCATGTTCCACATTCAGGGCACACACTGGTGCAAAGGGGGACTACCAAGGTCTTGGGAGTTCTTCGTCTGTGGCTTTCCAGAGTTCAGCCCCCAGGGTTGCTTTCACATGTTGTTGGGTGTTTTGGCTTGTCCAGGCACAGGGTGCAAGCTGTCAGTGACAATATCGATCTGGGGTCTGGAGGGCAGTTGTCCCCTTTCCAAAACTCCACTAGGCAATGCCCCAGTGGGATTCTGTATGGGGCCTCCAACCTCTAATTTCCTCTCTGCATTTCCCTAATAGAGATTCTCTGTAAGGTTTCCACCCTTGCAGCAGGCTTCTGCCTGATCACCAAAGATTTTCCATAATTCTCTGAAATCTAGATGAAGGCTGCCAAGCTTTCTTGATTCTTGCATTATGTACACCTGTAGGCTTGACACCACATGGAAGCCACCAAGGCTATAGCTTGCATTCTCCAAAGTGGCAACTCAAGCTGTATCTGGGCCCCTTTGAGCCACAGCTGGAGCTGGAGCAGCTGGGATGCAGGCCGATGTGTTCTGAGGCTGGGCAGAGCAGCAGGACCCTGGGCCTGGCACACAAAACTATTCACTCCTCCTAGGCTTCAGGGCTGGTGATGGGAGGTACTGCCTGGAAGATTTCTGAATTGTCTTCAGGCAATTTTCCCAAAGTCTTTGCTATTAGCACTTGGCTCTTTTTTAACTATGTTAATATCTCTAACAAGTGGTAGCTCCACAGCCTGCTTGAATTCTTCTCCCACAACATTTTCTTTATTTGCCACATGGTTAGGCTGCAAATTTTCCAAACTTTTACACTCTGCTTCCTGTTTAAATATACATTCCAGCTTTCAGTGTTTTCTTTGCTCTCACATCTGAGTGTAGGCTGTTAGAAGCAGCCAGGCCACATCTTCAACACTTTGCTGCTTATAAATTTCTTCCACCAGATACACTAGGTCATCACTCGCAAGTTCAAACTTCCACAGATTCCTAGGGCAGAGGCAAAATGCACCCAAGTTCTTTGCTAAGGCATAACATGTGTGACCTTTGCCCCAGTTCCCAATAAGTTTCTCATTTCCATCTAAGACCTCAACAGCCTGGACTTCACTTTCCATATCACTATCAGCATTTTGGTCACAACCATTTAACCAGTCTCTCAGAAATTCCAAACTTTCCATCATATTCCTGTCTTCTTCTGAGCCCTCTAAACTCTTCCAACTTTTGCCCATTACCCAGTTCCAAAGCTGCTTACACATTTTCAGTTATTTTTATAACAATACCCAACTTCTTGTATCAATTTTCTGAATTAGGCCATTCTTGCATTGCTGTAAAGAAATACCTGAGACTAGGTCATTTACAAGAAAAATGGTTTAATAGGCTCATGGTTTTTCAGGCCGTACAGAAGGCATAACACCAGCATCTGCTTCTGGTGTAGTCTCAAAAGCTTACAATCATGGAAGAAAGAAAAGGGGAGGCAGGCACATTACATGGTGAAAACAGGAACAAGAGAGAGAAAGAGAGTGTGTGGGGGAGGGAGGGAAGGTCATTTAAAACATACTTTTAAATGACCAGATCTCACAATAATTCATTCTCTATTCTGAGGACAGCATCAAGCCATAAGGGATCTGCCCCCGTGATACAAACACCCCTCACCAGCATGGGGATTACAATTCAACATGAGATTTGGGTGGGGACAAATATCCAAACTATATCCAAAGGAGTCTCACCTGGAGCTGTGGGCTGTGCTGCCTGAGGTTGGGGATGGGGTGGCATAAGCAATTTCTTGGCCACCCCAGCTGGTATCTCACTAGGTCATGTGTCCCCAAGTCCACTGACTCTGAGTTCAGCACAGCACCAAGACTTGCCCAGGAATTGTAGTCCTTGTGGCCTGGACTGTGTTTCAAGTTTATTTAGGACCCTAAGGCACTTTAGCCCATGGTAGCGAGGCTAGCCAGAACTCAGGTTCTGACTGCTGGGATAAGTGATTCCCCTCTGACTAGGGCTGGTCTAAATGTTCTTCCATGAGTGCTGGCTGAGTCCTGCCTGCTGTTGCTATCCACTGTGTGAGGACAGCAACGACTTCCAACACAAAGTCCCACAGTCACTGCACTCTCCCTAACCCAAATGCACAGACTGTCTCTCCAAGCCATATGGCCACTGCCAGGGGATGGGGGAGGCATGGTATTGGCAATTCAAGAGTGTCTTTTCTACCTCTTTAGTGCCTCTTTCAGTGATATGAAGTTAAAACCAGGTACTGTGGTCACTTAGTTGATTTTTGGTTCTTATGAAGGTGCTATTTTGTGTGGATAGTTGTTCAGTTTGATGTTCTTGTTTGGAGGAACAGTTAACGAAGGCTTCTATTTGGCCATCATGTTCTACCTTCTTCTTAATCATTCTATTGGGTCTGTAGTGATATCTCTATGCATTTTTCTATAAGTAATTATATTTACATTTTTTTCTGTTTTCATTAGTAATTTCTATCTCCTTTTTTCAAGTGTCTGCTTTTAAATTTGCCTGTTTTAAAATCTTACGTTGTTTGTTCTTATATTACTAATACGTATAATATGTTTGTATTTTTTATATAAACCTTTTGACCATTAAATATATTGAGTTAGTCTTCTCCCAGAGTGGCCTGCCTTTGTACTTTCTGAATAGAGTCTTCTCATGAACTGAAATTTTCTATTTTTTGAAGTTTAATTCATATATATTTTTCCTTTTACAGTGACTACTCTTTGCATTTCAAGGATATCTTGCCTATAACAGAATTATGAGTTGTTCCATTCTGTTACTTACTCTACTCCTCCTCATTAGTAGCCCCATCCCTTTTTCTTTGTCATCACTTGAAAATGCTAAATCTCCAAAATCACAAATTAAATATTCCACTATCTGCCTACAGCTTCTTATCCTATCATACCTGTTCTTTGATATTATTGACATCTCCTCTCCACTGGTAAATATTCTTTCTATTTCCTAGGGTCCCTACAGAATTTCTTTACTCATTCTAGAGCAGATATGAGGATGTTACGTGTTAAAAATCCTAGCTTGCAAATAGTTATTATTTTATATTGATACTCTTAGGCTTCCCTTTCATTTACAAAAATAAACAAGAATAAATGCACTGATCTCTTTGGCATGGCAGAAGCTGAATGCTGTCAGAGTAAGTCACACCGGCACAAACTGTTATCATGATAAATACATAGTCACTAAGCTTACCTGCCTTTATATCCCTGCTTTGAGATTATAGTATGGTCCTTTTACTAGCTCAGTCTTTCACCCTCCTCAAATATTGTTTCAAATATTTAAGACTTTTTTCCAGTCCCTAATTCTTCTCTTCTTGCCTCTTAAGCCAAAGGCACATCTTGTTAGGACATGCTGGACCTTGCATCTCTGCAATTAACACAGTTTTTCTACTGTGTGAAGGTGTCACCTTGAGTGAAGATGGTTCTTGTGGACGGGAACCCAGTGTGGGGCTCAACTCTAAAGGGATGTGGCAATGGGTCTGAAAATGGGTTCTCAATGAAGCATCACAGTGTCCACTATGTTTATGAAGTAGATCCACCCTGCCACAGACTTCTAGGTAAGAGGAGGTGAGCATGCATCATGATTCTCTACTAGAACCTCTTTAGATTCCATGTACTCAAGTCATACTATTTATTTTCATACTGCATATTTTAATGCTTCTCCCAACTCTTTTGGTAATGCTAATTGCATGTGATAGAATTTTTGTTACTGCTATTTGCAAAGAGTGAGAAATTGTATTATTTCTAATTGCAGAATGTTAGAACTTGTATTATTTTGTTAAAGCAAAATAAGATCTCCAAGACTCACTTTTCCATTGCTATGTCTATTAACCATGGTCCTGGAGGTATTGAGGAGGGATGAAAAGACAATTTACAAAACTGTGGCAAGGTTAAGGAACCCAGTAAGAGAAGAGAAAGGATTATGGGGATAGTATAGTGAGTGCTCTTATTCACATTGGCCTAAAATAAGTAGGAGAGTGTGTGGATCTCGGGGCTTTTGACATTTTACATTTGGGGTAAGGATGTTTGTAGGGTGCTGTGACCTTTGGTAGAGAAAAGCAATCAATATGAAATAGTCCAGCAAGGAGGCAGCCAGGAGACACACAAACCGGGACAGTTGGTTACCCTCTCTCTCTCTACTCTCCTGCCATTGTCTCTCATAAGACAAACTCACTCTGGAGTACACAAAAAGAGATGCAGTTACTATAATCCATTGGCATCAACCTCTGAAGGCAGGATGGATCTGGAGGGATAAACATAACCTGCCCAGAGGATGACTCATAGGGTGGCCTTGTGGGTGCTGAATCCCAAGTGGTTAGGTCTGTGCTGTGAGCTGATAAAGCCCCAGAATTATTTATGGGGAATCTATACTCCTAATAATTTACAGACAACACAGATCCACTTTGGACTTGATCAGATGGACAAAATCTTGGGGACTTGACATCACTGCGCACACAGGGGAGGAGCTGGGATTGTTGTCCAGGAAAGGAAAATATAAGGAGAAACCTTGGTTTGAATTTGGTGTCAGACATATGATGAGAGGACAGCCAGGAAGATCTGGAACATGAAGATTTAATTACAGGCCACTAACTCTCAGCTGACGGGCAGGTCTGTGAGTTCCAGAATGGAGCACTGCAGCAGTAGGTGGGGAGGAGGCTGAGAGGGCGATGAGGCAGTCTGAGTGCTGAGGGCAGTGCAGTCAGAGAAGCAACTGCCTCATCACAGAAGCTTCTGCCCTTACTCATCCCCTTGCTCTGCAGGATGAGGAGGGAGTTCCATGGGTAGGGACCACTGGACCTAAGGAAGCCTGAAGGGGAAGGACCACAGGACAGTGACATCACAGGATATCCTTCCTATCAGGAAAAGTGAGGCTCAGAACTCAGCTCTTCCTGGGAGGACCAAGCCCTGAGCACAGGTGCAGTGCTGCCTGCTCCGCTGTGCCATGGGCTCCGGACTCCTCTGCTGGACGCTGCTTTGTTTCCTGGGAGCAGGTGAATCCTGTGGACAGGACAGCACCCCTATTCTCAGCTTGCCCACCCCTGTGTCCCCCACTTCACCATGGGGAGGCACAAGTTCATTCTCCACCTATTTTTTCCTCAGGCCCAGTGGAGGCTGGAATCACCCAAGCTCCAAGACACCTGATCAAAACAAGAGACCAGCAAGTGACACTGAGATGCTCCCCTGCCTCTGGGCATAACTGTGTGTCCTGGTACCTACGAACTCCAAGTCAGCCCCTCTAGTTATTGTTACAATATTGTAATAGGTTACAAAGAGCAAAAGGAAACTTGCCTAATTGATTCTCAGCTCACCACGTCCATAACTATTACTGAGTCAAACACGGAGCTAGGGGACTCAGCCCTGTATCTCTGTGCCAGCAACTTGATGCAGGCCTGCAGAGCCAAGAACATTCTGTGTACAAACATCCCTGCCCCAGTGTGGAGAACTTCAGCCCTAACATATCTGTGAGAACTTGAGGACTGTAGTGGGAAAGAAAAGCAGTTTCAGGAAGCTGGATCCTAAAACCTGGGGTTTTCTGCCAGTTAGGAGTGGGGATAACAAGGCCAAGAGGGTCTGCTCAGGAGGTGGTGAAAACTACCTTCTTCGCCAAACGCTGTACACTATAGGGATAGTGGAAGTGTTTGTAATTTAATAGCTGGTGCCCTCTTTACAGGGCAGCAGATTTAATTTCAGGGTCAAGATTCTTGATAATAGTGTGGAAGGGAAAATCATAGGGTTTGCTTTATATAATTCAGGGAGAAGAAAGTGAGATTTGGGGAAATTCTATGAAAGAGAAAATGATCAAAGATAGTTGAAAATAGAGATAGAGCAGAAGGTAATGAAACATGGTGATCTGTGCACCATGAGCTCCCTTCTCCTCCCACAGTTTTTGATATCCAGAAAATACAAAGAAAGGTCTTATAGCAACTGACATCACCTGGGGACTGGTCCTAGTTGGGGATATCACAAATAGCAGCCTGCCTGATGTGAGGGCCTTGGGGTTGGTTCTGACATCTTCTTTCTCGACTTCTGGATCTAGTCTTGCCTGCTCGAGGCACAGTCAAATACTTCCCAAAACACAAAGGAGGTCAGGTCAGTCTTGGTCCTAAAGGGGCAAATGCTGTCCGTTTTCTCCCAAGATAAAATTCTGCATCCCTGGGATTCCTCTCTGAGACTCAGTGCCCAGATTCAATTACCTTCTGTAATTAAACAGTTCTTTGAACATTTTCTAAAACTCATCAGCGTTGGTATCATCTGCATTTCTGCTATTTCCTTGGCCTGGAAACTTTTGTTCTCTCCAGACACATCTAGCCCCTGCTCATCTGTCAAGGATGGTCTCACATCTGCCTTACTCTTTGCTTCTTACCCTGACATTCCCTGGAACTGGACTGTATCAATTTATTTATTTACTTTTTTAAGACAAGAGTCTCACTCTGTTGCCTGGGCTGGAGTGCAGTGGCATGATCTTGGCTCACTGCAACCTCCATCCCCCCGGTTCAAGCTATTCTCATGCCTCAGCCTTGAGAGTAGCTGGAATTACAGGCACATGCCATCATGCATGGCTAATTTGTTTTGTATTATTAGTAGAGACACGGTTTCACCATGATGGCCAAGCTAGTCTCAAGCTCCTGACCTCAAGTGATCCCCACGCCTCAGCCTCCCAAGTGCTGGGATTACAGGCATGAGTCACTGCGCCCAGCCCTGGACTGTATCACTTTCTTTTCTTTATTTTCATAAGAAAAGCCAAGTTTATAATTAATAGTATCTGAAGTTTGTAAAATGAAAAAGTTAATGCATACTTATATAGAATCCTGGAATATCATTAATCACCATCTTCCCTTCAATGGGACTCCTCTTTCTTAAAATGTAATGAAGATTCTTAGAGACAGTGTCAGTTTTTCATATAATTTCTGCAATATTCTAAGCAATTGTGTCTTCATAGTCAGAATTGATAACCAATGCTATAAAGTATCCTAACTCTAAGGCTGGAATTTGCAAATACTCTTTTGGAGCAAATAAAATTGTGTTGTAGTAATATTCATCCAGTCTCATGATCCTGAAAAAACAAATTATTCAGCATAACCACACTTTCCACAGCCACATTTTTAGAGATTTGATGAGACTGGAACATCATCAAAGATGCTTCTCAGAAATCAACCTAAAAAACTGAAATAAAAATTAGTTAAGCTCAGTAATGGAATCTTATCATCCTTTCTGAGTAAAAGATATTGTGTGTGCAGGAACAGAAAACCAAACACCACATGTTCTCATTCATAAGTGGGAGTTGAACAATGAGAACACATGGACATAGGGAGGGGAACATCACACACCGGGGCCTGTCGGGGGGTTGGGGGAAGGGGAGGGAGAGCATTAGGACAAATCCCTAATGCACGCGGGGCTTAAAGCCTAGATGACAGGTTGATGGGTACAGCAAACCACCGAGGCACATGTATACTTATGTAACAAACCTGCACGTTCTGCACATGTATCCCAGAACTTAAAGTAAAATAAAAAAAAAAAAACCCAAGATATTGTGTGTGTGTGTGTGTGTGTGTGTGTGTGTGTGTGTGTTTGTGTGTGTGTTTGTGTGTGTTTTCTGTGGAGACTCAGCCGCATGGAAATAGTTTCTCAGGGTGGCATTACTAAGAGGTGTTGGGTCATTGGCAGAGCTCCTAGGTACTTCTGGGTAAAGAAAGGAAATATCAGACCCAATTGAATCTGCCTAAGTTATATACAGCTCATAGGGTCGTTTATTTCAAGATTTTTTAAAATTCAGAAATAAATTTGTAAAATTGAAAAATCCTCTTTATAGAATGTGCTATCTAAAATCTGGGAATAATAAATCTAAATATAGGCCAGACGCGGTGGTTTACACCTGTAATCCCAGCACTTTGGGAGGCCGAGGCGGGTGGATCACGAGATCGAGAGATCGAGACCATCCTGGCCAACATGGTGAAACTCCGTCTCTACTAAAAATACAAAAATTAGCTGGGCATGGTGACAGGCACCTGTAGTCCCAGCTGCTCAGGAGGCTGAGGCAGGAGAATGGCTTGAACCCAGGAGGTGGAGGTTGCAGTGAGCTGAGATTGCGCCACTGCACTCCAGCCTGGGTGACAGAGCAAAACAGCGTCTCAAAAAAAAAAAAAAAAAAAAAAAAAAGTCTAAATACAAAGTGTGAAAAGGTGTGGCTCTGATTATTCAAAGGGAGCTCTGGAATGTCGTGTTTCCAGTCTGGATCTGCTTGATATCCTCACACTGTTTCACCCTGTGGCCTGTATAATTCTGGCTCCTCTCTTCCATCTTAGGATACTCATTGCAATGATGTAGCAGCAGTTTATTGTGCAATCAAGATGTGCCCTTTTGTTTTCACTGGCCAAGGGTGAATTTGAAGTTCCACCCTAAGTCAACCCTTCTGGGAAAGCAATAGAGAGTGTGTGTGTGAGAGGGTGTGGGTTGCAGGGGTTGGTGTAGGGGCATCTCTGCTCCTGACTTAGACAATGCTGAGCTCATCAGGTCAGAAGGTGTGAATCCATGAGACTGGAACTTTGGCCACTTGGAGGTGCTGTGGCTCCACAAAGCTGTGGGGAACCCTGGGGAGGGGTGGAGGGTGACCCAGGAGAGGACGGCTGAAGGGAATGCTTGGCTGCGTGCTGGCATCAGGAGGCGGTTGGAATTCAGAGTAGGTCCTGGGACTGCCCAGGGCAAGGTAGGCACACCAGGGACCTCAGTTTGCATCAAGGAGAGAATGTCTTTGCCTCTGCATGGGCAGTGGAGGGTGAAGAGGCTGGGGCAGCAAGGGCTGGGAGTCAGTGCCAAGAAAGTGACAGGGGTTGTCAGAGAAAAATAAGGTGGGATATGGGCATGTGGAGACTGTGTTCCACCTGCCCCACTTTTAATTTCAGGGTTGTGTAGGACAGGAATGGTGCAGGAAGCAGCAGAGCCTGGGGTCTGACAATGGGTAGAGCAGGCAGGGGTGGCCTGCAGGGAGAGTTACTGGGAAAGGCCGGTTTCCCAAGGAAATGCCTGAAACATTCCTGCCCCACTCAGGAAATGACCATGAGGTGGGTGCTGCCAGACAGAGGGGTTCAGGCCCTGCAGAGCTGACAGGCCTTTCCCAGGCACTCCCTGCTGCTTCTACATGTGATCTGCTTTAATGCCCACTGATATCAGGTAGGGTAAATATGATTTTACCTGTTTATACATATGGGGGAAGCAGCTGTCCCTGTTCTCATGTTTAGTAACCGGCTATAGTCAGTTCCTCCAACACCTCTGCACGCCGCCCTGCTCTGTACATGTGTCCTCTCCTCTGGCTTCCTCATTTCAGATCCCCGTTAGCAGGAGGGAAAGATCATGTCTCATATGTGGTCATTAAAACCTCTTCCCCGACAAGCCCAAGGAACTTCCAGGTCAAGCATCTACATTCATCCTTCACTGTAGGAAAGAAAAAGAAATAAAATTTTCTGCACTGTGGACTTTCTGTAACTGATGTAATATACCTTGAGGAAAATGAGCATAAATAGTTGCTATTCATTCATTAATTAATCTTATTCTTTTACTCAATAAACTTTTTGAGGATCCTTCTTTGTATAAGGTATTCTGTGACATAAAATTGAAAAGAAAAAATATTAAGTGGAAAAAATGTTTCTTGCTTTTTAGAGTGTTAAGGTTTGCATTTATTTTTTAAATTGTTTTCTTTATTAAAAATAGTTTACTGATTTCTAAATTATACAAATTTACTTTTTTCTCTTTCTTTGGCTAACTAGTCCCATTTTAGACAGCCATTTAATTTAACTGTGGTAGGAATATGTAATATGAAATATATCTTTTTAACAGATTTTTGTATGTACAATACGGTATTGTAATCTACGGGCAAAAGGTTGTACGGCAATCTCTAGATCTTATTCATCCTCCTTAACTGAAATTGTATACCATTGACAGCAACTCTCCATTTACTCCAATCCCCAGCCCTTGGAAATTACCTTCACCTTTGCTTCCGTTACTTCAATTATTTACGTTCCATCATATAAGCAGAATCATGTGGTATTTGCCTTTCTGTGCCTGGCTTATTCACTTAGTGTAATGTCCTGTGGGTTTATCCACATTGTCATATATGGCTGGATTTTCCTCTTTTTAAATGTTTAAAATACTTCTTTGTATGCATCTAACATGTTTAAGGTCTGAAGTATAAAATGTGTCATATCTGACTGTTTCTATGAAACAGTCTGTCACATGACTGGCAGTCATTTGCAGAACTGCAAGCACTGAGTACACTGATGCACATTCACAGTTCAATTCTGCTTCATGGAGAAGACTTAGAGAAAATATTAATCTAATCATTCATTATCATTTTATGATGCACAAAATAGAAAGCCTTCATTAGGAAAATTTCAATTAATTAGAAATTCAACTATACGAAAACATCTTAACGTGCAAAAGCTATTCTCATTTTACAGGTAGAGGAATTGGCCCATAGTTTAAATTACTTGACCAAATTAAGTAGGAATTAGGATGCAGTACTGGGGTTCTAACCCTGGTCTATCAAAGCCCTGTATTTTATAGCTATATACTATAATCTATTTCATAACAAATGATGCTTATCTTCACAAAAATTCAAATGTTATCTCCTAGGTCCCTTTCAGACCTGCTGGCTCTAATAACATCATAGACAGAAATCAGTTTACCCTGGGCGGGGGGGTGGGAAACAACTATGAATGGGTACCATGACATCAAGCCTGACTCCCATTCTAGCACCAGCTCCTCAAGACGTGAGGCCAGTTCTTGACAGATTTGGCTTAGTTTGTTTTCTGTTTTTTTGTTTTTGTTGTTGTTGTTGTTTGTTTGTTTTAATCTATGAAATGAGACTGCTACTGTCCATCTGCAGGGCTGTGTACAAAATTAAATAGCATAAAGTATCTAGCATGTAGCAGAAATCTAGATATTAGGTTGGTGCAAAACTAATTGAGGTTTTTGCCGTTACTTTTAGTTACTTTTAATGGTAAGAACTGCAATACTTTTGTACCAACATAATATTTTCATTTCCTTTGATAATCTCAGATAGCCTCTTTCACCATGCCAATGTGCAAAGGCAGATACGGACATATGATACCTAGAAATCTTAGGTTGAGGATTCAGAAGTCACAGAAATGGAAATATACATTTCCTCTGATGATTTATTTGATGAAATTAACTAATTAACTAAAGAATGCAGTATGGATCCCTCTTGAGGCATTTAAAAATCAATGTTGTTGACATATAAATTATACAATGTAAACATTATACATTTTAAATGAACAGATCAGTGATTTTTGAGCAATATATATGTATATGCCCTTATAATCCCCACCCCTCTTAAAATGTAAAATATCCCCACCCCTATTAAAATGTAGAATATCTCCAGAAAGTTCCCTCGAACACCTCTGCAATGCCTATCTTGGTCCCAGAAAACCAATGATGTAACTTCTATCACTGGAGAGTAGTTTTGTTCACAAATATTTTTAATGTCAATTTAAAACCCATACTGATTAATCCTCTTGAATACATAGCTAAATAATCAAGGCAAGGAAGAGTTTCTGGGAGGTTTTATGGTTTTAGAAGGGATTGAAACCATGAGAGCTACCTTGATCCATGGTAGGAACGATTCTATCTGGAGATGGATGTTGTGCCGAAATAACCTCAAAAGGTCTTTTCAGCTGGTAGAAGCTGATTCGACAACATTTATTTATTCATTTTCATTCATTTCTTTTCTTCTCCATTCATTAACTCAAATTGTTTAGTAATGATATCCTGATAACAGTTAATTATCTCCAAGGAAATTATTTTGAGTTCCCATAGGACACACATGCAGCTGGTTTTGTGTTCACACACTGAGAACGCTGGCGTCAAGCAAACCATGGTAACAGAGACTTCATTGAAAGATGATGTTACATTGGGAGAAGCATTCTTTTTGCCTTAACCCCAAGTGTTTAACTCATAAATCCTGAGCCTTCAGCTAGAATTCATCTTCCTGTTCTGGCCCTGTCCTGGGCACTAGGATGCTGAGCTGTGTGTTCCTGTCTCTTGAACCACAGGAGTCCTGGGCACGCACATGAAACCCACTAATGGGCTTGTTGGATCCCAGCTGTGACTTTCAGCACCAGGTGGCCCTTAGCTGTGACTTTAATTTCTGTGTTCTTCACTGCTAAGTGAAGCCCCATAGACGCTGAATGACCAGACCTTGGTGATGCATTGTGCTGAAAGGAAACCAGCACAGGGGGAGGTGAGCAGAATATGAAACAAAATCATGTATTTACAACCAGCGACAGGACTTACTGGCAGATCCTTTGTTCAAACACTATTAAGAATTTAAAAATCATGACAGCAGAGTGATAAAGCAAGCGTGGGATCCTTCTGAATGCAGGGCTCTGTACACCGAAGATACAGTTTTTGAGCTCCTTTTCATTTATTACTAAATTAATGGCAGGAATCCTGAACGAAGGGATATTCCCTATGAGACATGACACCTCAAATAAAACGAGAGCATTTTTCCTTATCTTGAAGTCTGCTCCCTCTCGCCAAGTCCCTCACTCATCAGGACACCTTTGTGCTCACAAGTCTTCAGCAGCGCTGGGTGGCCACCATTGTCCACACAGAGAGGGCAGTCAGCAGCATGAGGTGGTTCTGCCTGCTGTGGTCTCACCCCAGGAACAGAAAGCAAGACTCCTGGATGGAGCTGAAGGTGCTCAGCTGGACTTGTCAGGAGTCCCATCTGTCAGTGAATTGACAAGAAACAGAGCAAAACGTCTCCTGCAATGTTGATGAGCCTGCCCCTGGGATTTGGAAACCTGATAACAGAGAAAACCAATATAGACACAGGACTTTAACAGGATTATGGTCAATTAAGCAAATTGGAAAAGGATACTTGAAGGAGTATTTGGGACACAGGAATCAAAAACACCAGGGAGACAAGAGGATTTTTCCTAAGATTCTAGACTACAGCAATACATAGATAACTAACACCAGAATATTAATGAGGAATTATATCATTGCAGGAATAAAATTTATATTGAATTACAAACTGTTTGCACAAAAGTCAAGAAAAACTTGAAAGCCTTATATCAAGAAGCATTCTTCCCATCCAAACTTCAGTGGTGCATTTATTTTGGATTTGACCCTCTGGGGAAGGGCCATGGCCTCTCTCGACAAGAAGGTTCTGGGGACCAGGCAGAGAGAATGAGGTCTCAGGATGACTTCCTTGACAGCCCTGTTCCCCTTTCATCAACACACAGACCCAGAAGACCTCTCTGTCTTGTAGCATCTGCCATGAGCATCAGGCTCCTGTGCTGTGTGGCCTTTTCTCTCCTGTGGGCAGGTAAGTCCTGGGCAGGGCCCATGTGTAGATTTCAAGACCCAGAGCCTTCCCATTGAGGCTGCAGCATTGGCTTTGTTCTCCTTCTCTGTAGGTCCAGTGACTGCTGGGATCACCCAGGCACCAACATCTCAGATCCTGGCAGCAGGACGGAGCATGACACTGAGATGTACCCAGGATATGAGACATAATGCCATGTACTGGTATAGACAAGATCTAGGACTGGGGCTAAGGCTCATCCATTATTCAAATACTGCAGGTACCACTGGCAAAGGAGAAGTCCCTGATGGTTATAGTGTCTCCAGAGCAAACACAGATGATTTCCCCCTCACGTTGGCGTCTGCTGTACCCTCTCAGACATCTGTGTACTTCTGTGCCAGCAGTGACTCCACAGTGCTGCACAGCCATCTCCTCTCTGTACATAAATGCAGGGGAGGCTCTGCCCTCCTCCCCGACCCCAGACTCAACCATGTCCTTGGCAGAGTTCTCAGCACTGGGAATCTTGGAAGCCCAATGGGTGCCGGGCAGTGTGAGCCTCAGTCTGTGCCAGGTGCCTCTGCAGGCAGTCCCAGCCAGGCCTGGACTGGTCCCAGAGCCTCAGAGGTCTCTTTTGTTTCTCTCTGGTCTTTCTTCCAAGCTATCTTTTTGGGATGGGACCAGGGCTTTCCCAGCTCTTACTTTTCTACTCATCATCCTGAGTCCGAGGTCCACAGGATGGAACAGGATTTGTATTTCAAATCTGTCTAGACTCCTGTTTCTCTCTGGGGGCCACGTTGCTTCCTCTCTCCAGGGTTTCCTCCAGTACCCACTCTCATGTGGTCTCACCTGTGGCCCGCCTTTCCCATCTGAGCAGTCACCCCCGAAGGCCTTGCTGGGCCTCTGCACACCACCTCCCCTCGCCTTTCTACTGCAGCCATGAGGCTGCCTCTTCTGTGCCTCCTTCCTTTCCAACACAGAGACCTCAAAGGCCATTTCCTCCACCCTGGGCTAGTGCCTTCCTTTCTGCAGTGGTCAGCTTCTACCTGCACTTCTGATCTCAGCATGATCAGCCTCTCCTGCTGGAAGCACTCCCTCAACTCTCAGCTGAGGTCAAATTTCAGTTTCCCTCTCATAAGCTCACAGAATCATGTGCCTCTTAGTAAAGTTCAGCACCATTGCAATTTTTCCAACACTTGTTTTATTCCTTTTGTGCTCCACTTAATTTTAAACTCATGAAGCTGAAGGCTGAGCTTGTTACATTTACCACCAGCAGTGCCTGGCAGGCAGGGAGTCCTCATTCATTTCACAGAGAATGGATGGGTGAGTGACAGGTGAGTGAGTGATGAGTGGGTGAATGAACCAGTAACAGGAACACACTAGATTCATTGTACCCTGGCAGAGGTCTAGAGTTAACTTTGCCTGAGATGCTCTGTTATGAGCTCATCAAGGAGCACTCACTTGTTGAACAAGCATAGGACCATGCATGGTGCAAGCCAGTTTGTCAGTCTGGGAATTTCCAATTTAAAATATGATGTGTTCTTCAAGCTGAATGAGGGTAAACTCTCTGTATATAATTATAATATCTAAGCTATTTCTTAAAGTTTTGGGTTAGGATCAAAAAAACCCCTGAAGAGGGCACATTTGTAGATTTAGGATTTTTAAAATATATTTATATTATTTTCCCTTGGAAGAACAGGATGGGAATGGCCTTATAGTTGCTAATTTGTGGAGAAGGCATCATATAAAAGTAAGAGAAAATCAGAATTGTGTTCTAGAGGGTAAATTGTGGCTGTCCTGAGAGCATGTTCCCCAGGAACCTAAACCATGAGCATGTTCAGGAACCCAGAGTGCAACAGACAATTCTTGGCCCCATGAATTTGGTGGTAAGACTGGAGACAGTTGGAAAAACCATGGAGTCTTGAAGTTCTTCACTCTCAATGCAGGCCTCTCTTGAACACCACAGACTAATGTCAGATAAATATGCTTCCACTATTAAGACTATTAAAACAAGAACCAATGAAGAGAAGTGAGCAGAAACAATAAGCAATTGAAGTGTTTGAAGACAAGAAATTTTTACCATTAAAAGGTATGAAAGTTTGTAGAACTATATTTAAAGGAAATTGAAATGTGAACAAGAAAAAAAGACTGACAGAAACCATCAAGATAACATTAAAAAAAAATCAAATTCAATACAGAAATGATTAAGATTATCACTGAAAACAAAATGGAAATGAAGAAAGATGAAATGCTTCTAAGAGATTATTAGTGATGTCAAGGACAGAGCTGAAGAAGTTACATAGAATGCAGCACCGAAAATTAAATATGTAACTTTAGAAAGAGCTTAAGGGTGGTTTCCAGCATAGTAGAATATATAATTTTTAATTATATATATTTATTTATATAAAGTTATTTATATTTATATATTTAATTATATATTTATTATATAAAAATATATAATATAATAATATATAATATATAATATATATTATATAATATAGAATATATATTATATAATATAGAATATATAAATATATTCTATAGAATATATTATATACAATATATAAATATATATATTTCCCATTTTTCTTATAGATAATTGAAGTTTCAGGAAAAGAAAGTAGAGGGAATAAGTGATTGTGATGAGACATTAGCTGAGAATTTTCCAGAGGTGGTTCAGGACCTAAATTCTCAATTTCAAGAATTCAAATGAATATGAAATAAGATAAATGTTTATATTATAATGAGATTGTGGAACATAAGTGACAAATAGATGATTCTAAAAGCTGTCAAAAAGAAAAGATAAATCTCTCCTAGTGGAATAGACTGAAAAAATCAATGAAAGAAAGAGGATCAGAAATAACCATTTAGTAGGAATTATAATCCCCATTCATTAAACACTGAGATGGAGGAAAATATATTTACAAGTGGAAAAATTAAAAAAAAAGACTATGAGTTTTCCAATAAGGTATCTTTTCTGAATTATAGTCAACAAAGGTGGGAAGTGGTCCCAGAAGAAAGGCATGAGGTGCAGCTTGTGAGGGAACCCATGTGTTGGGACAGCCCCGTTGGGCACGTGTGACTGGGGGATGGAGGAGGCTGGGGCATCAATGGGGATGGCATAGGGGACCCTGACTTGCAGGAAAGACAATGAGCTCATCCCTTGGTGCCTTGTGTTGGGGGCGCTGTTGGCACATCCTAGAGAACATGCCCAGCAGACAGAGGAGCGCCTGTGTGGTGAGGAGATAAACTCAGAAATGCAGCATGAGGCCTGTAGCTCCAGACAGCTCTAGAGCACAAAGTGAAGACCGATGCATTGATGTTGTTTAAAGGGAGCTAATAAATATCTAAAGCAGTCATCCAAGTGTGTTCTAATATAAATCCTGTGTTCCTGAGGTTGTGGGGATTGAGAGAGGAAGTGATGTCACTGTGGGTACTGTTCTGTGTCAGGACAAGGACGTCCCTCCTCCTCTGCTCCTGCTCACAGTGACCCTGATCTGGTAAAGCTCCCATCCTGCCCTGACTCTGTCATGGGCACCAGGCTCCTCTGCTGGGCAGCCCTGTGCCTCCTGGGGGCAGGTGAGTCCTCAGACACCAACCAGTCTCATTCTGTGTGTCTGTATGTGTGTGTGTGTGTGTGTGTGTGATGAGTACAACTGTTTTCCTCATCCTGTTCTCAACTTGTGTCTCCGCAGATCACACAGGTGCTGGAGTCTCCCAGACCCCCAGTAACAAGGTCACAGAGAAGGGAAAAGATGTAGAGCTCAGGTGTGATCCAATTTCAGGTCATACTGCCCTTTACTGGTACCGACAAAGCCTGGGGCAGGGCCCAGAGTTTCTAATTTACTTCCAAGGCACGGGTGCGGCAGATGACTCAGGGCTGCCCAAAGATCGGTTCTTTGCAGTCAGGCCTGAGGGATCCGTCTCTACTCTGAAGATCCAGCGCACAGAGCAGGGGGACTCAGCCGCGTATCTCCGTGCCAGCAGCTTAACCACAGCATGACACAATCGCCTCCTTCCTGCTCATAAACCTCCTCCTCTCTCTCCTTGCTTCCTTATGATACTATTTTGCACCAGGGGATCCTCATCTCACACCACTCCACTGCCTCTTCCAGAATCATTGCTTGCATGTCCGCTGCTCAGATCAGCAGATGTGCGTTGTATATGTTAATCATTTTCTGTGGAAGGCTCGTTGCTGGTCTTCATTATCCATCCTTATTTTCCACATTGGATACTGCTCCCTTCAAGATTACTTGTTGCCTACAAAAGATCCTACTTTTTACATTCAAATTTTACTTTTTATTAATACGTATTTGATGCCATCTTGAAGGCAATCTCATTATCATCCTAATCTTTTGCTAATCTTTATGTTTATGGTAACATTGATTGTTATTTTGGGGGACATGTATTTCATCTTTGGTAATGAAATGAAATAACTATGCACTTCAATTCCTGTATGTTCTGCCTACTTAAGAGTAAATCCAATTTTCTTCCATTCCTCCCATTCTATCCCACTCCCTTTATATGATAGTTTTAAGGGAGAAAATATTAATTAGACTCTAACTGCAGCTATGTGATAAGAGTTATTTAGAATGAGGGTGGGATATTAAGCTTTGAGTAAAGCAATAGTCAGGGTTAGAACTAGTGTTGGAATCAGGGTTTAGGGAAGTTGCTCATAAAACCTGCAGGATGACACTTCTAGAATAGTCTCTCACTCACTCTGCAGACACTTCCCAGCATCCCTTGGGCCATTGCAAAAGCAATGATGAAACTTCACGTATTGGCCACAAGATGGCACTGTGGTCCACTGGGATCTAAGGGACTCTGGGGAGAGCCTGGGAGAGCAGCCTAGGAAGGGAAGGGTTAAGAAAAATTAGGGCTGGAATCCAATATTATGCAGATGTTGCAGCAGTTTTCAGTCATTGCTAGGCTACCTACAGCTATGCAAGATGCAGGAAATACCTCTAATCTTTAATGAGATCCACAGTTGAAGAATTTTGGCCTGGCAGCCTTGGTGTCAAGCGCAGGTGCAAGCAGAGGAGCAACTGCCTCAAAGGAACGTGGGAAAGCTAGGGGCGGGCTGTGCCCTAAGCTCAGTATGTCTCTGCTGCACCCCATCTTCCCTGCAGACCTCGCCGGGCAACAGCCTTCATGAGAGGAGGTGGATCCTGCCTGAGACCAGTCAGAAGGCCCTGGACCAGCTGGACTCCGTAGGCATGGGGGGTGACACCACAGGCCCACCAGACTATTCCCTAGGGAGCAGCCTCCGAGCCCCAGCTCACAGTCCTGAGGATCACTGCACTTAGTTGGGCCAGCCCCTCCTCACTCTGACCCTACCATGAACCCCAAACTCTTCTGTGTGACCCTTTGTCTCCTGGGAGCAGATAAGTTCTGGAAACAGCTGCAAAACCCTGTCATGGGTTTGCAATGTCTGGGCTACAAGCCTTTTTTGTCCTTTCTTCTGCAGAGTCCCCCTATTTCTTAAGTCTTGTCTTCACTTTCTGTCTGCCTCTCCAGCAGGCTCTATTGATGCTGGGATCACCCAGATGCCAAGATATCACATTGTACAGAAGAAAGAGATGATCCTGGAATGTGCTCAGGTTAGGAACAGTGTTCTGATATCGACAAGACCCAAGACGGGGGCTGAAGCTTATCCACTATTCAGGCAGTGGTCACAGCAGGACCAAAGTTGATGTCACAGAGGGGTACTGTGTCTCTTGAAACAAGCTTGAGCATTTCCCCAATCCTGGCATCCACCAGCACCAGCCAGACCTATCTGTACCACTGTGGCAGCACATCCGCAGCCCTGCACAGCCAGCTGCCCTCTGCACAAAAAGGGCAGTCACAGGCTGGAGGTGGGCACTCCTTATGGAAGCCCGTGTCTCAACCAGAAGAAAAAGCTGCCCTTTCTGAAGCTCTTCCCAGACTTCCCAGCAATGGGATCTCATTCTATGTGTGCTCCTGCAGCATAAAACTTAGAGTGAGCTGGGTCTGTCACTGTAGTGCGGATGTGTAAATGCAAACAACGTAATGTTATTTTGCTCAATTTGGAATATTCTGGTAATTGTGCAAAGGAATGGTAGCTTCTAACAAGAAATTCATATTTCACTTTCTTTTCAGGAGAGAAGAAAAAAGCAGAAAGCAGCTGGGAAGCTTTAGCCTGCTTGAGTGATCTGGGATTCTCAGGTAGCATACATAACATCACCTTGGCTTTGGTTCCTTTAGATACCAAGCATGTGTTCTGTGGAGGACAAGAAAATCCATTTTTTTTGTTATAAAGTTATAAACACACAAGAGAACAATCCAGTTAGGGAGAATGTTAATAAATACAACAAACTCTGCCATTAGACCTGAAGATAATCAGCTAGTAGAATTATCAAAGAGATTGTAAGACTCTTACTGAGTACCTGTTTGAGGTCCTCTGAGGATAGATGAAGGAAGGAACTTAATTCTTACCATCACTGTGGCTTGGATTAGAATCCATGAGTTCCTTAACTTGTTTTTCTTGTAAAATATTATAAAATAATATAGAACACACATTTTATTTTCCTGTAGCCTGTAGTCCTCTTTAGCACCTAAAGGGAGAAGCGCATATCCCGGTGCAAAAGGGAGCTGGTTGCTTGCTTGGCAAAAAAATGAATTCACCAATTGGCCAATCTGCTGAAAGTCAAAATGAAAGGCTAATATATGAGACTGATGACAGTTCATGGTTCTTGGTATAACTTCAACAGCGAGTGAGCATTTTTTTCTTTGTCTATAGCTTTCTTTCAGCCATCGATCCTCAGTTGTGTCTTAGCCTCTTATCAGTCCAGCTCACTTTGATACTAAATTTGATTGTTGTGTATCTCAGCAAGAAGCACGTCTCACATTCTCTGTATTTTTTGTGGTCATGAGTGTGTTCCTGTCTTATTCTTATTTTATGTGGTGCATTTCTAAATAGGACTGTACAGAATACAAGCATCTATTTGTATATGACTCTCATCTTTTATGGGGAGAGGTCAGAGTAGGTGAGCGTGCACTTTGATTCTCTGCTGGAATCTCTTTGGATTCTATGTCCCCTGTCACATGGTTTATTTTCATATGCATATTTCTCATGGTTCTCCTGACTCTTTTAGCAATGCTCATTGCAGGATATTAGAAATTGTATTACTTCTAATGGCAGAATGTTAGAAATTGTGTTGACTCTTAAGGCAAAATAAAATACCTGGACTCACCTTTCCATTGCTGTGTCTATTAGTCGTGGTCCTGGAGATATCAAGGAGGGACAAAAGGAGTATTTGCAAAGGTGTGGCAGGGTTAAGGGAACCCAGTAAGAGAAGTAGAAGTAGCCTAAGAACAGCAGAATCTGTGGCTCTTATTCACATTGGCCTGAAATAAGTAGGAGAGGATGTGGATCCCAAAGCATCAGGTACTGTAGCTCTAAGGCAAGGCTGCCTATAAGGTGCTGTGGACTTTGGTAGGGAAAAGTAACCTATATAAAATAATGAAGCAAGAGGATAGCCAGGGCATAGATGAATCAGAACAAGTGGTGCCCCTACCTCCCTCTACTCTCCTGCCATTGTCTCCCATTAGCCAAACTCACTCTGGAGTTAGAGAAGAAGAGAGCCAGTTAACATAATACACTGAGGTCAGCCTCTGAAGGCAGGGTGGATCTGGAGAAATTAACGTAAATTATCCAGATCACTACGCATAAGATGGCCTTGAGGGTGCTGAATCCCAAACTGTCTGGCTAGGTCTGTGCTGTGAGCTGATAAAGCCCTAGTATTATTTCTGGGGAATCTGTACTCTTAATAATTTACAGACAACCAAGGTCTGCTTTGGATCTGATCAGATAGACTAAATCTTGGGGACTTTGCACCACTGGCCACTCAAGGGAGGGGCTGGAAATATTTTCTGAGGACAAAAAAATAGAATTAGAAAATTTGGTTGAATCTAGCGTCAGAGAGATGACATTAGGACAGCCAGGGAGAGCTGGAACAAGAAGGTTTAATCACAGGCTCCTCACCCTCTGCTGATGGGCAGGTGTGTGAGCTCCAGCATGGAGCACGACAGCACTAGGTGGGAGGAGGGTGAGAGGGTGATGGGGCAGCCTGGGAGCTGGAGCAGTGTAGGCAGAGGAGCAACTGTCTCATCACAGAAGCTTCTGCCCTCACCCAACCCTTCTGCTGGACAGGGAGGGAGTTCAGGTTGTGGGGAGTACTGGACCTCAGGAAGCATTTATAGGGAGGACACAGGACAGTGACATCACAGGATACCCCACCCATCAGGAAAATCAAGGCCCAGAACTCACTTGGCCCTTCCCCAGGAGGACCAAGCCCTGAATCAGATGCAGTGCTGCCTGCCCCACTGTGCCATGGGCCCTGGGCTCCTCTGCTGGGAACTGCTTTATCTCCTGGGAGCAGATGAGTCCTGTGCACAGAACAGCAGCCCCATTCTCAGATTTCCCACCCCTGTGTCCTCCACTTTACACTGGGGAGGACCTCCAGGCTGTCTGCTGTGCTCATCCTCCATCTGCTTTTCCCACAGGCCCAGTGGAGGCTGGAGTCACCCAAAGTCCCACACACCTGATCAAAACGAGAGGACAGCAAGTGACTCTGAGATGCTCTCCTATCTCTGGGCACAGCAGTGTGTCCTGGTACCAACAGGCCCCGGGTCAGGGGCCCCAGTTTATCTTTGAATATGCTAATGAGTTAAGGAGATCAGAAGGAAACTTCCCTAATCGATTCTCAGGGCGCCAGTTCCATGACTATTGCTCTGAGATGAATGTGAGTGCCTTGGAGCTGGGGGACTCGGCCCTGTATCTCTGTGCCAGAAGCTTGGCACAGCCCTGCAGAGTCACTGGAACTCTGTGCACTAATCTCTCTGCTTCCGTGTACAGCAGTCTCAGACCAGACAGCTGTGAGTACCTGGGGCCTTCAGGGGGAAAGATAAACAATTTCAGGACTCTGAACAAGGCTGGCGGAAACAAGGCCAGGAGGATATGCTCAGAGGATGGTGCTGCTTCAGGAGGTTCACGGCAAAATTACTTTCTTTGTCGGATGCTGTACACTATAGTGATAGAGTAGCTGGCACTCTCCTTTTTAGAAAAAGAAATTCATTTTGGTGTCAGGATTGTTCGACAGATGTGTAGTATAGAAGGTAAAATCTCAAGGGTTTGCTTTATATAATTAAGGGAGAAGAAATTGAGATTTGGTTTGGAGAAACTTGAGGAGAGAGAACATGATTAAAGATTATTAAATAAATAGAAGTAGAGCTACCAGATGATAAAAAATTGTGTTCTCTGCAACATAACCTGTCAAAGTTTTCAATTGCTAGAAAATACGCAGCAAGGCCTTGTAGCAACTGGCATCACCCCGAGGCCACTCTATGATGGTCATCACCACGTAGCCAGTTGCCCTGTGGGAGGGCCCTGGAGCTGGTTCCAATGTCTTCCTTCTGGACTTATATCTCAATTCTCAAAACAGAGGAATTCATTTCACTGCTGATGGTAAACAGATAAAGGCTCTCCCATTTCCCCAAAGATACATTCTGCTTCCCTTGTATCTCTTTCTGACACTTACCGCCCAGATCCATTACCTTCTGTGATCAAACACCTCTTTGAATATTTCCTAAAACTCTGCAGCCTTTACATTCTCTGCATTTGTGCTCAGTATTTCCATGGCCTGGAAGGACCTTCTGTCTCCCAAGAAACAGCCAGACCCTGCTTATCGGTCAAGGATGGGCTCACACCTGCTTCCTCTTTGCTTCTTACCATGACATTCCCCAGCATTGTACTATACCACCATCTTTATTATTTTCATAGGAAAAGCCAAGTATTAATTAAATATATAATGAATATTATTTGATGTTGTGAAATCTATGTTAATTCCTGCTTATATAGAGTTCTGGAATATTATTACTTTTATTCATGTGAGGGATATTATTAACCACTAACTATTTCCTGGTTAGAGATCAAAGTCACTTCTGTGTAATGATAGCAAATGTGAGAACCAGCTGAATCTGTTTGAATTACAGCTGGCAGTATTATTCATTTCAAAATTTTTATAATTTAGAAGTAAATTTTTAAAATCTAGAAATCCTTTTGTGAAATGCACTGTCTAAAATTTAGTAATAATGAACCTAAATACAAAATATGAAAACATATGGGTGTAATTAACTGGGATTAGCTGTGGAATATAGGGTTTCCAGGCTGGGTTTCCTTGATAGCATCACACTGTTTAATTGTATGGCCTTTATAATTCTGGCTGGTCTCTACCATCTTAACATATTATTTGCAATTATGTAACAATTGTTTATTTTGTAATCAAAATGTTGGTTCATGTGTCCTTTGACTCCATTGGCTAAGGGTAGATTTGAAAATCAACCCTAAATTGACTCTTCTGGGAAAGCATGGACGGGGTGTGTAAGAGGGTGGGGGTGGCAGGAGTGGGGGCATCTCTCTTTCTGATTTGGACAATTTGAGCATATCACGTCAGAGGGTATGAATCCATGAGACTGTAGACTGTTGGCCACTTGGAGGCGCTGTGGCTCCACAGTGCTGCAGAGAACTCAGCGGAGGGGTGGGAGAGTGGCCAAGAGAGGAGGACTGAAGGGGATGCCCTGGCTGCCTGCTGGCATCAGTAGGGTGGATGGAATTCCCTGAGTGGGGCCTGGCCATGTAGAGTTAAGCACAGACTATCATTGCCTTGAAAGAGTTGGGGTGCCAGAGGCCTCAGTTTGCATCAAGGAGGGAGTGTCTCTGCTGCTGCACGGGCAGTGGAGGGTGAAGGGGCTGGGGTGGCAAGGGCTGGGGAATCAGTGTCAGGGCAGGGACAGGGCGGGCAGAGGAAAGTAAGGTGTGATGTGGGTATGTTGGTACTGTGTTCAGTCCTCCTCACCTTTAGCTTCTGGCCTGTGCAAGACAGGAATAGTACATGGAGTAGCAGAACCTGAGGCCTGCCAAAGAGTACAGTGGGCTGGAGTGGCCTGCAGGGGAAAGTATGTCAGTGTGGTGACATCACAGGTCAATGCTCCTATCAGGAAGAAGGGAGCTTAGGAACTTCAGAATGCTTACTACAGAGACACCAGCCCCAAGCTAGGAGATCCTGCCATGGGCTTCAGGCTCCTCTGCTGTGTGGCCTTTTGTCTCCTGGGAGCAGGTGAGTCCTGGGCACAGCTTGAAAGTCTCCGATCTTCATTTCTTGTCCCTGAAATGCATGTGGGCCAACGATGGCTTCAGCAGGAGGCTTTCTTCTGTGCCTTATGGTTAACTTTTGTCTTCTGACACACAGGCCCAGTGGATTCTGGAGTCACACAAACCCCAAAGCACCTGATCACAGCAACTGGACAGCGAGTGACGCTGAGATGCTCCCCTAGGTCTGGAGACCTCTCTGTGTACTGGTACCAACAGAGCCTGGACCAGGGCCTCCAGTTCCTCATTCACTATTATAATGGAGAAGAGAGAGCAAAAGGAAACATTCTTGAACGATTCTCCGCACAACAGTTCCCTGACTTGCACTCTGAACTAAACCTGAGCTCTCTGGAGCTGGGGGACTCAGCTTTGTATTTCTGTGCCAGCAGCGTAGCACAGCCCTGCATGAGCATCAGCCTTCTGTGCAATAACATTCCTGCCCCACTCAGGAAGTGACGGTGAGGGGAGGGCTGCCAGCCAGAGGGGCTCAGGCCCTGGAGAGTGGACAGGCCTTTCCCAGGCACTCTCTGGTGCTTCTGTATGTGATCTGGTTTACTGCTCACTGAAGCTGTGTAAGCGAAATATTATTTTACCTGTTTATATATCTGAGGGACAGCAGATGTCCTGGGGCTCATATTTAGTAGCTAGCTGAAGTCTATTGTTTCAACACCTCTGCACTGTCCCTCCTCACTCCGGAGATCTGTCCTTTTACCTGGTGTCCCCTTTTTGTGTCCCCAAGAGCAGGATGCTAAGGTCATATATGAAACTGTGATCATGATAACTTGTTCCCTGACAAGTCCAATGGACACATGATTTCCAGGCAAAACATATCCATCTATTCTTTATTGTGATTTAAAAAAAAAAGAAAGAAAAGAAAGGTGCAGTTTTCTGCTCTGTAGCCCTCCTATGGGCAAGGCCAGGTCATCTCTTTTATGGAGACTGTATGAGGAGGGAGCTTTCCTAGGTTCACAGCAAATAGCAGGAAACGTTTTTTATGGGGCGTGTAGTCTTCCTGTGGCGGATGCAATCTGCCATCAGTGAAAGGACATGAAAAATTGTTATTCATTAGTTAATATTTTTTATTCTTTTTTTTTTTTGAGATAGAGTTTCACTCTTGTTGCCCAGGCTGGAGTGCAGTGGTGCTATCTTGGCTCACTGCAACCTCCACCTCTTGGGTTCAAGCAATTCTCCTGCCTTAGCCTCCCGGGTGGCCTCCACCACACCTGGCCAGTTTTGTGTTTTTAGTAGAGGTGGGGTTTCTCTTTGGTGGCCAGGCTGGTCTCAAACTCCCAATCTCAGGTGATCACCTGCCTTGGCTTCCCAACGTGCTGGGATTATAGAGCCATTGCACTAGGCCAATTTTTTATTCTTTATCAATAAATCTTTTGGGGCATCCTACTTTGTACAAGGGATTATATCACATGAAATATACAATGAAAAAAGATAATTGGAAAAAAGGGAAATTTTTTAAAAATGAAGAAAAGGGTGTTTCTTGCATTTGAGGGTATCAAAGTCTGTAATTTTTGGTATATTCTAATTAGTTTACTCAGTTTCTGATTTATACGAATTTCCTCTTTCTTCTCTTTCTCTCTTTGGCTACCTACACACTTTTGCCAGATTTTTTAAAGTTTTTAGTAACAATATTTAACATGAGATCTACCCTTTTTATAGACTTATAAGCACACAATACAGTTTTATACTCTGTAGTCATAACGTTGTACAGCAGATCTCTAGATCTTATTCATCTTGCATGATTGAAATTTTATACCCATTGGCAGCAACTCCCCATTTACCCCATTCCCCAGACCCTGACCGCTACCATTCTAGTCTTTGCTTCCATGAGTTGGACTATTTTAGATAACTCATGTAAATGACATTATGCAGATTTTTGTCTTTTTGTGATTGGCTTATCTCATTTAGCCTAATGTCCTACCAAGTATAGTGGTGACAGTTTTACTTCTATCTTCCACAGTTCACTCGAATAGCTCCTTGACCAACTGTAACCCAGAATCATAAAGATAAAGGCATTCTTAGAAATATAACTTCTTGTCCTGGCTAAGTTAACTTAACACAACCCGGTACGGGATGGATTCTCCCAGGTTGAGGCATCTGGTCACATACGAGTTTCAACCTATCATGGTCCCCAGGATCCATTTTTGGCGGCACCACTGCTGCCCAGGTGACTGTGGACACAACTTAGATGTCTCTGTCCTAGATTTTCCAGGCCCCAGCTACTGGCTTTTCTTTTAACCTGTGCCGGCAGTCTCCCTCCACTCAGACGCAGGGATCTGCCTCCTGCTCCCATCTCCGTCCTGAACTTCCGCCCTGCTGGAGTTGCATGGATATCAGGGCCCCTGGTCAATGTGCGGCAGCCCACGGAGGCACTGGGAGGGAAGCTCACCTCTAGCTGCCTTCTGGGGCCCAGTTCTGTTATACCCCAAGCAAGTGCTCTGGTCTCCCTTTGGGCTCCACAGTATGAGAAATGCACTTCATGGATTCATAGCTGACCCCTAGCTCAGTAATCTGATGACAAACTTTGAGTTTCACTCAAAGTGAAACTCTCAGAGCTGAGGGACTAGCTCTGCATTTCTCTGATGAGGGTAAGAATACAGTGCTGTAGAGATGCCTTCTTCCCTGTGTAGACCTGGCACTAAACAGGAAAAACCAGACAGGGTAAAAGTGCCCAAATATGTCTGAGAAGACTGAAAGAAAATTTCCTAAGAAAATCCTTCTCCTGACTTCATTCAGTTCCTAGTAAGACACACCTCACCCTCTGACCCCCATATCATCTGGTCCCCCCAGGATATCACACGTCCTAGTATCTAACCCCACAGCAACTAATTCAGATACTGGCCTCTTTCCAACCTCCAGAAACGGTCTTGCCAATAGAGTTTTGTTGGCCGGGCGTGGTGGCTCACGCCTGTAATCCCAGCACTTTGGGAGCCCGAGGTCTGGTCTGGTCACCTGAGGTCAGGAGTTCCAGACCAGCCTGGCCAACATATTGTGAAACTCCGTTCCTTCCAAAAAAAAAAAAATTACAAAAATTAGCTGGTCATGGTGGCACATACCTGTGGGAAGCTGAGGCAGGAGAATTGCTTAAACCCAGGAGGCAGAGGTTGCTGTGAGCTGAGATCTCATCACTGCACACTCCAGCCTGGGCAACAGAGCAAGACTCCATCTCTTAAAAAAAAAAAAAAAAAAGAGTTTTGTCCTCTGACCACCAGGTCTATCTAGATATCTAGGCAGATTTAATTTACGATTAATTTGACCTCTTAATCCCATTAAAGGGAGAATGAAGAGCGTATGGTTTCAATGTAAAGTATATTCATTTTATTTTGAATGAGTTGGAACTAAGTAGTAAACTGAGGATATCACTCCATTATAGTCTTAAAACAACCCATGGTAAAACAAATCTCTTTACTAGGACTTTCTTTTTCACATTTTAGTTCCTAGTTACCCAGAGTCCAGAATAGTTAAGAGTTGAAGAGTCATGACTGAGATGGTCTGTGGGGGTTTATAAATGAGCATTCACTTGTTGAACAAGCCTAGGGCCACTCTCTATGGAAGCAGTTTGTCAGCTGGTTTGGGAATTTTTAATTTAAAATATGGTACGTTCTTTATCTTGTATAAGTATAAAGTCTACAAATATAATTTGCATATATAGGCTAGTGCCTGAAGATTTGGGTAGGACAAAAAGGAAAGAAGAGATAATATTTGCAGATTTAGGAAGTTTCATTATATAAAACTTCAAGGGCTCAGGGGCTCTAATTTGTGAAGATAGTATAATGAAGAAGAATTAGAAAATCAGAACTCTCTTCTGGAGCCTACACTGGGGTTGTCCTGAGAAAAGATTATGATATGAGGAACATAATCCATGGTGTGCTTAGCAGCCCAGAGTGTAGCAGACAGTTCTTGACTCATGCAGTTGGGGGGGTGAGACTGGAGACACTTGTGGAAGGTACTGGCTGTTGAGGCTGTGCTATAGCCTCTCCAAAACCCCATAGATGAATGTCAGACAAATATACTGCCACTATGAAGAATATTAAAAGTTAGCAGAATTCATAAACACTCGCAATAGGCAGCCTGAAGGTTTAAATTTTAGCATCATGACATATGACAGTTTGAAGAGCTGTAGTTAAATGCACACAAAAGAGAATTGAAACCTGAACAAGAAAAAAGAGACTCTCAGAAATCATTAGATAACTTTTTTAAAAGCATTGAATGGGATGTCTAGAAATGATCCCTAAAATGACTAAAAGAAAGCAGATAAATTGAAGAGCAGATTAGATGCTCATTGAAGAGATTATTATTGACTTCAAAGACAAATCTTAAGAAGTTACCCAAAACAACACAAAAAATTAAATGTATAATATGAAACAGAGAGGAAGCAACAGAGAAGAAACAATGGAGGTTTCAGTTATATTCGAATATATGTAACATTTCATAAGAATTTTCCATTTATTCTTATGTCATTGAAGTGTCAGAGAAAGAAAATAAGGAGAATGATATGAGGTGATATTGTGTGTGATGCTAGCTGAGAAATTTCCAGAGACATCTAAAGACCTAAAACGTGAGTTTCAAGAATTCAAATAAATCCCAGGTTAAATAGTTACCTCAGTGTTAAAATAGAAGAATATGAATGATGAAGACACAATTTTTCAAGCAGTCCAAGAAAGACAAATATCTCGCAAAGGAATAGACTGAGACCGACAGGAACGGTGAAGAAAGGGAGTTAAAAATATCTATAAATGCAGATTATAGTCCTCATTCATCAAAGAGACAAGGAGACCTCGGCAGTTCATATTCTGACCCCTTGGGCTGGTGACCTGAAATATATTTGGCTGAGTGTTCTCATTTGTAAACCGAATTCAATTTGCAGAGATTTTTTTTTTTTTTTTTGGAAATAGAGTCTCGCTCTGTTGCCAGGCTGGAATTCAGTGGCGCGATCTCAGCTCACTGCAACCTCCGCCTCCTGGGTTCAAGCAATTCTCCTGCCTTAGCCTCCCGAGTAGCTGGGACTAAAGGCACACACAACCAAGCCCAGCTAATGTTTGTATTTTTAGTAGAGATGGGGTTTCACCATGTTGGCCAGTCTGGCAGAGATTTGAGAGAGGTAACTTTAAAAATTAGAGTCATATAAAGTGTAGGTTCAAGAAATCTTAGGTCCCTATAAATTCTCTGACAAATCTCCAATCTAGCACAGTTATTTACTCTCTGAAATTCTGGTAACAAAGACAAGCACAGATTACTTTTGCCTGATTAAATCATGTTTCAGACACAAAGTCATCTAAAATGCAAATATAGTAGTCTGATAGTTCATTATGTAAAATTAACATAAAGAGTTGCCGTTTAAGGAAATATGAAAATGTTACCTCTTATGAACTTCCTGCTTGATAACTGAGTCTGATGTGCATGAAGGTGTGGTGCTCCTAGAAAGATATGGCTTCAGTGCAATTGTACATCACACAAGAGAGCTGATAGAAGAAGGCACAGCTTTATTGGAAAGAAGACCACAGAGGAGCCTCTAGTGGCTTCCATGACATCCTCTCCGCCCACCTCTGATTTCAGCCTTGCTGCTGTGGACGGTGCCAGTTCCCATTCACCTCTTGCTGACAGTGCCCTTCTGCAGTGCCTGCTTGGAATGTTGCTGCTTCCTGCTCTGGGGTCTTCTCTGGTATCTGAATCCACTTGGGCTGTATTCAAAGACAGCCAGAGGTCCTGATGCTCCTGGTGGAACAGGACGGGGACAAAAGCTCCAACCTGCCCATTCATGCAGATACTCCAGAGAGCACCCTATGCTCTTGGAGGTCCTGATGGATTCCGTCTCCTGTTGCCCCGCCACAAATACAATATTGCACCTTTATCCTGGTTTCTCCCTTCCCTATTTTGTTTTCCTTGCTCTCTTACTTCTTCCTGGAATCATTTCCCAAATAAGCTACATGCACCCAAGTCTCCCCATCACAGACTTTGTCTTCAGAGACAGACTAAACTGTGGCAGTGATGGAATGAAGCGACCATCAAAAGACCCTACCTTTTGAAGGAGACAACTGTTTATCTTTTATTCATATGGCTACCCATTCATTTAAAAAGTCTTATGATGATGTATATAAACTAATCTTTTCCAAATCCATTTGGATTCATCTGGAATTCCCAGCGTTCTCAGGATGGCTCTCTGCTCCCTTAAAACTTCAAACCTATTTTGAACTGAATAAACTTGGATTCTGTTTACAGAAGTAGAATCTGCCTGGACTCAGATAATCATTCATTCCTTTCTTCATTCAATAAATATTTAATGAATTATAGGTGAAGATTAGATTCAAGTTTTGTGGCGCACAAAGCTGATACATTTTAGGTAGCTCTTTGCAAAAGAGAGTGCAAAATAGCAAAGAGTTGAAAAGACCCTGTGCAAGTGAGAAGGCCTGAGGTTATTCTTCATCGGCTTCATGGCAAATACACAGGTACTGTCCAGGTACTTGGGAAACACCAGTGCAAAAAACAGACAAAGCTTCAAGTTGAGGTAGACGATTTTAACACATAATTGTTATAATTTATTATACTTAATAATAAATTAATTTAAAAGTAGAAGGATATATTCCTGGTAGATGCTTATCTTCCCGGAGAAGTTAGAGTGTCATTGAGAATATCAACATTCTTGGTAAATCATACCTGATTTAGGGAATGATCCTTGGAGCTCTGGAATTCTACGTGCCTTACCTTGCAAAATGAAGGTCCTGATCTGAAAAGTTTTTTTTTTTTTTTTTTTTTTTTATGCCCTGGCCCAACCATGAGGATTGGCTTCTTTGCTGTGTGGCTCTTGGTCTCCCAGGATCAGGTGAGTTCTGGGCATAGATGAGAAAGTCCTTCCTGGGCTTGTCGGGCCCCAACCACGGCCTCCTATGGGGGTGCTCATGGGCCTCCTCCCTGTCTCCACTTCTGATTCTGTGTCCTCTCTCACTGGAGCATGATTGTGGGAATTACCCATCCAGGTTGCATCAAGATGTGCAATAGATAGCCTATTGTATCTGAAATAACTATTGCAGTGCTATGGACTACATGTGAGTTTTGCACCATAGCACGTTTACAAATCCATCAACCTTCTCCCATTTGGTGAATATAAGATCTGCTGGATGGGAATAGAGGATTTTCCTGTGACCCTAGAGACTCCAGGTAGGTGTAGTTCTTGGTGAACATTTCATCCATATTCCTAATGAGCCTCCTCTTTTCTTCACAGGAAGTACAGTCACTCAGGGGACTTAGATGGGGCAGTGTTTGTGGCTTCACCTGAAGCAAAGGGAGAAAACACCCCCATGAGAATACACAGCAGCCTGAGCTTGGATGGTGACATTCCCATCAGGTGTAATGAGGTGCTACAGCATGTAACAAGTCTTCAAGCGGTCATGACCTTGAACCTGGAACTTGGAACTTGGAGACATTTCTGGATGTCATTTAACCGAGGGTATCCCTGTATGCTGGCATACAAGTGTCCAGAGGTTAAACGAAGAGGAAAATAATTCAACTTGGAGTTGAATTTTGTGCAGGAAGTCATAAAAGTCACCAGGACTGCTATGACAATGTTCTTTAGCCTACAGAAATATTCATAAAAGTGAAAATAGTATTCAAATAAAGAATTTCTCATGATGGAAATAAAATATACATAGAAGAACAAATTCCCCTATTAAAATCAGGGAAAGAGCTTAGGAGTTTATTAGATTTCTTTCAAAACAGACCTAAAAATTATTCAACTCTGTTATAAATAATTTGTTCCTGCGGGGAAGAGAAGGGGCATGGCAGGTTAGCTCCGCAGTTCAAGCATTCAGCAGGAACAGTGACATCATCAAGTCACTGAGAGCCCAACTTCAGTCTGCCCACAGCAGGGCTGGGAGACACAAGATCCTGCCCTGGAGCTGAAATGGGCACGAGGCTCTTCTTCTATGTGGCCCTTTGTCTGCTGTGGGCAGGTGAGGGCTGGTCACAGGAGGGCCTCCTTCCCTGGAATTCCCAAGGCCTCAGTGCAGGCTTTTCTGTTGGGATGACAGCATCAGCATCTGTTGTTCTCTATTACAGGACACAGGGATGCTGAAATCACCCAGAGCCCAAGACACAAGATCACAGAGACAGGAAGGCAGGTGACCTTGGCGTGTCACCAGACTTGGAACCACAACAATATGTTCTGGTATCGACAAGACCTGGGACATGGGCTGAGGCTGATCCATTACTCATATGGTGTTCACGACACTAACAAAGGAGAAGTCTCAGATGGCTACAGTGTCTCTAGATCAAACACAGAGGACCTCCCCCTCACTCTGGAGTCTGCTGCCTCCTCCCAGACATCTGTATATTTCTGCGCCAGCAGTGAGTCCACAGTGCTGCACAGCTGCCTCCTCTCTGCACATAAAGGGCAGTTAGAATGACTGAGGTTGCCTGTGCTCCCAAGTCCCAGCCTTCACAGGAGTCGGAGAGCCCTGGCTAGCCTGGGGGCCATAGAGCAGGGGCCATATAAACCTTGATGTTGAGGTCCATTCCTACCCCAGTCTCAGACCAACTGGAGGTCACCCCAACACCCTTAGCTTCTGCAGTTCCCTCTTTCCTTTTGTAAAATGGAAAAGGCATCTTTAGTCGAGATTCCTAATTTCGTTGAAAATTTGAAACCCACCATATTCTTCTCTACCCTAAGGGCTGGGTGACTTTTCCACATACCCTTTCCCCTACCCTCTACTGCCTTTCAACTCCCAATCATAAATCTTTGCCCATGTGGTCTCTGCTCCTGGGGGCCCTTTATTCTAAGGGCAATAGACCCACGAGGTCCTATATCATTAGCCATTTACGTACCTCTTCATCATCATTTTGCACCATGTTTTCCCTGGCTCTCTGCTCCAGCCACACTCCCTTACATGCAGTTATTTCTTCATATGTGTCTGTTGTTTTCCACCCTGGGGATTGTTTATATAAATTCTTTCTTCTGCACTGAGCATACATACCACCCACTTAGTCCTACATCTCTACTTCATTTCTTAAATTAAAGTGTATTTCAGGCACACTTGCTCTTAATTGTAAAAAGCAAAAAAGAAAGTTTACTAGAAAAATTTAAGAAAAGCATTTTATGCATTCAGTTGAGGGATGACATTTTTAGAGGAGACAAAAAGCCACAAGCCAAAAGAACAACATTCATAACGCTAGTTGCATTAAATTGTTTCAAGCCAAAACACACCATAAAAAATAAAGTTAAGCTACAGCCTGGGAAAGGCATGAGGAATGCATACAAATGATGAAAAATCAGTGTGACAGAGAACATTCAGTGTAACAGAGAACATTCAGAACATCACTGAATACCTGTAGCTCCTCCATGGTTTCTGGTCTCCCTTGCAGTTGGAGGGGTGGGAACATGTCACCAGGTTCTGAATAGTGGGATAAAATGATGTCAGCTCATTTCAAGCCTGGCCCTTAAAAATATTCTGTGGCACCATGTTGAGGGTCTCTAAATGTACTCCCATGTTTAGAGTGTTGGTATATGGCATAGAGTTGTACTCATGGCTAAGATTTATTAAAGTGTCATAGTAAATACTCTGCAGCAGAACATGTGGAGAAAACACACAGGCAGAATCTGGAGGAATTCACAGGCAGGCTTCCTTATGCTCTCTTCCTCTCAGGAGGGGTCACACAGAGCTCTCTCTCCTCCCAGCAGCAAAAATGCATTAACACACGTGCAGTGTATCTGCCAAGGGAGCCCATTACAGACTTAGCACCCAAGAGGTTTTAGTAGAAGCTGGTCACACAGGCACCTACTTTTTAGCATGAACCAAAAGTCTAGATCCCAAAAGAAAATCTGATGTTCAGCATAATATTATTTGCAACACCAGCCTAGGAACGATGAGCCACCCCTGTCAGTCAGGAGAAACTTTGCATCAGTTCAGGGCACCGTTCACCAGCCAAGCTCCCAGATGTCTGCCAGAGTCCAATCTTGCAAGCAGGACTTTCTAAGCACCGCAGTCTCCAGCCTCCTGTCAACTCTTGTGCACAGACACTCTTCAACTCTCTTTTGCCATGTCCTGAACTCGGGAGCTACACGGTACAGATTGCCTAATGATAATATGGAAGCAGCCTGGCTCACTGAGTCAGAATTTGGTGGACAATCACAGAAGAAAGCTGCTCATGCCACACTGGGCTTTGTGGTCATGGGAAGTAAGACTTCATAGAGCTATGCCAGTGAGATTTTAGGATTTGTTTTGTTTGTTTTGTTTTCTGTAGCACAGCTGTTCTTGTCTAAGAGAATTAGTATCTAGAATGAGTAAAATATTCTTATTACTTAGTATTAAGAAGACAGCTCAATAAAAATAGCAATACTGAGGCTGAGTAGGCAATTCACACAAGAGTGAACATAAGTTACCACTAAACATGAGAATAACTTCGCAACCTTACTTACAATCAGAATATTGCAACCTGAAACAGTAAGTTATGATTTCAAAATTACTAGATTGGATACTTTTCCAAGGAATGACAGTCCTACATTTGAGTAGACATATGGGCTGGTGAAAATTGTTTGTATATTTATTACAAAAGATAATTACAACTACATCAGAAAACCCACTGTGGGATATATTGTGACAAACCACATTTCTGGAAAATTTATCAATGTATTTAAATCACTTGGGTTCCTTTCATTGTCTTTAAGTTCAATAATGGAGAATGCAACTGTCAGTGTTTTTCCTATTTTGAAGGTAGTCTTTCCATCTTTTAAAAAGTATGATAAAATGCACGTAACATATAATTTCATCACTTTATTTTTTAAATGTACAATTCAATGACATTAAGTACATTCACCTTGTTGTGGAATTATCAGCATTATCCATTTCCAAAATTATTTTCATCACCCCAAACAGAAACCCTGTACCCATTAAGAAATAACTTCACATTCTCCCTCCTCTGGCAAACTCTAATCTATTTTGTATATGAACGAATTTGCCTATTTTAGATAATGAATTTACATGAAACCAGGCACTATTTTTCCTTTTGTTTCTGGCTTCTTTCACTTAGCATAACGCTTTCCAGGTGTATCCACATTGTAGCATTTATTAGAACTTCATTCTTTTTCATTCTCAATAATATTCCATTGTGTGTATATAACACATTTGTTTATTCATTCATTAGTCAATTGACATTTGGGTGGTTTCCACCTTGTAGATATTGAGAACAATGGTGCAGTCAAGATTGGCCTGGAAATATCTGTTTGATTCCTTGTTTTCAATTCTTTTGGGTCTATACCTAGGAGTGGAACTTCTGGGTCCTTTGGTAATTCTGTTTCTCGTTTTGAGTAACTACCAAAATATTTCTTTGTTGCAGCTGCACGATTTTGGATTTCCACCAGCAGTGTCCAGTTTCTTCACAACATTTCCAGAACTTGTTATTTCCTTTTCTTTTTCTTTTTTCTTTTCAAAAATATGATGATGATGATTACTGTTTTTATAGCCATCCTAGTAAGTGTGAATGATATCTCATTGCGGTTTTGATTTGCATTTCCCTAATGACTAAAGATGTTAAGTGTCTTTTCTTGTGCCTATGGGCAATTTGCATACCTTCTTTGAAGGTAATATTTATTTTATTTGATTGTGTTTTTAGAGTCGCTGTTGACTTTAGATTTAAGCTGGTGTACTGTGATGATACTAAAGGAAATTGAGATTGAGATTAAACTTCTCTTGGGCGATTTGTTGTGGCTAGTGTTTTTAGTGCAGTACTTCTGAGACATTTTTGGTATACTGTAGAAGAGAGAAATAAGTAATTTATTGATATTTCTGGGAATTAGATTTTTTTTTACAAAGAGAAGAGAGATATAAATAAGAAACGGGAAGATGAGGAAGAAATCTGTGGTGCTGACTTGAATTGGAGTTATTAATGCAAACTTAAGGTTTTAAAGATTATATATTTCCTAACTTTATCCAGAGAAGGGTCTAAAAAACAATACAAAGTAAATAAACGAATGGCTATATTTGCTTTTTTTTGTGCTCCCCAGTAACAATAGGTACATTATTTTATTCCAAATGTTATTCCTTATAAAAGGCTGCTTCCATATCAAGGGAAGGAAAAGTGTTAGAACATCTTTTGGTAGAAATCAAGAAAAAGGTCAGAACCAAGAAGACATGTCCAAAATCCACAGAAGCAATTTCAAGGGGCTCCATTAGCCAAATCCGGGTCAATGCAAGCTTTAAAGAAGAATAATGAGGATACTGAATTGTAACAAGTTATAAAAATCTATAAGGCTATAATGACAATCAAAAGAGATAGATAAGAATCTCTTCATTACGGAAGAATGCTAGTTGATATATCTAATGAGAAAATCAATGCAACCATCCACATAATTATAGACAAATTCCATTAGTAGATGCCTAAACTAACAGTTTTTGTTTCCTTCAATACTTTGAGTTATACTGTTCTACTCTCTCCTGGCCTGTTGGGTTTCTGCTGAGAAATCTGCTGAAGGCCATACTGGGGCTCCTTTAAATGTGATATGTTTCTCACTGCATGCTGCTTTTAGTATTCTTTCTTTGTCTTTGATTTTTGGTAATTTGATTATATTGTGTCTTGGTGAACTCCTTTTTGGGTTGAATTTGATTGGCAGCCTCCAAGCTTCCTGCACCTGGATGTTGCTGTCTTTCCTCAGATTTGGGAAATTTTCAACCATTATTTCCTTATATATGTTTTTGGGGCCTAACAGCATATGTACCTTGTTTCAAAGCATCAATACACAGATTATTACTTAATTACAAAGGGTAAAGGGCACATTCACAATGGAGAGATCTTGGATCAGTCATCTCAAATTAAGCATTGCCAAAATGCATAAAAATGACATTCCATATTCTTGTGATTGACCAGATGCAATGGGAAATAGACATCATCTATGGTGTATATTTTCCAAGTAATTAACCTCTAATAATATGAAAATTTTTATCGTGAGCTGTTTTACAAGTAAGCTGACCAGGACACTTCAAAAATCTATGGTCATGAAAAACAGAAAATATAATAAGTGGGTGGAGGAGATGTATCATTGAAAAGTAACTAAAGAGATCCGACAACTTCCTGAAATACATGATCTTTGATATTGTCCCAGAGGAAAAAGTAAATCAAAACCAAGGGACATGGTTTTGGTGGGGACAAACCACGGCCAAACCGCAGGCGGGGCTCTGGCAAGACAGTAGGAATAGATGGAGTTGGGAGGAACTCCCCCCAGTGCCGCGCAAACACTGTCCAATATTAGCCCTGATTCTACTGAGGACAGTGTAGACATGGCCCCAGTATTTCTGACCCATGAATGGAGGGCCTGAGCCTGGTAACTCTGAACCGTTCATTGACCAGCAGGCGGCACTAGGGTTTGCTGGGGTTGGCTTGCTTTTAAATCAGGGCTCAGTGCTGTCTGAGGAGTTAAGTTTAAAGGAAAAGTGTGACTTCATCCCAGCATCCAGAATCTAGTTTGCAGATGTTTGAGTGTCCTGTGGAATGTGAGCCATTAAACAGAAACTCTTCATCTTCCAGCAATGCCAGTATCCTCTGTTCAGCAGGGAAACCCCAACTGTAGCAAAACATTGAGTGAATAATGTTCTGGGCTTGCATCAGGGATAGATGGAGGAGAGCCAGGAGCCAGCCTGCATGCTCACAGACCCATATAAAGGGAGAACCACTTCCTCCTCAGGAGAACTCAGAGAAACCTTAGCAATTCACCTGTACCCCACACCTAACCCATTCCAGTTGTGCCCTGGATGGTGGACAGGAGGATGTAAAGGGAACATAGGAGAGGGGAGTGGACAATTCCAGACCTCTCCAGATAGGCTTAGCTCAAATAACCTTGCAAATATTCTGAATAAGAGCCAGATTTCCCAGGGCTCTGGCCTTTTCTTCCCTGAGCAGCATGATGATGCTCCATTCCTGTCTTGACAAGGATTCTGTCATGGATTTCTTGGTTGTGCTGCCCAGGAAGCAGGTGAGGCCCAGGAACAATGAGGAATGTCGTCCCTGGACTTGGCATGCCTCACTCGCAAGCACACCATATGTGGGTCCTGTGATTGATAGGTTTGATAGATGGATACGTCCTGTTTCCAGCCACCAGCCTCTATCCCCTGAATGCTGTTGTCAACTCAGAGCCACAACTCTGGTCACAAAGATGGAGCAAGTAGTGGCACCTTAATGTGAAGAAATTTTCCATCATGCAATTGTTACCTGGTGCCTACATGAGTTAGACTCAAACCAGCAGCTGTTTACCTCAGTGATAGAGGATTTATGACAGAAACAGAGGGCTCTTGTAATTCTATACCCACAGGTATTCACCTGATAACCTTCACATGTGTCCCCTAGGTTTTGGGGACTTTGAGCCTGCCTCACTGAACACATATATCCTCGTTCCCAGCTCTCTGGACATGCATCTCCTTGTATTATTGTCTTATGCCAACTCTCAGGTGCTTCATCCCCTAACTCTTCCCATCCTTTACCCCTTAGGCAATGAATAAAAGTATATTTGTGACTAATGTTGCCCCATTAGAAAAAAAATGCCAGATACTAGCCACTGCTGTTCAATTGTAACTTATACTAAATCTGTAAGGTTTTTTTTTTTTTTTTAAGATTTCAACAAATCTGATTTTAGATTTCTTTTTTCTTTTGTTTTGTTTTTTGAGACGGAGTCTTGCTCTGTCGCCCAGGCTGGAGTGCAGTGGCGCGATCTCGGCTCACTGCAAGCTCCACCTCCCGGGTTCACGCCATTCTCCTGCCTCAGTCTCCAGAGTAGCTGGGACTATAGGCATGTGCCGCCATGCCCGGCTAATTTTTTGTATTTTTAGTAGAGACGGGGTTTCACCGTGTTACCCAGGATGGTCTCGATCTCCTGACCTCGTGATCCACCCACCTTGGCCTCCCAAAGTGCTGGGACTACAGGCGTGAGCCACCATACCCGGCCGATTTTGGATCTCTTACTGTATTCACAATGATATTTTCAGGGATAAGAGAGTCCCCACCCATCTTATAAGATATCAGAACTTTCATTACATTGATGACCAAGAACCATAGGCAGAACCATGATGAAGACTTGGTACACAATGCATCATGAAGCTTGATAACAGAAAAGAGAAAGCTGGCCATTGACCTTCACCAAAAATGAACCCTTCCAACTCTCTCTCAGGGTATTATTTTACCCCTTTAGCTTAGAGCATGTCAGCTGGTTCAACATGCTTCTAGGATAAACCTGTGTCAACTACCCCAGCTCCCACTCTGTCTAAGCTCATAGCAATGAGAAAATGGAGAACCTGGTAAGACAGAAATGCCCAGAGAGAAGGATATACAGATAAGACATAGAGGTTACTAATTGTTGTCTGTATTTTGAGTTGCCTTTGACACATTCAAGTAGAAACATGCAGCAGAAGATGGCCCTGGAGATGCAGTGGGTGATCCAATCCCCCAAGCCCTAGAGATGTGAGTAAAGACACTTGGATGAACTTACACACAGTCCATGAATACGCTAAAGCAACTTCTAGCTCTGTTTTAGTTCATAACAACTGGTTTCTAAGAACTTAGGCACTTGTGGAGACAATGATGTTACTGTAGGAACTACCGTATAAGGACAGGATGTCCCACCTCCTCTGCTCCTGTTCACAAGGACCCTGAACTGGCAAAGCTCCCATCCTGCCCTGACCCTGCCATGAGCACCAGGCTTCTCTGCTGGATGGCCCTCTGTCTCCTGGGGGCAGGTGTGTCCTAAGAACACCATGATCATCCCATTGGAAATTCCAGTGATTTCTTCAATCATTTCTGTCTTTCTGTTTTCAAATTCTGTCTTTTTCCCCAACAGAACTCTCAGAAGCTGAAGTTGCCCAGTCCCCCAGATATAAGATTACAGAGAAAAGCCAGGCTGTGGCTTTTTGGTGTGATCCTATTTCTGGCCATGCTACCCTTTACTGGTACCGGCAGATCCTGGGACAGGGCCCGGAGCTTCTGGTTCAATTTCAGGATGAGAGTGTAGTAGATGATTCACAGTTGCCTAAGGATCGATTTTCTGCAGAGAGGCTCAAAGGAGTAGACTCCACTCTCAAGATCCAGCCTGCAGAGCTTGGGGACTCGGCCATGTATCTCTGTGCCAGCAGCTTAGCCACAGCGTTGCAGAGACTTTCTGTCCTGTGCACAAAACTCCAGGGCTCTCTCCGCTCTACTCAGCTCACAGCAGCCTTTCCTTATTCCTCATCCTCTCAGGGAAGAAGTGAGTTTTCAGATATAGCTAGGGTTCATATAGTGGGAGGAAATGAACTATTTTCTTAAAACATGAGCGCTATAGTTGTTGGTTGAAAACATGTCTTAGGGATTTGAAACACTTCTGGGTGGGAATTCAAGAAACCAAAACTGAAAGTGATTTATCCCAGACCTAGTCCTCAGGGGCAGTGATGGTTGTTCTTCTATAAAAAATGCACACAATGTTGTACGTTAATTAAGAAAATAAATAAATAAACTTGAAAAATAAAGACATTTAATCACCAAAACATGTGTGTTAAACTTTAATAATATAGATATTGATTACATGCAAGTAACAAACAGCAGGCCCTCCTTCTGCCGTTGTCAGCATCTGAATGATGTGAATCTTATCTGGCTCTGGAGCCTCTTCTTGACCTCTCACTGGATGTTTCATGCAGTCAAATCTCAACAGACACTGTGTGTTTGGAAATCTTTTCCCTCTGTTTTTGTGGAAATATGACAATAATAATAATATTGTAATGATGATGATGTTGATCATTTCAGCTATTTCATTCAGCACACTTTAAACTTCAAAGAAATGCACACAAATGGTTATCCTGGAAACAATTCCCAAATCTTAACTCAAAATGAATTTTGCTTCTCTGGAGTGCTTTAACTTTTCAGTGTAACAGACACAGCCCAACACTATAATTAGGCCTGGGCCAGCTAGTTCAGAGGCTGGTGAAGACACTTCCACCTGCCTGCCTACTTCCTTGTCTGCCCACTAAAATAGCTCCTTAGTGCATTAGATATTCCTGCCAGAACTTCAGAAGCAATGAGTTGCCCCTGGTCCAGTTGTCTCCTCTGATAATGCACTGTGTGTGTCCAACTCTAGTCTCTACCCTAACTTCTGCCCAGATTCTCCTGTACTAGAACTCATTCTAAAGTACTGGTTAGAATGTTTGGGAAGGCAGCTTCCTGGGAATCCTCCGAAGGACCATGGCTGTCAGTGATTCCCTCGTAACACTTCTTGAGAGCATCTTGTATTTCATTGAACGTAGGACTCCCATTTATTTCAGTCTGTCTGCTCCTGTTCACCTCTGAGATCTCTGTGGCTTGTTTGTGTTGATTTCCTTTTGTGCTGCTTCTTGGTCATTTGTTTGTATTTTTCCTTATAAACCTGATTATTTTTGACATCATGCCAGACACTATGGTTGTAGAAATAATTTTTGGTCTAGGATGGACATATCTTTCTCCAGAGATAATTTTATTGTGTTTTGTAAAGTGCATGGATACATAAACAATCCAGGACTCCCTGAAAAAGAGTTAAAGGCTTGAGGTGTCCTGGAGCCCCTGGAGAACAGGTTTCCTACTAGTTCATTGTTTCAATTCAAGTTCCTCAGTGGTCACCCTCAGTAAGTTCTGGTCTTAGCCATTACCCCCCAGCCTGTGAATCAGCTTCCTGAGAGCTGGGCTGGGATCAGCAAATGCCCCTAAGGGCAGTGACTGCTGTGTTCACTCCCCCAGGCTCCTGCCTTCTCCAAGATTCTGGACCAGTTATCCCTCATAATGTTTTTGGGATATTAATTAGTTTCAGTTTTTGTTAGTGTGGTAATTTACCCAACTATTTAAATAATAACAGAAGGGTTAATTTTGTTACAAGAAAGGGGTCCTGATCCAACCGCCAAGAGAGGGTTCTTGGATCTCATGCAAGAAAGAATTCAGGGTGATTCCACAGTGAAAAGCCAAAGCAAGTTTATTAAGAAAGTAACATGGTGAAAGAACAGCTACCCCATAGACAGAGTAGGGCTTTCCCAAAAGTAACAGGAGGAGCGCATCTACCCTAGGTACAATACTTGTTTATATATAGGATAAGAAAAGATCGTTGAGAGATGTGCTCTGCTACAAGGGTTTGTGATAAAGGATTAACTTTCTTAATTACTATGTTTTGCAAGAATCAGTATTATTATCTTTAAAGAGAAATTAGGAATGTTTCTGTTCCCAAGATATTGGGGTATCATGACACTCCCAAGTCTGGGTCTGTTTAGTAAACATTATTAATCTGTTGCTTTAACCATAAACATCTAGAGGTTAGGGATACCTGATTTTCTGGGAATGCAGCCCAGCAAGGCCCAGCCTCATTTTTTCACGTAAGATGGAGTCACTCTGGTTTGAACGCCTCTGACAATTTGAGTTTCCTCTTCTGTAATTACTCAGATGAAGGTCAAAGAATTTCATTTAAAGTTTTAATTTTCTTTGAATTTCAATGTCTGATTCTTAGTCTGTGATTTGCTTGATATTTAACTTAAATAGCATAGAGGAATGTTTTACTGAAACTTTAATTTCGAGGAAAGAACTTTTTTAAAAACTTGAAGGGGATTTATAATCAAATTGGGACACTCACTTGGTTTTGACATTTTATCATTTAGAGTATTATTATGTTGTTAATTACATAACCTTCGATGCTTCATTCGAACAGGGTAATGAGAATAGAGAGTAAATATTTAAACTTCATCAGATCTTTGACACACCTGACAAAAACAAGCAATGGGGAAAGGATTCCCTATTTAATAAATGGTGCTGGGAAAACTGGCTAGCTATATGCGGAAAACTGAAACTGGACCCTTTCGTTACACCTTACACAAAAATTAACTCAAGATGGATTAAATACTTAAAAGTAAGACCTAAAACCATAAAAACCCTAGAAGAAAACCTAGGCAATACCATTCAGGACATAGACATGGGCAAAGACTTCATGACTAAAACACCAAAAGCAATTGCAACAAAAGCCAAAATGGACAAATGGGATCTAATTAAACTGAAGAGCTTCTGCACAGCAAAAGAAACTATCATCAGAGTGAACAGGCAACCTACAGAATGGGAGAAAATTTTTGCAATCTATCCATCTGACAAAGGGCTAATATCCAGAATCTACAAGGAACTTAAACAAATTTACAAGAAAAAACAAAGAACCCCATAAAAAGGGGGCGAAGGATATGAACAGACGCTTCTCAAAGGAAGACATTTATGCTGCCAACAAACATATGAAAAAAAGCTCATCATCACTGGTCATTAGAGAAAGGCAAATCAAAATCACAATTAGATACCATCCTATGCCAGTTAGAATGGCGATCATTAAAAAGTCAGGAAACAACAGATGCTGGAGAGGATGTGGAGAAATAGGAACGCTTTTACACTGATGGTGGGAGTGTAAATTAGTTCAACCATTGTGGAAGACAGTGCGACGATTCCTCAGGGACCTAGAACCAGAAATACCATTTGACCCAGCAATCCCATTACTGGGTGTATATACCCAAAAGATTATAAATCATTCTACTATAAAGACACATGCACATGTATGTTTATTGCAGCACTCTTCACAATAGCAAAGACTCGAAACCAACCCAAATGCCTATCAATGATAGCCTGGATAAAGGAAATATGATACATATACACCATGGAATACTATGCAGCCATAAAAAAGAATGAGTTCATGTCCTTTGCAGGGACATGGATGAAGCTGGAAATCATCACTCTCAGCAAACTAACACAGGAGCAGAAAACCAAACACCGCATGTTCTCATTCATACGGAGGAGCTGAACAATGAGAGCATATGGGCACAGGGAGGGGAACATCACACACCAGGGCCTGTTGGGGCGGGGGGGTCAAGGGGAGGGATAGCATAAGGAGAAATACCTAATGCAGATGACGGGTTGATGGGTGCAGCAAACCACCATGGCACATGTATACCTATATAACAAACCTGCATGTTCTGCACACGTATCCCAGAACTTAAAGTATAATAAAAATAAATAAATAAAATAAAGTTGATCAGAGAGCAGAGAGTGAACATGGAATTTACTTCATTCCTGCACTGTCGTGACTCATTTGTGCCATGTTTTGTGAGCACACCTGAGGGGCAGGGGTCAGAATTGGAGGGAGTCACAGGTGTGTGGCTATCATCTTTTCCTTCCCAGTCCCCTGGAAAGGTGCTTGGTTCCACATTTTCCATTTGGGGGAACTTCCCTAAAGTGATACACTGGTTTTTGTCTATTATTTGCCAAATGTTTCTTATGGGAAGTGAAATAAGTTATCTTATTTAGTCTCCTCTTCATCTGAGGTTAGTCTCTCTTCATCATCATCCTTTCATCCTGGCTACTGAGAAAAAAAAGTAGATTCTTTTGGTGCTTTTTCAACATACACTAAGATCAGTGGAGAACTTTCTTTCCTTACAGGGTTGGCCTGTAGTTTGCAGGGGAGAGAGAATGGATTAAATTCTGATTCAGAATAGTGTGGGTTGGCCTATTTGCTCTCCTATCTGAGCACTATTAGTTATTAACACTGATATTTTATCTCCACTTGTCTGACTTCAATGTCCACCTCTCAGGTGGTTCCATCTTAGGCCATAGCAACATTAAGATTGCTTTCTGACCTTCTAACACCAACAAATCATAATTCCCATATCTCCATGACTCAACAAAGCAAAGCACAAGTCCCCTGTGTCCTGGCAAGAGAGCAGATTTGTGCTGTTTCTGCCTACTGGCCACAAGGAGGCACTGTGGCTTTGTTGTCATCAGAGTCAAATGGGGAGGGGCGAAGATGGCTCTCTGGAAGATTCTTAAGGGAAACCCTGGGTTTGGCCCTAGATTCAGGGAGCTGGGCTGTCTGGAATGAAGGCTGGGAATGAAGGAATTAGAGACCAACCAATTTGCCTGTATTGTTGTGGAGAAGGGTTTTGCTCTAAACTGAGCTCTGAATGGGGCTGAGTGGCAGGTGTGCTTGCAGTGGATATATGTCTGAGCGCCCTTAAGATGTGGAGGCACAAGTAGCTGGGGTGGTGCAGTGCCCAGGTTCTGGGCTGGGAAAGCAGAGAAGCAGTTTTCATGTTACAGGAGCCTTGGAGAGCCTGGCCCCAAACCCCCAAACCAGCTCAGGCCAGCCCTACCTGCTCTGTTAAAAGTAGAAGGAAGAGCAGGGAGAGACGGAGGTGCTACCCTGGACCATCGGAGGGACCCTGTTCCCCAGGGAGGGGGCAATCACAATTACAACACCAGTAGCATATACACTTATTAGGCAGACACCAGGGTGGAGTAGAACAGAGTTTTCTCCACCAAGACCTTTTGCTCTCAGCAGGAAAATGGCCCAGTCTATTAATAGTTCACCTCTGCTACTCACTTCAGACTCCTGTGTGTCCCCTGGAAGAAGGTGGGGTCTGGGTAGAGATAGTACCTTTTCTTTTGGCTTGAATTAAAGTTCTTTCCATATGACTCGTTCATTTGCCTCTACCTGTATCTTGTATCTAGCTTCTGCCTCTTGTATTCATGTGTGCCTTGGACACTATAAAGTATTTGATTTCTACTGCTGCTGTAATGAATTACCACTGATTTTGGAGGCTTAAACAAAATACATTTGCTACCCTACAATACTGGAGGCCAGGAGTCCAAAATCAGTGTAACTGGGCCAAAATCAAGGTGTTGGCAGGGCTGCGTTCTTTCCCAGAGCTCTAGGGGAGAACTGTTTTTCTCCCCTTTTCAGCTTCTAGAGGCTACCAGCATGTCTTGGCTTGTTACCCCATTCAATCTTCGAAACCAACAGGGACTGACTGAGCCTTTGCTCATGCTGCATCACTCTGACACTCTTTGTCCTCCCTCTTCCACATTTTAGGACCCTTGTGACTACATTGGACCCGCCTGGAAAATCCAGGACACTCTCCCAGTATGAAGGTCAGCTGATTGACAACCTGACTTTGTGTGGAACTTTAATTTTTCTTTTACAAGTAACTTAACACATTCCTAGGTTCCAGAGATTAGACCTGGACGTGGTTGGAGGGCCTTTGTTCTGCCTACCAAACCTAGGAACTTGGTAAGAGGGAGGAAAACAAAATGATCACCTGGAAACCAGAATACTGACCACCGTTTTACATCCCAGGCCTAACAGACACAAAAAGGGATGGAGCCCACAAAGAAATAGACACCTCAGGTCTCACAAGCTCGTCTGTAAACTATTTGCTCCTTAGGATCGGAAAGTACTCTGGGGTGCAGGGGACTCAGCAGTATGCCTCTGTGCCAGCAGCAAAAATGTGGCCCTAAACTGCTCCTTCTTGGTTAGCAATTAACCCAGTTGACCAACCCACAGAGCAGAGGCTTCTCTCAGCTCTGTACACTCTACACCCTGAGAGGAAGTCGGCTTCTGAGATGCAAGACTCTTTTATAAGGAAAAGTCCAGTTGTAAAGATTAAGAAACTTTGAGCTTTGCTAGAGGTAAAAATAGGATGTAAGTCAACTCTGGAGCATTTAATTTCCAAATGTTTATGAAAAAGACAATCTTCTTCCTGTTTTATTGTATGGATAGAGAATGAGAGAGATTCTGTACTCTGGGCTTTGCAAACTCACTAGAGTTCAAGAATAAATACACTCAGAGAGGTCTTTCACTGCAAAGAAGAGCTTTGAAATCGAATGAACTTTCAGGATATCAGTTCGGCTCCTGTATCTCTAACAACGCAGTTGACATGCTTGCCCTTCCTAGGGATCTCAGGGGCCAACTCCTAACTCACTTGTGGATAATTGAAGTGCATTCAAAGGAGTAGGAGCACAGAGACATCAGGGAGAGGAATAGGAGAGTTTGCAGAGAATCTGGCTTGCTGTAAGACAATGAGTTCATCTTGAAATAATTGGAGTGTGAGGTGCAGATGAATATAGTTGGCAAGATCCTAGGTAAGATATACTATAGAGAAGGCTTTATGAATTGGTAATATCAAGACAAATCCACAGAGAGCCTCCGTAGGTGTGCATTTGTGTCTCAGATCAATTATAGTTCAGTCCTGCCTGATTCATCTCCCAGAGATGCAGCCTCCACTTAAATAAGGAGCTTTCAAATTGGAGGTGGTGGCCCATTCAGTGACGTCACTGACAGATGCATCTTGTGTGGATAAAATGTCACAAAATTAATTTCTTTGTTCATGCTCACAGAGGCCCTGGTCTGGAATGTTCCACTTCTGCTCTCACTCTGCCATGGGCTCTTGGACCCTCTGTGTGTCCCTTTATATCCTGGTAGCGAGTGAGTTCTCCGATATTTATTATGGTCATGCTGGACCTCTGTCTAGATGACTCCTTATATTTTCCTTATTCTTTCCCCCAATTCTGTCTTCTTTTATAGCACACACAGATGCTGGTGTTATCCAGTCACCCAGGCACAAAGTGACAGAGATGGGACAATCAGTAACTCTGAGATGCGAACCAATTTCAGGCCACAATGATCTTCTCTGGTACAGACAGACCTTTGTGCAGGGACTGGAATTGCTGAATTACTTCTGCAGCTGGACCCTCGTAGATGACTCAGGAGTGTCCAAGGATTGATTCTCAGCACAGATGCCTGATGTATCATTCTCCACTCTGAGGATCCAGCCCATGGAACCCAGGGACTTGGGCCTATATTTCTGTGCCAGCAGCTTTGCCACAGCACTGCAGAATCTCCCCATCTCTGTGCAGAAACCCTGGTGCTTCCTCTTCTCCCCACAGCTCTCAGCAGTCGTCAGCAAAGTCTTTCCTGCTCTCTGCTCACCATGGCTCACGCCTATAATCCCAGCACTTTGGGAGGCCGAGGTGGGTGGATCATGAAGTCAGGAGATCGAGACCATCCTGGCTAACACAGTGAAACCCCGTCTCCACTAAAAATACAAAAAATTAGCCGGGCACGGTGGCAAGCGCCTGTAGTCCCAGCTACTCGAGAGGCTGAGGCAGGAGAATGGCGTGAACCCGGGAGGCGGAGCTTGCAGTAAGCCGAGATCGTGTCACTGCACTTCAGCCTGGGCAACAGAGCAAGACTCCATCTCAAAAATAAAATAAAATAAAAATTAAGTGGGTTTGGAGAATGACAAAGACAGAAGATGGTAGGATATTAACATAAAAAAAATCATGTGTAGGGGATAATGTAGAAAATGTGTTTTGTGAATTTCTCACAAATTGTCTAAGGAGTCAGAATTCACAGGCATGTAAGATAAACCTTAATTACCCCCACTGTAGGTTTCCTTGTCTCCAGGTATTTGCCATCCGCATTAGCAAGCTGAGAGCTCCTGAGAATGGCTATGTCTTTTGAACTAGTCTGCCCTCTGCATTCTATTTTCACCCTAAGCTGTGAACAGAAATTTCCCCCACAAGTTTTCTTGATTGTAAAAGAAAGTTCTTTTCTATGGCATTCCTTATAATGTTAATTTCAACTTACCATTTATATAGGGATTTTGCATTGCACTTAAAGAGTAAACCTCCTGTGGGTAATACAGGCAGTGAAATAGGTTAGATGTAAGCTGCTCCTCCTGGACTCTAGGGATCTATTTGTCTTTATCCTGCTTAAGGAGAGCCAAGTTCTAGCTGAAGGCCTGTGCCAACTCACAGGACACTGACGTGGTCTCTTCCACTGCCTGCTTGGAGCTATCCACATGTATCCACACAGGCTGTCTAAAAGCACACAGGCCTGGCCAGTCTTACTTTGACCTCTTTCCTCCCTGATGCTGTGTCCTGGACACGCATATCTATATATTTTTTCTGGTTTATGCCGCGTATTTCTACACAGCACTTGCAATTCATTCTGAAGAATTATAATTTCTTTCTTCTATAGTAGTACTTACATACTGATCACTTCTCAACCCCTATCAGGGTATCATTGGCAGGTGTTGCAAACTATTCCTGTATTTTGAGTGCCCAAGACAATTTGAGTTTACCTGAGTTCTTCCATATAGGCCTAGGTTTCACTTGTCATTGTCTAGTTTTGTTATTTAAAGGCCAAGGTTTTCAAGATCACAACAGTACAGAATAAAATTCAGGAATTTTTTAAAATGTACATCAACCGACCTACTCTGTGTTTATCTATTGTCCTGGTGTCTCCCTTGCTCTTTGGGCTTCTCTTTGCTGCCTCCAGATCACTTTCTTTCCTCCTTTTTTGAAGCCCAGCTCCTTACATACATGACGTTAGAACAGGACCCTTCATTGCTGCACTTGCTTTTTTCCCTTCAGAACTCTCTTCCCATTCAGTCCTGTCTGCTACTAATCCTGTCATCATTCTTAACGACTACTCATCCCACAGACCATTTTTACATTGGTTTGGCTCCTCACTTTCTTGACTTCCTCACTTTTGAGGATTTTTTTTAACCTACTTTTTTTTTAAGAATTGCTTCCATGATTACAGTAAATATCTACTGAATAAATGCATGTCTTCCTCAGCTTGGAGATTTCTGAGGGTTGCAACTTTGTCGAATATTTTATCCATTAATCCTAACTGTGTATATTAGACAAGGAAGGTATTAAAAATCATGTTTTAAATCAGAAAATCAATAAATAGATTTAAAGAGACAAATGCAAAACAAAACTGTTTAGAGCTGCTGTTCTGGGCTGAACTACAGATGGACTGTGTAAGAAATAGTAAAATCATCTGGTAATTTCAACTTATCTTTAGAATCTTTGGCCGGAACAGCTCCAGGGAATCAAGGGATCATAGGTGGAAAGAAAGACAAAGAGGTTAAGGAAGTGAGAACTGGCTAGGGTAGCATTCTCTACCTTAAGGTTTTCAAACATAATATCAAGGTCCTCAGTTTATTTGTAATTTTTTTGAGGATGAAAGGAAATTATGCACGTGACCCAAGGTATACACAATAAGGAAACTGACACATGACTTTGCTGAGATGGAATTATATTAAAGTTCTGTGACACTCACAAACTCATCTCATGCTGATTAGAAACTGTGATTGGCAATGCTGTGTGTTACAAAAAAATTAAAAAATGATTCCTTTAAAAACATTATTTCTTTAAATCAGCATTTTCCAAAAATGGGGGAAATATTAAATACTATCCAATTTTGGTGGTGCAAGAAATAAAAAAGCTTAGGGGCTTCCAGTACCCCTGACCCAGCTGACCTTCCTTTCCCAGGTCCATGTCTTTTAATGTGCATTTACTCAGGGAAAGGGAAGTGTGGCTGTGCAGGAAAAGTGGCAATTTAGAAAACACAGGCTCAAGGGCTTGATGGAGGGTCCCAGAAGAGGGCAGGGCACTGGTGATCAGAGGGGATTAGAGGGCAAGCTGCTAGGGTAAGCTGTGCATCAGAAGTGGTTCCTTTTGTTTCCTTCAGCAGTAAATTTTTATTATCATTATTACTTTAGCTGTCCTCCATATCTACTTCTTTAGTATGGCTGGCTACTTCTCTTTCCAACTCTTTATGCACTACCGTGGATCTCACCCTAGGCAGAAACAAATCCCCAAACTCTCACCAGCTGCGCTCATGAAACAACCCTTCCTGGCAGGCTGTGATCTCGCCAAGAGCGATCAAGTTGATCAAGCTATAAACTGACTTCATCACTAGTCTAAAGAGGAAACTGTGGCAAGAACAGCTGCAGGAGAAACCCTAATTACAATGGGAGGAGAGACATAAGGATTTTAAAGCAGTTTTCAAACTAGTCCTTCTCAAGAACCAAACATATAAGGGATCACTGGGAGCTGTCTCTGAAGTGGGTTAAAGAGAAAAGAACAGACAAAGATAAGGTTCTGATGCCTGCTCTCTGTTCCTACAGATCTCTCCAGAAGTCACTGTAGACCTGCTACAATTTCCCTCACTTTGCTGTGACACAGCCTTTCTTCGTTGGTTCCTCCTCCCTATGACTTAAACCTCTCTCCCTCCCCTCCCCTATCTCCATTCTTCCAGAAAATTCCTCTGCCATTCCCAGAGACTTGCAGAACACTGGGGTTTGAAATACATTAAATAGATTTTTTTTTAATTAATAATGATCTCTGTTAAGTAACAAAAGTTTCATATGTGAATTGTGCACAAAAAAATTATAGTAAACTTCTGAGATAATGTTAGAAGGCTTATGTAATGATCAGGCTAGCTTTGATGAAGGAATTTGGGACTCAGGGTGAGAAGACAAGATAAGTTAGTAGACAATAAAATGAGTTGATTTATTCTGTAGTAGTTGGGAACTTGTTTAAAAAAATGGAGAAAGAAATTGTTGAAAACCCTAACTCCCTCAAGAGGTCTGGGAATCCTGTAGCTTACATGGAATAGAAACTGAAAGGGAATCGCTTGAACCCAGGAGGCGGAGGTTGCGGTGAGCAGAGAACATGCCATTCCACTCCAGCTTGGGTGACAAGAGCGAAACTACATCTCAAAAAAAAAGCATGATCAAATTTGAATCATAGCCAAATCTTACAAAAATTTTATGTGAAATATTTAATTTTGCCAAAAAAAAAATTGATGCAATGACCTCTACCCTTGTTCACCTTTTTTTATCTTCACTATGTCACAGAGAGTTTGGCACATAATAGATGATAAGTAAATTTATTTTGACTCTATTGAGTAAATGACAATAATATTTCACATTCTCTCAATATAATAGTTGAATTCTATGTGTACTTTCTTACTTAGCAGAGTTTCACTTCAAAAGGGGCTTCGTCCTCCACATGAAATACAACAGAGAGTCATTATGGCTAGTCTCAATTTTCCATACAACTTCTGCAATATTCCAAGCAAATGTGTTTCCCCAGTCAGGATTAATGACCAATGTTACACAGTATCCTAACCACATCTAAAGCTGGAATTTGCAAACATCCTTTTGGAACAAAGAAATTTATGTTATAATAGTATTTATCCAGTCTCATGATCTGGTAAAATAAATTCTTCACCACAACCACATTTTCCCAAAACCACATTTTTTGAGGCTGGAAACATCATCATCTCAGAAAGCACCCTAAAACACTGTAAGAAAAATTCACCGTGCTCGGTAATAGAATCTTATCATCCTTGCAATAAGAAGATACCGTGTGTATGAGTGCGAGTGTGAGAGTGTGCATGTGTTTATATGTGTGAGTGTGTACACGTGTGTGTGTGCATTTTCTCATGGAGACTCATCCACATGAAAATAGTTTCTCTTTGGATTTCATTACTAAGAGGCACTGGGTGATTGGTGGAGCTCATAGGCAGTTCTGGGGAGTGACAGGAAATGTCAGACCACTCAATCTGCCTAAGTTATAGCTGATAGGGTTGTTTATTTCAAGACTTTCTATAAATTAAGAATTAAATATGAAAAAGCCCAGAGACCTCCATTATAAAATGCACTATCTAAAATTCTGTAAATAATCCAAGTACAAAATATGAAGAGATATGTGTCTGATCAATCAAAAGGAGACATGGAATATCGCGTTTCCAGGCTGGATCTGTTTGATCTCTTCAAGCTGTTTTACTTTATGCCCTGTGTTATTCAGGGTTCTCTCTTTCATCTTATCATATGAATTGCAATTATGTAACATTTATCAGCAATCAAAATATTGGTTAATGCACCCTTTTGTCTCCACTGGCTAAGGGTGGATTTGAAGATCAACCCTAAATTGGCCTGCTTGGGAAAGCATTGAGGTTGTGTGTGTGAGAGGGTAGGGTTTGTAGGAGCGGAGATGCGGGAATCCCTGTTCCTGATTTGGACAATCTTGAGCACATCAGTTCAGAAAGTGTGAATCCATGAGACTCTGGACAGTTGGCCACGTGGAGGCACTGTGGCTTCACAATGCAGTGGGGAACCTTGGAGAGCGGTGGGAGGGTGACCCAGGAGAGGAGGGCTGAAGGGAAGCCTGGTTGTCTGCTGGCATCAGCAGGGCAATCTGAGTTCAGAGTGGATCCTGAGTTAAATACTGCCAGAGAAGGGTAGGGGTGCCAAAGGCCTCAATTTGCCCCAAGGAAAAAGTGTCTCTGTGTCTGTATGGACAGTGGAGGGTGCTGAGGCTGGGGTGTCAAGGGCTGGGGAATGCTTCTCAGGACAGGGACAGGGTGGGCAGGCATAGGAAAATAGGGGTTGTTGTGAGCATGTGGGCACTGTGCTGCACCTGCCCCACCTTTCGTTTAGGGGCCCTGCAGACCAGGAATGGAACATGGAATAGCAGAGCCTGAGGCCTGCCTAAGTATGCAGTGAGCTCACAGTGTCCTGCAGGGCCAGTAACTGGAAAGGCCAGTTTCCTATGGAAATGCCAGAAATATTCCTGCCCTGACTGAGGTTCAGGATCTGGTGGCAGCCTTTCCCAGGCACTCTCTGCTGCTTCTTTTTTTTTTTTTTTGAGGGCATCTTGCTTTGCTCTGTCACCAAGGCTGGAGTACAGTGGCTTGATCTCAGCTCACTGCAGCCTCTGCCTCCTGGGTTCAAATGATTCTCCTGTCTCGGCCTCCTAAGTAGCTGGGATTACAGGCACCCACCACAACGCCTGGCTAATTTTTTGTATTTTTAATAAAGATGGGGTTTCGCCATGTTGGCCAGGCTGGTCTCAAACTCTTGACTTCAAACAATCTGCCTGCCTCGGCCTCCCAAAGTGCTGGGATTACAAGTGTGAGCCACTGTGCCCGGCCCCTCTGCTGCTTCTTTATGTGACCTGTTTTAATTCTGACAGAAATCATTCAAAATAAGTATTATCTTACCTGTTTATACATTTGACTGAAGCAGCTTTCCTGGGTCTCACATACGCTTAGATGGAAGAAACCAGACCTGGCATTGGATAGATCAGTAGTAGTGTGACAGTAGTTAACATCAGCCAATTATGCGTTTCAAAATAGTGAGAAGAGAATAATTCAAATGTTCCTAGTCTAAAGAAAAGATAAATATTTAAGATAATGCCTATCCCAATGACCATGATTTGATTATACAAATGTATCAATGATCATATCTACCTAAAAAATATGTACATCTAATATACATCAATAAATAGTGAATTAAAAAAAAGATAACTGGCTGAAGCCTGTTCCTCCAACACCTCTATCCACTGTTCCCACTCTGTAGATTTGTCCTCTCACCTGGCCTTCCGTTTCCAGGTCCCCATTAGCAGGAGGGGAAGATTATGCCACATATGTGATCATTATAGCCTCTCCACTGACAAGTCCAAGGAGGATATGACTTCCAGGCAAAACATCTTTTCATCTTTCATTGTGACAAAAATCAAGGTTCAGTTTTCTCCACTATAGCAGTTCTATGGGTGAGGCCATGTGATTGCTTTTATGGAGGCTGTGTGAGGAGGGAGGTTTCTCAGCTGCACAGCAAGGAAATAAGATGTTGTTTAAGGAAAGCACAGTCTTCCAGTACCTGATGCAATTTACCATGAGGGAAAAGACACAAATAATTGCTATTCATTAGTTAATTTTATTATTTTTTAATAAGACACAAAGTCATCTAAAATGCAAAGATAGTAGTCTGATAATTAGGTAAAACTAACATAAATGGTTGTGTCTTAAGGGAAAGTAAAAATGTTGCCCCTTACAGCACTTCCTGGTTGATACTGAGTCTGATATGCAAGAAGGTGTGATGCTCCCAGAAAGCTGTGAATTCAGAGCAATCAGCAATCCCACAAAAGAGCTGATAGAAGAATGGGCGGTTTTATTAGAAAGAAGAGGAGCCTCTAGTGCCTTCCACGACATCCTCACTGCCCACCTCTGATTTCAGGCTTGCTGTAGTGGACAGTTGTGTGCAAGTCCCCATTCGCCTCGATCTGGCAGTGCCCTTCCACAGGTGCATGCTGGGAGTCTCTCTGCTTCTTCCCCAGGGCTGTTCCATGATATTATCTGAGCCCACCTGGCCTGTACTCAAAGACAGCCAGAGCTCCTGATGCCCCTGCTGAGACAGAGGACTAATGCTCCAGCCTGCCCATTCATGCAGAAACTTCAGACAGCATTCTGTGTGCTCCTGAGAGGCCCTGATGGATTCCATCTCCTATTGCTCCAACACAAACTCTTTTGTTGTTTGTGCACTTTTATCCTGGCTTCTTCCTTCCCTATTTTATGTTTCGTTCCTACTTCTTCTTCCTGGAATCATTTCCCGAATAAGCTACATGCACCTAAGTCCCCATCACAGACTTTCTCTTCAGGGATAGCCTATACTGTGGCAGTGATGGGATGAAGCCACCATCCAAAGACCCTTCCCTTTGAAGGAGACCTTTGTTTTTCTTTTACTTATACCGCTACCCATTCGTTTAAAAAGTCTTATGATGACATATATAAACTAATCTCTTCCAGATTCATTTGGAATTATTCCTGAATTCTCAGCAGCCTCAGGATGGCTCTCTGTTCCCTTAAAGCTCTGAACCCAATTTGAACTGAATAGACTTGGGTTCTCTTTACAGAAGCAGAGTTTGCCTGGACCCAGGTAATCATTCATTCCATTTTTCTTCCATTCAACAAATCTTTAATGAGCTATAGGTGCAGAGTAGATTCAAGTTTTGTGGGGCACAAAGCTGATACAATTTTAAGGAGCTCCTTGCAAAGAAGAATGCAAAATGACAAAGTGTTGGAAAGGTCCTGTGTGAGTGAGAAGGCCCGAGGTTATTCTTCATTGATTTCATGGCAACTACATAGGTACTGTCCAGGTACTTGGGAAACACCAGTGGAGAAACCAGACAGAGCTTCAAGTTGAGGTAGACACTTCCAAAAAATTGTTATAACTTATTATACTGAATAATAATTAAAAAGTAAAAGGATATATTCCCCATAGATGCTTATGTCTCCAGAGAAGTTAGAGTGCTGTTGAAAGTACTGACATTCTGGGTAGCTCACACCTCATTTAGGGAAGGATCCTTAGAGCTCTGGGATTCTACGTGCCGTATCCCAAAAATGAAAGTCCTGCACTGAAAAGATTTTTTTTTCCCCTGCCCTGGCCCAACCACGAAGATTGGCCCCTTTGCTTGGTCTCCCAGGACCAGATGAGTTCTGGGCATAGATGGGAAAGTCCTTCCTTGGCTTACCAGGCCCCAGCCACGGCCTCCCATGGGGATGCTCATGGGCCTCCTCCCTGTCTCCACTTCTGATTCTGTGTCCTCTCTCACTGGAGCATGATTGTGGGAATTACCCATCCAGGTTGCATCAAGATATGCAATAGATAATCTATTGTATCTGAAATAACAATAGCAGTGCTATTGACTGGATGTAAGTTTGGTGCCAAAGCACGTTTACACCTCCTCCAATCTTCTCCCATTTAGTGAATACAAGATCTTCTGAATGGAAATAGAACATTTCCCTGTGACCCTAGAGACTCCAGATAGTTGTAGTTCTGGGTGAACATTTCATCCACATTCTTAATGAGCCTCCTCTTTTCTTCATAGGAAGTACAGTCACTTATGGGACTTAGGTGGTGAGTGTTTGTGGCTTCACCTGAAGCAAAGGGAAAAATCATCCTCATGAGAACACACCGCAGCCTGAGCTTGGATGGTGAGGCTCCCATCAGGCGCAATGAGGTGCTACAGTGTGAAACAAGACTTCAAATGTTAAAGACCTTGAATCCACAACTTTGAAACCTTTCTGGATGTCAGTTGACTCTTTTAACCAAGGGTATCTCTGTAGGCTGAAATACAAATATCCAGAGGTTAAACAAAGTGGAAAATAATTCAACTTGGAGTTGAATTTTGTACAGAGAAGTCATAAAAGTCACCAGGACTGCTATGACAATGCTCTTTAGACTACAGAAATATTCATAAATGTTAAAACAGCATTCAAATGAAGAATTTAGCATAATGGGAGTAAAATACGCATAGAAGAACAAATTCCCCTATTAAAATCAGGGAATGAGATTACACATTTTAAGATTTCTTTCAAAACAGATCTACAAATTTTTCCCAATCTAAGCTTCTCAAGTATGTCTATAATAAATGATTTGTTCCTGTGGGGAAGAGAACAGATGTGGCAGGTTAGCTCTGAGGTTCAAGCATTTAGCAGGGACAGTGACATCATCAAGTCACTGAGAGCTCAACTTCAATTTGCCCACAGCAGGGCTGGGAGACACAAGATCCTGCCCTGGAGCTGAAATGGGCACCAGGCTCTTCTTCTATGTGGCCCTTTGTCTGCTGTGGGCAGGTGAGGGCTGGTCACAGGAGGGCCTCCTTCCCTGGAATTCCCAAGGACTCAATGCAAGCTTTTCTGTTGGGATGACAGCATCAGTGTCTGTTGTTCTCTATTACAGGACACAGGGATGCTGGAATCACCCAGAGCCCAAGATACAAGATCACAGAGACAGGAAGGCAGGTGACCTTGATGTGTCACCAGACTTGGAGCCACAGCTATATGTTCTGGTATCGACAAGACCTGGGACATGGGCTGAGGCTGATCTATTACTCAGCAGCTGCTGATATTACAGATAAAGGAGAAGTCCCCGATGGCTACGTTGTCTCCAGATCCAAGACAGAGAATTTCCCCCTCACTCTGGAGTCAGCTACCCGCTCCCAGACATCTGTGTATTTCTGCGCCAGCAGTGAGTCCACAGTGCTGCACAGCTGCCTCCTCTCTGCACGGAAACGGCAGTTAGAAAAACTGAGGTTGCCTGTGCACCCAAGTCTGGGCCCCACCCTGGGACGTCTCAGCCCCCATAGGAGTCACAGAGTCCTGCCCAGGTTGGGGGGGTGTCTTAGAGCAGGGGCCATATGACCCTCAGTGCTGTGGCTCTATTCCTACCCCTGTCTCAGACCATCTGGAGTTTGCCCCAACACACTAACCTTGCTGGGTCTTTCTTCTGCAGCTCTCTTTTTCTGCTTGCAGAATGGAAGAGATATTTTGTTGATATTCCTAATTCCCTTCATAATTTCAAAGCCAACATATTCTTCTCTCCCTTATGGGATCAGTGACTTCTTCGTGTAAACCTTACCGTATCCTCTACTACCCTTCAACTCACAGACACAAATCTTCCCCCATGTGGTCTCTGCTCCTGGCTGCCTTTCTTCTAAGGGCAATAGCCCTACAAGGTCATCTATCATTTGCCCTTCACCTGCTTCTCCATCATCATTTTGTTTTTTTTTTTTTTTTTTTTGAGACGGAGTCTTGCTCTGTTGCCCAGGCTGGAGTGCAGTGGCGCGATCTCGGCTCACTGCAAGCCCGCCTCCCGGGTTCGCGCCATTCTCCTGCCTCAGCCTCCCAAGTAGCTGGGACTACAGGTGCCTGCCACGGCGCCCGGCTAATTTTTTGTATTTTTAGTAGAGATGGGGTTTCACGGTGTTAGCCAGGATGGTCTCGATTTCCTGACCTCGTTATTCACCCGCCTTGGCCTCCCAAAGTGCTGGGATTACAGGCGTGAGCCACTGCGCCCAGCCTCCATCATCATTTTGCATTAAGTTTCCCCTGGCTTTCTGCTTTAGCCACACTCCCCTACATTCAGTTACAGCTTCGTAGGTGTAGTGTTGTTTTCCACCCTGGGGATTGTTTATGAATAATAGATTATTTCTACTTCACTGAGCATATGTGCCTCCAACTTATTCCCAGGCCTCCACTTCATTCCTTACATAAAAGTCTATTTCAGGTACATTTACTCTTAACTGTAAAAAGCAAGACAAATTTTATGAGAGAAAAATTAAGAAATATATTTTTAGCACTCATTTGAGGAATTAGTTTTTTAGATGACACATAAGAAAACCACTAGCCATAAAAATATTTGAGGCCGGGCGCGGTGGCTCATGCCTGTAATCCCAGCACTTTGGGAGGCTGAGGCAGGCGGATCACTTGAGGTTGGGAGTTCGAGATCAGCCTGACCAACATGGAGAAACCCCGTCTTTACTAAAAATAGAAAATTAGCTGGGCATGGGGTGCATGCCTGTAATCCCACCTACTCAGGAGGCTGAGGCAGGAGAATCGCTTGAACCTGGGAGGCGGAGGTTGCTGTGAGCCGAGATCATGCCGCTGCACTCCAGCCTGGGCAACAAGAGCAGAACTCCACCTCAAAAAAAAAAAAATTTGTAACTCCAGTTGCATTAAACTAAACTTTTGTACACCAAAACATAGCATAAGAAATGAAATGTTAAGCCACAGCACAGGAAAAAAATGAGGAATGCATGCAGATGATGAAAAATCAGTGTGACAGAGAAGAGTCAGGCTCACCCATGGCTCCTCTATGCTTCCTGGCCTCATTTGCACTTGGAGGGCTGGGAGCATGTCACCAGGTTCTGAATAGTGGGAGGTGAGTAAAAATAATGTTAGCCCAATTTCAAGTCTGGCCCTTAAAAATATCCTGTAGGTCCATGCTGAGGGTCCCTAAGCGTACTCCCGTGTTTAGAGATGTGGTATATGGCATAGAGTTGTACTCACAGCTAAGATTTTCTAACATGTCTTAGTAAGTTGTCAGCAGCAGATCATATGGAGAAAACACAGGTGGAATCTGAAGGAATCCAAACTCAGGCCTCCTTATGCTGTCTTCCTCCCGGGGAGGTCACACAGGGTTCTCGCTTCACTCCGTAGCAAAAATGCATTAACACATGTGCAGTGTTTCTACCAAGTGAGTCCATCAGAGACTCAGCACTCATGAGGTTTCAGAGGAGGCTGGTCACAAGCACATACTGCCTAGCATTAACCAAAAATTCAGACTCCAGAAGGAAATCTGGTGTTCAGTACAATACTGTTTGCAACACCAGTCTAGGCACAACGAGCCGCTCCTCTCAGTTAGGAGAAACTTTGCCAGTGCAGGGCACCACTCATCAGCCAAGTGGCCAAAGATCAGCCAAAGTTCAATCTTGCAAGCAGGCAGTCTCAAGCCTGCTGTCAACTCTTTTCTGCACAGACACTCTTCAACTCTCTTTTGCCATGTGTGGATGAATTTGGGAGGTCATGGCACAGATTATAAACTGGAAGCAGCTTGGCTCCCTGGGTCATAATTTGGTGGACAGCCATGGAAAAAAAGCTGCTCATGCCCCACTGGGTTTTGTGGTCATGAGAGGTAAGACTTGATAGAGTTCAGCCACTGAGATTTTAGGATTTGTTTTATTTTTTTTTTTCTGTAGCATAGGTGTCCTTTTCTAATAAACTTAGTACGTAAATGAGTAAAACATTCTTATTAATAAGACGACAGCCCAATAAAAATGGCAATACTGAAGCTAAATAGGCAATTCACACAAGTGAACATAAGTTACCACTAAACATGAGAATAACTTTTCAACCTTACTTGTAATCAGAATATAGCAACCTGAAATAATAAGTTATGATTCAAAAATTACTAGATAGGAAACTTTTCAAAGGAGTGACAGTCCTAAATCTGAATAGACATTTGGACTAATGAAAACCGTTTATATATCCACTACAAGAGATAATGACAACCACATCAGAAAACCCACTGTGGGATATATTGTGACTAATAGCATTTCTTGAGAAATTATGAGTGTATATAAATCATTTGGGTTCCTTTTCTTGTCTTTAGGTTCAATCGTAGAAAATTCAACTTTAAGTATTTATTTTTCCTATTGTAAAGGTAGTTTTTTAAAACAATCTTTTAAAAAAGTGGGCTGGGCATGGTGGCTCACACTTGTAATCCCAGCTACTCAGGAGGCTAAGGCAGGAGAATCGCTTGAACCCAGAGGCACAGGCTGCAATGAACCAAGATTATGTCACTGCACTCCAGCCTGGGCGACAGAGTGAGACTCCATTTCAAAAAAAAAGGGTGGGTGGCAGGGGGAAATATGTGTAACATATAATTTTGTCACTTTATTTTTAAATTGTACAATTCAGCAGCATTAAGTACATTCACTATGTTGGGAAACTGTCACCATTATCTGTTTCCAATTTTCTTTTCATTGCCTCAAACAGAAACTCAATACCCACTAAAGAATAACTCCACATACCCCCTCTTTCTGCTAACCTCTAATCTAATTTCTTTCTGAATGAATTTGCCTATTGCAGATTATTTATGTGAAACCATGCACTATTTTTCCTTTTGTGTCTTGTATCTTTCACTTAGCTTAATGCTTTCAAGGTGCATTCATATTGTAGCATTTATCAAAACTTCATTCCTTTTCATTTCTCAATAATATTTTGTTGTATGCATATACCACATTTGTTTATCCATTCATTAATTGATTAACATTTGGGTTGTTTCTACCTTGTAGATATTGGGAATAATGGTGCAATGAATATTGGCCTGAAAATATCTGTTTGATGCCCTGTTTTCAATTCTTTTGGGTATATACCCAGGAGTGAAACTTCTGGGTCCTTTGGTAATTCTATGTTTCTCCTTTTAAGTAACTACCAAAATGGTTTTTTTTTGGTTGCAGCTGCACAATTTTAGATTCCTACCAGCAATGTCATTTCTTCACAGAATTGCCAGCATTTATTTCTTGTTTTTCTTTTCAAAAATATTATTATGATGATGATTACTATTTTGTATAGCCATCCTAGTCAGTGTGAATGATATCTCATTGTGGTTGTGATTTGCATTTCTCTAATGACTAAAAATGTTAAGTGCCTTTTCTTATGCCTATGATCAATTTGCACACCTTCTTTGGAGGTAATGTTTTTTGTCTGATCGGCTTTTTTGGGGTCTCTCTTGACTTTAGAATTATGTTGGTGTACTGCGACAATGCTAAAAGAAATTGAGTTTGAACTTCATTTGGGAGGTTTGTGGTTGGTAGTGTTTTTAGTGCGGTACTTCTTAAACATTTTTAATATACCATAGAAGAGAGAAAATGATTACATTTTGATATGATTTGGCTGTGTCCCAACCCAAATCTCATCTTGAATTGTATCTCCCACAATTCCTACGTGTTGTGGGAGGAACCCTGTGGGGAGGTGATTGAATTATGGGGGCCGGGTCTTTCCTGCTGTCTCATGATACTAAATGAGTCTCTTTTAGATCTGATGGTTTTAAAATGGGATTTTCCCTGCACAAGCTCTCTCTTTTATGTTGCCATCCAAGTAAGACATGACTTGCCCCTCCTTGCCTTCTGCCATGATTGTGAGGCCTCCCCAGCCATGTGGAACTGAAAGTCCATTAAGCCTCTTTTTCTTCTCAGTCTCTGGTATGTCTTTATCAGCAGCATGAAAATGAACTAATACATATCGTGATTTAGGGAACTCCTTTTTGGATTGAATTTAACTGGCAACCTCTGAGCTTTCTGTACCTGGATATTGCTAACTTTTTCCAGATTTAAGGAATTTTCAACCATGTTTTATATATGCTTTTGGGACTGGAACAGGATATGGACATTTTTCCAATGCATCACTCCACAGATTACTACTCAGTTACAGAGGGTAAAAGACATATTAAAAATGAAGAGATCCAGTGTCAGTTACCTCAAATATACATTGACAAAACTGCATAAAAATGACATTCCACATTCTTGCGATTGACCAGATGCAATAGGAAATACACATCATCTGTGGTGTATATTTGCCAAGTAACTAACCTCTAATAGTATAGAAATTCTTGTTGTGGCTCATTTTACAACTAAGCTGACCTAGGCACTTCAAAAACTTATAATCATGAAAAACAGGAAATATAATAAGTGGGTGGAAGAGATGTATAATTTAAAAGTAACTAAGGAGAACTGCTAACCTCATGAAATACGTGATCTTTGATTTTGTTCTAGAGGAAAAGTGAATCAAAACCAAGGGACATGCTGAGACAACTGGAGAAATTTGAATGTGAAGTATGTACTAGATGACAATGCTATGTGAATGCTAATGTTTTGGGCATAATAGTGACATTTGTGGTTATATAAGATAATGCCAATTTTTTAGGAGACTCATTTTATTATTAAGGATAAAATGCTTCAGAAATTGAGGGCAAAATATATAGAGAGAGATCAAGCAAAATCACAAAATGTACAATCGGCACACAGATATACATTTTAATATTCTGACTATTTCATTATTCTCTCACCTTTTCCATAGATGCTCAGTTTAAAAAAATTGAAGAAAAATATTAACAGACCAAAATAAAATGTTGGTGTTATTTCAGAGTAATAATGTTGTTGGGTATTTCTTATATTCATTTTTAATATATTTGAAATACTATGTCATTACCATAAAATAAATATATCAAATAAGGTATCTTTTAGTCTAGAGTATACTTTTTTAAATAGGAGACAGGCTATGATTTTTAAGAAAGTCCCAAAAGAAAACAAGAGAATTTGCAGTCTGAGGACAAAGCAGCTTGGTATCTCTGAGACCAGTGCAAAACTTAGCTAGTAATGCATGTCAAGAGGCCTTTTAGCAAATATACAGGACTGTTTTCTCTGTATCAAGAGATTCTGAGTATTCTACAGTTTGGCTGAAAACTCAAGAACTTTCAAAGGTGACTGAATGTAAAGAGAAGAGTAGTGATTTTCCAAAGTTAGGGCTGGACAATATGTATTTGTTCAACAAAGAGGGAGGCTGTCTCAGTTTGTCCTCTGCTGCTATAGCAGAATACCTGAGGCTGGGAAAATGTATAAAGAAATTTATAAGGAAAAGGGCTTTATTTGGCTTGCAATTCTGGAGGCTGGAAAGACCAGTAGGGCATCAACATCTACTGAACTTCTTTTGAGGGCTTTGTGCTGTGTCACAACGTGGAAGAGAAGTGGGAGAAATGAGCAGGCCTGTGCAAGGAGAGCCAGGATGAGCAAGACCCTCACTTTATAACAGCCTGCTTTTATGGTAACTAATCCAGATGCTGGAGAGAGAGAACTGACTCCTGGCATTAATCTTTGATGAGGGATCTACTCCCATGACCCAAACAATTCCCATAAGGCTCACACTACCCCAGAAAAATGTGAGCAATGTGCCTGTAGCAACACCACTACATTGACGAATAAGCTTCAACATGAATTTTGGTGGGAACACACCATAACTAAACTATAGGACAGGCTCTAGCAAGACAGTAAGAACAGATGGAACTGGGAAAAAATTTTCCCTGGTTTCTCACAAACACTGTCCTATATTAGCCCTGATTCTATTGAAGATAGTATAGAAGTCCCACCAGTATCTCTAAGCCATGGACCGAGGACCTAAGTCCAGTGACACTGGCCATCAGAAGGCACTGGGGTTTGATGATGTTCAAATGTTTTTGAAACAGCGCTCAGTGCTGCCTGAGATGTTAAGTTTAAAGGAAAAGTGTGTATACTAGTATCCAGTATCTTGTTTGCAGAAGTTGTGAGTAGTCAGTGAAATGTGAAATATTAAAAAAAAAACCCTTTATCTTTCATTGGTGCTGGCATGTTCTGCTCAGCAGTAAAATCTGAACTGTAGCAAATCTTTGAGTGGAGACTCTTCTGGGCTTGCATGGGAGGTAGATGGAGGAGGACCAGGAGCCAGCCTAAATGCTCAGAGACCCATGCAAAGGGAAAATGACTGGCTCCTCAGGAGAATTCAGAGAAATGTGAGCAATGCACCTGTACCTCACACCTTACCTATTCTAGTCGTGCTCTGGACAATGTATACGATGATGTAAGGGAAATATAGGAGAGTGGACAATTCTAGTTTATGCCAGATAGGCTATTCCAAATTGCAGGTAGTAACTACAGATATTCTTAACAAAAACCGGATTTCCCAGGGCTCTGGCCTTTTCTTCCCTGAGCAGCACAATGACCAGTTCCTGCCTTGACAAGAATTCTGTCATAGATTTCTCAGTTGCGCTGCCCAGGAAGCAGATGAGGCCTGGGAACAATGAGGAATGTCTTCCCTGGACTTGGCATGCCTCACTTGCAAGCACACCACATGCAGGTCCTGTGGACTGATAGGCTTGATAGACAGATAAGTCCTGTTTCCAGCTACCAGCCTCCATCCCCTGAATGCTGTTGTCACCCAGAACTGTAACCCTGGTCACAAAGATGGAGCAGGTAGTGGCCCCTTAATGTGAAGAAATTTTCCATCATGCAATTATTACCCGGTGCCTACATGAGTTGGACTCAAACCAGCAGATTTTTACCTCAGTAGTAAAGGATTTATGACAGAAACGGATGGCTCTGGTAATTCTATACCCACAGGTATTCACCTGATAACCTTGACATGTGTCCCCTAGGTTTTGCGGGTTTGGTGGAATATCTCTGAGTGCACCTCACTGAACACATATATCCTCATTCCCACCTCCCTGGACGTGCATCTCCTTGTGTTATTGTCTTATGCCAACTCTGAGGAGCGCCATCCCCTAACTCCTTTTATTTCTTATTACTCAGGCAAGGAATAAAAGTGCGTTTGTGACTAATGTTGCCCCATTAGAAACAAAAAAGAGATAATGACCACTACTGTTCAACTGTAATTTACACTAGAGGTATAGCTATAAGGTTATTTTTAGATTTCAGCAAGTCTCTTTGATTTTGCATTTCTTACAATATATACTGATATTTTCAGGGATAAGAGAATTCCCCACCTATCTTCGATAAAAATGAGAACTTACTTTCATTGCACTGGTGACCCAAAACTACAGGCAGAACCATGATGAAGGCTTGGTACACAATGTATCATGAATGATAACAGTAAAGAGGAAACTGTTCATCGGCCTTCACTAAAAATGAACCCTTCCAACTCTGTGCCCAGGTTATTGTTTTATCCCTTTAGCTTACAGCGCGTCAGCTTCTAGGATAAACTTGTGTCAATTACCCCAGCTTCTAAGTGCATAGGACAAGGAAGATAGAGAACCTAGTAAAAGAGAAACACCCAAAGAGAAGGATAATTGCTGATAAGACAAAGAGGTCACTAACTGATATCTCTGTTTCGAGTTGCCTTCAACTCGAAACATCCAGCAGAGGATGGGCCTAGAGATGGAGTAGGAGATCCAGTCCCCAAGCCCTAGAGATGTGAGTGAGGACACTTGGCTGAACTTACACAGTCTGTGAATACGGTAAAGCAACTTCGTGCTCTCTTTTAGCTTATAATAATTGGTTTCTAACAATGTAGGCATTTGTGGAGGCAATGATGTCACTGTGGGAACTGCCATGAGAGGACAGGGATGTCCCTCCTCCTTTGCTGTTGCTCACAGTGACCCTGATTGGGCAAAGCTCCCATCCTTCCCTGACCCTGCCATGGGCACCAGGCTCCTCTGCTGGGCGGCCCTCTGTCTCCTGGGAGCAGGTGAGTCCTAGGAACACCATGATCACATTGGATCTCTCTGATTATTTCAATCATTTCCTTCTGTTTTCAAATTCTGTCTTTTTCCTTCTCAGAACTCACAGAAGCTGGAGTTGCCCAGTCTCCCAGATATAAGATTATAGAGAAAAGGCAGAGTGTGGCTTTTTGGTGCAATCCTATATCTGGCCATGCTACCCTTTACTGGTACCAGCAGATCCTGGGACAGGGCCCAAAGCTTCTGATTCAGTTTCAGAATAACGGTGTAGTGGATGATTCACAGTTGCCTAAGGATCGATTTTCTGCAGAGAGGCTCAAAGGAGTAGACTCCACTCTCAAGATCCAACCTGCAAAGCTTGAGGACTCGGCCGTGTATCTCTGTGCCAGCAGCTTAGACACAGTGTAGCAGAGACACTTCCCTCCTGTGCAGAAAACCAGAAAACCGCAGGACTCTCTCCTCTCTACTCAGCTCACAGCAGCCTTTCCTTATTCCTCATCCTCCCAAGGAAGAAGTGAGTTTTCAGATATAGCTAGGACTCATATAGTGGGAGGAAATAAACTTTTTCTTTTCTTTTCTTTTTTTCTTTTTGTTTTTGAGATGGAGTCTTGCTCCATTGCCCAGGCTGGAGTGCAGTGGTGCGATCTGGGCTCACTGCAGTCTCTGCCTCCTGAGTTCAAGTGGTTGTCCTGCCTCAGCCTCCCCAGTAGCTGGGATGACAGGCATGTGCCACCATGCCCAGCTAATTTCTGTATTTTTAGTAGAGACGGGATTTTGATATGTTGGCCAGGCTGATTTCGAACTTCTGACCTCAAGTGATTCGCCCTTCTCGGCATCTCAAAGCGCTGGAATTACAAGCTTGAGCCACTGTGCCTGGCTGGAGATAAACTATTTCTTAAAACATGAAGGCTGCAGTTGTTATTTGAAAATATGTCTAAGGAATCTGAAACACCTATCGGTGAGAATTCAAGAAACCAAAACTGAAAGTGACTTATCACAGACTTAGTCTTCTGGGGTACTAATAGTTGTTCTTCTATTTAAAAAATGCATACAATATTTTATATCAATTAAAAAATACGTAAATTTGAAAAATAAAAACATGCAGTCAATAAACATGTGTGATAAACTTTAATAATACAGATAATGATTGTATGTGAGTAACAATCAGCAGGTTTTCTCTCTGCAGTTGTCAGCATATGAATAATTTGAATCCTATCCTTGGTGACACCCTGGCTCTGGAGCCTCCTCTAGACCTCTCATTGGATGTATTATGCAACCAAATCTCAACAGGTACTATGTGTTTGGAAATCTTTTTCCCCTGTTTTTGCGGAAATATGCTAATAAGAGTAATGTTAAAGATGATGATGTTGATAATTTCAACTATTTCATTCAGCACCCTTTAAATTTCAAAAAAATGCACACAAATGGATATCCTGGCAACGAGTCCAAAATCTTAGCTCAAAATGAATTCTGCTACTCCAGAGCTTTCTAACTCTTCCATGTAACAAACATATCCCAACATTATATGGGGCTAGGCCAGCTAGTTCAGAGACTGATGAGGACACTTTCACTTGTCTGTCCTCATATATTAAAATAGCTCCTTAGTTGATATGGTTTGACTGTGTCCCCACCCAAATCTCAACTTGAATTGTACCTCCCAGAATTCCCACGTGTTGTGGGAGGGACCCGGGGGATATAATTGAACCATGGGGGCCAGTCTTTCCCATGCTATTCTCATGATAGTGAACAAGTCTCACGAGATCTCATGGGCTTATCAGGGGTTTCCACATTTGCTTCTTCCTCATTTTCTCTTGCCGCCACCATGTAAGATGTGCCTTTTGCTTCCTGCCATGATTCTGAGGCCTCCCCAGCCATGTGGAACTGTAAGTCCAACTAAACGTCTTTTTCTTCCCTGTCTTGGGTATGTCTTTATCAGCAGCATGAAAACAGACTAATACATCAGTGCATTAGATATTCCTGAAAGAACTTCAGAAGCAATTAACTGCCCCTGGTCCAGTTGCCTCCTCTGATAATGCATTGTGTGTGTCCAACTCTAGTCTCTACCCTATCTTCTGCCCAGACTGTCTTGTACTAGAAATTATTCTGAAGTATTGGTTAGAATGTTTGGAAATGCAGCTTCCTGGGAATCTTCTGAAGGACTGTCACTGTCCCTCAGCCCCTCCTGACTTCCCTTTCCATCCACCTGACTGCAGGTCCTAACTGATGGCCATGAACTCACTACACATCTCCCTTCCTTCCCTGCAATTTACTCAGCTAACAACACCTCAGCCAGGTGGTGGGTGACCATGACCATCCTCCACTTCCTTGCCAGAATTTTCATTTGGTTCTTTTTCTGATCTATAAGGTTATCTTTTACGGTCAGTCATTCCCTCATAACCTTTTTTGAGTGTATCTTTTATTTCGTTGAGCATAGGACACTCAGTTATTTCAGTCTGTCTGCTTATTTTCACCTCTGTGGTCTTTGTGGACATTTTTGTATGTGTGCTGCTTCTCAGTCATTTGTTTGTATTTTTCCTTTTAAACCTGATTATTTTTGACATCATGCCAGACACTATGGCTGTAGAAATAATTTCTGGTCTAGGATGGATATATCTTTCTCCAGAGATAATTTTATTGTGCTTTGTAAAGTGCATGGATGCATAAACAATCCAGGACTCCCTGGAACAGAATTAAAGGCTTGAGGTGTCCTGGAGACCCTGGAGGACAGGCTTCCTTCTAGTGCATTGATTCTATTCAAGTCCCTCAATGGTCACATTAAGTAAGTTATGGTCTTTGCCTTTACCCCTCTGGACTGTGAGTCAGCTTCCTTAGTGCTGGGCTGGGATCAGCAAATGCCCATAAGGGCAGTGACTGCTGTGCTCACTCCCGAGGCCCCTGCCTTCTCCAAGATTCTGGCCCAGTTATTCCTCATCGTATCTTTAGGATATGAATTAGTTGCAGTTTGTTAGTGTGGTTATTTTACTCAAGTACATAAATAATAACAAAAGCATTAATCTGAGTTCCCTCTTCTGTAATTATACAGATTAAGGTCAAAACATTTTATCTGAAGTTTTAATTTTCTTTGAATTTTAACGTCAGATTCTTAGTCTGATTTGTTTGATATTTGACTTAAACAGCGTAGAGATGTTATACAGAAACTTTAATTTTAAGGAAAGAACTTTTTAAAAACTTGAAGTGGATTTATAATCAAATTGGGACCCTTACTTGGTTTTGAGGTTTTATCATTTGAGTATTTTTATGTTATTTATTACATAATCTTTGATGCTTCACTGGATCATGAGACAAGATGAGAACAGAGAGTGAATATTTAGACTTGATCAGAGAGCACAAAGTGAACATGGAATTAGTTTCTGTTGATGAACAGTCCAACTATGTAAAATATTTAAAGACATTTATTCTGAGCCAAATATGAGTGACCATGGCCTGTGAAACAGCCTTCTGGAGGTACTGAGATCAGTGCCCAAGGTGGTCAGGGTGCAGCTTGGTTTTCTACATTTTAGGGAGACATGAGACTTGAGACTTCAATCAAACACAATTAAGAGATACATTGTTTTTGGCCAGAAAGGCAGACACCTGGAGGCAGGAGTGGGGAGAGGTTCCAGCTTAAAGGTAGATTTAAAATTTTTCTGGTTGACAATTGGTTGTCTCTCAGGTTAAATTTTAAAAGAGCCCTGGCTGGGTAGGAAGTCCATTCAGATTATTGGGGGCCTTTTAATTTTATTTGTGGTTTACACTTCATTTCTGCATTGTTGTGATCCATTTGTGCCATGTTTTTTGAGTACACCTGAGGGCCAGGGGTCAGAACTAGAGGGAGTCACAGATGTGTGACTATCATCTTTTCCTACTTAAGCCCAGGCTTCTGGGAAAACACTTTGCTCCACATTTTCCATTTGAGGGAACTTGCCTAAAGCAATGCTCCAGTTTTATTCTTTCTATTGCTTGCCAAATCTTCCCTATGGGAAGGGAAATAAGTTATTTTATTTAGTCTCCTCTTCATCTGAGGTTCCTCTCTCTTCATCCTCTCCCTTTCATCCTGGCTACTGGGAATAAAAGCAGATTCTTTTGGTGCTTTTTTAAATGCACTAAGATCAGTGGGAAACTTTCTTTTCCTTATAGGGATGGCCTGTAATTTGGAGGGGAGAGAGAATGGATTAAATTCTGATTCAAGACAGTGTTGGTCGGTCTTTTTGCCCTCCCATCTGAGCCGGGTTGTTTATGGATATTAAAACTGATATTATGTCTCCATCTGTCAGACTGTAATGTCCATCTCTCAGGTGGTTCCATCTTAGGTCATAATGTTGTTTTATGACCCTCCAACACCACAAATTATGGTATCTCGTTTCCCCATGGCTCAATAAAGGGAAGTGCAAGTCCTTGGTCTTGACAAAGAGCACATTTGTGCTGTTCCTGCCTACTGGCCACCAGGAGGCACTGTGGCTTCACTGTCATCCAAAGTCTATGGGGGAGGGGCTGGGATTGCTCCCTGGAGGATCCTTAATGAAAACCCTGGAGTTGGACCTAGAGTCAGGGAGCTGGGTTGGAGGTACCTGCAATGAAGGCTGAAAATAAAGGGATTAGAGACCAACCCTTTTGCCTCTTGATGCGGAGATGGGTTTTGCTGTAAATTGAGATTTGAATAGGGCTCTGAGTGGCAGATGGGCTTGCAAGTGGATGTAGGTCTGAGCTCACTGAAGACGTGGAGGCACAAGGAGCTGGGGTGGTGCGGCGCCGTGTTCTGGGCTGGGGAAAGCAGAAAAGCAGTGTTTGTGTCACAGGAGCCTTGTAGAGCCTGGCCCCAAGCCGGCCGAGGCTAGCCCTACCTGTTCCGTCGAACGTAGAGGGAAGAACAGGTAGAAATGGAGGCGCTACCCTGGACCATGTCAGGGGGAGCCTGTCCTCAGGCAGCTTCAATCACAATGATGTACCAGCAGCATATACACTTATTAGCAAGGCTTAGGGTGGAGTAGGACAGAATTTTCTCCCCCAAGAACCTTTGCTCAGGGCGGGAAAATGCCGCAGTCTAGTTCTAACTCTATTACTCCAGATGCCTCTGTGTCCCTGGAAGAAGGTGGGGTCTGGGCATATAAAAGTTTTGTTTGTTTTGCCTGGGTTGATTTCGTTTTTCCACGTGATCGTGCATCTGACTCTACCAGTATTTTGTATCCGGCTTCTGCCTCTCTCTCTCATGAGTCCCATGGCTACTATAAGGTATTCAATTTCTATTGCTGCTGTAACGAATTACCACTAACTTGGTGGCTTACAACCACACAAGTATTACCTTACAGTTCTGGAGGTCAGAAGTCCAAAATGGATGTTACTGGGCTAAAATCCAAGCGTTGGCAGGGCTGCATTCCTTCCTGAGGCTCTAGGGAAGAACTGTTTTTCTCTCCTTTTCAGCTTCTAGAGGCCACCAGTGCTCCTTGGCTCATGGCCCCATTCAATCTTCAAAGCCAGCAAGGACTGGCTGAGACTTTGCTCACTCTGCATACTCTGATGCTCACTTTTCATCCTCCCTCTTCCACATTTTAGGACCATTGTGATTACATTGGGCCCCTATATTAAGGTCAGCTGATTGGCAAGCTCACTTCACTTGGAACATTAATTCCCCTTTATCAGGTAATTTAACACATTCCAGGGATTAGGCCTGGGCATGGTTGAAGGGGCATTGTTCTGACTACCAAACCTAGGCACCTGGTAATAGGGAGGAAAACGTGTTGGTCACCTTAAAAACTGATTGATGACTACCGTTTTACATTCTGGATCTAACACACACAACAAAGGGATGGAACCCACAAGGAAACAGACACCTCAGGTCACACAAGCTCATCTGTAAACTATTTGCTCCTTAGGATGGGCAAGTCCCCTGGGGCGCAGGGGACTCAGCTGTATGCCTCTGTGCCAACAGCGAAAATGTGGCCTTAAACTGCTCCTTCTTCTTTGTTAGCAAATAACCTAGTTGACCAATTCATAGAGCAGAGGTTCTCTCAGTTCTCTATACTCTACACCCCGAGAGGAAGTCAGTTAGTGAGATGTAAGATTCTTTTATAAGAAAAAGACCAGGTGTAAAGATTAAGAAATGCTGAGCTTTGCTAGAGGTAAGAATAAGATGTAAATCAACTCTGGAACATTTAATTTCCAAATCTTTGTGAGAAAGACAATCTTGTTTCTGATTTATTGTGTGGATAGAGAATGTGAGAGATTCTGTGCTCTGGGCTTTGCAAACTCAATAGAGTTCAAGGATCAATAAACTCGGAGAGACCCTTCACTGCAAAGAAGAGCTTTGAAATCTAATGAGCTTCCGGGACACTGATTCAGCTCCTGTATCTTTAACAACGCGGTTGACATGCTTGCTCTTCCTGGGTAACTCAGATGCTAACTTCTAACTCATTTAAAGGCATTTGAAGAACTAGGAGCACAGAGTCACCAGTGAGAGGAAGAGGAGAGTTTGCAGAGAAGCTGGCTTGCAATAAGGCAATGAGTTCATCTTTAAATACTTGGAGTTTGAGGTGCAGATGGATATAGTTGGCAGGCTCCTAGGTAAGGCATGTTATGGAGAAGGTGCTATGAATTGATAATATCAAAGCAAATCTACAGGGATCCTCTGCAAGTGTGCATCTGTATCTCAGATCAATTATAGTTGACTTCAGTCCTGCCTGATTCATCTCCCAAAAATGTAGTCTGCCTGATTCATCTCCCAAAAATGTAGCCTCCGCTTAAAGGAGCTTTCAAGTTGGGGGTGGTGGGCCATTCAGTGTTGTCACTAACAGATGCATCTTGTGGGGGTAAAATGTCCCAAAGTATCTTTTCTTGCTTATGTTCATAAGGGCGCTGGTCTGGAATGTGCCACATCTGTTCTCACTCTGCCATGGACTCCTGGACCCTCTGTGTGTCCCTTTGTATCCTGGTAGCGAGTGAGTCCTCATGTATTTATCATCCTCATGCTGGGCCTCTGTATAGATGACTTCCTGTATTTTCCTTATTCTGTTTCCTAATTTTGCGTTCTTTTATAGCATGCACAGATGCTGGCATTATCCAGTCACCCAAGCATGAGGTGACAGAAATGGGACAAACAGTGACTCTGAGATGTGAGCCAATTTTTGGCCACAATTTCCTTTTCTGGTACAGAGATACCTTCGTGCAGGGACTGGAATTGCTGAGTTACTTCCGGAGCTGATCTATTATAGATAATGCAGGTATGCCCACAGAGCGATTCTCAGCTGAGAGGCCTGATGGATCATTCTCTACTCTGAAGATCCAGCCTGCAGAGCAGGGGGACTCGGCCGTGTATGTCTGTGCAAGTCGCTTAGCCACAGCGCTGCAGAATCTCCCCCTCCCTGTGCAGAAACTCTGGTGCTTCCTCTTTTCCTCACAGCTCCCAGCAGTCCTGAGCAAAGTCTTTCCTGCCTCACCCTCCCCACAAGAATAATTAAGTGGGTTTGGGGCATGGCAAAGACATAAGATGATACAATATCAACATACAAAATCTTGTGTAGGAGATAATGTCGAAAATGCATTTTGCAAATTTCTCACAAATTGTGTATGGGGTCATAACTCACACACAGGTAGGATAAACCTTAATTACCCACACCGTAGGTTTCCCTGCCTTCCTGTATTTGACACTCCCATCCAAACAGTGGGAGCTCTTGAGAATGGCTATGTCTTGTGAACTACTCTGCCCACTTCATTCCCTTCTCACTCTAAGCCATGAACAGAAATTTCCCCTACAAGTACTCTTTATTGTAAATGAAAGTTCTTTTCTATGATTGTGGACATTCCTTTATAATGCTAATTTCAATTTACCATTTATATACGGATTTTTACATTAAACTTAAAGAGATCTTCAGTGTGGATAATACAGGCAGTTTAATACATTAGAAGTAAGCTACCCCTCTTGGCCTACAGGGATCCATTTGTTTCTATCTTGCATAAAGCAAGCCAGGTGCTAGCTAAAGGTCTGTGTGCACTCACAGGACACTGATGAGATCTCCTCCACTGCCTGTTCTGGAACTATCAATATGAATATACACAGGGTGTCTAAAAGCACACAGGGCCTGGTGTGGTGGCTCATGCCTGTAATCTCAGCACTTTGGGAGGCTGAGGCGGGAGGAATGCTTGAGGTGGGGAGTTCAAGACTAGGCTGGGAAACAGTGAGATTTTGTCTCTAAAATATATATATATTTTAAAAATTAGCCTGGTATGGCAGTCTTAGCTACTCAGGAGGCTGAGTTGAGAGGGTTGCTTGAGCCCTGAAGTTCGAGGCTGGAGTGAGCCATGATCATCGCAACAGAGTAAGACCCCAAATCACACACAAAAAATAAATAAATAAAGTTAAAAAACATACACAGGCCTGGCCAGTCTTACTTGGCCCTCTTTCCTCCCTGATGCTGTGTCCTGAACAGCCAAATCTGTATTTTTTTTCTTCTGGTTTATGATACACATTTCTACACAGCACTTGCAATTTATTATGAAGAGTTATAATGTCTTTCTTCTATAGTAGTATTTACATACTGATGATTTCTCAACCCCTATCAGTGTATCATCGGCAATTGTTGCAAAATGTGCCTGTATTTTGCATGCCCAAGACAATTTGGGTTTACCCGAGTTCTTCGATAGAGGCCCTGGTTTCGCTTGTCACTGTCCTATTTTTGTTATTCAAAGACTGAGACTTTCAAGATCAGAATGATGCAGAATGAAATTCGGGGTATCCTTTAATGTACATCGAGAGACCTACTCTGTGTTTATATATTGTTTTGGTGTCTTCCTTGCTCTTTGGGCTTCTCTCTGTTGCCTCCAGATCATTTTCCTTCCTCCTTTGAAGCCCAGCTCCTTTACACACATGACATTAGAACAGCACCCTTCTTTGCTGCACTTGCTTCTTTCCCTTCAGAACTCTCTTCTCATTCAGTCCTTCTGTCTGCTACTAATCTTGTCATCATTCCTAATGGCTACTCATCACACAGACCATTTTTCATTGGTTTTGCTTCTCACTTTCTTGACTTCCTCACTTTTGACATTTTATCCATTAATCCTAACATTGTATATCTGACAAGGAAGATATTAAAAATCACATGTTTTGAATCAGTGAATCAATAAACAGGTTTAAAGAGACAAATGCAAAACAAAATTGTCCAGAGCTGCTGTTCTGGGCTGGACTACAGATAGATCATGTAAGAAATAATAAAATCATCTGGTAATTTCAATTTATCTTTAGAATCTTTGGACAGAACAGCTCCAGGGGAGTCAAGGGATCATAGATGGTAAGAGAGACAAAGAGGTTAGGAGGTGAGAACTGGCTAGGGTGGCAGTCCCTAACCTAAGGTTTTCAAGGATAATATCAAGGTCCTCAATTTCTTTTTAATATTTTTTGAAAGTGAAAGGAAATTATGCACATGACCCAAGCTATACATAATAAGGAAATTGACTCATGTCTTTGCTGAGATGGAATTATATTAAAGTTCTGTGAAATTAACTTATGGGCTCATCTCATGCTGATTAAAAACCCTGATTGACAGCGCTGTGTGTTACAAAAATGACAAAATAAATGATTACTTTAAAAACATTATTTTAAAAAATTAGCATTTGCCAAGAGTGGGGGTAAAAAATGACATACTGCCAGATGGTACAAGGAATGGAGACGTTTGAGGCTTCCAGAGCCTCTGACCTAGCTCACCCCACTTTCCCGGGCCCGATGTCTTCTAAAGTTCATCTGTGCAGGGAAAGGGAAGTGTAGTTGTGCAGGAAATACGGCAGGTTAGGAAATCACAGGCTCTAGAGCTTTTACAGGCTTTTACATCCTGTGTATCTGTGCTATTTCCACAGTCTGCAACAAACTGTATTCTCCCCAAACAGGGCCAGACACTCCTCATCTATCAAGGACTGACTCACATCTACCTTCCTCTTTGCTTCTTACCCTGACATTCCCTGGCCACTGCAGTATATCATTCTGTTTCCTTTACATTCAGAGGAAAATTCAGGTATATAATTGATACTACTCGATGTTTGTGAAATGAATAAATTAATGTCCATTTATACAGAGCTCTGAAATATTATCTATTACTGTTTTCCCTTCAAAAGGGGCTCCTTTTACTTGAAATATGATGGAGAGTCATTATGGCTAGTCTCAATTTTCCATACAATTTCTGCAGTATTCCAAGCAAATGTGTTTTCCCAGTCAGGATTAATGACCAGTACTACCCAGTACCCTAACTATATCTAAAGCTGGAATTCACAAATGTCCTTTTGGAACAAAGAAATTTATGTTATAATAATATTTATCCAGTCCTATGATCCAGTAAAAGAAATTCCTCACCACAACCACACTTTTCCAAAATCACATCTTTATGAGTCTGGACACATTATCAGGGGTGCATTTCAGAAGTCAACCTAAAACACTGAGAGAAAAATTTGTTGTGCTCAGTAATAGAATCTTATCCTTGCAATAAGAAGATACCATGTGTGTATGTGTGTGTGTGTGAGTGTATATGTGAGTGTGTATGAGTGTGTGTGTGAGAGTGTATGTGTGAGTGTGTATGAGTGTGTGTGTATGTGCATTTTCTCATGCAGATTCATCCACATGAAAAAGTTTATCTTTGGATCGCATTACAAAGAGGCACTGGGTCACCTGGGGAGCTCATAGGCACTTCTGGCTAGTGATGGGAAATGTCACACCACTCAATCTGCCTAAGTTATAGCCAATAGGGTTGTTTATTTCAAGACTTTTTATAAATTCAGAATTAAATATGTAAAAACTAGAAGCCCCTTTTATTAAATGCACTATTTAAAATTTGGTAATAATGACTCTAAATACAAAATATGAAGACACATGAGATATTAAATATTTTTCCAAGATCATTCTGCTGGATAGCTTCACACTGTTTAATTGTATGTCCTGTCTTATTCAGGCTCCTCTCTTCCACCTTATCATATGAATTGCAATGACATAACAACGATTAATTTTGCAATCAAAATGTTGGTTAATACACCCTTTTGTCTCCACTGGCTAAGGGAGGATTTAGAGATTAACCCTAAATTGGCTTATCTGGGAAAGCTTAGAGAGGGTGTATGTGAGAGGGTGGGGGCTGCAGGAGCGGGATGCAGGGGTCTCTGTTACGGATTTGGACAATCTAGAGCTCATCAGATCAGAAGGTGTGAATCTGTGAGACTATGGATCTATAGCCACTTGGAGGCGCTGTGTCTCCGCAATGCTGCTGGGAACCCTGGGGAGGGGAGGGCAGGTGACCCAGAAGAGGAAGGCTGAAGAGAATGCCTGGCTGCCTGCTAGCATCAGGTGGGGGCCATTTGAGTTCAGAGTGAGTTCTGAGTTTAACACAGACTCCTCACTGTCCAGAGAAGGGTAGGGGTGCGAAAGGCCTCAGTTTGTACCAACAAGAGAGTGTCTCTGTGTCTGTCTGGCCAGTGGATGGTGAAGGGGCTGGGGCATCCAGGGCTTGGGAATCAGTGTCAGGGCAGGGACAGCGGTGGGTGGAGTAAGGTGTGACATGGACATGTGGATACTGTGCTCCACCTTTAGTTTCGGGACCCTTCAGGGCAGGAATGATACATGGGGTAGCAGAGCCAGGCACCCACCTAAGGGTACAGTGGGCAAAGGATGGCCTGCAGAGGAAGTAAATAGAAAGGCAAGTTTCCTATGGTAATGCCAAAACATTCCTGCCCCCACTCAGAAAAAGACCATGAATGGGATGTTGGCAGCCAGAGGGGCTCAGGATCTGGTGATCCGACAGGCCTTTCCCAGGTACCCTCTGTTGCTTCTTTATGAGACCTGTTTTGATTCTGACAGAAATCATGCAAAATAAGTATTATTTAACTGTGTATACACTTGACTGAAATAACTTTCCTGGGTCTTGTACACTCTTAGATGGAAGAAACCAGACCTGGCGTTGGATAGATCAGTAATAGGGTGACTGTAGTTAACATCAACCAATTATGCATTTCAAAATAGCTAGAAGAGAATAATTCAAATGTTCTTAAGGTAAAGAAAAGACAAATATTAAAGTGATGCCTATCCCAATGACCATGATTTGATTATATTAATGTATCAAAGATCACATCTACTAAAAAATATGTACATCTAATATGTATCAATAAATAGTTAATTGAAAAGAAGATAACTAGCTGAAGTCTGTTCCTCCAGCACCTCTACCTGCTGTCCCCACTCTGCAGATTTGTCCTCTCACATGGCCTTCCCTTTCCAGGTCCCCATTAGCAGGAGGAGAAAGTCAGGCATTATATGTGATCACTATACTCTCTTTGCTGAAAAGTCCAAGGAACATATAACTTCCAGGCTAAACATATTCATTCATCCTTCATTGTGACAAAAAAGAGAGGTGCAATTTTCTGCACCATAGCTGTCCTATGAATGAGGCCAGGTGATCTCTTTCATGAAGGATATGTGAGGAGAGAGATTTCTCAGTGCACAGCAAAGGGAATGGGATGTTTTTAAAGGAAAGTGTAGTTTTCCTGTACCTGATGTAATTTATTATGAGGGAAAAGACACAAATCATTATTATTCATTAGTTAATTTATTGATTTCATAAACATTTTAAGCCCCCTGCTTTGTACAAGGGATTGTGCCACATAAATTTAAAAGCGAAACAAAAAATAAAATTTAGAAAAACAGATAAGACAATTTTTAAAAACAGTATGTTTCTCGCCTTTGACAATATTAAGGCAATTAATATGGAAATGTATTTATTGAATTATTTTGAAATTTATATTTTGCTAATTCAAAATACTTTAATGTTTCTGAATTATACAAATGTCCTTTTTAAAAATCTTTCTCTTTAGTTACCTACCTCCTTTTACCACCTTTTTAAAAAAAATTTTAGTGAGAACATTTAATATGAGATCTATCCTCTTAACAGGCTTTTAAGTATATAGTAGAGTATCGTAGTCCACAGACACAAGGCTGTACAGTAGATCTCTAGAACTTCCTCATCCTGCTTAACTGGGAATTTTATACCTGTTGACAGCAACTCCCCATTGCCACCAATCCCTAGCCCTTGGAAACCAATGTTTCAGTTTTTACTTCCATGAGTTTGACTATTTAGGTTGCCTCATAAAAGTAGAAAAAGGCACGGTGGCTCACGCCTGTAATCCCAGTACTTTGGGAGGCCGAGGTGGGCACATCACATGAGGTCAGGAGTTGGAGACCAGCCTGGCCAACATGGTGAAACCCTGCATCTACTAAAAATACAAAAATTAGCTGGGCACGGTGGCAGGCGCCTGTAATCCCAGCTACTCAGGAGGCTGAGGCAGGAGAATCATTTGAACCCGGGAGGTGGAGGTTGCAGCGAGCCGATATTGTGCCATTGCACTCCAGCCTGGTCAACAAGGCGAAACTCCATCTCAAAAAAAAAAAAAAAAAAAAAGAGTCGTGCAGTATTTGTCTTTCTGTGTCTGGCTTACTCAGTTACCATAATGTCCTCCAGGTTTATCCACATTGCCACATATGGTGAGATTTTCTTCTTTTTTGATATTATTTCCTTGTGTGTATATAACACATTTAAGGTCTGTGGTAATAAATGCATAGTATTTGACTGTTTCTATAAAACCACACATCACACGAGTAACAGGGTCATTTGCAGAGGTGCAGGCTCTGAGTACATCAATGCACTTTTATGGTTCAATTATGCTGCACGGAGAAGATTCAGAAAAAAAAATCATAATTCCATCCTTTATTGTCATTTTACTATACACAAAATAGAAGCCCTTCATTTGCAAAATTGCAGTTAATTAGAAATTCAACTGTCAGAAAAAGCCTTAAGACACAAATGCTATTCTCATTTTACAGAGAGGAGGGAATTGACCCACAGGTTAAATAACATGATCACATTAAATGGCTATTAGGATGCAGTACCGGGGGTCCAGCTCTGACCTGTCAGTCTCTAAGCCCTGTGTTTATAGCTCTGTGCTATAAGGCATTTTCATGAAGAGAGACGCCTACCTTTCAAAATCAGAGTATTTGCTCTCTACATCCCTTTCAGACCTGCTGGCTCCAATAACATCACAGACAGAGATGAATGTATCCTGGAGACAGTATGGGGAAAGAACTCTGAAAAGATGCCATGGCACCCAGCCCTGACTCCCACTCTAACACCACCACATCACTAACTGAGACCAGCTCTTGACAGGTTAACTTTAGTTTGGTTTTTGTTTTGTTAATCTATAAAATGAGACTAATACAGTCTATCTATAGGGCTGTATATAGAATTTAGTATCATAAAATATCTAGCCTATAATAGGAATCTAAATCTCTTGATTCCCTTTGTTAATCTCAGACAGCCTCTTCCACCCTCACCATGCACAAAGGCAGATTCAGACACACTCTGCCTAGAAATCTTAAGCTGAGAACTTAGAAGTCACAGAAGTGGAAATATATATACCTGATGATCCCTCACATGAAATTAACTAAAGAATGTAGCATACATACCTCCTCAGATAGTTAAAAATCAACTTCATTAATATATAGATTATATAAACATTACACATTTTAAGTGAACTGATGAGTGATTTTGGAGCAACATATGTGTATAGACCCTTCAATCCCCACCCCTATTAAGATGCCGAACATTTCCATCACACAGAGAGTGTTCTCATTCCTCTCTGCAATGCCTCCCTCCATCCCTGACAACCAGTGATATTTATCACTAGAAAATTGTTTTGCTCAGGTATATTTTTAATGGAAATTTACAACCTCTAACTATTAAAACACTTCCTCTTTAGTACACAGGTAAATATTCAAGAGAGGGAGGTGCTCCCAAAGATATTTATGGCTATTCCCCTCAATGACAGAATGGATAAAGAAAATGTGACACATATACACCATGGAATACTATGCAGTCATATGAAAGAATGAGATCATGTCCTTTGCAGGGACATGGATGAAGCTGGAAGCCATTATCCTCAGCAAACTAATACAGGAACAGAAAACCAAACACCGCATGTTTTCACTTAGAGGGAGTTGAACGAAGAGAACACATGGACACAGGGAGGGGAACAACACACACTGGAGCCTGTCGGAGGGCGGAGGGTGAGAGGAGGGAGAGCATTACGATGAATACCTAATGCATGCGGAGCTTAAAGCCTAGATGACGGGTTGATGGGTGCAGCAAACCACCGTGGCACATGTTTACCTATGTAACAAACCTGCACATTCTTCACATGTATCCCAAAACTTAAAGTAAAATTTAAAAAATTTAAAAAAAGAGAGATTTTTTATGGCTTTAGAAGGGTTTCAAACCCTTCCAGAACCCTGAGAGACACCTGATCCACGTTAGGGATAATCCTGTCTGGAGATAGACAAGATGATGAAATGACACCAAAAATCTTCCCACATGGAAGAGGCTATTTCCACATAATTTGTTCATTCATTTTCATTATTTTTTCTCATACACTCATTCACTTAAATTATTTTATAATGATATTCTGACAAAAACTAATCATCTCCAAGAACATTATTTTGAGTTTCCATCAGACAATATTTAGCTGTGATTCAGCTCTGCTTCCTGAGCACATAGAGTGCACTGGGGCCAAGTGAACCATGTGCAATAGTGACTACCTTGAGAGATAATGTCACATTGAGAGAAGGGGTCTCTCTTCCTTGACCGCAAGTGTCCAACCCATAAAACATGAGCCTTGAGCTAGAAAATTCCCCTTTCTGTTCTGGCGCTGCCTGGGCACCAGGCTCTTTTGCTGTGTGTCCCTCTGTTTTCTGGACCAGAGAAATACTGGGCACATATGTGGCATCTACTCATTGGTTTGTTGGACCCTAGCTTGCAGATAATAGTACCAGGTGTTCCTTTGCTGTGACTTTAACTTCTGTGTTCTTCACAGGACACAGTCCCATTGATGGGATCCAAAGTACCATTGATACTGAGTGACCCAGACCCTGGTCATGTACTTGTGCTAAAAAGGAAAACAGCACATGGGGAGGTGAGCAGAATATGAAACACAATTATGGACTCAGAACCAGCCATACAACTTATTAGCATCCCGTTGGTTCAAAAAATCATAAGAATTTGAAGAACATGACAATGTTATACTGACTGTGGCGTCCTAATAAGTGTGGGACTCTGTGCACCAAGATATGTTATTTGAATTCCTTTTTATTGATTACTAAATTAATGGCAGGAATCCCACACAAAGGGATACTCCCTATGAAACATGACAACTCAAATTAAAAAAGAGCACTCTTCCTTACTCTAAAGTCTGCCCTCTCTCCCCGAGTCCCTCACGCATAAGGCCACATTTGTGCCCCTAGGTCATGGGCAGCGCTGGTTGGCCACCATCGTCCACATGTAGAAGGCAGTCAGCAACGTGAAGTGGTTCTGCCTACTGCGGTCTCACCCCAGACATGGAAAGCAAGAGCCCTGGGTGGAGCTGAAGGTGCTCAGCTGGGTTTGTCAGAAGTCTCATCTGTCAGTGAGTTGACAAGAAACAGAGCAAAACGACTCCTCCAATGTTGACGAGCCTGCCCCTGGGATTTGGAAACTTCATAACAGAAAAAACCAATATAGACAAAGGATTTTAAACAGGATTAAGGTCAATTAAGCAAATTAGAAAAGGACACTTGAAGGAGTATTTGGGACAGGGGAATCAAAAGCACCAGGAAGACATGAGGAGTTTCCCTAAGACTCTAGACTACAGCACTAGCACTATGTAGATAACTAACACTAAAATATTAATTATATCATTGAAAAAATAAAATTTACAGTGAATTACAAACTGTTTCCAAAAGGTCATGAAAATCTTGTAGACTTGTTTCAATTCAGACAGATGTGTTCTTCTCATTCTCAGCTGTTCACTGGTGCATTTATTTTGGATTTGACCATCTGGGGAATGGGTGTGGCCTCTCCTGGCCTCTCCCTCCCTGGGGCCCAGGCAGGGAGAATGTCTCAGAATGACTTCCTTGAGAGTCCTGCTCCCCTTTCATCAATGCACAGATACAGAAGACCCCTCCGTCATGCAGCATCTGCCATGAGCATCGGCCTCCTGTGCTGTGCAGCCTTGTCTCTCCTGTGGGCAGGTGGGTCCTGGGCAGAGCCCCTTGTGTGAATTTCAAGGCCCAGCGCCTTCCCATTGGGGCTGCAGCATCAGCTTTGTTCTCCTTCTCTGCAGGTCCAGTGAATGCTGGTGTCACTCAGACCCCAAAATTCCAGGTCCTGAAGACAGGACAGAGCATGACACTGCAGTGTGCCCAGGATATGAACCATGAATACATGTCCTGGTATCGACAAGACCCAGGCATGGGGCTGAGGCTGATTCATTACTCAGTTGGTGCTGGTATCACTGACCAAGGAGAAGTCCCCAATGGCTACAATGTCTCCAGATCAACCACAGAGGATTTCCCGCTCAGGCTGCTGTCGGCTGCTCCCTCCCAGACATCTGTGTACTTCTGTGCCAGCAGTTACTCCACAGCGCTACAAGGCCGTCTCCTCTCTGCACATAAAGGCAGGGAGGTTCTGCCCTCCTCCCCCACCCAAGACTCAGGGATGCCCTGGGCAGAGATCTCTGCGCCAGGAACCTTGGAACCCACAGTGGCCCCAAGTGGCCTGGACAGTATGAGCCTTGCTCTGTGCCAGGTGCCTCTGCAGGCATCTCAGCCAGGCCTGGACTGGTCCCAGGTCCTCAGATGTCTCCTTTGTTGCTTTCTCTGGTCTATCCTTGGAGCTTTCCTTTTGGGGTGGGGCCAGGGCTTTCCCAGCTCCTACTTTTCTACTCATTATCCTGAGTCCGAGGCCCCCAGGATAAAACAGGATTTGCATTTCAGATCCATCTAGACTCCCGTCTCTCCCTGGTGACCCTGTTGCTTCCTCTCTCTAATGTTTCCCCCAGCCCCCACCCTCATGTTTTCTCTCCTGTGGCCCACCTTTCCCATCTGGGCAGTCACCCTCCAAGGCGTTGCTGGGTCTCTCCTCCCCCCACCTCCTCGCCCCTCTCTACTGCAGCCATGAGGGGAGCCCCTGTTCTGTGCCTCCTTCCTTCCCATCACAGAGACTTCAAAGGCCATTTCCTCTGCCCTTGCATGGAGCCTTCCTTTCTGCAGTGGCCAGCTCCTACCTGTCCTTCATATCTCAGCATGATCAACCCCTCTTGTGGGAAGCGCTCCCTCCCCTCCCATCTGAAATCAACTTTCCTCTCATAAGCTGTCACAGATTCATGTGTCTGTTAGTAACCTTTAGCACAGCTTGGCTTTCTCAGATACTTGTCTGGTTATTTTTGTACTCCACCCAATTTTTAAGCCCATGAGAGCTAAGGCTGTGCCTGCTGCATTTACCAACATTGGTGTCTGGCATGTAGGGAGACCCATTTCACAAAGAATGGATGAGTGAATGACAGGCTGAGTGAGTGATGAGTGGGTGGATAAACCAATAATAAAAACACACTACATCTACTGTAACCTGGCAGAGATCTAGCATTAAGTACAAGAAAGCCCATCCCTTTGATTGCTGGGCTCAGGTCGGTCTTGGAAATTGATGGAGAATCACTATCATGGCGGCCACACCTGGCTCAAAGCTTCCTCTTGTGGTTGCAGAGCCTGACCTCCTCCAGGTCTCTGTGCTCTCCTTCAGGGTCTTTCCCCACAACAAAGCGAGACAGATCAGAGATCCACTTCTAGAATTCCATCCTTAAAGGTTGTTCCTTGAAACCACTTCTGGTAAGAAAATCTCCATTAAGTTTGCAACAATAAAACAGGGCCGCTACAAGTTTGAGAGTGTAACAAATTTACGATCAGAATTAGACTTTATGCATATGTGGGAGGAGCTGAGAAAGAGAAGGTCTGGAGGAGAGAAGTCAGAAGGCGAGGGAGCCAGTCAATAGCCAGGGCTCCTGGGGGTCTCGGCAGGACAGGCTGGATTGGCAGGGACATGAAAGGATCAGAGTATGCCAGGACATGCAGTGGGACCTTGAACCGGGGGCACAGGAAAAGGCCAAGGAAACCTGCTTCTGGGGAAGCTGTTCCCACTCTACGGGGGCCACCCCTGCAGGTGCACTGCCAAAACAGCAGCCTGGCTGCTGTTTGCCAGCATTTGGGAAGATGAACTAGACACAGAGTGCAGAAGGAACAAGACTTCCTAGGTCTGTTGGATGCCTCTGTATCTGCTGGTCACAGACTCTCACTGTCTGACCACAATGACCTGCCAAGTCTAATAGTGACTGCTTTTCATCTGTCTTCCAAATTTTACCAAATGTATCCTTGACCATCTCTAACCCAGAATGATAAGAGAAATGGCATTCTGGGAAAGGCAGGCTCTTGCCTTTGCAAAGCTGACTTAACTCAATTCAGCCCATGATGGATTCTTCCAGATTAAGGCATCAGATCACACAACTGCCTCAACCTGCCATGGTCCCTGGACTCTTCTCCATGGACATCTGTGTTGCCCAGGTGAATGTGGACACAATTTGTATGTGGATGTTCCAGACACTGGCTACTAACTTTTCTTTTAATCCTGTACCTGAAATCTCCCTCCACCCAGAGGGTCTATAAATGTATGAGATTTATTTTTTAAAAAATAGAAATTTGAATTCTATTCTGAATCTTTCCTTGGGACTGGCCAGAGAGCATTTTTGACCTACTAACCTATATTGTGGGTGTATTTGGCCCCCCAGAGTGCAGCAGACACTTCTTGGGCCCATACATTTGCGAGTTAGACTGGAGATGCCTGTAAACATGACAGATTCTTGGTGTTGTTCCCTCTCAGTCCCGGCCTCTCTGGAATGTCGCAGACTACCATCAAACAAATAGATCCCCAGTATGAAGTACATAAGGACACATTAGGAGTTAGCAATGAGGAAATGTGAGCACAAGCAACAAACGTTTGAAGTGCAAACCCGAAGACTCAAAATTTTGGCATTATAAGATATGAAAGTTTGGAGAGCTACATTTAAATGAACATGAGAGGGAAAAAGAGAAACAAGGAAAAAGAGAATGTCTGAAACCATCAAGTAACTTTCATAAAAATTGTCAAATAATATATCTAGAAATTCCTCATACAACCACTGAAAACAAAATGGAAAGTCAAACAGTTGATTAGCTGCTCCTATGTCAAAGATGGATCTGCAGGAGTGATCTAGAATGCAGCACGGAAAATTAAAAGTGGAATATGAAAAAGTTAAAGAACAGGGAAGAAAAGAAATGGATGTTTCCCATATATTAGAATATGCAAATTTTTCATAAATTACCATTTTTTTTTGCATATGATTGCAGTTTCAAATAGATAAAATAGGTAGAATGTTATGAGGTGATATTTATGAGATGTTAGCTGACAATTATTTAGAGGTGTTTAAGGACCTAAATTCAGAGTTTCCAGAATCAAAATGAATCTCAAGTAAGACAAATAGTCAAGTCATAGGGAAATTGTATAACATGAGGGACAAAGAGAAGATTTTGAAAGCAGTCAGAAAGAAAAGACAGATACCTCCCATAGGAATAGATGGAGAACAACAGTAAGTCAAGATAGTGGTTAAAAATAACCGTTAGCTCAATCGTCATTCTCCTTCATTAGAGGTGAGATTGATTAAAAAAAAAACTTTTATACGTGGAATATGAAAAACCACCACTGTGAGTTTGCTACCAAGTTATCTTTTCTGAATTACAGTTAACAAAGGTGGGAAATGATCCCAAAGAAAGGCATGAGGGCAGTTCATGAGGGAACGCATGTGAGGGGACAGTCCTGTTGGGCACGTGTGACTGGGGGAATGGAGGAGGCTGGGGCATGAATGGGGATGGCAGAGGGGACCCTGACTTGCAGGAAAGACAATGAGCTCACCCTTTTGTGTTCTATGTTAGGGGCACTGTTGGTACATCCTACAGGACATGCCTAGCAGACAGAAGAGCAGCTGTGGGCTGGCAAGATGAACTCAGAGATGCAGCGTGAGGCCTCCGGGTCCAGACAGATCTGGAGCCCAAAGCAATGAGCCATGCATTGATGTTGTTAAAAAGGAGCTTATAAATATTTAAAGCAGCACCCAAATGTGTTCTAATAGAAATGCTGGGGCCCTGAGGTCCTGGGGATTGACAGAGGAAGTGATGTCACTGTGGGAACCGCCCTGTGGAGACAAGGACGTCACTCATCCTCTGCTCCTGCTCATAGTGACACTGACCTGGTAAAACCCCCGTCCTGGCCTGACCCTGCCATGGGCACCAGGCTCCTCTGCTGGGTGGTCCTGGGTTTCCTAGGGACAGGTGAGTCCTTAGAACACAAAGTAGTTTCAGTTTTTTTCTGTGTGTAGGCTTGTGTGTGTGTGTGCGATGACTACAAATATTTTCCTTATTCTGTTGCCAAATTCTATTTCCACAGATCACACAGGTGCTGGAGTCTCCCAGTCCCCAAGGTACAAAGTCGCAAAGAGGGGACGGGATGTAGCTCTCAGGTGTGATTCAATTTCGGGTCATGTAACCCTTTATTGGTACCGACAGACCCTGGGGCAGGGCTCAGAGGTTCTGACTTACTCCCAGAGTGATGCTCAACGAGACAAATCAGGGCGGCCCAGTGGTCGGTTCTCTGCAGAGAGGCCTGAGAGATCCGTCTCCACTCTGAAGATCCAGCGCACAGAGCAGGGGGACTCAGCTGTGTATCTCTGTGCCAGCAGCTTAGCCACAGCGTGGCACAGTCGCCTCCTTTCTGCTCACAAACCTCATCCTTCTCTCTCCTTGCAGCTCCTACAAACCCTTAACAGAGGCCTCTCTTTGCTCCTTACTTTTCATGGGAAAAAGGTAGATTTGGACCTCAGCTGTCCTTTGGGTAGAAAGAGACCGCAGATTCATTCCTGAAACACAGTGAGTGCAAATGTAGGTGGTGAAAACAATCAGAGCCCACTGCGCTCTGGGAGTCCTCCGAGCCAGCTCACTGTTCCAAGCAAGGAGTCAGTGTCTTAGCCTTGGCCTTCAGGGCAGACATGCATCTTCTATAGGTCTTGGAGGCTGCTGTGCTGCCCACATCCATGAGGTTGTCATAGGCAGGAAACACGCCTCTTCTTCATATGTTGGGGCATTTGGAAGGTCTGAGGCTACATCCCCAGGAACATCTTTCTTCAGAAGCCTGTTCTACCCCTGTCACCTTGGAAGTTTCTTCAACAAAATATCAAACATCTCTTCCTATAAAGTAAACATCTTTGCAAATTTGTGGTCCTTATTAATAAATACAATGGTGATAACAATAAGACTTCACTTCTTCTGCCTACTTTAAGCCACGTGTATCCTTTATTTTGTTTGCATTTGCCATTGCTACTGTCCTGATAGACAGAAGCATGCATCACCACCGCTGCCCGTTCACCTTGATTCCCTCAGGAAATCTAATTTCTAGACTCTGAGGGTTTTCATTGCTGTCAAACTCATTTGATTTGAAATCATTTTCCTGAGGCCTTTAACTCAAGAAGTGTTTTATTTATAATATTGAATATATTTCTTTTTTTTATTTTTCATATTATATTTTATTATACAGTACTTGTTATAAATAGAAGTACAATGATTATATTGTAATAGAATCTTCAACTCGTCTGTGGGTGCTGCTGCAGTTTGTATCTATGAAAGCGAATGCACTGGTCAGAGCTGATGTGATTATGGATCATGGGTTTCAGGGAGTCTTCGGCATCAGACCACTTCTCCAAGTCTGGGACTCAGTGTCCCAGATGCAGCCATGATAGAGGTGCCCTGAGTCTTTCATAGCTGGGAGGGGCATCATAGCCCTCCCAAATTCTCTGATCAGAAATTGTGGTGGTACAGACACCAAATTTCTTTCCCCAGAGAATGATGATCTCTGGTAGGGAGCTGCTCTAGACCCATTTTTTATTGTGCCATCATCAAATCATTCCTTGCTCAGGTACCCTCTGTCTCCTGGGACTGAGTAAGGCCAGGGCACAGATGGGAATTCCTTGTCTTCCTAGACCTTGTCTCTAACTGCTGCCACCTTCCTCCATGTGACTCCTGAGACACCTACTCCTAACAGTGGACAAGCTCTGACACTGAGGCTGAACAGAACACAGTCCACAATTGTAACCGGTGCTGCAACAACATGAAACAAAAGCAATCAGGACTTCCAACTTATACAGAAAATGAACATAGAAGAGTAGCAAAGGGCAGATATTACTAATGGACAAATAGGAAGGAATCAGTTTCTGCTCTAATGAAATCATTCAGTTGTCTTGAGTTAAGCAGGATAAACATTTCATTGCAATTACTTCAAGTCAAATGTAGCAGCTCCACAACCAACCAGCATAGCTATTTGCTTTGTGATCTTGGCAGCTTCAAAGGACTCAGAAATCCTTTCTCTGCACAAACATCCCTTTGTCCATTCCAAGACCCAGGATCACACACTCTGATCCTATCATGAAAACAATGAGGTGTGCTATACTTGCTGCGGCCTCATTTTTTGTGTGTTGAGTAGGAAGCACTGAAGAACTTTGAAAGCTTTGCTCTTGAGTCTAGGGATGTGCTGGAGCCAGCTTGTATGAGTCAGAAGAACCAAATAGGCATATTACTCTTCCCAGCTCCCAAGCAGTGAAGCCATGTTGGCCACTTGAAATCTACCATGGTGGGTATGCTGGTACAACCGAAATTAGGAAATGCTACCAGACATGCCCCCACCTTCACAGACACCCAGTTTATCAGCACATCCCTGGGGTATTTTCTGATGTCCCTGTTATGCCATTTCTTGTGGGGCCAAAAGGGCTCAGAATTCACCTCCCCTCTACTTTTGTTCTTAGAAGCCATCACCTAAGGGGGCCTCGATTGTTCCTATTTCTATTCAACCTCCAGATTCTCTTGCTCTGTAATTCTGTGTCTCCTGCAAGCATGCCAGTCTGGAACATGACAACTATTTTGAATGTAACTAAAGGTATCACTGAACCAGTTCATTATTTACAAATTATCTTTCCTCGCATAGAATATTCAGATGCTGGAGTCATTGGCAACAGAGATGGCCAAGTAGCAACTATTCTTCTGTGGCAACGAGAGACCCTGTAAAAAGGACAATTTTGCTTTGGAGACTAAGCACCTCCACACCAGTCAGGAATGACTCTGCTTTTACTTTAGGCTGAGAGGTCAGAAGGGTCAGAATACTGAGGGTCAGAGGCCCTCAGTATTCTCCTTTCCAAGACGGAGTATGGCCACTCTCCATCTCAGTCCCTGGAAGGTGTCCGGAGCTCCCTGAGAATCCCTGCTCTGGGGCAGAATCACCAAGGCTCATCCTCGCCAGCTCCCCACAGGCTCCAGCAGGGCTTTCCTGCCAGGTGCAGGGCACAGGAATGGTTCTATCTGTCTCTTGGTTAGAGGGAGGCTATGCAATGATGTTTGTATAAGAGGGACTGGGATTCTGGGTCTCCATTAAAGTATTTGATAATATTTTCTTTGTTTTTTGTTTTATTTTGCCATCTCACCACTTAGGAGAGCAATCCCTTGGTAGTTATATTGTTTTTGCACTTGGTAAGGTTTTTGTGGTTAAGTCACATTAAGAAATTGTGCCTTTTTTTCCTGTTCAGCTGTAACCCAAGGCAGTGAAAGAAACAGCAATAATTTTGAAAGCAGTTACTTATGCATCCTATGATAAAGGTGTTAAGTTCCATTGCCCACATCTAACTTTCAGTCTAGTGGAAATGAAAAGGCACAGTTAGGGGGCATGTGAGCCTGCCATGAGAGAGGTCAATGCCAATTGAGAAGTCTGTGCCAATCCCCAGTACTGTGGGATTGAAGGGGAGGGAGAGATGACCTCTCCTTCAGACCATACTCAACAAGGAGGGAGAGGGAGTTCATCCATGGGAACCTGCGGAGCAGCAAATCCCAGGGGCATCTAACTCAGGGTGCAGGAGCAAATCATTGGAAATGAAAATGGTCCACTTCAGCTGTCACAGGAGACAGGAGAAAGAAAAGTCATACATTCCACAGTCCCCTGGCTGATTTTCTTCCTTATGATAGTATTTTGCACCAGCGTGTCCTCATCTCCCGCTGCTCCTCTGCCTCTTTCATAATCATCTCTTCCCTCTTTGCTGCTCAGATCAGTGGATGTGCATTGTACAAGCTGATCATTTCCTGTAGCAGCACCTTTGCTGGTCTTACTTATGTTCATCCTTATTTTGTGCATTAGGTATTGCTCCCTCCACCATTGCTTATTTCCTTGTAAGAGGTCTCCTTTATATATTTCAATTTTACTTTTTATTAATAGACATTTTTAACTTCATCTTTTGCTTATCTATGCTTTTGGGGTAACACTGTCATTTTTGGAGGGCATTTTTGTTTATCCTTAGTCATTCAGATTAAATAATCTCTTTATACCTCAACGTCTGTGTTTTCTTACTATTTAAAACCAAATATTGTTTCCTTTCATTCCTCTCCTTCTGTTCCTCTTTCTTTAGATGGTAGTTTTAAGGGAGAAAAAGTTAGACTATAACTGGAGCTATGTGATAAGAGTTATTCAGAATGAGGGTGGGATATTAAGATTGGTAACTCAAAGCAATAGTCAGGGTTAGAAGTAGTGTTGGGATGAGGGTTTAGGGAAGCTGCTCATAAAACCTGCGGGATGGCACTTCTGGAATATTCTGGCAGCTCGCTCTGTAGACATTTCTCAGCAGTCCTTGGGCCATTGCAGAAGAAACAATGATGAAACTTCACTTATTGGCCACAAGATGGCACTGTGGTCCACTGGGAACTAAAGTACTCTGGGCAGTCTGGGAGAGCAGCCTAGGAGGGAAAGGGTTAAGAAAAATTCGGGCTTGGATCCCATATTATGCAGATGTTGCAGCAGTTTTCAGTTATTGCTAGGCTACCTACAGCTATGCAAGAGGCGGGAAGTCCCTCTAATCTTTAATGACATCTACAGTTGAAGAATGTTGGCTGGGCAGCTTTGGTGTCAGAGCAGGTGCAGACAGAGGAGCAACTGCCTCAGAGGAAAAGGCGAAAGAAAGGGGCCGGCTGTGCCCTGAGTCCAGTCCATCTCTGCTGCACTTCATCTTCCCTGCATGTCTCTCCAGGCAACAGCTTTAACCTCCTTGAGTGATCAGGGATTCTACAAGTTTATAAGTCGTACTGATAACATCACCTTGGCTTAGATTCCATTGGATACCAAGCACGTGTTCTCTGGAGGGCCAAAAATATTGACAACAATTTCTAAAACACCTAAGTAAACAAACTACAGAAGGAAAATATTAGTAGATGCACCAAACAGTGCCGTTAGACCTGAAGATAATCAACGAGTAGAATTATCAAAAGGAGACTATAAATAAGTCTCTACTAAGTATTTGTGGGCATCGAGCAGTGTTTGAGTCCTCTCAGGGTAGATTAAGGAAGGAATTCAGCTATTATCTTGACTTTGGCTTGGATGAAAATCCATGACCTCCTCAATTGATTTTCTTGTAAAATATTACAGAATAATATTGAGCAAACATTTTATTTTTCTCCAGCCTGTATCCCTCCTTAGCACTAACAGGTAAAGCGAATACCTAGAGGCAAGGTTTCTTTAGTTGGGATCCATTAACTGCAGGACTGGGAGGTCCATAGCTAGGCTTCACAGGGAGTGCAAACCCCACGTGCAGGGAACCCCGTGTGTCTGTGCTGTGCCCAACTCCCCTCTGTGAGGCTGCCAAAGGGGGACTGCCGGGTCTCCCAGGACCCCACTCACAAAGAGGGAGAAAGCTGCTTGCTGGGCAAAAAAATCAATTCACCAATTGGCCAATCTGTTGAAAGCCAGAAAGAAAAGAAACGTTCAATTGTGAGACTGATGAATGCCCAATTTCCCAAGTTATAAAATGTATAGCAGCTCATGGTTCTCAGAATGATTTCAACAGTATATGAAGATATTTTTAGAAAGTTTTTGTTTTTCTAAAGCATTCCTTGATATTGATCCTCACTTGTTTTTCAGCCCACTCATCCGTTGAGCTTAATTTGATGCCAAATTTCAATGTTGCCTATTTCAGTCACTGACCACTTCTCACATTCTCCATATCTTACACAGATACGTGTGTTCCTGTCTTTTCTTCTTTTTGTGTGATGCATTTTTAAATTGGGCTGTACAGAATACAAGCATACATTTGTAAATGACTGCCATCTTTTATGCAGTTTAGCTGTTTAATTTTTAGTAACACTTTTTATTAAGGTATAATTGAGAGTAAAACACAAGTATTAATACAAAAACATCCTGGTACATTTTGACAATTGCATACACCAGTGCAACAGTAACTGAAATGATTATAAAAAAAATTTCCATCACTCAAGAAAGTGTCCTCATGCTCCTTTCCAATCAATTTCTATCCCAGAGATAAAAACTTTTCTGTTTTTATCACCATTGACTAGCTTTGTCTATTCTTCAGCTTCATATAAATGGAATCATATTTTATTAGTTATTTTTCTCCAAAATTAGTATTTCTGAAGTGTATTCATATTGTTGTATCAGTAGGTCATTCTTTCTTATGACTAATATTCCATTGCATAAATATACCACAAATTTTTTGTGCATTCTCTTGTTGATGGATATCCATGTTATTCCTGTCTTCAACTATTATGAATAAAGTTGTTGTGAACATTCTTGTGGAAATCTTTCTTTTGGACATATGCATTCTTTTTTCTTCTTTTAAAACCTACACTTAAGAGTGGAAATACTGACTCATAGTGTAGATGTGTGTGCTATGCTTGCGTGTCCCCACAAAAGCTCATGTTGAAATTTGTCAGTGGAATGGTATTGGGAGGTGGGACAGCTATGACTAGGTCATAAGGGATCTGCCCTCAGAAAGAAATCAATGCCCTTATTGGGCGAGTGACTTAGTTTTCCTGGGAATGGTCTTCCAATAAAAAGGATGAATTCAGCTGTTTTCTCTGTCTTAAGTGCTTGCTTCCCCTTCCTTCTGCCTTGGATAACAGCAGGAGGACCTCACCAGCTGTGGCCCTTTGATCCTGGACTTCCCAGTCTCCACATCTATAAGCCAAATAAACCTCTTGTCTTTATACATTGCCCAGTCCGTGGTATTTCTCTATAGCAGTAGGAAAGAAATTGAAAGAAAATATGGCACCATGAGGCTGTTGTTATAATACCTGAAAATGTAGAAGCAGCTTTGGTTAATGGGAAGTGGCTAATGGATAGAGGTTGAAAGAATTGGGAGGAGCAGACTAGCAAAAGCCTAGACTCCTGAAAACAGAGCATTAAGGGCAATTCTGGTGCAGTGTCAGGGGGAAATGAGGGACAAGCTATCGGAAATTGAAGCAAATACCATCCTTGTTATAAATAGCAAAAACCTTGGCAAAATTGTGTCCTGTTCTAGGACTTTATGGAATATAAAATTATGAGCCATTCACTAGGATATCAACTGAAAGAAATATCTAAGCGGCAAAGCATTCAGGCTACTGTGTGACTACTTTCGGGCACCAGGAAATTTCACCCAGCAAGAAGGGAGCCATGGGAATAGATTTTGCAAACCAGCACAGATGGTAACCCTACCTCCCTCTGCTGTCCTGTCTCCCATAAGCCAAACCCTGTGCTGTGAGCTCTTAAAATCCTAGAATTATTTCTGGGGAATCTATACTCTTAATAATTTATAGACAACCCAGGTCTGCTTTGGATCTGATCAGACGGACTAAATCTTGGGGACTCTGCACCACTGGCCACTGAAGAAAGGGGCTGGGAATGTTGATGGGACAGGAAAATATAATAAGAAACATTGGTGTGAATCTAGTATCAGAAAGATGATGTGAGGACAACAAGGAAGAGCTGGAATGTGAGGGTTTAATCACAGGCTCCTCACCCTCCGCTGATGGGTAGGTGTGTTAGCTCCAGCATGGAGCACCACCGCACTAGGTGGGGGAAGGGTGAGAGGGCAATGGGGCAGCCTGTGAGCTGGGGCAACGTAGGCAGAGAAGGAACTGTGTCACCACAGAAACTTCTGCCTTCACCCATCCCTTCAGCTCTGCAGGACAGGTAGAGACTCCAGGATCATCCACTGAGCACTGGACATAAGGAAGGCTGCATGGGGAGGACACAGGACAGTGACATCACAGGATACCCCTCCTATTAGGAAAATCAAGGCCCAGAATTCACTCGGCTCTTCCCCAGGAGGACCAAGCCCTGAATCAGGTGCAGTGCTGCCTGCCCCACTGTGCCATGGGCCCTGGGCTCCTCTGCTGGGCGCTGCTTTGTCTCCTGGGAGCAGGTGAGTCCTGGGCACAGGACAGCAGCCCCATTCTCAGCTTTCCCACCCATGTCCTCCACTTTACCTTGGGGAGGACCTCCAGGCTTTCTGCTGTGCTCATCCTCCATCTGCTTTTCCCACAGGCTCAGTGGAGACTGGAGTCACCCAAAGTCCCACACACCTGATCAAAACGAGAGGACAGCAAGTGACTCTGAGATGCTCTTCTCAGTCTGGGCACAACACTGTGTCCTGGTACCAACAGGCCCTGGGTCAGGGGCCCCAGTTTATCTTTCAGTATTATAGGGAGGAAGAGAATGGCAGAGGAAACTTCCCTCCTAGATTCTCAGGTCTCCAGTTCCCTAATTATAGCTCTGAGCTGAATGTGAACGCCTTGGAGCTGGACGACTCGGCCCTGTATCTCTGTGCCAGCAGCTTGGCACAGCCCGGCAGAGTCTCTGACATTCTATACATAAACTTCCTGCCTTAGCTTTGACTTGAGAGCTGCAGGCCCCACCCAGGTTTCACTCCTGCAAGGGAAGCTTTTAGTTGTATGGAAGGCATGTGTTGTGTCCTACTGAGCACAGAGCTCTCCCAAACAGAGCCCAGGTTTCCTATGCCCTGAGTGTGCCGGCTTCTGTGCAGCATCTTCTTGCAGCTTGTCACTTCCTGGGTAACTTCAGTAGAAGAGTGACTGCGGAGCCCCAGATGTGTGCTAGATTCTTTGAATTTGTTATATAGCTTAAAGTCTTTCAACAACCTTGCACATCAATCATTCTTATTCTTCCTTGACAGATGGAAGTCTCAGGGACATTCAGTCATTTTCCCCAGTGTCTCCTGGCTTGTAAGGACCAGAAGTAGGAAACAAAGTAGTGCATCCATTTTCCACCTACCCCCCTGCTCCATCATCACCTTCTGTGTCCTGGTCAGTAAGTCAGAGCCCTCAAACTGCCATCTAGTGACCAGCAGGGCCTCACTAGAGGCTTACATGTCTTCAGGGGTCATTACTCTGGCCTCTTCATTAGAAACTTTGAGGAATGTTAAATTTAACACTTTTTAAAAATCATTTATATGCATTCCCTTTGTCTATCCCCAGTCTGCAGCCTACACTTTCATTTTTATGGTGTTTTACACAAGTTTAATTTAATGCAACAATAACTAAAAACAATTTTGTTTGTGTGTAGACAAAAACTGCTTTCTCATATAAATGTCTAATGATATTTTTCTCAATTTATTCTACTAAAATTTAAGTTTGGATTTTCACCAATAAGAATAAATGAACCTGAAATATATCTCATGTGAGAAATAAGATAGAGACCTAGGAATTGGAGGGAAGCACATATGTTCAGTGAAGAAGCAATCGTCTGTCAAAAAGAGCTCTAAAGTGGACACCTCGTGCTGACAGTGGAGAGATAATTGGAAGGCAAATTATCATGAACCTTGTCTGTCTATTGTCTTGTAGAAGAAAGACAGCCAGGAGCAGAGACAACATGGGCGAATGTTTATGACTGGACTTCAGGTTGAAGGTTGCAGCAGGTAGAGGGAGGAGTTGCAGGCAGAGGGCAGAATCACTAGCTGGCAGGGGCAGTGGCATCACCAGTGACTCTACTGACATCCAGGAATTATGTCCCCAACGCACAAGCTGAAAAACCTCCCACAATTCGCCGAATTTTCCCTGACCCTGCCTTGGCCACCAGATTCCTCAATGGTGAGGCCTTTTACCTCCCGGGGGCAGGTGAGTCCCCTAAAGCCTTTTCCTTGGCTTACCACATCCTAGCCTAAGCCTTTACCACAGGTCTACATTATTGAGGTCCCTCTTTGGGCACTCAACTTCCTTCTATCATAGACTTCATAGAATCTGGGATAACCAGATCCCAAGATACCAGAGAACAAAGGCAGGATGCGAAGCAACATGGAGATGCTTAAGACTGTCATCCATGACTACATGTGTAGGTGTTAATAGGAGCTGAAGCTGGTGCACAGCTGATCCGTCCCAGCACACACTACAGAGAAATTGCTGAGGGTCTGTAACTTTCTCTCAAAGCCAAATATGTGGCCTTGGTGTCAGACAGCCTCTCCCAGACCTCTGTGCCCTCTTGCACCAGCAGTCACCCCACAGCCACCTTCCTCTGCACACAATGCTCAGTGGAAGATATAGGTGGCCTCGTCTTCACGAGACTGCGATCCAGGCAGCGGAAGACGTTGTCCCATAGAAGTCTCCCCAACACTGCCCAGGCTGGGGCCCTCAGATTTCTGAGCAGCTCTGTGCATGGGAAACTCTGCCCTGTGCTGAGCTTCTCTTCCAGGCCAGTCTCAGCTGGACGACGGAATGTACTTTACCATGATGTGAGTGGATGCAGCCTCTCTTCCAGGCCCCTCCTGCAGCTCTGGCCTCAGAAGTCCTTTTCTTCAGTTATTCTCGAAAGGAAAGCTCATTTGAAGTTGTATATTTGCAGACAGCATTGACAACACAGGTCTATGTTCTTTTCCCTGTCAGCATTCACAACTCCATCTTCCCCACACCACGCTCATATCAGTCCTCAGCCTCCTCCACGTGATGTCCGCTCCCAGCTGTCCTCTCCCTTCCTCTGCATCCTCACCTCCAGGTCAACCACAGATGCCTCAGTTCAGGCCATTCCTCACGCGTCATGCTCCTCCTACCAAAGCCCTTTCCACTCCACGCTGTATCCTCTGGGTCAACACAAGTCTCTTCTTTTTTGTTCTTGCTCCAAATCTCAGTTTAACCACTACCATCTCTAGGGATACGCTCCTTCAACAGTTTTCCTAGGCTGCACCTCCTTAATATAAATCCTCACAGCTCATAATGTGCGTTAGTATTCATAGATTTAACACCATTGTCATTTTCCATGACTTCGGGTGACTAATGGACTCTTCTCTTGCTCTCTAGACTGTAAAACGCATCATTTTAGAAATTGTGGATGTTTTGTTCCTGATTTTATCATCAGTACAAACAGCGGTTCCAGGTGCCAGTGGCCAATCTTGAAAGAATAAAGGATGGATAGTGAAAGGCCCTCTGGGTTCCCACGTAGAGTGTTTCAGAAGTCTGGACGCATTAAGCGGGAACCTCTATCCCTTCATCTCCTAGGATCTAATGAGTCCTGGAAACAGAGGAGAAATCCCTGTCATGGATGAGTAACTGGATCCAAGCCTTTCTGCAGGACTGAATTTCCTAACTGCCCACCGCCTTCCTGGCTTTTCTCCTCCAATGTCCTTCCCTCACAGGTGTCCTGGATTTGGGAGTCTCGCGCACCTAATCATTGGCAGAGTGGTGTGAAATATAGCATTAAATACTGGCATTAAAAGGTGATGGAGGCTGGGTGCAGTGGCTCATGCTTGTAATACCAGCACTTTGGGAGGTCAAGGAGGGCAGATGATGAGGTCAGGTTAGCCTGGCTAACATGTGAAACCCCAACTCTACTAAAAATACAAAATCAAAATTAACCAGCCGTGGTGGCAGTCGCCTATAGTCCCAGCTACTCAGTAGACTGAGGCCGGAGAATGGCGTGAACCAGGGAGGTGGAGCTCACAGTGAGCTGAGATCTCACCAGTGTACTCCAGCCTGGGCGAGAGAGCAAGACTCTTTCTAAAAAAAAAAAGTTCATGGAGAAAAAAACAAATGGCTTCTCCATTCTTTGGGTGGCTTTGAGGCCATGGTGGCTGCTACACTGAACTATATCATTAGTCTCCATTTCCATGAATTGGTGGGCAATGTCAGAGACACAGAGTTCATGGTCACCAGCTTCCTCCAGCGCACACCTGATTTTGGTTCAGGGCACTGAACAGAGACCTTTGCTTGTTCCCCTCCTTTGCCAGTTAGGAAAGGCTGGTTGTGAGGCAGAGGCTCCACATATAGAGCAGGGCTATGTGTTAGTCCCTGAAGAATTGTGAGAGCCATTCTGGGTGGAAATAATCAAATATACAATCACCAAGGATGGCCCACAGATAGACCGAAGCCCCAATTTTGCTGGAGTGATTTGCATCTATGCTTTAAAGACAAATGCAGTTTTATCTCTTTAGGCAATAAAGACCAAAAATAGACTAGCTATTTTAAATAATTGAACCTTAAACAGACCACAGTCAGAACATCTTCCCTAGGGACAGCATTTTCTTCCACCCACTCACTAAAGCTCTATTTGAGAAAGCTGTGTGCTGTTGATAAACACTGGAATATCGTTACAATCGACATTGTAATAATACTGCTACTTGGATCAGAAACAAAGAGCATTTCTAAAGCTTGAACAATGTAAAACTGGAAACGAGCTCTCACTGAGTTTGGAAATGCAGGCACTAGAGGGTGCTCATTTCTCTTCCTTTTCCAATCAGGGGCTATTCAAAGGCTGTTCTAGAACAAGGGGTGAGATCCTCCACTTCCCCGTGGTGATCAGGCTTTCACAGGTAGAAGCCTTATTAGTTCATAATCAGCCAAGCTGACCTCACCATCAAATGTATCGACCTCGATGCTCACCCTCCTCAGCAGTCAGAGACTGTCTGTGTTCACCAGGAGCTCGTGTGCTTTTACAGAGCACACTTTCTCCTCGGTTTAGTAAAAAAAATAAATGGGCCATTATAGGGGGTTCCATAAACAGAAGCTTTCTGTACTTTGCCCATTTAGACACTACAAATTCTGATGTCTGACAAAAAGTGTAAACTTAAAGCTTGCATGTGGTTAAGAACTTTTAATAAACAAATTAAATAATATATATAATGAAAATGTCAATAATGCTCTCCAATCCAATCCCACCTTCCACTCATAACCAATATTAACGCTCTGGTGTGCTTCTTTTCACCCCTCTTTTCTGTGTTCATGCACACCTTTCTACCCAAGTACACCTACAGAAAATGGGTTCACCTGTACACTTTACCTGCCACATGCATACTCTTTTCTGTTAATATATCCTGGTCTTTATTGTTCCAGATTGGTTGATATAGATCTAACTTGCTCCTATTAGCTGCTTCACATTGCATAATGAGGGTAGACAGGTACATTTGTGCTCTATTGTCTGATTCCTAAATTCTGCCAGATCTTTTCCAAAGTGACTGAATGGCCTCTTTGTGCTTCCGAGTTCCTCTCACCCCAGCACCCAGTTGATGATTCCAGCGTTTCCATCACTCATAGTCCTGGCAGGTTTGAGAGCTCCATTGGTTCCTCCTGCATGAGGAGACAGGGACGGATAAAAGGATAGACCTTTATCAAACCTAACAGAGACTACACGGTATCTCAGTTCAACCTCATAAAGCATTGAGGGGAATGTTAGTCTTGTTTTATAGATGAGTCTAGATGAGGCTAGAATCCAGGAAAGTTAATGAATGGCCTTGCCCACGGTCTCAGAGCTAATAAATGGTGGAGGCAGATGAAGGGCAGTCAGCCTGCTTCCATGTGGAATTGATAGAGGGGTCACTGGACTTTGACAGAGGGGAAGTCTAGAACCATCTGGGGCTGTCTTCAGATCGGACACCAGAGTTAAGAGAGCCTGTGTACCCTACAGCACTGCAGATAGAAGCATCATGGTGTTGGCAGTGGGGAGGTACTAGAGTGTGTAAGTGGTTAGTGGCCTACAACCAGAAGACCTGAGTTTTGAGAAAATTATTCCCATCACAAGATGTAGCAGAGACAGTGATATGGATATACTAGACCAGAGAGCTCTGTGAGGAGCTCTGTGAGGAGCTGTGGCCTAATCATGCATCAGGCCACGTTTGTGTCCATAGGTCATGGGCTGTGCTGGGTGGCCACCATCATCCATACAGAGAGGGCAGTCAGCAGCGTGAGGTGGTTCTGCCTGCTGTGGTCTCACCCCAGGCATGGAAAGCAAGAGCCCTGGGTGGAGCTGAAGGTGCTCAGCTGGGCTTGTCAGGAGTCTCATCTGTCAGTGGATTGACAAGAAACAGAGCAAAATGATTCCTCCAATGTTGATGAGCCTGCCCGTGGGATCTGGAAAGCTAATAACAGAGAAAACCAATATAGACAAAGGATTTTAAACAGGATTATGGTCAATTAAGCAAATTAGAAAATGATACTTGAAGGAGTATTTGGGACGCAGTAGTCAAAAACACCAGGAAGACATGAGGAATTGCCCTAAGACTCTAGACTACAGCACTATGTAGATAACTAACACCAGACTATTAATTATATCATTGAAAAAATAAAATTTACAGTGAATTACAAACTGTTTACCAAAGGTTATGAAAATCTTGTAGACTTGTTTTAATTCAGACAAATGTTTTCTTCTCATTGTCAGCTGTTCTCTGGCGCATTTATTTTGGATTGAACCATCTGGGGAAGAGGCGTGGCCTCTCCTGACAGGAAGGCTCTGGGGCCCAGGCAGGGAGAATGAGGTCTCAGAATGACTTCCTTGAGAGTCCTGTTCCCCTTTCATCAATGCACAGATACAGAAGACCCCTCCGTCCTGGAGCACCTGCCATGAGCATCAGCCTCCTGTGCTGTGCAGCCTTTCCTCTCCTGTGGGCAGGTGGGTCCTGGACAGGGCCCCTTGCATAGATTTCAAGGCCCAGCCCCTTTCCATTGGGGCTGCAGCATCAGCTGTTTCCTTCTCTGCAGGTCCAGTGAATGCTGGTGTCACTCAGACCCCAAAATTCCGCATCCTGAAGATAGGACAGAGCATGACACTGCAGTGTGCCCAGGATATGAACCATAACTACATGTACTGGTATCGACAAGACCCAGGCATGGGGCTGAAGCTGATTTATTATTCAGTTGGTGCTGGTATCACTGACAAAGGAGAAGTCCCGAATGGCTACAACGTCTCCAGATCAACCACAGAGGATTTCCCGCTCAGGCTGGAGTTGGCTGCTCCCTCCCAGACATCTGTGTACTTCTGTGCCAGCAGTTACTCCACAGCGCTACAAGACCATCTCCTCTCTGCACATAAAGGCAGGGTGGCTCTGCCCTCCTCCCCCACCCAAGACTCAGGGATGACCTGGGCAGAGTTTTCTGCAATGGGGACCTTGGAACCCCGAGTGGCCCTAAGTGGCCCGGACAGTATGAGCCTCAGTCTGTGCCAGGTGCTCCTGCAGCCATCTCAGCCAGGCCTGGACTGGTCCCAGGTCCTCAGATGTCTCCTTTGTTGCTCTCTCTGGTCTATCCTCTGAGCTCTCCTTTTGGGGTTGGGCCAGGGCTTCCCCAGCTCCTACTTTTCTACTCATCATCCTGACTCCGAGGCCCCCAGGATGAAACAGGATTTGTATTTCAGATCCATCTAGGCTGTCCTCTCCCTGGTGAGCATGCTGCTTCCTCTATCTAGAGTTTTCCCCTCCCCCACCCCACCCATGGTCTGTCCTGTGGCCTATCTTTCCCATCTGGGCAGTCACCTTCCATCCCCCGCCTCCCCGCCCCTCTCTACTGCAGCCATGGGGGGAGCACCTCTTCTGAGACTCCTTCCTTCCCATCACAGAGACTTCAAAGGCCATTTCCTCTGCCCTGGATGGAGACTTCCTTTCTCTAGTGGCCAGCTCCTACCTGTGCTTCAGATCTCAGAATGATCTGCCCTCCCGCAGGAAGCAATCCCTCACCGCCCAGCTGAGATCAATTTTCCTCTCATAAGCTCTCATAGAATCATATGTCTCTTAGTAACCCTTAGGACAATTAGGCTTTCTCAGATACTTGTCTGATGATTTTTGTGCTCTACCCAATTTTTTTTTTTTTCTGAGACAGTCTCACTCTGTCACCAGGCTGGAGTGCAGTGGCATGATTTCCGCTTACTGCAACCTCTGACTCTGATTCAAGTGATTCTCCTGCCTCAGTCTCCCGAGTAGCTGGGATTACAGGCATGTGCCACCATGCTCAGCTAATTCTTTTTTGTATTTTTAGTAGAGATGCGGTTTCACCATGTTGGCCAGGATGGTCTCGATCTCCTGATCTCATGAACCACCTGCCTCGGTCTCCGAAAGTGCTGGGATTACAGGCGTGAGTCACCGTGCCCGGCCTCTCCACTCAATTTTTGAGCCCATGAGAGCTAAGGCTGTGCCTGCTGCATTAACAACATCAGTGCCTGGTGTGTGGGGATACCCATTTCACAGAGAATGGATGAGTGAACGAGAGGCTGAATGAGTGATGAGTGGGTGGACGAACCAATAGTAGGAACACACTACATCTACTGTAAACTGGCAGAGGTCTAGCATTAAGTACAAGAAAGCCCACCCCTTTGATTGCTGGGCTCAGGTCGATCTTGGAAATTGATGGGGAATCACTATCATGGCGGCCACATCTGGCTCAAGGCTTTCTCTTGTGGCTGCAGTACCTGACCTCCTCCAGGTCTCTGTGCTCTCTTTCAGGGTCTTTCCCCACAACAAATCTAGACAGATCAGAGATCCACTTCTAGAATTCCATCCTTAAAGGTTGTTCCTTGAAACCACTTCTGGTAAGAAAATCTCCATTAGGTTTGCATCAATAAAACAGGGCCACTACAAGTTTGAGAGTGTAACAGATTTATGATCAGAATTAGACTTTATGCATATGTGGGAGGAGCTGAGGAAGACAAGGTCTGGAGGAGAGAAGTCAGAAGGTGAGGGAGCCAGTCAGTAGTCAGGGCTCCTGAAGCTCTGGGCAGGACAGGCTAGAGTGGCAGGGACATGAGAGGATCAGAGCATACCAGGACATGCAGTGGGACCTTGAGCCGGGAGCACAGGAAAAGGCCAAGGAAACCTGCTTCTGGGGAAGCTGTTCCTTGTCTATGGGGGCCACCCCTGCAGGTGCACTGCCAAACACTGTGGGCAGCCTGGCTGCTGTTGGCCAACATTTGGGAAGATGAACTGGACACAGGGTGCAGAAGGAACAGGACTTCCGAGGTCTGTTGGATGCCTCTGTATCTGCTGGTCACTGACTCTCACTGTCTGACCACAATGACTTGCCAATTGTTATAGTGACTGTTTTATATCTGTCTTCTAAATTTTACCAAATGTATCCTTGACCATCTCTAACCAGAATGATAACAGAAATGGCATTCTGGGAAAGTCAGACTCTTCATTTGCAAAGTTGACTTAACACAATCCAGCACAGGATGGATTCTCCCAGATTAAGGCATCAGATCACACAACTGTCTCGACCTGCCACGGTCCATGGACTCCTCTCCGGGGGACACCTGTGCTGCCCAGGTGAATGTGGACACAATTTGTATGTAGATGTTCCAGACGCTGGTGACTAACTTTTCTTTTAATACTGTGTCTGAAGTCTCTCTCACCCAGAGGGTCTATATATGTATGAGTATATATGTATTTATAAATATGTATGTGTAATTTCTCCTTAGAAGAAAATGTCATGATGACTACATGGCTTAATGGCATTTATTTATGAAAGAGCTTTATTAAAAATAATTAGAAAATTTGAATTCTATTCTGAATTTTTCCTTGGGAGTGTCCTGAGAGCATTTTTGACCCTACCGACCTTTGTCATGTGTGTATTTGGCAGCCTAGAGTGCAGCAGTTATTGGCGCCATACATTAGGGAGTTAGACTGGAGATGGCTGCAAAATGACTGACTCTTAGTGTTATTCACTCTCACTCTGGGCCTCACTGGAATGTCACAGACTACCATCGAACAAATGGATTCCCAGTATGAAGAATATTAGGAGATAGCAATGAGGAAACATGAGCACAAGCAACAAACATTTGAAGTGCAAACCTGAAGACTCGAAATGTTGGCATTATAAGATATGAAAGTTTGGTGAGCTACATTTAAATGAACATGACGGGGAACTGAAACTAGGAAAAAGACAATGCCTGAAACCATCAACTTTCATAACAATTGTCAAAAAATATATCTAGGAATGCCTCATACAATCACTGAAAACAAAATGGAAAGTCAAACAGTTGATTAGCTCCTCCTACAGAGATTTTTAGTGATTTCAAAGATGGATCTGCAGGAGTGATCTAGAATGCAGCATGGAAAATGAAAAGTGAAATATGAAAGAAGTTAGAGAACAGGGAAGAAAAAAATGGATGTTTCCCATATATTAGAATATGCATATTTTTCATAATTTCCCATTTTTTGTTGCATATGATTGAATTTTCAGACAGATAAAATAGGTAGAATGTTATGAAGTGATATTTATGAGATGTTAGCTGAGAAGTTTTTTGAGGTGTTTAAGGACCTAAATTCAGAGTTTCCAGAATCACAATGAATCTCAAATAAGGCAGTCAAGTCATAAGCAAATTGTAGAACATGACGGACAAAGAGAAGATTTTGAAAGCCATCAGAAAGAAAAGACAAATACGTCCCATAGGAATAGATGGAGAACAACAGTAAGTTAAGACAGTGGTAAAAATAACCATTAGCTCAATTATCATTCTCCTTCATTTAAGGTAAGATTGATTAAAAAAAATAACTTTTAGAAGGGGAACATGAAAAATGACCGCTGTGAGTTTGCTATCAAGGTTTCTTTTCTGAATTACAGTTAAGAAAGGTGGGAAATGATCCCAGAAGAAAGGCATGAGGGCAGTTCGTGAGGTAACCCAAGTGATGGGGCTGCCCCGTTGGGCACGTGTGACTGAGGGAATGGAGGAGGCTGGGGCATAAATGGGGATGGCAGAGGGGACCCTGAATTGCAGGATAGACAATGAGCTAATGCCTTGGTGCCTTGTTTTGGGGATGCTGTTGGCACATCCTACAAGACATGCCCAGCAGACAGAGGAGTGGCTGTAGGATGAGAAGATGAACTCAGAGATGCAGTGTGAGGCCTCTGGCTCCAGACAGCACGGGAGCCCAAAGCAATGAGCCAGGCATTGATGTTGTTAAAAAGGAGCTTATAAATATTTAAAGTGTGTTCTAATATAAATACTGTGACCCTGACATCCTGGGGATTGAGAGAGGAAGTGATGTTACTGTGGGAACTGCCCTGTGGAGACAAGGACATTCCTCGTCCTCTGCTCCTGCTCAGAGTGACACTGATCTGGTAAAGCCCCCATCCTGGCCTGACCCTGCCATGGGCACCAGGCTCCTCTGCTGGGTGGTCCTGGGTTTCCTAGGGACAGGTGAGTCCTCAGAACATTAAGTAGTTTTATTTTTTCTCTGTGTGTAGGTGTGTGTGTGTTTGTGTGTGTGTGTGTGCGATGACTACAGATGTTTTCCTTATTCTGTTGCCAAATTCTATTTCCACAGATCACACAGGTGCTGGAGTCTCCCAGTCCCCAAGGTACGAAGTCACACAGAGGGGACAGGATGTAGCTCCCAGGTGTGATCCAATTTCGGGTCAGGTAACCCTTTATTGGTACCGACAGACCCTGGGGCAGGGCCAAGAGTTTCTGACTTCCTTCCAGGATGAAACTCAACAAGATAAATCAGGGCTGCTCAGTGATCAATTCTCCACAGAGAGGTCTGAGGATCTTTCTCCACCTGAAGATCCAGCGCACAGAGCAAGGGCGACTCGGCTGTGTATCTCTGTGTCAGAAGCTTAGCCACAGTGTGGCACAGTCGTGTCCTTCCTGCTCACAAACCTCATCCTTCTCTCTCCTTGCACCTCCTAGAGACCCTTAATAGAGGCCTATCTTTGATCCTCACTTTTCGTGGGAAATAAGTAGAATTGGACATCGGCTGTCCTTTGGGTAGAAAGAGACCACAGATTCATTCCTGAAACACAGTGACTGCAAATGTAGGTGGTGAAAACAATCACGTCCCACTGCCCTCTAGGAGTGCTTGGAGCCAGCTCACTGCTCCAAACGGAGTGGGTGTCTTAGCCTTGGCCTTCAGGGCAGACATGCATCTTCTATAGGTCTTGGAGGCTGCTGTGTTACCCACATATATGAGGTTGTCAAGGGCAGGAAACATGCTCTTCTCCTGCATATTTTGGGGCATCTGGAAGGTCTGAGGCTACATCCCCAGGAATATCTTTCTTCTAAAGCCTCTTCTATTCCTGTCACCTTGGAAATTTTTGCAACAAAATATCGAACCTCTCTTCCTGTTTAAAGTAAAGGTCTTTGCAACTTTCGTGGTCTTTACTTGATAAATACAATCATGGTAACAATAAGACTTCATTTCTTCTGCCTACTTTAAGCCACTTGTATCCTTTATTTTATTTCCATTTGCCATTGCTACTGTCCTGATAGACAGAAGCATGCATTCACCACTGCTGCCTGTTCACATCGATTCCCTCAGGAAATCTGATTTTTAGACTCTGAGTGTTTTCATTGTTGTCCAACTCATTTGATTTGAAATAATTTTACCGAGGCCTTTAACTCAAGAAGTGTTTTATTTATAATATTGAATCTATTCCTTTTTATTTTATTTTTCATAATAGATAGTACTATATAGTACTTGTTATAAATAGAAGTACAATGATTATATTGCAATAGAATCTTCCACCTATCTGTGGGTGCTGCTGCAGTGTGTATCTGTGAAAGCGAATGCACTGGTCAGAGCTGATGTGATTATGGATCGTGGGTTTCTGGGAGTCCTTGGCGACAGACCACTTCTCCAAGTGTGGGACTCAGTGTCCCAGATGCAACCATGATAGAGGTGCCCTGAGTCTTTCATAGCTAGGAGGGGCATCATAGTCCTTCCAAATTCACTGATCAGAAATTGTGGTGGTACAGATACCAAATTTCTTTCTCCAGAGAATGATGGTCACTGGCAGGGAGTTGCTCTTGACCCATTTTTTCTTGTGTCGTCATCAAATCCCTCCTTGCTCAGGTGCCCTGTGTCTCCTGGGACTGAGTAAGTCCAGAGCACAGATGGGAATTCCCTGTCTTCCTAGACCCTTTGTCTAACTGCTGCCACTTTCCTCCATGTGACTCCTGAGATAGCTGGTCCTAACAGTGGACAAGCTCTGACACTGAGGCTGAAGAAAACACAGTCTATAGTTGTCAACGGCGCTGCAAGAACATGTAGCAAAAACGAGCAGGGCTTCCAATTTATACTGAGAATGAACATGCAAGAGGAGCAAAGGGTAGATGGTACTAATGAACAAATAGCAAGGAATGCAGTTTCTGTTCTAATGAAGTCATTCTGTTGTCTTAAGTTAAGTAGGAGAAAACTTTCACAGTAATTACATCAAGTCAAAGGCTAGCGGCTCCCCAACCAACCAACATAGCTATTTGCTCTGTGATCTTGGCAGCTTCAGAGGACTCAGAAATCCTTTCTCTGCACAAACATCCCTTTGTCCATTCCAAGATCCAGGATCACACACTGATCCTATCATGAAAACAATGAGGTGTGCTATAGTTGCTGTGGCCTCATTTTAGTATGTTGAGTAGGAAGCATTGACGAACTTTGAAAGCTTTGCTCTTGAGTCTAGGGATGTGCTGGAGCCAGCTTGTATGAGTCAGAAGAATCAAATAGGCATACTTTTCCCAGCTCCCTGTTCAGTGAAGCCATGCTGGGAGCTTGAAATCTGCCATGGTGGGTATGTTGGTACAACAGAAATTAGCAAATGCTACCAGCCATGCCCCCACCTTCACAGACACCCAGTTTATCAGCACATCACTGGAGTATTTTCTGATGTCCCTGTTATGCCATGTCTTTTAGGGACAAAAGGGCTCAGAATTTATGTCTCCTCTACTCTGTTCTTAGAAGCCATCATCTAAGGGGGCCTTGATTGCTCCCATTTCTATCCAGCTCCCAAATTCTCTTGCTCTGTAGCTCTGTGTCTCCTGCAAGCACGCCAGTCTGGAACATGACAACTATTTTGAATGTAACTAAAGGTATCACTGAACCAGTTCATTATTTACAAATTATCTTTCCTTGCATGGAATATTCAGATGCTGGAGTCATTGGGAACAGAGATGGCCAAGCAGCAACTCTGGGTTGTGAAACACTTACAGCCCCGCTATTCTTCTGTGGCAACGAGAGACCCTGTAAAAAGGACAATTTTGCTTTGGAGACTAAGCAGCTCCCCACCAGTCAGGAATGACTCTGCTTTTACTTTAGGCTGAGAGGTCAGAAGGGTCACACCCTCAATATTCTCCTCTCCAAGACGGAGTGTGGCCACTCTCCATCTCAGTCCCTGGAAGTTGTCCAGAGCTCCCCGAGAATCCCTGCTCTGGAGGCAGAATCACCAAGGCTCATCCTCACCAGCTCCCCACAGGCTCCAGCAGGGCTTTCCCACCAGGTGCAGGGCACAGGAATGGCTCTGCCTGTCTCTTAGGTAGAGGGAGGCCAAACAGTGATGTTTGTATAAGAGGGACTGGGGTTCTGGGTCTCCTTTAAAGTATTTGACAAAATTTTCTTTGTTTTTGTTTTATTGTGCCATCTCACCAATGAGGAGAGCAATCCCTTGGTAGTTATATTGTTTTTGGCACTTGGGAAGGTTTTTGTGGTTAAGCCACATTAAGAAATTGTGCCTTTACAGGAAATTGTGCTGTACAGGAAAGTTCAGCTGTAACCCAAGGCAGTGAAAGAAATAGCAATAATTTTGAGAGCAGTTACTTGGGTATCTATGATAAAGGTGTTAAGTTTCATTGCCTACATCTAACTTTCAGTCTAGTGGAAATGAAAAGGCACAGTTAGGGGGCATGTGAGCATGCCATGAGAGAGATCGATGCCAATTGAGAAGTCTGTGCCATTCCCCAATACTGTGGGATTGAAGGGGAGGGAGAGATGACCTCTCCTTCAGACTGTGCTCAACAAGGAGGGAGTGGGAGTTCATCCATGGGAATCTGACGAGGAGCAAATCCCAGGGGCCTCTAACTCAGGGTGCAGGAGCAAATCCTTGGAGAGGAAAATGGTCCAGTTCAGCTGTCACAGGAGACAGGAGAAAGCAAAGTCATCTAATCCACAGTCTCCCGGCTGATTTGCTTCCTTATGATGCTATTTTGTACCAGCGTGTCCTCATCTCCCGCTGCTCCTCTGCCTGTTTCAGAATCATCTCTTCCGTGTTTGGTGCTCAGATCAGTGGATGTGCATTGTACAAGCTGATCATTTCCTGTAGCAGCCCCTTTGCTAGTCTTAGTTATATCCATCCTTATTTTCTGCATTAGGTACTGCTCCCTCCACCATTCATTGCTTATTGCCTTGTAAGAGGTCTCGTTTTATATATTTCAATTTTACTTTTTATTAATAGATATTTGACTTCATCTTTTGCTGATCTATACTTTTGGGGTAACATTGTCATTTTTGGAGGACGATTTGTTTATCTTTAGTGATTCAGATTAAATAATCTCTTTATACTTCAATGTCTGTGTTTTCTTCCTATTTTAAGCCAAATATTATTTCCTTTCATTCCTCTCCTTCTGTTACTCTTTCTTTAGATGGTAGTTTTAAGGGAGAAAAAGTTAAACTATAACTGGACCTATGTGATAAGTGTTATTCAGAATGAGGGTGGGATATTAAGATTGGTAACTCAAAGCAATAATCAGGGTTAGAACTAATGTTAGACTTAGGGTTTAAGGGAAGCTGCTCATAAAACCAGCGTGATGGCACTTCTGGAATATTCTGGCAGCTTCCTCTGCAGACACTTCCCAGCATTCCTTGGGCCATTACAGAAGAAACAATGTTGAAACTTCACGTATTGGCCACAAGATGGCAGTGTGGTCCACTGAGCTCGAAAGGTCTCTGGGGAGTCTAGGAGAGCATCCTAGGAGGGAAAGGGTTAAGAAAAATTAGGGCTTGGATCCTGTATTATGCAGATGTTGCAGCAGCTTTCAGTTATTGCTAGGCTACCTACAGCTATGCAAGAGACGGGAAGTCCCTCTAATCTTTAATGACATCTACAGTTGAGGAATTTTGGCCGGGGCAAATTTTGGTCAGGGGCAGGTGTAGAGGAGCAACTGCCTCAGAGGAAAAGGGAAAAGCGAGGGGTGGGCTGTGTCCTGAGCCCAGTGCGTCTCTGCTGCACCTCATCTTCCCTGCAGGTCTGGCCAGGCAACAGCTTTAATCTGCTTGAGTGATCTGGAATTCTAGAAGTTCAGAAGTCGTACTGATAACATCACCTTGGCTGAGATTCCATTGGACACCAGGCATGTGTTCTCTGGAGGACAAAAAATATTGAGAACAAGCTCTAAAACACCTAAGTAAACAGACTACAGAAGAAAAATGTTAGTAGATGCACCAAACTGTGCCGTTAGACCTGATGATAATTGACTAGTAGAATTACCAAAAAGAGACTATAAATAAGTCTCCACTAAGTATTTGTGTTATTGAGAGCAGTGTTTAAGTCTTCTCAGGGTAGATTAAAGAAGGAATTCAGCTATTATCATGACTTTGGCTTGGATGAAAATCCATGAAGTCCTCAATTGATTTTCTTGTAAAATATTACAGAATAATATTGAGCAAACATTTTATTTTTCTCCAGCCTGTATCCCTCCTTAGCACTAACAGGTAAAGCGAATACCTAGAGGCAAGGTTTCTTTAGTTGGGATCCATTAACTGCAGGACTGGGAGGTCCAGAGCTGGGCTTCACAGGGAGTGCAAACCCCACGTGCAGGGAACCCCGTGTGTCTGTGCTGTGCCCAACTCCCCTCTGTGAGGCTGTCGAAGGGAGAGGGCCGGGTCACCCGGGAACCCCACTCACAAAGAGGGGAGCAGGCTGCTTGCTGGGCAAAAAAATCACTTCACCAATTGGCCAATCTGTTGAAAGCCAAAATGAAAGGAAAGTCTGAATGTGAGAGTGATGAATGCCCAATTTTCCAAGTTATGAAATGTATAGCAGCTCATGGTTGTCAGAATGATTTCAACAGCATATAAAGATATTGTAAACAGCTTTTGTTTGTCTATAGCTTTCCTTGATATTGATCCTCAGTTGTTTTTCAGCCCACGCATCAGTTGAGCTTATTTTGATACCAAATTTTAAAGTTGCCACTTCAGTCACCAAGCACTTCTCACATTCTCCATAACTTACAGATATGTGTGCTCCTGTCTTTTCTTATTTTTGTGTGATTCATTTTTAAATTGGGCTGTACAGAATACAAGCATACATTTGTAAATGACTCCCATATTTTATGCAATTAACTGTTTACTTTTTAGTAACAATTTTATTTAAGGTTTAACTAATAGAGATAAAAACAGAAATATTAATACAAGGACAACATGGTAAATTTTGACAAATGCATATGCCAGAGCAACGGTAACTGAAATGATTATAAAAAAATTTCCGTCATGCAGGAAAGTGTCGTCATGCTCCGTTCCAATCAATTTCTATCCCACAGATAAAAACTTTTCTCAGTTATTTATTTATTTTGAGACAGTCTCACTCTGTCGCCCAGGCTGGAGCACAGTGCTGTGATCTCAGCTCACTGCAAGCTCTGCCTCCCGGGTTCATGCCACTCTGCTGCCTCAGCCTCCAGAGTAGCTGGGACTACAGGCGCCCGCCACCATGCCCGGCTAATTTTTGTATTTTTAATAGAGACGGGGTTTCACCGTGTTAGCCTGGATGGTCTCGATCTCCTGACCTCGTGATCCACCCACCTCGGACTCCCAAAGTTCTGGGATTACAGGCATGAGCCACGGCGCCAGGCCAAAACTTTTCTTATTTTTATCACCATTGACTAGCTTGGTCTATTCCTGCACTCCGTATAAATGGAATCATATAACATTTTTATTGAGTTATTTTCCTCCAAAATTAGTATTTCTGAAGTGTATTCATATTGTTGTATCAGCAGGTCATTCTTTATTATGACTAATATTCCACTGTGTAAATATACCACAACTTGTTTATCCATGCTCCCGTTGATGGATATCCATGTTACTCCTGTCTTCAACTATTATGAATAAAATTGTTGTGAATATTCTTGTGGAATTCTTTCTTGTGGATATATGGATTCTTTTTTTTTTATTTTCTTTTAGGTATAGACTTAAGAGTGGAAATACTGACTCACAGTGTAGATGTGTGTGCTATGCTTGCGTGTCCCCACAAAATCTCATGTTGAAATTTGTCAATGTAATGGTATTGGGAGGTGGGACAGTTATCACTAGGTCATCAGGGATCTGCCCTCAGAAACAGATCAACGCCCTATTGTGGGAGTGAATAAGTTGTCTTGGGAATGGTCTTCTGATAAAAAGTATGAATTCAGCCACTTTCTCTGTCTTGGGTGCTTGCTTCCCCTTCTTTCTGCCTTGGATAATAGCAGGAGGCCCTCAGCAGTTATGGCCCTTTGATCTTGGACTTCCCGGTCTCCAGATCTATAAGCCAAATAAATCCCTTGTCTTTATAAATTACCCAGTCTGTGGTATTTCTCTACAGCAGTAGGAAAGAAATTGAAAGAAAACATGGTGCTGAGAGTGGCGCTGTTGCTACAACAAGGACCTGAAAATGTAGAAACAGCTTTGGTTAATGGCAAATGGGTAATGGATAGAGGTTGGAAGAATTCGGAGAAGCAGACAAGCAAAAGCCTAGATTGCTGAAATAGATCATTAAGGGTAATTCTGGTGAAGGCTCAGGGGGAAATGAGGAACAAGATATCGGAAATCAAAGTAAATGCTATCCTTGTTGTAGGTAGCAAAAACCTTGGAAAAATTGTGTCCTGTTCTAGGACTTTCTGGAATAAAAATATTATGAGCTATTAGCTAGGATATCTACTGAAGGAAATATCTAAGCAGCTAAGCATTCAGGCTATTGTGGACTACTTTCAGGCACCAGGAAATTTAACCCAGCAAGAAAGGAGCCAAGGGAATAGATTTTGCAAACCAGCACAGATGGTGACACTACCTACCTCTGCTGTCCTGTCTCCAATAAGACAAACTCGCTCTGGAGTTAGAGAAAAGAGGAGCCAGTTAACATAATACACTGGGGTCAGCTTCTGAAGGCAGGGTGGATCTGAAGGGAATAACATAAACTGTCCAGAGCACTACGTATAGGATGACCTTGAGGGTGCTGAGTCCCAAGCTGGCTAGGTCTGTGCTATGAGCTGAGAAGGCCCTAGAATTATTTCTGGGGAATCTGAACTCTTGATAATTTACAGACAACACAGGTCTGCTTTGATTCTGATCAGATGGACTAAATCTTGGGGACTCTGCACCGCTGGCCACTCAGGAAATGGGTTGGGAATGTTGCCTGAGACAGGAAAATATGATAAGAAACATGGTGTGAATCTAGCATCAGAAAGATGATGTGAGGACAGCAAGGAAGAACTGCAACTTGAGGTTTAATCACAGGCTCCTCATCCTCCCCTGATGGGCAGGTGTGTGAGCTCCAGGATGGAGTACCACAGCACTAGGTGGGAGAAGGGTGATAGGGTGGTGGGGCTGCCTGTGAGCTGGGGCAGTGTAGGTAGAGGAGCAACTGTATCACCACAGAAGCTTCTGCCTTCACACATTCCTCCAGCTCTGCAGGACAGGTTGAGTCCAGGGTCCGTAGTGCGCTAGACTTAAGGAAGGCTGCATGGGGAGGACACAGGACAGTGACATCACAGGATACCCCTCCCATCAGGAAAATCAAGGCTCAGAACTCACTGGGTTCTTCCCCAGGAGGACCAAGCCCTGAATCAGGTGCAGTGCTGCCTGCCCCACTGTGCCATGGGCCCTGGGCTCCTCTGCTGGGTGCTGCTTTGTCTCCTGGGAGCAGGTGAGTCCTGGGCACAGGACAGCAGCCCCATTCTCAGCTTTTCCACCCGTGTCCTCCACTTTACCATGGAGAAGACCTCCAGGCTGTCTCCTGAGCTCATCCTCCATCTGCTTTTCCCACAGGCCCAGTGGACGCTGGAGTCACCCAAAGTCCCACACACCTGATCAAAACGAGAGGACAGCAAGTGACTCTGAGATGCTCTCCTATCTCTGGGCACAAGAGTGTGTCCTGGTACCAACAGGTCCTGGGTCAGGGGCCCCAGTTTATCTTTCAGTATTATGAGAAAGAAGAGAGAGGAAGAGGAAACTTCCCTGATCGATTCTCAGCTCGCCAGTTCCCTAACTATAGCTCTGAGCTGAATGTGAACGCCTTGTTGCTGGGGGACTCGGCCCTGTATCTCTGTGCCAGCAGCTTGGCACAGCCCGGCAGAATCACTGACATTCTGTATATAAACTTCCTGCCGTAACTTTGACTTGAGAGCTGCAGGCCCCACCCAGGTTTCACTCCTTCAAGGGAAGCTTTTAGTTGCTTGGAAGGCATGTCTTGTGTCCTACTGAGGGCAGACCTTTCCCAACCAATAGAGCCCAGGTTTCCTGTGCCCTGAGTGTGCCTGCTTCTGTGCTGCATCTTCTTGCAGCTTGTCCCTTCCTGGGTAACTTCAGTATAAGAGTGACTGCTGAGCGCTTGGTGTGTGCTAGATTTTTGTATATGTTACATATCTTAAAGCTTTTCCACAACCTTGCAAATCAAACATTCTCATCCTTCCTTTACAGATGGGAGGCTCAGGGACATTGAGTCATTTTCCCCGGTGTCTCCTGGCTTGTAAGGATCAGAAGTGGGAAACAAACTAGTCCATCCATTTTCCACCTACCCCCCTGTTTCATCACCACCTTCTGTATCCTGTTCAGTAAACCAGAGCCCTCACACTGCCCTCTAGTGACCAGCAGGGCCGCAGCAGAGGCTCAGATGTCTTCAGGGGGTTATTACTATGGCCTCCTAATTAGCAATTTTGAGGAATGTTAAATTTCACACTTTTTAAAAAATCATTTATATGCATTCCCTTTATCTTTCCCATGTCTGTAGCTTACATTTTCATTTTTATGGTGTTTTTTGATGTACAAGAGTTTAATTTAATGCCACAAAAATGAAAAACAATTTTGTTTGTGTGTAGACAAAAACTTCTTTCTCATATAAATGTCTAAACATATTTTTCTTAATTTATTCTAGTAAAATTTAAGTTTGGCTTTTCTCCATTAAGAAGAAATGTACCTGAAATATATCTCACGTCAGAAATAACATAGAGACCTAGGAATGGGAGGGAAGCACATATGTTCAGTGAAGAAGCAACAGCCTGTCAAAAAGATCCCAAAATGGACACCCTGCGCTGACGGTGGAGAGGTAGCTGGAGGGTAAATGATCACGAACTTTATCAAGCTGTTGTTGTTAGAAGAGGGACAGCCAGGAGCAGAGACCACATGGGTGAAGGTTTATGACTTGACTCTAGGTTGAAGGTTGCAGCAGGTAGAGGGCGGAATTGCAGGCAGAGGGCAGAGTCACTGGCTGGCAGGGGCAGTGGCATCACCAGTGACTCTACTGACATCCAGGAATTATGTCCCCAACACACAAAGTGAAAAAACTCCCAACAATCTGCACATTTTTCCCTGGCCCTGCTCTGGCCACCAGACTCCTCAGTGGTGTGGCCTTTTGCCTCCTGGGGGCAGGTGAGATCTTTAAAGACTTTTCCTTGGCTCACCACATCCTAGCCTAAGCCTTTACATCAGGTCTGCATTATTGGGGTCCCTCCTTGGTCACTCAACTTCCTTCTATCATAGACTTCACAGATGCTGGAACAACCTGATCCCAAGATACCAGAGAACAAAGGCAGGACGCGAAGTGACATGGAGATGCCTGAGACTGCCATCCATGAATACAGGTGCAGATGTTAATAGGAGCCGAAGCTGGTGCACAGCTGATCTGTCCCAGCCCACACTACAGAGAAATCCCTGAATGTCTTTGACTTCCTCTCAAAGCCAAATATGTGGCCTTGGTGTCAGACAGTCTCTCCCAGACCTCTGTGCCCTCTTGCACCAGGCTTTACCCCACAGCCACCTTCCTCTGCACACAAAGTTCAGTGGAAGATATAGGTGGCCTTGTCTTTACGAGATCGTGATCTGGGCAGTGGAAAACATTGTCCCATAGGAGTCTCCCCAACACTGCCCAGGCTGGGGCCTTCAGAGCTCGGAGCAGCTCTGTGCATATGAAACTCTGCCTTGTGTTGAGCTTCTCTGCCAGGCCAGTCTCAGCTGGACAAAGGAACGCACATCACCATGATGTGAGTAGATGCAGCCTCTCTTCCAGGCCCCTCCTGCAGCTCTGGCCTCAGAAGTCCTCTTTCTCAATTGCTCTCAGGAAGGAAAGTTCATTTGAAATTGTATATTTGCAGACAGCATTGACAACACAGGTCTACGTATGTCCAATCCCATCTTCCATTTGTAACAAATACAAACACTGTGGTGTGCTTCTTTTCACCCCTCTTTTCTGTGTTCATGCACACCTTTCTACCCAAGTACACCTACAGAAATTGGGTTCACCTGTACACTTTACTGGCCACATGCATACTCTTTTCTGTTAATATACCCTGGTCTTATTGTTCCAGATTGGTCGATATAGATCTAACTTGCTCCTATTAGCTGCTTCATATTGCATAATGAGGGTAGACAGGTACATTCATGCTCTATTGTCTGAGTCCTAAATTCTGCCAAATCTTTTCTAAAGTGACTGAATGACCTCTTTATGCTTCCAAGTTCTCCTCACCCCAGCACCCAGTTGATGAATGCAGCTTTTCCATCACTCATAATCCTAGCAGGTGTGAGAGCTTTATCAGTTTCTCCTGCATGAGGAGACAGGGAGAGATAAAAGGATAGATGTTTATCGAACCTACCAGAGCCTACACAGTATCTCAGTTCATCCTCATAAAGCATGGAGAGGAATGTGCGTCTTGTTTTATAGACGAGTCTAGATGTGGCTAGAGTCCAGGAAGGTTAATGAATGGCATTGCCCATGGTCTCAGAGCTAATAAATGGTGGAGCCAGATGGAGGACAGTTGGCTTGCCTCTGTGTAGAACTGATAGAGGGGTCACTGGAGTTTGAGGGAGGTGAAGTCTAGAACCATCTGGCGTTGTCTTCGGATCAGACGCCAGGGGGCAGTAGAGTCTGTGTACCCTACAGCACTGAAGGTAAAAGTATCATGGTGTTGGCAGTGGGGAGGTACTAGAGTGGGTATGTGGTTAGTGGCCAGGAACCAGAAGATCTGAACTTTGAAAAAATTTTTCCCATCACAAGACGTAGCAGAGACACTGATGTGGATAATCTAGGCCAGAGAACTGTGTGACGAGCTGTTCTTAAAATGAGGGAGGGAGGAGAAGCAACTAAGGGTCACTTCCTCTACATGAAATGGAGAGGAAAACAATGTTAACTAGAATCTCATCTGATTTTAGTCAGTTTTGCTTTGTAAGTAGTTGCAAGGTGGGACAATTTATTTTTGACATTAAGTAAACATCTATACGGCTTCTTTACCTTATGAAGTCTGGTGGTGAAGGCAAAAATGGTACGGCCAATGGAGTCACAGTTTGTTTAATAAATAACTCAGAGTTCAAATGGAGACTCTCATGGGCCAGAAATTGGTAAATGTTCCTGCATTCTAAAATTAGGAGGATCTTATTTTCTTTGAATCAACAGAGAAGGAAGCACAGGCAGTGGGGAGGGACAGTAGGGAACTCGGCAGAGTGGCCACAGAATGTGGAAGACAAAGGACATGTAATACCAAATTCTAAGCTGTGAAGTTGTGATGCAACCCTCCTCCTTCTCCTAATGTTTTTCAGGTCTCAGCACAGATGCACACCTGAGGGAGTAACTTCTTTGGAAATGAAGGACAAATAGCTGTGTAATAATAAGTCCACCTTACAAAGCACAACTGGAAATGGAAACAAGATTATTTCTAAGGCCTTTTCTACTCTAAGAGTAACTTAGTAGCAAGCTGAGAGGTGAGGATGGGGGGATGTTCATCCACACGCAATGAGTACCATGAGGCTCTACCATGAAGCATATAGTCCTCAGTGTGAATCAGAGCCCTAAGAAGAATAATGCCCTTTACATTGCTTTGCCCTCTGCCATCCTAAACCCATCCCACCCATAATTAAGCAGCCATGGAAATGAAGGGAGCCAGAAGGAATCAAACCCTGCTGCTTGGTTCAGTAGACAGAGGGACCTGGGGGCAGGGTGTTGGCTGGGTCTAGGAGAAGATGATGAGCTCAGAAAATAGACAAGGAGAAACCCCAGGGGAAAGCTTGTAAAATCCTGGAGGAATCACAAGATATATTATTTGAGCTCCTTTTTATTTATTACTAAATTAATGGCAGGAATCCCATATAAAGGGATATTCCTTATGAAACATGACATCTAAAGTACAAACAGAGGATTCTTCCTTACCCTAAATCCTGCCCTCTCTCCCTGAGTCTCTTACGCATCAGGCCACCTTTGTGCCCATAAGTCATGGGCAACGCAGTGTGGTCACCTTCATCCACACCTAGAGGACAGTCAGCAAAGTGAGGTGGTTCTGCCTGCTGCGGTCTCACCCCAGACATGGAAAGCAAGAGCCCTGGGTGGAGCTGAAGGTGCTCAGCTGGGTTTATCAGGAGTCTCATCTGTCAGTGGATTGACAAGAAACAGAGCAAAACGACTCCTCCAATGTTGATGAGCCTGCCCCTGGGTTTTGGAAACCTGATAACAGAGAAAACCAATATAGACAAAGGATTTTAAACAGGATTATGGTCAATTAAGCAAATTAGAAAAAGATACTTGAAAGAATATTTGGGACACAGGAGTCAAAAACACCAGGAAGACATGAGGAGTGTCCCTAAGACTCTAGACTACAGCACTGTGTAGACAACTAACACCAGAATATTATTATATTATCGAAGTAATAAAATTTACAGTGAATTACAAACTGTTTCCAAAAGGTCATGAAAATCTTGTAGACTTGTTTCAATTCAGACAAATGTGTTCTTCTCATTCTCAGCTGTTCACTGGTGCATTTATCTTGAATTTGACCATCTGGGGAATGGGCGTGGCCTCTCCTGACAGGAAGGCTCTGGGGGCCAGGCAGGGAGAATGATGTCTCAGAATGACTCCCTTGAGAGTCCAGTTCCCCTTTCATCAATGCACAGACCCAGAAGACCCCTCCGTCCTGCAGCCCCTGCCATGAGCCTCGGGCTCCTGTGCTGTGTGGCCTTTTCTCTCCTGTGGGCAGGTGGGTCCTGGGCAGGGCCCCTTGTGTGGATATCAAGGCCCAGCCCCTTTCCACTGGAGCTGTAGCATCAGCTTTGTCCTTCCCTGCAGGTCCAATGAATGCTGGTGTCACTCAGACCCCAAAATTCCACGTCCTGAAGACAGGACAGAGCATGACTCTGCTGTGTGCCCAGGATATGAACCATGAATACATGTATCGGTATCGACAAGACCCAGGCAAGGGGCTGAGGCTGATTTACTACTCAGTTGCTGCTGCTCTCACTGACAAAGGAGAAGTTCCCAATGGCTACAATGTCTCCAGATCAAACACAGAGGATTTCCCCCTCAAGCTGGAGTCAGCTGCTCCCTCTCAGACTTCTGTTTACTTCTGTGCCAGCAGTTACTCCACAGCGCTGCAAGGCTGTCTCCTCTCTGCACATAAAGGCAAGGGAAGGTGCTGCCCTCCTCCCCCACCCAAGACTCAAGGATGCCCTGTGCAGAGATCTCTGCACCAGGAACCTTGGAACCCAGAGTGGCCCCAAGTGGCCCGGACAGTATGAGCCTCGCTCTGTGCCACGTGCCTCTGCAGGCATCTCAGCCAGGCCTGGACTGGTCCCAGGTCCTCAGATGTCTCCCTTGTTGCTCTCTCTGGTCTGTCCTCCGAGGTCTCCTTTCGGGTTGTGGCCAGGGCTTCCCCAGCTCCTACTTTTCTACTCATCATCCTGAGTCCGAGGCCCCCAGGGTGGAAGAGGATTTGTATTTCAGATCCATCTAGACTCCTGTCTCTTCCTGGTGACCATGTTGCTTCCTCTCTCTAGGGTTTTCCCAGCCCCCACCCTCACGTAGTCTCTCCTGTGGCCCACCTTTCCCATCTGGGCAGTCACCCTCCAAGGCCTTGCTGGGTCTCTCCTCCCCTCACTTCCCCGCCCCTTTCTACTGCAGCTATAAGGGGAGCCTCTCTTCTGTGCCTCCTTCCTTCCCATCAAAGAGATTTCAAAGGCCATTCCCTCTGCCCTAGGCTAGAGGCTACCTTTTCTACTGGCCAGCGCCTACCTGTGCTTCAGATCTCAGCATAATCTGCCCCTCCTGCAGGAAGCACTCCCCCGCCTCCCAGCTGAGATCAACTTTCCACTCAAAAGCTCTCATAGAATCATGTGTCTGTTGGTAACCTTTAGCACAGTTGGGCTTTCTCAGGTACTTGTCTGATAATTTTTGTACTCCACCCATTTTTTTTCCCTATTTTTCCTTTTTTTTTTGAGACAGAGTCTCGCTCTGTCACCAGGCTGGAATACAGTGGCACTACCTCGGCTCACTGCAACCTCCGACTCTCCGACTCTCTGGTTCAAGCGATTCTCCTGCCTCAGCCTCCCAAGTAGCTGGGATTACAGGCACACACCACCACACCCAGCTAATTCTTTTTGGTATTTTTAGTACAGACAGGGACTCACCATGTTGGTCAGGATGGTCCCGATCTCCTGACCTCATGATCCACCTGCCAAGGCCTCCCAAAGTGCTGGGATTACAGGCATGAGCCACTATGCCCAGACTCTCCACCGAATTTTTAAGCCCATGAGAGCTAAGGCTGTGCCTGCTGCATTTACCAACATCGGTGCCTGGCATGTGGGGAGACCCATTTCACAGAGAATGGATGAGTGAATGACAGGCTGAGTGAGTGATGAGTGGGTGGACGAACCAATAGTAGGAACATGCTACACCTACTGTAACTTGGCAGAGATCTAGCATTAAGTACAAGAAAGCCCACCCCTTTGATTTTTGGGCTCAGGTTGGTCTTGGAAATTGATGGGGAATCACTACCATGGCGGCCACACCTGGCTCAAGGCTTCCTCTTGTGGCTACAACACCTGAACTCCTCCAGGTCTCTGTGCTCTCCTTCAGGGTCTTTCCCCACAACAAATCCAGACAGATCAGGGATCCACTTCTAGAATTCCATCCATAAAGGTTGTTCCTTGAAACCACCTCTAGTAAGAAAATCTCCATTAGGTTTGCATCAATAAAACAGAGCCACTACAAATTTGACAGTGTAACCGATTTATGATCAGAATTAGACCTTATGCATATGTAGGAGGAGCTGAGAAAGAGAAGGTCTGGAGGAGAGAAGTCAGAAAGTGAGGGAGCCAGTCAGTAGCCAGGGCTCCTGGAGCTCTGGCAGGACAGGCTGGAGTGGCAGGGACATGACAGGATCAGAGCATGCCAGGCCATGCAGTGGGACCTTGACCTGGGAGCACAGGAAAAGGCCAAGGAAATCTGTGTCTGGGGAAGCTGTTCCCTCTGTGTGGGGGCCACCCATGTACGTGCACTGCCAAACACTGGGGGCAGCCTGGCTGCTTTTGGGAAGATGAACTGTACACAGGGTGCAGAAGGAACAGGACTTCCAAGGTCTATTGGATGCCTCTGTATCTGCTGGCCACTGACTCTCACTGTCTGACCACAGTTATCTGCTATGTGTAATAGTGACTGTTTTACATCTATCTTCCAAATTTTACACAAATGTATCCTTGACCATCTCTAACCCAGAATGATAACAGAAACGTCACTCTGGGAAGGCAGACTCCTACCTTTGCAAAGTTGACTTAACACAATCCAGCACAGGATGGATTCTCCCAGATTAAGGCATCAGATCACACAACTGTCTCGACCTGCCATGGTCTGTGGACTCCTCTCCAGGGGACACCTGTGCCGCCCAGGTGAATGTGGACACAATTTGTATGTAGATGTTCCAGACACTGGTGACTAAGTTTTCTTTAATCGTGTGCCTGAACTCTCACTCCACCCAGAGGCAGGGCTCTGCCTCCTGCTTCTGTCTCCTTCCTGAGCTTCCGTCCTGCTGGAGTTGCATGGACATCAGAACCCTGGTCAGAGTGCAGCGACCTGTGGAGACAGTGGGAGGGAAGCTCACCTCTTGCTGTCTTCCTGGACCTAGTTCGGTTATACCCAAAGCAACTTCTCTGGTCTCCCTTTGGACTCTGCAGTATCAGAAATGTGCTTCATGAATTTGTAGCTGATCAGCTCAATGATTTGATGGCCAACCCAAAGTGAAATCCTAAGATCTGCAGAAATTGCCGGCATTTCTGTGAAGATGGCAAGAATACTGTGTGCTAGAGATGCCTTCTCTCCATGTAGAGACCTGGCCCCAAAACAAGACAGAGCAGAGAGGGCCAAAGAGCCCAAAACATGTCTCAGATGGTTGAAGGGCAATTTCCTAGGACAATCCTGCTGACAAAATTTCATCCCTCCTATTACACGCCTGACCACCCTTCTCCCCAGATCAGCTGAGTACCCAGGATATCACACATCCCAGCATCTTCTAACAAGGGAAAATTCTTCACATGCCAGCCTTCTTCCTGCACCACATTGACTAACCCTGGAAACTTCGCCTTTCCAGAAAAAAGCTGTCTTCTCTTGGCCCAGTCTAGCCCAGTAGGTTTAATTCATGATTTATGTGACCTTTTAATTTACTCAGAGGAGAACATATGATTTCAGAGTAAAGAATATTCATTTTACTTTGTATAAGTTGGACCTAAACAGTAAACTGAGTACTTCTCTTCCATCAGTGTCTTAAATTAGACAACGGTAAAACAAATCTTTGATGCAAGAACTTTAGGTCCTGGTGTTTTTCATATGGAAGATCCCAGCTATCCAGTCCAGGGCATGGAATAGATGAGCGTTAATAAGTCACTCTATGCCTGAGATGGTTTTCTATTGGCATCTTTTCTGAGTTACAGTTAACAAAGGTGGGAAATGATCCCAGAAGAAAGGCACGAGGGCAGTTCTTGAGGGAATCCATGTGATAGGACAGTCATTGGGCACGTGTGACTGGGGGAATGGAGGAGGCTGGAGCATGAATGGGGATGGCACTGGGGACCCTGACTTGCAGGAAATGCAATGAGCTCACCACTTTGTGCCCTATGTTAGGGGCGGTGTTGGTGCATCCTAGAGTAAATGTCCAGCAGACAAAGGAGCAAGAAGCGGCTGTGGGATGACAAGATAAACTCAGAGATACAGCATGAGACCTCCGGGTCCAGACAGCTCTGGAGCCCAAGGCGATGAGCCATGCATTGATGTTGTTAAAAAGGAGCTGATAAATATTTAAAGCAGCACCCAACTGTGTTCTAATAGAAATGCTGTGATCCTGAGGTCCTGGGGATTGAGAGAGGAAGTGATGTCACTGTGGGAACTGCCCTGTGGAGACAAGGACATCCCTCATCCTCTGCTGCTGCTCACAGTGACACTGATCTGGTAAAGCCCTCATCCTGTCCTGACCCTGCCATGGGCACCAGTCTCCTATGCTGGGTGGTCCTGGGTTTCCTAGGGACAGGTGAGTCCTCAGAACACAAAGTAGTTTCATTTTTTTTTCTGTGTGTAGGCGTGTGGGCGTGTGTGTGTGTGTGTGTGTGTGTGTGTGTGTGTGTGTGTGTGCTGACGACAAATGTTTTCCTTATTCTGTTGCCAAATTCTATTTCCACAGATCACACAGGTGCTGGAGTCTCCCAGTCTCCCAGGTACAAAGTCACAAAGAGGGGACAGGATGTAGCTCTCAGGTGTGATCCAATTTCGGGTCATGTATCCCTTTATTGGTACCGACAGGCCCTGGGGCAGGGCCCAGAGTTTCTGACTTACTTCAATTATGAAGCCCAACAAGACAAATCAGGGCTGCCCAATGATCGGTTCTCTGCAGAGAGGCCTGAGGGATCCATCTCCACTCTGACGATCCAGCGCACAGAGCAGCGGGACTCGGCCATGTATCGCTGTGCCAGCAGCTTAGCCACAGTGTGGCATAGTCGCCTCCTTCCTGTTCACAAACCTCATCCTTCTCTCTCCTTGCACCTCCTAGAGACCCTTAACAGAGGCCTCTCTTTGCTCCTCACTTTTGATGGGAAAGAAGTAGATTTGGACATCGGCTGTCCTTTGGGTAGAAAGAGACCACAGATTCATTCCTGAAACACAGTGACTGCAAATGTAGGTGGTGAAAACAATCACGTCCCACTGCCCTCTAGGAGGGCTCGGAGCCAGCTCACTGCTCGAAACAGGGAGTGGGTGTCTTAGCCTTGGCCTTCAGGGCAGACATGCATCTTCTATAGGTCTTGGGGGCTGCTGTGCTGCCCACATACATGAGGTTGTCATGGGCAGGAAACATGCCTCTTTTTCATATGTTGGGGCATCTGGAAGGTCTGAGGCTACATCCCCAGTAACATCTTTCTTCTGAAGCCTCTTCTATCCCTGTCACCTTGGAAGTTTCTGCAACAAAATATCAAACCTCTCTTCCTGTTTGAAGTAAAGGTCTGTGCAACTTTTGTGGTCCTTACGTGATAAAAGCAATCATGATAACAATAAGACTTCATTTCTTCTGTCTACTTTAAGCCAAGAGTATCCTTCATTTTGTTTCCATTTGCCATTGCTGCTGTTCTGATACACACAAGCATGCATTCACCACTGCTGCCGGTTCACCTTGATTCGCTCAGCAAATCTGATTATTAGACTCTCGAGTGTTTTCATTGCTGTCAAACTCATTTGATTTGAAATAAGTTTCCTGAGGCCTTGAACTCAAGAGGTGTTTTACTTATAATATTGAATCTATTCCTTTTTAATTTTCACATTATATATTGTTATATAGTACTTGTTATAAATAGAAGTACAATGATTATATTGCAGTAGAATCTTCCACCTATCTGTGGGTGATGCTGCAGTTTGTATCCATGAAAGTGAATGCACTGGTCAGAGATCATGTGATCATGGATCATGGGTTTCTGAGAGTCCTCAGGGACAGGCCATTTCTCCAAGTGTGGGGACTCGGTGTCCCAGATGCAACCCTGATAGAGGTGCCCTGAGTCTTTCATAGCTAGGAGGGGCATCATAGTCCTTCCAAATTCACTGATCAGAAATTGTGGTGGTACAGACACCAAATTTCTTTCCCCAGAGAATGATGGTCACTGAGGTGGAGTTGCTCTGGACCCATTTTTTCTTGTGTCATCATCAAATCGCTTCTTGCTCAGGTGCCCTGTGTCTCCTGGGACTGAGTAAGGCCAGCACACAGATGGGAATTCCCTGTCTTCTGAGACCTTCTCTCTAACTGCTGCCACTTTCCTCTCCGTGACTCCTGAGACACCTGGTCCTAACAGTGGACAAGCTGTGACACTGAGGCTGAACAGAACACAGTCCACTGTTGTAAATGGCGCTGCAAGAACTTGTAGCAAAAGTGAGCAGGGCTTCCAATTTATACTGAGAATGAACATGCAACAGGAGCAAGGGGCAGATGTTTCTAATGAACAAATAGGAAGGAATAGGGTTTCTGCTTTATTGAAATCATTCTGTTGTCTTAAGTAAAGCAGGAGAAACATTTCATTGCAATTACTCTAAGTCAAAGGCTAGCAGCTCCCAACCAACCAGCATAACTCTTTGCTCTGTGATCTCGGCAGCTTCAGAGGACTCAGAAATCCTTTCTCTGCACAAACATCCCTTTGTCCATTCCAAGATTCAGGATCACACACTGATCCTATCATGAAAACAATGAGGTGTGCTATAGTTGCTGTGGCCTCATTTTTAGTGTGTTGAGCAGGAAGCATTGAAGAACTTTGAAAGCTTTGCTCTTGAGTCTAGGGATGTGCTGGAGCCAGCTTGAATGACTCAGAAGAACCAAATAGGCATACTACTCTTCCCAGCTCCCCTTTCAGTGAAGCCATGTTGGCTGCTTGAAGTCTGTCATGGTGGGTATGCTGGTACACCACAAATTGGGAAATGCTACCAGCCATGCCCCCACCTTCACAGACACCCAGTATAGCAGCATATCCCTGGGGTATTTTCTGATGTCCCTGTTATGCCATTTCTTGTGGGGCCAAAAGGGCTCAGAATTCACCTCCCCTCTACTCCTGCTCTGAGAAGCCATCATCTAAGTGGGCCTCAATTGTACCTATTTCTATTCGACCTCTAAATTCTCTTGCTCTGTAGCTCTGTGTCTCCTACAAGCATGCCAGTCTGGAACATGACAACTATTTTGAATGTAACTAAAGGTATCACTGAACCAGTTCATTATTTGCAAATTATCTTTCCTTGCATGGAATATTCAGATGCTGGAGTCATTGGGAACAGAGATGGCCAAGCAGCAACTCTGGGTTGTGAACCACATACAGCCCCGCTATTCTTCTATGTCACCGACAGACCCTGAAACAAGGACTATTTTGCTTTGGAGACTAAGCAGCTCCCCACCAGTCAGGAATGACTCTGCTTTTACTTTAGGCTGAGAGGTCAGAAGGATCATGCCCTCAGTATTCTCCTCTCCAAGACAGAGTGTGGCCACTCTCCATCTCAGTCCCTGGAAGTTGTCCAGAGTTCCCTGAGAATCCCTGCTCTGGGACAGAATCACCAAGGCTCATCCTCACCAGCTCCCAACAGGCTCCAGCAGGGCTTTCCTGCCAGGTGCAGGGCACAGGAATGGCTCTGCCTGTCTCTTAGTTAGAGGGAGGCCATGCAATGATGTTTGTATAAGAGGGACTGGGATTCTGGGTCTCCATTAAAGTATTTGATAACATTTTCTTTGTTTTTGTTTTATTTGGCCATCTCACCAATTAGGACAGCAATCCCTTTACAGTTATATTGTTCTTGGCACTTGGGAAGGTTTTTGTGGTTAAGTCACATTAAGAAATTGTGCCTTTTTTTCCTGTTCAGATATAACCCAAGGCAGTGAAAGAAACAACAATAATTTTGAAAGCAGTTACTTATGCATCCTATGATAAAGGTGTTAAGTTTCATTGCCCACATCTAACTTTCAGTCTAGTGGAAATGAAAAGTCACAGTTAGGGGGCATGTGAGCATGCCCTGAGAGAGGCCGATGCCAATTGAGAAGTCTGTGCCAATCCCCAATACTGTGAGATTGAAGGGGAGGGAGAGATGACCTCTCTTTCAGACCATGCTCAACAAGGAGGGAGAGGGATTTTCATCCATGGGAAGCTGAGGAGGAGCAAATCCCAGGGTCCTCTAACTCAGGGTGCGGGAACAAATCCTTGGAGAGGAAAATGGTCCAGTTCAGCTGTCACAGGAGACAGGAGAAAGCACAGTTATCTAATCCACAGTCCCCTGGCTGATTTGCTTCCTTATGATGCTATTTTGTACCAGCATGTCCTCATCTCCCGCTGCTCCTCTGCCTGTTTCAGAATCATCTCTTCCGTGTTTGGTGCTCAGATCAGTGGATGTGCATTGTACAAGCTGATCATTTCCTGTAGCAGCCCCTTTGCTAGTCTTAGCTATATCCATCCTTAGTTTCTACATTAGGTACTGCTCCCTCCACCATTGCTTATTGCCTTGTAAGAGGTTTCATTTTATATATTTCAATTTTACTTTTTATTAATAGACATTTGACTTCATCTTTTGCTGATCTATACTTTTGGGGTAACATTGTCATTTTAGGAGGATGTGTTTGTTTATCTTTAGTGATTCACATTAAATAATCTCTTTATACCTCAACGTCTGTGTTTTCTTACTATTTAAAACCAAATATTATTTTCTTTCATTCCTCTCCTTCTATTCCTCTTTCTTTAGATGGTAGTTTAAGGGAGAAAAAGTTAAACTATAACTGGAGATATTTGTTAAGAGTTTTTCAGAATGACGGTGGGATATTAAGATTTTGGTAACTGAAAGCAATAGTCAGGGTTAGAACTAGTGTTGGTATGATGATTTAGGGAAGCTGCTCATAACACCTGCGGGACGGCACTTGTGGAATATTCTGCCGGCTCACTCAGCAGACACTTCCCAGCGGAAGAAATAATGATGAAACTTCACTTATTGGCCACAAGATGGCACTATGGTCCACTGGGCTCTGGGGAGTCTGGGCGAGCAGTCTAGGAGGGAAAGGGTTAAGAAAAATTAGGGCTTGGATCCCATATTATGCAGATGTTGCAGCAGTTTTCAGTTATTGCTAGGCTACCTACAGCTATGCAAGAGGCGGGAAGTCCCTGTAATCTTTAGTGACATCTACAGTTGAAGAATTTTTGCCTTCGTATCAGGGGCGGGTGCAGAGGAGCAAATGCCTCAGAGGAACATTGGAAATTGTCTGACCAGGCAACAGCTTTAACCTGCTTGAGTGATCTGGGATTCTGCAAGTTCATAAGTCTTACTGATAACATCACCTTGGCTGAGATTCCATTGGACACCAAGTATGTGTTCTCTGGAGGGCAAAAAATATTGAGAAGTTCTAAAACACCTAAGTAAACAGACTACTGAAGGAAAATGTTAGTAGACACATCAAACTGTGCTGTTAGAGCTGAATATAATTGACTAGAAGAATTATCAAAAATAGACTATAAATAAGTCACTACTAAAGTATTTGTGGGCATAGAACAGTGTTTGAGTCTTCTCAGGGTAGATTAAGGAAGAAATTCAGCTATTATCCTCATGACCTTGGCTTGGATGAAAATGCATGGACTCCTCAATTTATTTTCTTGTAAAATGTTACAGAATAATATTGAGCAAACATTTTATTTTTCTCCAGCCTCTATCCCTCTTTAGCACTTACAGGTAGAGCAGACACCTAGACGCAAGGTTTTTTAGTTGGGATCCATTAACTGCAGGACTGGAGATCCACAGCTGGGCTTTACAGGGATTGCAAACCCCACATGCAGGGAACCCCGTGTGTCTGCGCTGTGCCCAACTCCCCTCTGTGAGGCTGCCAAAGGCGGAGGGCCGGGTGTCCCAGGACCCCACTCACAAAGAGGGGAGCAGGCTGCTTGCTGGGCAAAAAAATCACTTCACCAATTGGCCAATCTGTTGAAAGCCAAAAAGAAATGAAAGTCTCAATTGTGAGACTGATGAATGCCCAATTTCCCAAGTTATGAAACGGATAGCAGCTCATGGTTCTCAGAATGATTTCAACAGCATATGAAGATATTTTTAGAGAGCTTTTGTTTGTCTACAGCTTTCCTTGATATTGATCCTCACTTGTTTTTCAGCCCACTCATCACTTGAGCTTATTTTGTGGCCAAATTTCAATGTTGTCTATTTCAGTCACTGAGCACTTCTCACATTCTCCAAATCTTACACAGCTATGTGTGTTCCTGTCTTTTCTTCTTTTTGTGTGATTCATTTTTAAATTGGGCTGTGCAGAATACAAGCATACATTTGTAAATGACTCCCATCTTTTATGCAATTTAGCTGTTTAATTTTTAGTAATACTTTTTATTAAGGTATAATTAATAGAGAGTAAAACACAAATATTAATAGAAGGACATCCTGGTACATTTTGACAAATGCATACGCCAGTGCAATAGTAACTGAAATGATTATAAAAAAAATTTCCGTCACTCAAGAAAGTGTCATCATGCTCCTTTCTAATCAATTTCTATCCCAGGGATAAAAACTTTTCTATGTGTATCACTGTTGAGTAGCTTTGTCTATTCTTGAGCTTCATATAATGGAATCATATTTTTATTGAATTGTTTTTCTCCAAAATTAGTATTTCTGAAGTATATTCATATCGTTGTATCAGTAGGTCATTCTTATGACTAATATTCCATTGCATAAATATACTACAACTTGTTTATCCATGCTCCTGTTGATGGATATCCATGTTACTCCTGTCTTCAACTATTATGAATAAACTTGTTGTGAACATTTTTGTGGAATTCTTCCTGTGGACATATGCATTTTTTTTAAAGAAATAGACTTAAGAGTGGAAATACTGACTCATAGTGTAGATGTGTGTGCTATGCTTGCATGTCCTCACAAAATCTCATGTTGAAACTTGTCAAGGTAATGGTATTGGGAGGTGGGACAGCTATGACTAGGGTCATGAGGGATCTGCCCTCAGAAACAGATCAATGCCCTTTATTGTGGGAGTGAATTAATTATCTTGGGAATGGTCTTCTGATAAAAAGGATGAATTCAGTCATTTTCTCTGACTTCGGTGCTTGCTTCCCCTTCCTTCTGCCTTGGATAACAGCAGGAGGCCCTCAGCAGTTATTGCCCTTCTATCTTGGACTTCTCAGTCTCCAGATCTATAAGCCAAATAAAACTATTGTCTTTATAAATTGCCCATTCCATGGTATTTCTCTATAGCAGTAGGAAAGAAATTGAAAGAAAATATGGTACCTGAGAGTGAGGCTGTTGCTATAATACCTGAAAATGTAGAAGCAGCTTTGGTTAATGGGAAGTGGCTAATGGATAGAGGCTGAAAGAATTGGGAGGAGCAGACTAGCAAAAGTCTAGATTCCTGAAAACAGAGCATAAAGGGCAATTCTGGTGAAGGCTCAGGGGGAAATGAGGAACAAGGTATTGAAAATCGAAGTAAATGCCATCCTTGTTGTAAGTAGCAAAAACCTTGGCAAAATTGTGTCCTGTTCTAGAACTTTATGGAATATAAAAATTATGAGCCATTTGCTAGTATATCTGCTGAAAGAAATATCTAAGAGGCAAAGCATTCAGGCTACTGTGTGACTACTTTTAGCCACCAGGAAATTTAACCCAGCAAGAAGGGAGCCATGGGAATAGATTTTGCAAACCAGCACAGATGGTGACTCTACCTCCCTCTGCTGTCCTGTCTCCCATAAGCCAAACTCTGTGCTGTGAGCTGTTAAAGTCCAAGAATTATTTCTGGGGAATCTGTACTCTTAATAATTTACAGACAACACAGGTCTGCTTTGGATCTGATCAGACAGACTAAATCTTGGGGACTGTACCAGTGGCCACTGAGAAAAGGGGCTCGGAATGTTGTCTTGGATAGAAAAATATAATAAGAAACATTGGTGTGAATCTAGCATCAGAAAGATGACGTGAGGACAGCAAGGAAGAGCTGGAAACTGAGGTTTACTCACAGGCTCCTCACCCTCCGCTGATGGGCAGGTGTGTGAGCTCCAGCATGGAGCACCACAGCACTAGGTGGGAGAACGGTGATAGGGTGATGGGGCAGCCTGTGAGCTGGGGCAGTGTAGGCAGAGGAGGAACTGTATCACCACAGAAACTTCTGCCTTCACACATCCCTCCAGCTAGGCAGGACAGGTAGAGAGTCCAGTGTCCTGGAGCACTAGACCTAAGGAAGGCTGCATGGGGAGGACAAAGGACAGTGACATCACAGGATACCCCTCCCATCAGGAAAATCAAGGCCCAGAACTCACTCGGCTCTTCCCCAGGAGAACCAAGCCCTGAATCAGATGCAGTGCTTCCTGTCCCTCTGTGCCATGGGCCCCGGGCTCCTCTGCTGGGCACTGCTTTGTCTCCTGGGAGCAGGTGAGTCCTGGGCACAGGACAGCAGCCCCATTCTCAGCTTTCCCACCCCTGTGTCCTCCACTTTACCTTGGGGAGGACCTCCAGGCTGTCCCTGTGCTCATCCTCCATCTGCTTTTCCCACAGGCTTAGTGGACGCTGGAGTCACCCAAAGTCCCACACACCTGATCAAAACGAGAGGACAGCAAGTGACTCTGAGATGCTCTCCTAAGTCTGGGCATGACACTGTGTCCTGGTACCAACAGGCCCTGGGTCAGGGGCCCCAGTTTATCTTTCAGTATTATGAGGAGGAAGAGAGACAGAGAGGCAACTTCCCTGATCGATTCTCAGGTCACCAGTTCCCTAACTATAGCTCTGAGCTGAATGTGAACGCCTTGTTGCTGGGGGACTCGGCCCTCTATCTCTGTGCCAGCAGCTTGGCACAGCCCATCAGAGTCACTGACGTTCTGTATATAAACTTCCTGCCTTAGCTTTGCCTTGAGAGCTGCAGGCCCCACCCAGATTTCACTCCTTCAAGGGAAGCTTTTAGTTGTTTGGAAGGCATGTCTTGTGTCCTACTGAGGGCAGAGCTCTCCCAACCAATAAAGCCCAAGTTTCCTGTGTCCTGAGTGTGCCCACTTCTGTGCTGCATCTTCTTGCAGCTTGTCACCTCAGTACAAGAGTGACTGCTGAGCCCCAGATGTGTGCTTGATTATTTGCATTTCTTACATAGCTTAATGCCTTTCAACAATCTTGCACATCAAACATTCTTATTCTTCCTTTACAGATAGAAGGCTCAGGGACATTGAGTCATTTTCCCCAATGTCTCTTGGCTTGTAAGGATCAGAAGTAGGAAACAAACTAGTCCATCCATTTTCCACCTACCCCCCTGCTCCATCATCATCTTCTGCATCCTGGTCAGTAAATCAGAGCCCTCACACTGCCGTCTAGTGACCAGCAGGGCCGCAGTAGAGGCTGAAATGTCTTCAGGGGTCATTACTATGTCCTTTTCATTAGCTCCTTTGAGGAATGTTAAATTTCACACATTTTAACAATCATTTATATGCATTCCCTTTGTCTTTCCCCAGTCTGCAGCTTATATTTTCATTTTTATGGAGTTTTTGGTGCACAAGAGCTTAATTTAATGCAACAAAAACTAAAAACAATTTTGTTTGTGTGTAGACAAAAACCACTTTTTCATATAAATGTCTAAGCATATTTTTCTCAACTTATTCTACTAAAATTTAAGTTTGGATTTTCACCACTAAGAATAAATGTACCTGAAATACATCTCATGTAAGAAATAAGATACAGACCTAGGAATGGGAGGGAAGGACATATATTCAGTGAAGAAACAATAGCTTGTCAAAAAGAGCCCTAAGTGGACACCTGGAGCTGACGGTGGAGAGGTAGGTGGAGGGCAAATGAGCATGAACTTTGTCAGTCTATTGTCTTGTAGAAGAAAGACAGCCAGGAGCAGAGACCATATGGGTGAAGGTTTATGACTTGACTGTAGGTTGAAGGTTGCAGCAGGTAGAGGGAGAATTGCAGGCAGAGGGCAGAGTCACTGGCTGGCAGGGGCAGTGGCATCATCAGTTGACTCTACTGACATCTAGGATTTATGTCCCCAACACACAAGCTGAAAAACCTCCCCACAATTTCCCCATTTTTCCCTGACCCTACCATGACCACCAGACTCCTCAGTGGTGTGGCCTTTTGCCTACTTGGGGCAGGTAAGATCTTTAAAGCCTTTTCCTTGGCTCACCACATCCCAGCTTAAGCCTTTACCTCAGGTCTCCATTATTGGGGTCCCTCCTTGGGCACTCATCTTCCTTCTGTCATAAACCTCACAGAAGCTGGGACAATCAAATCCTTAAGATACCAGAGAACAAAGGCAGTACATGAAGTGGCACGGAGATGCCTGAGACTGTCATCCATGACTACATGTGTAGGTGTTAATAGGAGCTGAACCTGGTGTACAGCTGATCTGTCCCAGCCCGCAATACAGAGAAATCCCTGAGGGTCTGTGACTTTCTCTCAAAGCCAAATATGTGGCCTTTGTGTCAGCCTCTCCCAGACCTCTGTGCCCTCTTGCACCAGCAGTCACCCCACAGCCACCTTCCTCTGCACACAATGTTCAGTGGAAGATATAGGTGGCCTTGTCTTCACGAGACCATGTTCTAGGCAGTGGAAGACGTTTTCCCATAGGAGTCTCCCCAACACTGCCCAGGCTGGGGCCCTCAGATTTCTGAGCATCCCTGTGCATGGGAAACTCTGCCCTGTGTTGAGCTTCTCTCCCAGGCCAGTCTCAGCTGGACGAGGGAACGCACATCACAGTGATGTGAGCAGTTGCCGCCTCTCTCCCAGGCCCCTCCTCCAGCTCTGGCCTCAGAAGTCCTCTTCTTCACTTGCTCTCAGAAAGGAAAGTTCATTTGAAATTGTATATTTGCAGACAGCATTGACAACTTTTCCCCGTCGGCCTTCACAACTCCATCTTCCCCACACCATGCTCATGTCAGTCCTCAGCCTCCTCCACATGATGTCTGCTCCCAGCTGTCCTCTCCCTCTGCACCTTCACCTCCACGTCAACCACAGATGCCTCAGTTCAGGACATTCCTCATGCATCATGCTCCTCCCACCAAAGGCCTTTCCACTCCATGCTGTATTCTCTGTGTCAACACAAGTCTCTTCTTCTTTGTTCTTGCTCCAACTGTCAGTTTATCTACAACCATCTCTAGGGAGACACTCCTTCAACAGTTTTCCTAGGCTGCACCTCCTTATTGTAAATGCTCACAGCTTATAATATGTATTAAAATTCATAGATTTAGCACCATAGTCATTTTCCATGACTTTGTGTGACTATTTAATTGACACTACTCTTGCATTCTAGACTGTAACATGCATCATTTTACAAATTGTGGATGTTTTGTTCCCCATTTTATTGTCAGGACCAACAGCAGTTCCAATCTTGAAACTGGCCAATCTTGAAAAATGAAGAGCAGATATTGAAAGGCCGTCTGAGTACCCACTTAGATGTCTGGACGCATTAAATCGGAACCTCTATCCCTTCATCTCCTAGGATCAAATGAGTCCTGGAAACAGATGAGAAATCCCTGTCATGGATAAGTAACTGGATCCAAGCCTTTCTGCACGACTGAATTTCCTATCTGCCCTATCGCCTTCCTGCCTAATCTCCTCCTTCAATCTCCTTCCCTCACAGGTGTCCTGGATTTGGGAGTCTCACAGACACAGCGCACCTAATCACTCTGAGAGAGTGATCAGAAACATAATGTCAAACACTGACATTAAAAGGTCATGGAGAAGAAAACAAATGGCTTCCCCATGCTCTTATGGAGAGTTTTCCCAAGGCACAAATATCTCTTTGGGTGGCTTTGAGGTCATGGTGCCTGACACACTGAGCGATATTATGGGTGTCCATTTCCATGAATTGGTGGGCAATGTCAGAGACACAGAGTTCATGGTCACCAGCTTCCTCCAGCCCACACCTGATTTTGGTGCAGGGCGCTGAGCAGAGACCTTTGCTTGTTACCCTCCTTTGCCAGTTAGGAAAGGCTGATTGAGAGGCAGAGGCTCCATTTACAGAGCAGGGCTATGTGTTAGTCCCTGAAGAATTGTGAGAGCCATTCTGGGTGGAAATAATCAAATATACAATCCCCAAGAATGGCCCACGGATAGACAGAAGTCCCAATTTTGCCAGAATGATTTGCATCTATGCTTTGAAGACAAATGCAGTTTTATCTCTTTAGGCAATAAAGACCAAAAATAGACTAGTTATTTTAAATAATTGAACCTTAAACAGACCAAAGTCAGAACATCTTCCCTAGGGACAGCATTTTCTTCCACCCACTCACTAAAGCTGTATTTGAGAAAGCAGTGTGCTGTTGATAAACGCTGGAATATCGTTACAATCGACATTGTAATAATACTGCTACTTGGATCAGAAACAAAGAGCATTTCTAAAGCTTGAACAATGTAAAACTGGAAACGAGCTCTCACTGAGTTTGGAAATGCAGGCACTAGAGGGTGCTCATTTCTCTTCCTTTTCCAATCGGGGGCTATTCAAAGGCTGTTCTAGAACAAGGGGTGAGATCCTCCACTTCCCCGTGGTGATCAGGCTTTCACAGGTAGAAGCCTTATTAGTTCATAATCAGCCAAGCTGACCTCACCATCAAATGTATCGACCTCGATGCTCACCCTCCTCAGCAGTCAGAGACTGGCTGTGTTCACCAGGAGCTCGTGTGTTTTTACGGAGCACACTTTCTCCTCGGTTTATTAAAAACAAATGAGCCTTTATACGGGGTTCCATAAACAGAAGCTTTCTGTACTTTGCCCATTTAGACACTGCAAATTCTGATGCCTGATGAAAAGTGTAAACTTAAAGCTTGCATGTCGTTAAGATTTTTTAATAACCAATTTAAATAATATATATAATGAAAATGTCAATAATGCTCTCGAATCCAATCCCATGTTCCATTGGTAACCAATATTAACGCTCTGGTGTGCTTCTTTTCACCCCTCTTTTCTGTGTTCATGCACACCTTTCTACCCAAGTACACCTACAGAAAATGGGTTCACCTGTACACTTTAACTGCCAAATGTGTACTCTTTTCTGTATATCTTGGTCTTTATTGTTCCAGATTGGTTGATATAGATCTAACTTGCTCCTATTATCTGCTTCATATTGCATAATGAGGGTAGACAGGTACATTCATGCTGTATTGTCTGTTTCCTAAATTCTGCCAGATCTTTTCTAAAGTGACCAAATGGCATCTTTACGCTTCCAGGTTCTCCTCACCCCAGCACCCAGTTGATGATTCCAGCTTTTCCATCACTCATAGTCCTGGCAGGTCTGAGAGCTCCATTTGGTTTCTCCTGCATGAGGAGACAGGGAGGGATAAAAGGATAGACCTTTATCAAACCTACCAGAGACTACATGGTATCTCAGTTCATCCTCATAAAGCATTGAGGGGAATGCTAGTCTTGTTTTATAGATGAGTCTAGATGAGGCTAGAGTCCAGGAAATCAATAAATAGCCTTGCCCATGGTCTCAGAGCTAATAAATGGTGGAGGCAGATGAAGGGCAGTCGGCTTGCTTCCATGTGGAATTGATAGAGGGGTCACTGGAGTTTGAGGGAGGGGAAGTCTAGAACCATCTGGCGTTGTCTTCAGATCGGACACCAGGGTTGAGACAGTCTGTGTACCCTATAGCACCGCAGGTACAAGCATCATGGTGTTGGCAGTGGGGAGATACTAGAGTGGGTAAGTGATTAGTGGCCTGGAACTGGAAGATCTGAGCTTTGACAAAATTATTCCCATCACAACATGTAGCAGAGACACTGATGTGGATAAACTAGGTCAGGGAGCTGTGTGAGGAGCTGTTGTTAAAATAAGGGAGGGAGGAGAAGCAACTAAGTGGTCACTTCCTAACATGAAATGTAGAGGAAACCAATATTAACTAGAATCCATCTGATTTTAGTCAGTTTTCCTTTGTAAGTATTTGGAAGGTGGGATAATTTATTTTCAAGGTTAAGTAAACATCTATACATCTCCTTTATCTTTTGAAGACTGGTGGCGAAGCGAAAAATGGCACGGCCAATGGAGTCAGAGTTTGTTTAATAAATATCTCAGAGTTCAAAGAGAGACTCTCATGGGCCAGAAATTGGTAAATGTTCCTGCATTCTAAAATTAGGAGGATCTTATTTTCTTTGAATCAACAGAGAAGGAAGCACAGGCAGTGGGGAGGAACAGTTGGGAACACGGCAGAGTGGCCGCAGGATGTCAAAGACAAAGGACATGTAATATCAAATTCTAAGCTGTGAAGCTGTGATGCAACCCTCCACCTTCTCCTAATGGATTTTTTAGGTCTCAGCGCAGATGCACAGCTGAGGGAGTAATTTCTTTGGAAATGAAGGACAAATAGCTGTGTTAAATATTAATAACAAGTCCACATTACAAAGCACGCCTGGAAATGGAAACAAGATTATTTCTAAGGCCTTTTCTACTCTAAGAGTCTCTAACTTGGTGGCAAGGTGAGAGGTGAGGTTGGGGTGGGTGTTGATCCACACGCGATGAGTACCATGAGGCTCTACCATGAAGCATGTAGTTCTCAGTGTGAATCAGAGCCCTAAGAAGAATAATGCCCTTTACTTTGTTTTGTCCTGTGCCATCCCAAACCCACTCCACCCATAATTAAGCAGCCATGGAAATGAGGGTAGCCAGAAGGAATCAAACCCTGCTGCTTGGTTCAGTAGACACAGGGACCTGGGAGGAGGGTGTTGGCTGGGTCAAGGAGAAGATGATGAGCTCAGAAAATAGACAAGGAGAAACCCCAGTGGAAAGCTTGTAAAACTCTGGATGAATCACAAGATATGTTATTAGAGCTCCTTTTTATTACTAAATTTTATTTATTACTAAATTAATGGCAGGAACCCTGCACAAAGGGATATTCCCTATGAAAGATGGCATCTCAAATAAAAACAGAGCATTCTTCCTTACCCTAAAGTCTGCCCTTTCTCCCCAAGTCCCTCATGCATCAGGCCACCTTTGTGCCCACAGATCATGGGCAGCGCTGGGTGGCCATCATCATCCACACAGAGAGGGCAGTCAGCAGCATGAGCTGGTTCTGCCTGATATGGTCTCACCCTAGGCATGGAAAGCAAGAGACC